>NC_000017.11:54435980-55060980 GCF_000001405.40 Homo sapiens
GAATGCCAGCGAGACAGAACCGTTCACTTCCCTGGAAAGGGGGCTGAAGTCAGGAAGCCAAGTGGTCTGGCTCAGCAGGTCCCACCCCCACGCAGCCCAGCAAGCTAAGATCCACTGGCTTGAAATTCTCGCTGCCAGCACATCAGTCTGAGGTCAACCCGGGATGCTCGAGCTTGGTGGGGGGAGGGGCATCTGCCATCGCTGAGGTTTGAGTAGGCGGTTTTACCCTCACAGTGTAAACAATGCTGCCTGGAAGTTCGAACTTGATGGAGCCCACTGCAGCTCAGCGAGGCCACTGTGGCCAGACTGCCTCTCTAGATTCCTCCTCTCTGGGCAGGACATATCTGAAAAAATGGCAGCAGCCCCAGTCAGGGACTTATAGATGAAACCCCCATCTTCCTGGGACAGAGCACCTGGGGGAATGGGTGGGTGTGGTTACAGCTTCAGCAGACTTAAACATCCCTGCCTGACAGCTCTGAAGAGAGCAGTGGTTCTCCCAGCACACAGCATTTGTGCTCTGATAAGGGACAGACTGCCTCCTCAAGCGGGCCCCTGACCCCCGTGTCTCCTGACTGGGAGAAACCTCCCAGTAAGGGCTGACAGATACCTCATACAGAAGAACTCTGGCTAGCATTTGGTAGGTGCCCCTCAGGGACGAAGCTTCCAGAGGAAGGAACAGGCAGCAATCTTTGCTGTTCTGTACCCTCCGCTGGTGATACCCAGGCAAACAGGGTCTGAAGTGGACCTCCAGCAAACTCCAGCAGACCTGCAGCAGAGGGGCCTATTGGAAGGAAAATTAACAGACAGAAAGGAATAGTATCAACATCAACAAAAAGGATGTCCAGCTTCCCCATCCGAAGGTCACCAACATCAAAGACCAAAGGTAGATAAATCCATGAACATGGGGAGAAACTGGAGCAAAAAGGCTGAAAATTCCAAATACCAGAATACCTCTTCTCCTCCAAAGGATCACAACTCTGTGCCAGCAAGGAAACAAAACTGGACGGAGAAAGAGTTTGACAAATTGACAGAAGTAGGCTTCAGAACGTGGGTAATAACAAACTCTTCTGAGCTAAAGGAGCATGTTTTAACCTAATGCAAGGAAGCTAAGAACCTTGAAAGAAGGTTAGATGAATTGCTAACTAGAATAACCAGTATAGGAAGAACATAAATGACCTAATGGAGCTGAAAAACACAGCACAATAACTTCATGAAGCATACACAAGTATCAATAGACAAATCAATCAAGTGGAAGAAAGGATATTAGAGACTGAAGATCAACTCAATAAAATAAAGTGAGAAGACAAGATTAGAGAAAAAAGAGTGAAAAGAAACTAATAAAGTCTCCAAGAAATATGGGACTATGTGAAAAGACCAAATCTACGTTTGATTGGTGTACCTGAAAGTGACAGGGAGAATGGAACCAAGTTGAAAAACACTCTTTAGGATATGATCCAGGAGAACTTCCCCAACCTGGCAAGCCAGGCCAACATTCAAATTCAGGAAATACAGAGAACACCACAAAGATATTCCTTGAGAAGAGCAACCCCAAGACTCATAATTGTCAGATTCACCAAGGTTGAAATGAAGGAAAAAATGTTTAAGGGCAGCCAGAGAGAAAGATCGGGTTACTCACAAAGGGAAGCCCATCAGACTAATAGCGGATCTTTCAGCAGAAACCTTGCAAGCCAGAAGAGAGTGGGAGCCAATATTTAACATTCTTAAAGAAAAGAATTTTCAACCCAGAATTTCATATCCAGCCAAACTAAGCTTCATAAGCAATAAAAAAGAAATAAAATCCTTTAAAGATAAGCAAATGCTAAGAGATTTTTGTCACCACCAGGCCTGCCTTACAAGAGCTCCTGAAGGAAGCACTAAACATGGAAAGGAACAACTGGTACCAGCCACTGCAAAAACACGGTAAATTGTAAAGACCAACAATGCTATGAAGAAACTGCATCAACTAACGAGCAAAATAACCAGCTAGCATCATAATGACAGGATCAAATTCACACATAACAATATTATCATGAAATATAAATTGGCTAAATGCCCCAATTAAAAGATGCAGACTGGCAAATTGGATAAAGAATTAAGACCCATCAGTGTGCTGTATTCAGGAGACCCCTCTCATGTGCAAAGACACACATAGGCTCAAAATAAAGGGAAGGAGGAATATTTACCAAGCAAAAGGAAAGCAGTAAAAAGCAGGGGTTGACAACCTAGTCTCTGATAAAACAGACTTTAAACCAACAAAGATCAAAAGAGACAAAGAAGGACATTACATAATGGTAAGGGATCAATGCAACAAAAAGAGCTAACTATGATAAATATATATGCACCCAATACAGGAGCACCCAGATTCATAAAGCAAGTTCTTAGAGACCTAAAAAGAGACTTGGACTCTCACACAATAATAGTGGGAGACTTTAACACCCCACTGTCAATATTAAACAGATCGATGAGACAGAAAATTAACAAGGATATCCAGGACTTGAACTCAGCTCTGGACCAAGTGGACCTAATAAAAATCTACAGAACTCTCCACCCCAAATCAACAGAATATATAGTCTTCTCAGCACCACATCACACTTATTCTAAAATTGACCACATAATTAGAAGTAAAACACTCCTGAGTAAATGCAAAAGAATGGAAATCATAACAGTCTCTCAGACCACAGTGCAATCAAATTAGAACTCAGGATTAAGAAACTCACTAAAAACTGCACAACTACATGGGAACTGAACAACCTGCTCTTGAATGACTATGGGTAAATAATGAAATGAAGGCAGAAATAAAGATGTTCTTTGAAACCAATGAGAACAAAGACATAATATATCAGATTCTCTGGGACACATTTAAATCAGTGTGTAGAGGGAAATTTATAGCACTAAATACCCACAAGAGAAAGCAGGAAAGATCTAAAATTACACCCTAACATCACAATTAAAAGAACTAAAGAAGCAAGAGCAAACAAATTCAAAAGCTAGCAGAAGACAAGAAATAACTAACATCAGAGCAGAACTGAAGGAGATAGAGACATGAAAAACCCTCCAAAAAATCAATGAATCCAGGAGCTGGTTTTTTGAAAAGATCAACAAGATAGATAGACCACTAGCCAGACTAATAAAGAGAAAAAGAAAGAAGAATCAAATAGACACAATAAAAAATGATAAAGGGGATATCACCACTGATTCTACAGAAATACAAACTACCATTGAGAGGTGAGGCCAGCTGGACTTCCCGGCTGGAGTGGGGACTTGGAGAACTTTCCTGCCTTACAAGGGGATTGTAAAATGCACCAATCAACGCTCTGTAGCTAGTAAGAGGTTTGTAAAATGGACCAATTAGCGTTCTGTAAAATGGACCAATCAGCACTCTGTAAAATGGACCAATCAGCAGGATTCTAAAAGTTACCAATCACGGGGAGGATTGAGAAAAGGGCTTTCTGATAGGACAGAAACAGGACATGGGAGAGGACAAATAAGGGAAAAAAGCTGTCCACCCCAGCCAGCAACAGCAACCCACTCAGGTCCCCTTCCACGCTGTGGAAGCTTTGTTCTTTTGCTCTTCACAGTAAATCTTGCTGCTGCTCACTCTTTGGGTCCATGCCACTTTTAAGAGCTGTAACACTCACCGTGAAAACCCGCAGCTTCATTCTTGAAGTCAGCAAGACCATGAACCACCAGAAGGAACCAACTCCGGACATATCTTGGGGGCTCATCTGGGATTTCGCCATGTGGTGAGTACCATCGGACCCCTTTTGCTGCTGTTCTGTCCTATTTTTCCTTAGAATTCAGGGGCTAAACACTGGGCACCTGTTGGCCAGTAAAAAGTGACTAGCACTGCCGTCATACTAAAGACACGGGTGTCAGACTTTCTGGGAAAGGGCTCTTTAACAACCCCCCCGACTCTTGGGAGCCGGGAGCATTGGTTTGCTTGGAATCAACTCCTTCTTTTCCTGTACTTCTGGGCTGAGCTGAGGGTTGACAGAGAGGATAGCCATTTAGCTCTGAGGTCCCGACAAAAAGTTGGTTGGCCTTGCAGCCGTGAGCAGAACTCTGAAAGTTACATTTCCCAAACAAGACTCGCCCATCTATCCTATCTATCCTGACCCTTGCCTCCTGGGTCCTAATGCCTGTCAGACAAACTTCCTCCTACCTGTCTTCTTTGAGGCTAGTCCTGCTTCTAAAAACCACTCCCTGTCCCTGGTACCCTTCTAGTTTCTCCTATAAAAATGATTTCTAGTATAAATTTCAGAACTCTGTTCCCTTCTTTAGGCACCTGGGCTCACCAATTAGAAAGACATAATTTTTGCCCAAAGCCCATTCTGGGGGTGGGGGAACTATCTGGGAACTATCTGCCTCCTCAGACTAGAAGACCTAACAAAACCTATTCCCAAAGCTAGGATATGGAGAGCCTCAGAAATTATATCCTTCCTATTCATATGATGAGAAGTGAGGACAAAAGGCATCACTCTTCCAACCCTGCAGATCCCTTACCTCCTTCAGGGTATGGCCCTCCACTCAATTTTTGTGGTATATCATCTTTATAAGATAAGGGTAAGGTCCCAATACTAACATAAGAAAATGCTTAGGACTCTGACAGGTTTTTGAGAATGCGTCGGTAAGGGCCACTAAATCCAATTTTTCTCAGTCCTCTTTGTGGTCTAAGAGGAAAGGCAAGGGTGCAGGTTTTTGATAATGCATCAGTAGGGGCCACTAAATCTGACCTTCCTCAGTCCTCTTTGTGGTCTAGGGGGAAAAATAGTTTTTCTGCTGCTGTTTCAGTGAGTGCAACTCTAACATTCAGGACATAGGCAATACCATTCAGGACACAGGCATGGGCAAAGAATTCATGACTAAAACACCAAAGCAATGGCAACAAAAGCCAAAATTGACAAATGGAATCTAATTAAACTAAAGAGATTCTGCACAGCAAATATATATATATATTCAGAGTGATCAGGCAACCTACGGAAGGGGAGAAAATTTTTGAAATCTATCCATCTGACAAAGGGCTGATATTCAAAATCTACAAAGAACTTCAACAAATTTACAAGAAAAATACAAACAACCCCATCAAAAAGTGGGCAGAGGATATGAACAGACACTTCTCAAAAGAAGACATTTATGCAGCCAACAAACATGAAAAAAAGCTCATCATCACTTGTCATTAGAAAAATGCAGATCAAAACCACAACAAGATACCATGTCACACCAGTTAGAATGTTGATCATTAAAAAGTCAGGAAACAACAGATGCTAGAGAGGATGTGGAGAAACAGGAACACTTTTACACTGTTGGTGGGACTGTAAATTAGGTCAACCATTGTGGAAGACAGTATGGCAATTCCTCAAGGATGTAGATAGAAATACCATTTGACTCAGCAATCCCATTACTGGGTATATACCCAAAGGATTATAAATCATTCTAATATAAAGACACATGCACATGTATGTTTATTGCAGCACTGTTCACAATAGCAAAGACTTGGAACCAATCCAAATGCCCATCAATGATAGACTGGATAAAGAAAATATGGCACATACACACTGGAATACTATGCAGCCATAAAAAAGGATGAGTTCGCGTCCTTTGTGGGGACATGGATGAAGCTGGAAACCATCATTCTCAGCAAACTAACACAGGAGCAAAAAACCAAACACTGCATGCTGTCACTAATAAGTGGGAGTTGAACAATGAGAACACATGGACATGGTGGCAGGTGGTACATCACACACCAGGGCCTGTCAGGGGGTAGGGGCAGGGGGAGGATAGCATTAGGAGAAATACCTAGTGTATATGACAGGTTGATGGGTGTAGCAAACCACCATGTCACGTGTATACCTATGTAACAAACCTGCACATTCTGCACATGTACCCCAGAACTTAAAGTATAATTTTAAAAAAAAGCAAGATACACATGTATTACAGCTTTTTACACATAAACTCACTATGCAAAAGTTATAGGAACTTATGTTACTGGTAAATACTGAGTCACAGATATCTAGTCTGAGTTTAGATTTACCATAATTGTTGACCATACAATGTTTGTAATACTTTATATATGGCTCTACTAATATAAACGTCATTGTCTCACATCCTATTTCTCCTTGTGCCTACCTTCCAAATACCAAATAGAATGCTGTAATTTAGGTGAGAAATCAATCACATTTGTCTTGTCAATGTTCTGCAACAGGAACTCTATTAAAGAAGCTAACCCTTAACCTTCCTTTGACAGAGGATAATACCAGGCTAATTAACTGAATCATAACAAATCAACTTCTAGTTGGATTGTTTTCCTAAACTGTTTGCAGTAATAGAATGAGCTCCTTCTTAGGACATTTGATAAGGTGGGGTAGGAAAATTGAGGCATCAGCTTATTGAGTCCGTAATTATCTCCACATAATTGTATTTTTTGCCAGCCGCAGTTGCCTACCTTCACTATGCCTGGTTAATTTTACCTTCTGTAGTCTTCTAAAGTGAACTATGTGTTCTAACTTAAGATCCTTGAATTGTGACTACACACACACACACACACACACACACGTACTTTCCATTACATAATTACATGGGCAGTCCCTATTCATTTTTCTCCTGTTACATCCTTTATTTGAAACGACTTCCCATCTTCTCTCCCTAACTGTATTCTACCCTGCTTTTCATGTCCCACTCCTTTGGGGAAAAATCTCATGACAACCCCAGAGTTTCTTAAAATCTGGGAAGCTAGTTCTCTGGAATAAAGGCAGATAACAGAAGTAGTACATCTTAGAAGTAGTGCAAATAAAGATGCTCCATGTCCTTGCTACCCCTCCTTTCAATTTAAAGAGAAAGAGAAAGGAAAGCAGTTAAAAAGACTACTCCACAGTGAAATGAGCAAGTGAGCCATCTTACTTGCTCTATCATTGTACTTGACACCATATCAGCAACACCAAATACAGTGCCTGACACCTCATAGCCAGATAGGTCAGGGGTATCTGACGAACACCTGGAGAATAGATCTTTAGTAAAATGGGTGAAATGCAAGTTGGTAAAAAAAAAAAAAAAAGCACCTAATTATCACATTTCCCAGTGTGGACAGTGGTAGTTCAGTGGCAATTAAATTAATATGGGCACAACAATTGAATAACTAGTGTATTTAAAAAATTATCTTGCATCCCAAAGGGACTTGCAGGCCTAGAGTGGCTCAGGGAAAGACCTGCTAAACTATTTCTCATGCCATGAAAGTTGGTACCATGGGGAAAACTCAGAATTCTTTGCAACTAAGGATATTTTTTTTCCAGAGAATGAAAGTATCGAGGGGGTCTGGAAAATTATCCTCTAATATATGAAACAGGAACTGAATTTAAACACAGTACTGAAAGTAGACAGACAGTGACTGGAAGACACAGGGAGAAAGATTTTGTTTCAGTATAAAGGGGCATTGTGTAAAATGTTAGGTGTTTTCCAATGGGGATGTGCTGGAAGGACCTTAAAAAGAGACAACTGCTGGACTAGTGATATGACTCACGAGATATGGTCCGTTTTTGAGATCCTGTGATGTGTGATTCAGTAAAATTTCTTTCTAGAGAGAAATAATTAGAGGCACTCTACTGTTACATAGAGTGAAATCCTGGCCACTAATATCAGAGTATCCTTAAGCAATTATTTAAAATGGAGATGTTTTGCTTAATTCAAGGGATGCTACTTAGGCTCTCTTGGGGGAAGAGCCTTGCAATCTGCATTTAAGCAAGATCCAGACAATCAAATGCTCATTAAAGTCTCAGAATATTCTGTTTAGTGACTGTCAATTTAAGAAAGCATTAGGAGCCATGGGTTCGTTCTAGCAGGTCATTATCCATCCTTAGCCACTGACATCACTCCTTTGTGCCTCAGATTCTCTGGCCTTTCATACTTCAAAGGCTCGTGCTTAAGAGGAAGAGAAAATAAGTACAAAAGTCTCAATGCTCCCCAGGTAAGATAGTTTCCATTGGGTGCCATTCATTTTCATCTGCTTTTCATAAATAAACAAATAAGAAAATCTGCAAATAATAGTACCACATAGAAAATAATACTTTTTTGCTAAAATGTTATATTATGTAAGCATTCCAGATGCTATTAATATCTGTGGCTATCTTATAAAATACTCACAATGTCTGTAACACTGAATAGCAAGTGCATAGAAACATCAAAAGAACCTTCACAGTAATACCCAAGCAAAAAATACTTGGCAGTCTAACTTTCTATGTTTTAACAAGGAGCCCAGGGATGCCTATAACAAACCACTGGATGCTGGCTCAAGTTGAATTGAAATCTTCTTGAAACTTCTGAGACCCTGCTACATCCCTCCCTAACTCCCCATTTGCACCAAGAATCCTAATATTGAACCCTAGCTTCCTAGAAACAGGGATATCCTGTATATTCAGCCCCCATCCTCACTCTTAGAATACAGTAAACCGTTGTAGGAAAGGACCAGCCTTTGTTTAAGGCCTTTAAAAATCTTCCTGTTGGCTCTGCTTCCCCTTCCCTTAGGGCCAGGGCCAGATGAGCTGTTACGTAGAGAGAGTGAATCTATGCTATCTGATATGGTTTGGGTGTGTGCCTACCCAAATCTCGTCTTGAATTATAGTTCCCATAATCCCAATGTATCATGGCAGGGACCTGGTGGGAGGTAATTTAATCGTGAGGGAAGTTACCTCCATACTCTTCTCAGTGATAGTGAGTTCTCACAAGATCTGATGGTTTTATAAAGGGCTTTTCCCCCTTTGCTCGGCACTTCTGCCTCCTGCTGCCTTGTGAAGAAGGATGTGTTTACTCTCCCATCTGCCATGATTGTAAGTTTCCTGAGGCCTTCCCAGCCTTGGGTATTTCTTCATAGCAGCATGAGAAGGAATTAATACACTAATGCCTGAAGGTAATTTACCCCTCCTTCTGACTTTTAGGAAAGTCATCCAAATGCCATCTTTCCAGAAGCATTTGTATCTTAAAATGAGATTCTTGAACACCCCATAATTTAAAGGTCTGAGTCTCTACTGATAGGCTATTACCATGACAAACCACTGAAACCTCAAATTGAACCAAGTCAAGGGCCACAAACACAGTACACACATAAAGCTGATTCTTCTAGCTGTGCTGTTTTCTTGGAAATGAGATTCAAGCATGTAGCTGGTGAGATAAGCAGCTGGAGTCTATAGAAAAAGTAAATTGAGTGCTGGGGGAATGGACTTCAAATTCAAGTTGGCCACAGATTCATGGTGTGACTTTGGACCAGTCTCTTTCTTTCTCCTGGCCTCACTGCCTCCATCTGTAGAATCCGACAGTGGAATTAAACATTCATTACAATCTCTCCTAGCTCCAAGCATTTATGGAATTTGCTTTACTCTTTCATGTCCATCTACCTTATGATTATTTTCCTTTAAAAAATGGCCCATAAACATACATTGTAAGTGAAATGTCTCTTGTGTCCTAATTAGGACATCTAACAGGGTCAATATGGTATTGCCAATGCCTTCACAACTGTATTTTTACATTTTTAATAAAATTTGTGTTCAGCTGCCTATCAACATTGTTTTTAGCACTGGATAATGGTTAGGAATATGTTCCAAGATGAAATGGCCATTAAGCCACTTTCTAGATATGAGACCTTTTTATTTTGAAATATATAAAAGCTTGTTCTATTATGCCTAAACTGATTACAAATAGAAGGCCATATGAATTTTTTTTAAAAAAGTATTTACCTGATCAAAGTAATTCTAAATTTTATGTGGAAAAACAAATATTCCAGGATAAAAGAAATATTTAAACAGAAGAGTAAAAGGGGGAATAATCCCAACAGATGATAAAATAGATAAATAATAGTTTTAATAGCTTGGTGCTGGCATATGAATATATAGCAATTCAATGGAACAAAATAATTTAGTATATGATAAGCATAGAGTTTCAGATCAGTGAATTAATACATCAATTACTCAGTAAATTATGTTGAAAGAAGTTGCTAACAACTTTGGGGAAAATAAAGTAAGGTCACTACCTCTTTCCCTAAATTGAAATAAATCACAGATGGATAAAAGACTTGACTTAAAAAAAAAAGTAATAAAAACCCAAGTAAAAAATGTGAACAAAAATTTTAGAATTTCAGAGTTGAGAAGGCCTTTCTACAGCAAAAATGAAACCTGGAATTATAACATAAAATATTCATTATGTAAAGAAAAGGCTGACTATATAAATATTTAAAAGTTTTTACAAAGAAGAAATTCAAAAGAGAATGGTAACCTAGGGGAAATTATGCAATATATATGACAGACAAAGAATTAATATCCTCAATATATAAGAAATATCATAAGTCCAAAAGAAAAGGCAATATAATGTTTAAAGTCACTAGTGGATCATATACAGAAAAAGAAATACAGATAGCTTTTAGACATTTGAAAAGATGTTCAAATTTACCTTAAATAAAGTAATATATATTTAATCATTCATCTGATACCATTTTAATCTATCAAACTGTCAAAAATTAAAAGTTTGATATTATAATTTTTTGCCCAGTCTGTAAGTAAATAGTCATTCTCCTTAATTGTTTAAGAGAATATAAATTAGTACACCCTCCTTGGAAGGTAATTTGATATTAGTTTTCAACATTTAAAATTCACAAGGTCTTTGATGAAGTATTTCCTTTTCTAGGAATTTACTCTGCAGATATATTTGACACGGGTAAGCAATATCTGAAATAAGAGACTAGAAATATCCTAAATGTGTATGACTAAGGGATTAACTAAATAAATTACAGTGTACTCACACAATGAAATACAATTCAGCCATTTAAAATAACAGATAATGACATACAGATTAAATAGATATATAATAATTGCTGTTTTAATTGATATCTAGTTAGAAAAACATAAACCTCTCTAGACAATTCAGCCAGAAAAGGCTTGGGAGAGTTGAGGGTGACAGAAAGAACAAGGAGCCATTTCCTACAAATTAGGAAGCTGCAGGTGTTGAAAGGGGCAGGAGCAACCAAAGGGACACACGAGTGTTACCCAAGGACCAAAAGTCAGCTACTGCCTTGGGGCAGAAGCCCTTATACCTTCCCTTGCCAGTGAGCTGCTGAAGGTACTTCCAGAGTAGCTGAGAAGTAGCCCCTCTTACTGTTGCTATCAAGATTACTAGAGTAACTGTTTCAGAGGCTATTGGAACCACTGCTCTGCCACCCTCATTGTTACTTTACCAATAGTTCTCACCCACAGATATGTGCAGCCATTTGTTGCAACCTGCCACTATCACTGCCACTATCAGAGTTATATGTAGAAAATGAGGAGGCAGTGCGAGAAGGAAATGTGTGTGGAGTATAGTTTTCAGGCTTCAAGACCCATGTAATAAAGAGAACCCCAGAAAAAAGCTAAACACTTACAGACAGCATGTGATGCAATTTCCAAGATGCAATGTTGAATGAAAAGATCAAGGTAAAAAACAGTATAAACTTAGTATATTTCTCTTTTTGAAGCATGTGTATGGAAAGAGGAGAGCATCTGTTTCTATATGGAGAGAACAGAACATGAGAATCTCATAACAGAGGTTGTTTCCAAATTGGAACTGAGGAACTGGAGATAAGAGGTGAGAAAAGACTTTTCATCCTTTTCACTGACTGTATACTCATTTGTATCACTTGAATTTTTGACATGAGCACAAATTGCTTTAAAAAGAGAACTTTATTTCCAAAAGAGAAATCATTGTCATAATAAATAATAAAACACACTTTCTCCTACAACTATTTTTTCACTTGAAAATATTGCCTTTTTTAGGGCTTCTAGAGGAACTTAAAATATAGAACTTCTTTTTTTGTTGTGGTTAATAAATTTTTTTAATTTACTTTAAGTTCTGGGATACGTGTGCTGAATGTGCAGGTTTGTTACATAGGTATACATATGCCAGGGGGTTTGCTGCACCTATCAACCTGTCATCTAGGTTTTAAGCCCCACATGCATTAGGTATTTGTCCTAATGCTCTCCCTCCCCTTCCCCCACCCCCCAACAGGCCTCCATGTGTGATGTTTCCCTCCCTGTGTCCATGTCTTCTCATTGTTCAACTCCCATTTATGAGTGAGGACATGTGGTGTTTGGTTTTCTGTTCCTACGTTAGTTTGCTGAGAATGATGGTTTCCAGCTTCATCCATGTCCCTGCAAAGGACATGAACTCATGCAAAGGACATGAACTATATTTTGTGGCTGCATAATATTCTATGGTGTATATGTGCCACATTCCAGTCTATCATCAATGGGCATTTGGGTTGGTTCCAAGTCTTTGCTATTGTGAATAGTGCTGCAATAAACATACATGTTCATATGTCTTTATAGTAGAATGATTTATAATCCTTTGGGTATATACCCATAATGGGATTGCTGGGTCAAGTGGTATTTCTGGTTCTAGATCCTCGAGGAATTGCCACACTGTCTTCCACAATGGTTGAACTAATTTACACTCCCATCAGCAGTGTAAAAGCATTCCTATTTCTCCACAGCCTCACCAGCATCTGTTGTTTCTTGACTTTTTAATGATCGTCATTCTAACTGGCATGAGATGGTATCTCATTGTGGTCTAACGACCAGTGATAATGAACTTTTTTTCATATGTTTGTTGGCTGCATAAATGTTTTCTCTTGAGAAGTATCTGTTTATATCCTTTGCCCACTTTTTGATGGGGTTGTTTTATTCTTGTAAATTTGTTTAAGTTCCTTGTAGATTCTGGATATGAGACCTTTGTCAGATGGATAGATTGCAAAAATTTTCTCCCATTCTGTAGGTTGTCTGTTCACTCTGATGATAATTTCTTTTGCTGTGCAAAAACCTTTTAGTTTAATTAGATCCCATTTGTCAATTTTGGCTTTTGTTGCAATTGTTTTTGGTGTTTTAGTCATGAAGTCTTTGCCCATGCCTATATCCTGAATGGTATTGCCTTGGTTTTCTTTTAGGGTTTTTATGGTTTTAGGTTTTACATTTAAGTCTTTAATCAATCTTGAGTTAACTTTTGTATAAGGTGTAAGGAAAGCATCCAGTTTCTGTTTTCTGCATATGGCTAGCCAGTTTTCCCAGCACCATTTATTAAATAGGGAATCATTTTCCCATTGCTTGTTTTTGCAGGTTTGTTGAAGATCAGATGGTTGTAGATGTGAGGCGTTATTTCTGAGGCCTCTATTCAATCACAGAAGTTATTTACCCTTTTCCTCACAAGTCATGGAATAAAGCCCATCAAAACGTGTAATATTGTGCCCTTCAGCATTTCCAAATACGTTGTCTTACTTGATCTTTGCCATACAAATATGAACTCATTATTTTGTTTTTAAGATTTAGAAACTGCAAGCCCAGGTAAATACTTACCTCCAAGACTCAGTCAATACTTTGCAGAGCTGCAATTTGAACACAAGTCTACTAACTCCAAAGCCCCTACTACTTTCAGTTAATTAAACTGTCTCTTCTATTTTTTTCAAATCTTTTTCCTCACCTGGGTTTTTTTATAATGTCAAATATCTTCTGAATAAGAGAGCTATTGGCTGAAAATTAACAACACTATGATTGTAAGAAGACTTTTACCCTAGAAGTATCTGGTATTTGCATGGCCTTTCTTGTCTAAATAATAGTAATGATTTATTATAATAATAATCACCACCACACATCAACAGTAAAAGTAACTTCTACCACTACCAATGGTTGAGTCTTAATTATGTGTTGGAAATTTACTAAACACATTACACAAGTCGTTTCCTTTAAGTAAAGGAATTAGATATTTCCCTTTGCCATGACGTTATGGACTATACTGTGTCCCCTAAAACTCACATATTGAAGTCCTAACCTCCAATATTTTAGATTATGAAGGTAACTTGAGGCAGGAACTTTAAATAAATAATTAAAATCAAGCAGAGTCATATGGATACGATCTAATCCAACAGGAATGCTGTCCTTATAAGAATAGGAAGAGAAACCAGAGATGAGAGTGTCATATGTATACCTGTACCTATGTATACCTATACCATAGAAATACCTAATGCATGTGGGGCTTAAAAACTAGATGACAGGTTGATAGGTGCAGCAAACCACGGTGGCACATGTTTACCTATGTGACATACCCTTGTATACCTATGTGAGGACATGTGGTGTTTGGTTTTCTGTTCCTATGTTAGTTTGCTAAGAATGATGGTTTCCAGCTTCATAGGACATGAACTCATTATTTTTTATGGCTGCATAGTATTCTATGGTGTATATGTGCCACATTCCAGTCTATCCTCAATGGGCGTGTGAGGACATAGGAAGGAGATGGCCATCTGCTAGCCAAGGAGAGAGGCCTCAGGAGAAAACAAACATGCCAACACCTGGAATTGATTTCCAGCCTCCAGAACTATGTAAAAATAAATTTCTATTGTTTAAGCCACCCAGTCTGTGGTATTTTATTGACATCCCTGGAAAACTAATAAACATATAAGACATGATAAATTTCAGTAAGAGTACCTTGCACCCCTGAAACTGATTTAAAGCTAGAAAACTCAACGCAATTGAAGAAATCAGTCATGAAATTCTAGTTCTACAGATTCTCCTGCTTTTTTCAATGGCTATGGAATTGAGAGATTTTCTTTATCCACCTGGGACATATAGAACTAATAACTGTGCTCAAAACCATAAAAATGGCATTAAACAGGAGCTTATATTCATTGCCAGTCAAATCAGTATCTTATTAGAGTGTTCTCTAACATGTAAAATGGAAGATGAGAGCCTTAACAAATGATCCCATAAATGAAAGAAAATATCCATAGTGTATAAATGAGAGAATTCTCAGGACAAGGGACAGATTTTCTCTAAAATTTTTATAGAAAAGTTCGCTTTCCACTTGTGAATGATAAAATAAATTCTCAAAGGGGTTTGCACAAAAGACAACTCTTTCATTAAATATTAAGAATAAAGAGCTCCATTCAAGACAATCACAAAAGGCCAAATAGAAACCATAAGGTGGAGAGAGCAGACTGGCCTTACCTAAAAGATTGCAGCTGGGAAGACTCAGATAGATTCTTAGAAAGAGAGCCTATCACAGAACTTCTGTGATAATATCTTAGAAAATCAAGCCCGTGGATTATTTTCTACCAATAAAATGCTGAAGGAAACAGAGAGGCTGTGGATAAAAGGAAGTATGTTTTAGATCAACCTGACATCTGAAACAGCCAGTTCTCTAGTGATATTTTACAGATAAACAATATATTTTTATTCAGATGTCTTAGAAACTGAAGCTGAGAGACCTATTCTTCAAGTCCAGTAACATAAAACAGAAACAATGGTAGTAATCATATTTCCTGAACTATTAAGTTAAATGTCTGTCTAGCATTTCTGAGCATGCTTGAGTCTCTGTAGTTCATCTTGTCAGGTTAATCAGGATGGGTACTTCAAATTGACAGGGTAACCAGCTTTTCTTCCAGAGCAGCTTTCAGCAAACTGAAACATGCACTTTGACTTGAAATCAGAGAAAGTCTCTACCACTCAAACCCTTAAAACAATGCATACTTATCGAACGCCTATTGTGTGCATAATCTTCTTCCAGGAAAAACAAACATTAAGAAAAAGCAGTCCTTGTGCTCAAGAAAATACATATGGAAGATATGGAAAAAGCAAGTACTGAACTAATCTTAATGCAAGGCAGGATATGAGATGTCACAAGAAAGGTACAAATAACGTGCAGTGGAGAATCAGAAAAGGGAGAGGTTCATCTGATTGCATGATGGAAGCAAATCAGGACACATTTATAGAAGAGGTAAGTTTTAAAATAGATCTTAAGGAATGAGCAGGATTTCGACAAAGATGAAAAGAAATTCTGGAAGAATAAAACAGTAAGAGAAACTTGGCGATGTGAACATATAGGTTTGGTTATAGTTTGGTTTGAGGAAATGCAAATAATCTAGTTTGGCAGAAGTTAAAGCTGATTATATAATTTTTGAGTTTTTTTTTTTTAACTTAAAGTTTACTAACAAGAACGTGAAACCCAGAAGCCAGAAAAGATGGACAGATTTAGTTTAAAAACTAAATAGATAAATCTGTGGGCTGAAAGATGCCACTAACAAAGTTCAAAGAGAAATACTTGAAAATGAAAACCTTTGCAATAATAACATGTGACCAGATACTATGTCAGATGACAAATATCCATAATTTCCATTGTATAGGGAGTATCAGTTCATCACATTGTAACAAATACAGAAATCGTTCACAATATATTAAATGAAAATAACTATTTAAAAAGTTCAAAGCACTCTCCTAAAAGCTCCAGAAATAAAGATATCACAAATGTGATTAAGAAATGTTTGTAAAACAACAGAAATTACATATCAAAGTGCAAAAAATGATCCAAATGTATTTTCAAATAATTTATGTTAAAAGATTTTATCAAAAATTTAATTATATATTTAGACTGTTAAAGGGAACTAAATATGGCCTGAGAAGGACTCCATACCTCCATATTTAAGTCCTCATGGAAGAACTGCAACGTAGCTTAATAGGTAGACAAGATTGAAACCCTAGTTTAGGAGTATGCGCCTGTAGCAGTAGATAAGTCTTGGCCAATCCCAGTGGCCATACTTCAACCATTGATACACTGCTGTCTTCAAACTGTGTTTTGTGTTCAAATAAAGCAAACGCCAAGCTGTAACCAACCCAACCATTCTGTACCTCACTTCCAATTTCTGTATGTCATTTCCCTTTTTTTTTTTTTTCGTCCATCAATCTTCTTCTACCATGTTGCTGCGCTGGAGTCTCTGTGAATCTGCTGTGATTCTGGGAGATGCCTGATTCATGAATCATTCATTGCTCAATGAAACTCCTTTAAATTTAATTTGGCTGAAGTTTTTCTTTTATCAGGTGGTGTAAGAAGCAGGATCCAAAGTTGAGCTTCTAGAGATCCCCAGGAGCACTGAATTAACCCACAAGGTACCTGAAGGATCTACTTTTGTCCACTGATCTCTCAGAGCAGTTGGGGATTGTGGGTAAGCACCCTCTCAGATTTTGGAGCTCCATGGATTTGTGTTTTGAGCTGAGTTTCTTCGAGCGAATTTCTGATCCAAACCGGGTTTGGAAGTTGCAACAGAAACTGGACTGGATCCAAGAATGAATTTGATTGTGGAATTAACTGGCTTGGTTCCAGTTAGAGACTTCTTACATCTGACTGGGTCAGATAGGAACTGGTAGTAAGCAGTAATATCACTGTAGTTATAATATTTGGCTTTTGAAAAATCATTGGGATTTTTGTGTTCTACCCCTTTGTTTCATTTTTCTTGTGTACTTAGGTAGGAAAAATAATCATTGGCTAATCGAGAGAACCTGAGAGTAAAGCCAATATTTTAGGTAAAAATGGGATCTTTAATTCCTGGAAAACTGAGTTCTTTCCAGCTTATACATTAGGCCTGGGAGGCAGTAAATTCTTCAGAAATGGCAAAATCTTAGTAATTTACAGTGGAATGTTCTCAATGAACAACAGATTGGAGTACATTTAAAAATGAGGGCTCTGAGTGAGTCCCTTTAGGCTAAGAATGGGTTTGGCACTCTAAAATGTTAGCTTCTATTCTCTTTGGATTAATTTGTCTTACACTTTTTGCTGACAGCTACGGGTGATAGAATTAGATATGTACAGGACCATGGGACATGGGGAGCTTTTTCCTTCCCAAAGGGGAAATTGAGAGCTGATGGGACTGCTGGAAAAGATCCCTTTGCTACTGACAAGTGGCCACCTGAACTTTTTAGAGTTGCTGCAATGGGTGGATCTTTCTCTGGCCTCCCTGAACTCATCACCTTCCCCATCCTGCCATAGGCAATGCTTTTCTCTCTCTCCTTTCCCTTTCTTATCTTTTCTATTACCCAGGGCAACCATCTTTCCCAGAGACTACATGCTTAAACTCCTAGTTGGAGGTTGGATTAAACATAACAGATCCATCTAAGGGCAAACTTAAGCCCTGACAGTTTAATATTGGGTGCTAAGCAGAATGGCTAATGTCTATTTTTTCATACATATTTTACTCTGGCCAGAACAGAAACAGATAATTTTCCTTTGTGCTGTGACTTGGCCCCCAGGGCTGCAGTGCAGCCAGCTGGGTCACTCAGAGAAAAGAAACCCAGAAGCCTGGCATGATAGCAAAAGGGTAAGAATTTCTTACCAGCCAGACTTCTGGTCTCTCTCTCTCTCTCTCTCTCTCTCTCTCTCAATCTCTCTCTCTCTCTCCCTCTCTGTGTGCAAACTGGTTGAATGGATGAATGGTAAAAATCACTGTTTATTTCCTCTGTAAAGTTTTGATTAATGAGAAAAAGGATTTGTGATGCTAATCTCTCTCTCTTTTTTTTTTTAAGATGGAGTTTCACTCTTTTGCCCTGGCTGGAATGTAGTGGTGCAATCTCGGCTCACTGCAACCTCCACCTTCCAGTTTCAAGAGATTCTCCTTTTAAGCGATTCTCCTGCCTCAGCCTCCCAAGCAGCTGGGATTACAGGTGACTGCCACCATGCCCAGCTAATTTTTGTATTTTTAGTAGAGATGGGATTTCACCCTTTTGGCAAGGCTGGTCTCGAACTCCTGACCTCATGATCCACCCACCTTGGCCTGCCAAAGTGCTGGAATTACAGGCAGGTGAGGCTAATCTTAAATTGTAGTAATCTAGTGTGATTTGTATGTCTTTCTGTGTTCTATAACGTAGAGGGGTACCTTTGGATAGAACATGGGCTTAGGATACCTATAAGTCCGCTGTTGAAAACAGTCCAGCAAACTGGTAAGTTATAAACTTTGCTGCAGGTCCCTGAAGAAAAACAAAACAAAACAAAACAAAACTGGATGAGGTCTTCCTCTTGTCTTGTATGTCCTTGGGACCTTGACCTTGTAACTATGTGGCTGTGCTTTCTCTTTTCACAGTGATGGCCCAGGTTCAGTGTCCAATTCCTGACTTGGAAAATGAGTCCTTTATCTTCTGTCTTTGTATTTATATGTATTATTATGTAATGTTTATATATGAAAGAGCTTTAACTAACTGGTTTAAAAATAATAAGAGCTTAAATCAAATATTTTGTTAGAAAAGTAAAAAGTGTAATGCCTTTTAATTATGTGACATAAGTAACCTTGGGGAAATAAAGACAGTTTTACAAATTATTGGTAAAAAGTCTTCAAAAGTGTAAATATTTGGTCTAAATTATGCCAGTCAGATATTAAGTTTGCTAATTGCTTTAAAGTCATAACCTGCTACTTTGAGTTTTAAAAATTGTTCAATTTATTTTGGATCATTAGATTCTAGATAAGGCCTGGGGACATATTAAATTAGCCATACACCCTAGCTATGAAAAAAAGGTATTAAAGAGGGGAGATTTTATATAAGAAAGGATCTTGTAGAGTAAGTTATTGTCCTAAAGCTAAAGTAAAGTAACTGGCTGTTTAAACAGAGGAATATTTAGGACAAGTTAGAAAGTCAAAGTATGTTGTAGATGGTCTGTGAAAGTCATGAAAGAATTTGTGAAAAGGAATTTATACAAGAAATGTTGTACAATTTAAAGGTGATTAGGCCTCATAAATGCTTGATAAAATGCCACTATGACTCTTAACAGTACAACTTACCTGCTTTACAGTTAGGCAAGGCCTGGGACACGGTGCTGGAAAGAGTCAGACCTTATCTGCATTTCTGTCTGGGTCCGAGGCTCCACACCTAGTACATAATTAAAACCCTGAACTTACTAGAGTTTTTCACCAAAAGTAAAAATTGCTAAGGATTAACAGTGTAGCATGTATAAACATTTATTTGAAACTACTGAAAAAACAGTTTTACATGCAAGGTTTGTAAAGAAAGTGAAATGTGTTTTTGGTAAAAAATTATTAAAAGTAATGGAAGTGTGAATTTTTTGGCCTAAGTTTAGAGGGTTAAAGTATTGTTTTAAGTGAGATAGGAAATATTTAAAGGTTTAAACAAGTTGTGGAAGGTTTGTGAAAATTAACCTTGTAAAAGAAATTCTATGTGTGAAAAGATTGGCTAAATGTAAAGGGGTACTATTTGGTTTTCCATAAATTGAACATCAAAATAAAAGCACAACAGGGTTTTCTTAAAACACTAAGCTCTTTAACAAAAATTTGTAATGGGTTATAAAAGCTTTATAAAAAATCTCACCTTATAGTCAAGCTGATTAAGACTGTATAGATTTTTCTATGAGGTTTTATTAAAACTTGGGGTTGACATTAATAGTCCACTAATGCAAAGGTAAAATTTGGCTTTCCCTCTTGAACAAGACTTTCATGTAATATTAAAAGATAATAAAAAATTTTTTGTTTCCCCCCTAAATACACTACCAAAAAGGAAAAAAGAAGAAGATAGAAAAGTCAAAAGGCAGATTGTTTGGAAAGCTAAGTCTTCTATCAATGAGTAAAGGTTTTTGCCTTCTTAAAAATTTTCAAGTCACCATTTTGGCAAAATGAATAACTTATGGTAGCCTGGAATTCTAGTTCACAATATCAAGTGTTTTAAACCTTTAACATATTAAATAGGCTTCCCAAAATCAAATTTCAGCTTTGAAATAGTCTTTTCTGACCTGTAACTTTGGAATGCTACAAAGGGGCCCTCCTTGAAGTATCCAAAAGAGAGGTAAACAGAATTATTTAACACATTAAGATACATGGGAAGCATTGTCAAACTAATAATGTTTAATCTTCAAGTTATATTCTATTGAATATTAATATGTTGTAAAATTGTATGGGATTTTAAAAATTCTAATATGTCTGATTATATGCTATCAATCATAATTATGGTTATCATGTTAAGTTATTGTACACCACAGAAATAACCAAATATTTTTGTATAAAATTGCTAACCCAAGTAGAACAACAACAAAAAAATTAAATACTGAGGAAATACTTTGTCAGATTTTCACGTTAAATCAGCCGATACTGAAATTGTTTAGATATACAATTTGAACTCCACAGTCTAAGTCAAATTACCTAAGATAATTAAGGTCTTTTTTGAAAAGGTCAACAAATTAATTTTTTAGACCAAAATTGACAGACCACTAGCAAGACTAATAAAGAAGAAAAGAGAGAAGAATCAAATAGACTCAATAAAAAATGACAAAGGGGATACTCCAAACTCTTGGTATTATCCTCCCAATAGTCATAATAATGGCCTCCCTGGTGTTCTGTATTCTCTAAAGATTTTAAATGTTTGCATGCAGCCATCTGTAGAACATCAAATGGTCTCTCTTCAACTGGAATGACAGAAGCTAAAAGAAATGTACAATGATAAGGACACCGTAACCTGTGAACAATATGCTGAGACCAGAAACCCAAAATGATGGTAACAGGGAGTGGCACTAAGGCACTAAGTTTTAGTCACATTCTCACCTAAGTGAGAACCTGACCAAAAAGGATAAATTTTTTAAACAAAATTATTGGAGGCCATCATTTCAGACTAAGCTCATGCACTAGGACCCAGCAGGCCAAACCAAACTAAAATGGAGTCACTCATGCTAAATGAAACATAATCAAACTAAGTCTTTAAGGAAATACATAGATCCTAAAACAGACCTGTTTTGTTTTTCTCCTGTAAACAGGCTATTCCAGCATAAGGAGGCACCCTCTACTCAGTCCTTGTTTCTACCTTTGCAAAACTCACTGTTCTACTGATTCTCAGTGGGTTTCAAGTACATTTACAATGGCGATAGTGACATCAATAGCTAAAGTTTTGGTCAGTCTCTCAAAATTGAGAAAATGACCACAAAGAGGGAATGGTTAAAGCAAATGAAATATGGCCTGAGAAGATTCCGTATTCCTATATTTGAGTTCTTGTGGATGAACTGCAACCTACCTTAATAGGTAGACAAGATTGAAAACCTAACTTAGGAGTATGCTCCTGTAATAATAGCTAAGCCTTGGCCAATCCCAGTGTCCATAGTCCAACCACTCATACACTGCTGTGTTCACACTGTGTTCAAATAAGGTAAATGCTGAGCTGTAACCAACCAACCCAATCTGTACCTCACTTCCAATTTCCGTACATCATTTCCAAATTTTTGTCTATAAATCTTCTTCCACCACATGGCTGCACTGTAATCTCTGTGAATCTGCTGTGATTCTGGAGGCTGCCCAATTTGCATATTGTTCACTGCTCAGTTAACCTCCTTTAAATTTAATTTGTCTGAAATTTTTATTTTATCAAGACATAAATTCAACAAAAGAAATTAGAAAAAAAGGGAGCAAAACGATAAAAAAAAAAAAAAGCAGAATGGATGGAATAGGAGATTTCAATCCAGGAATGAATAAATGAACAAAAGGAAAACTAGGGCCGGGTGCCGGTGGCTCACGCCTGTAATCCCAGCACTTTGGGGCACCGAGGGTGGGAGACCACGAGGTCAAGAGTTCAAGACCATCCTGGCAAACATGGTAAAACCCCGTCTCTACTAAAAATACAAAAATTAGCTGGGTGTGATGGCGTACACCTGTAGTCCCAGCTACTCAGGAGGCTGAGGCAGGAGAATGGCTTGAACCCAGGAGGCAGAGATTACATTTAGCTGAGATCATGCCACTGCACTCCAGTCTGGTGACAGAGTGAGACTCTATCTCAAAAAAAATAAATAAATAAAATAAAATAAAAATTAAAAGAAAAACTAAACTTGATAAAATGAAAATATAACTCCTTAAAAACAATACAGATTAAAAAATAACTAGTCAAATTAAGACAAAAATGAGTAGAAACACAACTTTAGATAGTGTGATATGGAATTATTCACTGAGAAAGTCATGTCGAATAGACACCTGTAAGAGTGAAGAAGAAAATCATCAGATATCATGGGAAAGCGTTCTCATGAGAGGGACAGCAAGTGACTGGTTTCTAATGTGTTCCCAGAATAGCAAGGGATCAATGTGATTGGATCAGAGGAAGAGGGAGAAAGAGTTGAAGAAGTCAGAAATGCAGGGTGAGATGAAGATGGCCTTGAAGGTCATGTAAGAATTTTGGATTTTATCCTGATTGAAACTGATGCTATTAGAAGGTTTTGATCAAAGAAGTAACATGATCAGCCTTATGATCTAAAAGGATCACTCTGGCTTCTATGTTTAAAATAAATGAAAGAGAGGCAAGATCAGAAGCAGGAACCACACTAATCTGTTTTCATAATTCATATGAGCAGCAGCAGAGATGGTGATAAATGGTCAGATTCTAACTACGTTTAAACTAGAGACCAGGATGATGGTAAGATTTTACTGAGGTTTATCATTTACTGAAGATGGGAGAATGCAAGATAAATGGCTTTGTGCAGGCTGATCTGGAGATCATTTTTGGATATTTCAAGTTTTAGATGCCAGTCAGATATTCAGTGAAAATATTGAGTAGCTATTATAAGCCAAGGGTGATCAAAATGACATTAATGATTTCCTTTGATTTTGCTAAACTTTAGATAGGCTTCTTCATGATTATAGGCCCCCTTTTTCATAGAGCATTTACTTCAGAAATTATAAATC
The DNA here is from genome assembly GCF_000001405.40 of Homo sapiens. Lineage (NCBI taxonomy): Eukaryota > Metazoa > Chordata > Mammalia > Primates > Hominidae > Homo > Homo sapiens. The sequence continues at coordinate 54,459,454 of NC_000017.11, forward strand.
CTTTCCCTGCCCTTTTGAGATGTAAATCTTCCAGCTTCTTGCCAGTTTTACCAGCCAGGAATGTCTTTTTCAAAAACCTGGGAGCCACCCCTTTGAACTATAATCTTCAAGATAGATCAATCTCCTATCTTCCAATCTCTGTGGAAAGGTAGGAGTCTTAAATAAGTGCCCATTAGCAAATACAAATGACCTTTTTCAGTAGTTTGACTAAACCCGTTCTTGACTGTCTAACTCCAACCAGTACAATTGTTCTTTCACAAGGGAAAAGTCCATGCTAAATCTAAATATTTGGGAGTCATCGGTGTATCCATTTAAATATTTACTTTTTAACTTAAATTTCCTACATCTAGCATAAATATATTTATTTTGCTTAAATGTCTTACAACTGGTACAAATATGTTGATTTATTCAGCAATCATTGTAACACTGTACTTACTAAAGATGTCCAAGATAAATTACCTCAACTTCTAAAGAACTTTTCCTTGTTCCTGGAGCTCAATCATAGTATTTTATATTCCCAACTTCACTATGAACAAAGAAAAAAATAACTCAGAGCATTCTGAGCTATGAGGTATGTGAAAATTTATCAGACCCGGAAAGACATAACTTTAATCATGCTCCCTGCACCCACACCAAGGGACAATTGTTTAAAGGATTTTTGTTCCTGACTTGCTGCCTGTCCCATTATCTTCATGTTCCTGGAATTTTTGATGCAAAGAAAGATGTATAACCAGTCAATAGCTTATTTTACTTTAATGTAAATTCTCAGTAAACAACTTAGGAACTGCCTCTTCTTTTTTTTTTTTTTTTCTTAAAAACCCACTTGTAACTGCTGCTAACCTGAGCATACATTAATTGAAACTTAAATCCATCACTCCTGGGCTACAGTTCTCAAACACGGCCCAAGTAAACTCTCTATTTACACTGACTTAGATTTGTTTTTTTCTTTAAGGTCTACAATTGTTAGCATTGGAGAGCACTCAAGACTGTTTTCAAAGATCTAGAGGGTGGAAATTTGATTGATGTGTTGATGGGAGATAAAACAGCTTTGAATCTTAGAATTCTCTTAGAATTGTCCCCACTTCTCTCCTCAACTTGTCTCTCATTTTTTGTATTCGGCCTCACAGTCTCTTCTCTTTTTAGATGAATTATCTTCATGTATTGTCCCCACCAGGGGAAAGAGAGCTCCACACCCCTAAGCTAGAATTAGTCCCAGTGGAAGACAGTGAATGGATAGCTTGGGACTGATGCTATAATATATAGGCTTTTTATCCGATTCTTGTCTTTGAGATGATTCTCCTTTGTTGTGAGATGATTCTTCTTTGATTTTCTGTATCAAGGTTAAGTATAGGGGGTGCGGGCCTTGAGTAAACATTTTCAAGAGACCAAAAGGCCAGCTTTTGCTTTAGGCAACTTGAGTTTATTTCTTTTACAGGCAAATAATTTTTTAAAAAATAATATAACTCGTGATTTAAGCTATTATGAATAGGAGCTTCCAAAAATAGGTTTAAGGTTTAAGGTTTAAGTGAAAGCTGATAATAAAGGAGAAAATGCATGAATAAAAGAATGATAATAACAAGCTGCAAAAGTATAAAAATGGTACAAATGTTCAAAGGAGGTCAGAAGCAGTGACACGATGGATTTTCATGAACATTCACTTGGTAAGGCACAATTATTATTAGGGTCAGCCAGATTACATATTTAGGCCTCAGGCCTGTGAGCTCATGCTAATTTGAACAGCTGTTCAAAAGAAGTTCATCGCTATTTGACAGATGGAGAAAATGATACTCACTAATGGCCCAAGTTGCTTTGACACAGACTGATTTCCCTATTGCTAAAACTTACTTGCAGTATCAATTGCAAATAGCTTTGACAATTTGAACCTGTTCTTCAGTGCTGACATCCTTAGGAAGAACTTTTCAAAATCATAGACCCTAATTTGAAAGAATATTATGGTTATTGTAGCCAACTTCCCCTTATTCTCTTCTAAACAAGAATTGAGAAGTGGTAAACTGTGGGTCAGATACATATTCCCACTGTTTGAAGGAGATTGTTAGTCACCTTTGTTGCTGATTGTCATTATTTGGAGCTGATCTCTCCTACCTTTGGAAATAAAGGGGATGATTGCATTTTATTCACAAGAAAGGGATTTATAACATTTATCATGTTGGAAGAAACAGCTGTTTCTCTTTACTACAGCATTTGCTTTCTTTCATCACATAAGAAGTCAGCTGGGAGATGCTACTAAATGTTGCATTGAATGAAACACAAACTTAAGAGTTTGTTACTATTTGGAAATAATTTTTTGCATAATTGTTTTTATAGAAGAGAATAAAATGTCCTTAAAATAATTTTTTATCAGAACAAAGAAAACAGAAAACACAATTGGAATGAAGGCTATTCAGTCAGAAAATGTAGATAAAATGTATGAGAATTAATGCAATAATTGAAAAACATTTTGCATTTCTATAGTAGGTATTAGGAAAGCTCACAAACCAGGGTTTAAGGGGCAAATTTCTTTACTCTCTTTCAAAGTTACAGACCAGATTATTTAGGATCCTAAATCTTCTCAGATAACACTTTCTGATGTCCTTTATTATTTAGATTAATGAGAAGCAATATTGTAGTAAGTGCAGTTTGGGGACAGAGTATTGTGTTTGTTGAATTTTGTTGAAGGCCTTTTCTGCATCTATTGAGATAATCATGTGGTTTTTGTCATTGGTTCTGTTTATGTGATGGATTACATTTATCGATTTGCATATGTTGAACCAGCCTTCCATCCCAGGGATGAGGCCAACTTGATCATGGTGGATAAGCTTTTTGATGTGCTGCTGGATTCAGTTTGCCAGTATTTTATTGAGAATTTTCTCTTCGATGTTCATCGGGGATATTGGTCTAAAATTCTCTTTTTTTGTTGTGTCTGTGCCAGGCTTTGGTATCAGGATGATTCTGGCCTCATAAAATGAATTAGGGAGGATTCTCTGTTTTTCTATTGATTGGGATAATTTCAGAAGGAATGGTACCAGCTCCTCTTTGTACCTCTGGTAGAATTCAGCTGTGAATCCACCTGGTCCTCGACATTATTTGTTGTAAGGCTATTAATTATTGCCTCAATTTCAGAGCCTGTTATTGGTCTATTCAGAGATTCAACTTCTTCCTGGTTTAGTCTTGAGAAGGTGCATGTGTCCAGGAATTTATCCATTTCTTCTAGATTTTCTAGTTTATTTGCATAGAGGTGTTTATAGTATTCTCTGATCGTAGTTTGTATTTCTGTGGGATTGGTGGTGATATCCCCTTTATCATATTTTATTGCATCTATTTGATTCTTCTCTCCTTCTTTATTAGCCTTGCTAGCAGTCTATCAGTTTTGTTGATCTTTTCAAAAAAACAGCTTCTGGATTCATTGATTTTTTGAAGGGTTTTTTGTGTCTGTATCTCCTTCAGTTCTGCTCTGATCTTAGTTATTTCTTGCCTTCTGCAAGCTTTTGAATGTGTTTGCGCTTGCTTCTCTAGTTCTTTTAATTGTGATGTTAGGGTGTCAATTTTAGATCTTTCCTGTGTTCTCTTGTGGGCATTTAGTGCTATAAAATTTCCCTCTACACACTGCTTTTAATGTGTCCCAGAGATTCTGGTATGTTGTGTCTTTGTTTTCATTGGTTTCAAAGAATATCTTTATTTCTGCCTTCATTTCATTATTTACCTAGTAGTCATTCAGGAGCAGGTTGTTCAGTTTCCATGTAGTTGTGTGGTTTTGAGTGAGTTTCTTAATCCTGATTTCTAATTTGATTGCACTGTGGTCTGAGAGACAGTTTGTTGTGATTTCTGTTCTTTTACAGTTGCTGAGGAGTGCTTTACTTCATTTATGTAGTCAATTTTAGAGTAAGTGTGATGTGATGCTGAGAAGAATGTATATTCTGTTGATTTGGGATGGAGAGTTCTGTAGTTGTCTATTAGGTCTCCTTGGTCCAGAGCTGAGTTCAAGTCCTGGATATCCTTGTTAACCTTCTGTCTTGCTGATCTGTCTAATATTGACAGTGGGGTGTTAAACTCTCCCATTATTATTGTGTGGGAGTCTACATCTCTTTGTAGGTCTTTCAGGACTTGCTTTATGAATCTGGGTGCTCCTGTATTGGGTGCATATATATTTAGCATAGTTAGATCTTCTTATTGAATTGATCCCTTTACCCTTATGTAATGGCCTTCTTTGTCTCTTTTTATCTTTGTTAGTTTAAAATGTGTTTTATCCATGACTATGATTTTAACCCCTCCTTTATTTGGTTTCTATTTGCTAGGTAAATATTCCTCCATCCCTTTATTTTGAGCCTATGTGTGTCTTTGCACATGAGATGGGTCTCCTGAATACAGCACACCAATGGGTCTTGACTCTTTATCCAATTTGCTAGTCTGTGACTTTTATTTGGGGCATTTGGCCCATTTACATTTAAGGTTAATATTTTATGTGAGAATTTGATCCTATCATTATGATGTTAGCTGGTTATTTTTTTCTGTTAATTGATGCAGTTTCTTCATAGCATTGATGGTCTTTACAATTTGGCATGTTTTTGCAGTGGCTGGTACCAGTTGTTCCTTTCCATGTTTAGTGCTTCCTTCAGGAGCTCTTGTAAGGCAGGCCTGGTGGTGACAAAATCTCTCAGCATTTGCTTATCTGTAAAGGATTTTATTTCTCCTTCAATTATGAAGCTTAGTTTGGCTCAATATGAAATTCTGGGTTAAAAATTCTGTTCTTAAGAATGTTGAATATTGACCCCCACTCTCTTCTGGCTAGTAGGGATTCTGCTGAGGGATCTGCTATTAGTCTGATGGGCTTCCCTTTGCGGGTAACCCGACCTTTCTCTCTCGCTACCCTTAACGTTTTGTCCTTCATTTCAACCTTGGTCAATCTGATAGTTATGTGCCTTGGGGTTGCTCTTCTCAAGGAGTATCTTTGTGGTGTTCTCTGTATTTCTTCAACTTGAATGTTGGCCTGCCTTGCTAGGTTGGGGAAATTCTCCGGGATAATACCCTGAAAAGTGCTCTCCAACTTGATTCCATTCTCCCCATCACTTTCAGTTACACCAATCAGATGTAGATTTGGTTTTTTCACATAATCCCGTATTTCTTGGAGGCTTTGTTCATTTCTTTTCACTCTTTTTTCTCTAATCTTGTCTTTTTGCTTTATTTCATTAATTTGATCTTCAATCACTGATATCCTTTCTTCCACTTGATTGAATTGGCTATTGAAGCTTGTGCACGCATCACGAAGTTCTCGTGCCATGTTTTTCAGCTCCTTCAGGTCATTTAAGGTCTTCTCTACACTGGTTATTCTAGTTAGCCATTCTTCTAACCTTTTTTCAAGGTTTTTGCTTCCTTGCAATGGGTTAGAACATGCTCCTTTAGCTTGGAGAAGTTTGTTATTACCAATCTTCTGAAGCCTACTTCTGTCGACTTGTCAAAGTCTTTCTCCATCCAGTTTTGTTCCATTGCTGGCGAGGAGCTGCAATCCTTTGGAGGAGAAGAGGTGCCCCAGTTTTTAGAATTTTCAGTTTTTCTGCTCTGGTTTCTCCCCATCATTGTGGTTTTATCTACCTTTGGTCTTTGACATTGGTGACCTACAGATGGGGTTTTGGTGTGGATATCCTTTTTGTCAATGTTGATGCTATTCCTTTCTGTTTGTTAGTTTTTCTTCTAACAGTCAGGTCCCTCAGCTGCAGGACTGTTGGAGTTTGCTGGAGGTCCACTCCAGACCCTGTTTTCTTGGGTATCACCAGCGGAGGCTGCAGAACAGCAAATATTGCTGCCTGATCCTTCCTCTGGAAGCTTCATCCCAGAGGGGAACCTGCCCGTATGAGGTGTCTGTCAGCCCCTACTGGGAGGTGTCTCCCATTTAGGCTACAAGGGGGTCAGGGACCCAATTGCAGAGGCAGTCTGTCCATTCTCAGAGATCACACACCATGCTAGGAGAACCACTGCTCTCTTCAGAGCTGTCAGACAGGGATGTTTAAGTCTGCAATAGTTTCTGCTGCCTTCTGTTAAGCTATGCCCTACCCACAGATGTGGAGTCTACAGAGGCTGTAGGACTTGCTGAGCTGTGGTGGGCTCCGCCCAGTTTGAGCTTCCCAGCTCCTTTGTTTACCTACTCAAGCCTCAGCAATGGCAGATGCCCCTCCCCCCACCAGGCTGCAGCCTCACAGGTCGATCTCAGACTGCAGTGCTAGCAGTGAGCAAGGCTCCATGGGTGTGGGACCCACCGAGCCAGGCACAGGAAAGAATCTCCTGGTCTGCCAGTTGCTAAGACCTTGAGAAAAATGCAGTATTTGGGCAGGAGTGTCCCATTTTCCAGGTACAGTGTGTCACAGCTTCCTTTGCCTAAGAAAGGGAAATCCCCTGACACTTGCCTAAGAAAGGGAAATCCCCCAACACCTTGCACTTCCAGGGTGAGGTGGCACCCCACCCTGCTTTGGCTCACTCTCCTTGCACTGCACCCACTGTCCAACCAATCCCAATGAGATGAACCACGTACTTCAGTCAGAAATGCAGAAATCACCTGTCTTCCACCTTGATCACGCTAGGAGCTGCAGACTGGAGCTGTTCCTATTTGGCCATCTTGGAACAGACCTCAAATGAGCAATTCTTAACGTAATCCGTAATCTTCAGCCCATCAGAAGTACATGGTTTTCTATTTATTTTTACTTTAGTTTTTTTTTTTCCTCTCATTATCTTTTAAATGTTCTTTGGACCCACAGACATCAGAACCAATTGGACCATGGAAGATGTTTACAATGTAGATCCCTAAACTGGGAACAAGGCACTATCTAACAGAATCTTTGAGAGTGAAATTCAAAAATATCCATTTAAACTAACTTGCCCATTTATGCTTAATAAAATGGACAAATTTTATTCAACTTCATTTTCTAGGAATTCATGATTTATGTTCTTAATCTCATATGTTTTATTTTTTAATGTCTTCATGACAAAAAAGCATCACTTCCTTGAAAGGGTATGTTTAATTTATTATATTCTAGTACTTAAACAAAAAACACAATTTGAATTTATGCAATTTTACAACTGAGCTTCCCTTTTTTTAAATTCCCAGGGCTATAACTGCTTCAAGCCATAATTTATCACAGTTGCAGAGGACATTAGGGATCAGTGAATTCAACCTCATTATTTTATGTGTAAATAACTGAAGTTCAGAGATGAGGACTTGCTATAGTCATACAAAGAGTTAGTGTCTGGACCCATATCAGAATTCTATTGTCTTGGCCCAAGGCCATTGATTTTCATTTTTTAACACTTAAATGTGTACAAAATCTTAAAAGTAATATACAACAGTGAAAGTAGAGCTTTTAACGTGGACTTTGGTGGGAAGTCTATGATTTGATTTTAAAGGCATTTAAGTTTTATTCATTGATTCTTCTGCAATATCTTTTCAGCATAAATTTGTATAATCTTAGACATCATCAATGTATTATAATAAAATATATCTCACTATGTTTTATTTATATCTCAATTCATTTAAAAAAGATAATGTCAGTTTACAAAAAAATACATACATACAATAACAAGATTAAAAATAGATAAGACTATTTTGGCTGATTTTTATTTGCTGTGTCATCAGGAAAAGAGATTTGGAGACCAACTAAACAGTCTCCAGGCTTCCAACTTTAGTTAAGATATCCTAGAGATGGAAAGGAGAGAAGGGAATAGGATTTGTTAAAATGTGGATTTAGTTTTCATTATTTCTCGAAGATTGACATAAAAAGAAAAATGCCTATATATGTAATTTCTTCTCACAACATACTCTAATTGGGCTTCTGTTTCCAGCACTCAGATACTGCTCTTGTCAAGGACAGTAATAACTTCCTAGATGGTGAAGGTAACAGATGATGTCTGATCCTCTTAGCAGTAGTCAATATAGCTGGCTACTCACTCCTTCTTGAAACTCCTTTTACTCTGGGTTTCAATGGCACCATCTTGAGATGGTTAATTTTAGGTATTAATTTGACTAGGCCCTGGTAGCCTAATGTTTATTTGGTCAAACAAGTCTGGATGGTGCTGTGAGGGTATTTTTTAGATGAGATTAACATTTAAATCAGTAGATTTTGAGTAAAGCAGATTACCATCTGTAATGAGAATGAGTTTCATCCAATCAGTTGAAGACAGAACTCCCCAAGAAACAGGGAATTCTTCCAGCAGACTTTCTTTAAACTGGAGCTGTAATGGATTGAGTGGGTGGATGATATTCTGCCAGGTGAAGCAGCCTACCCCAGCCTAGAAATGTCCTCAGGCCAGGAGATCTGGCCTCTTTTACCAACTTGTTGGCTGGCCATTCAGAACGGTACTTTACCTTTGTGTGTGTGTGTGTGCACGCGCACGTGTATGTAGTCTCCTCTTACACAAAAATAAGGAAGTTAAATAAAATGATCCTTTCCTTAAATAATTCCAGTTTGTTTCTATTACTCCAACATTTCCAGCATTTCATTTAAGAGTATCTTGTATTTCAGCCAAAATCTTCAAACTACGTAAGTTTTATTAACACTAGAATTTTTTGTAATCCAGACCCTTGCTATTCAAAATGTGGTCAGTGGATTCCCAGTATTTATACTTCTGGGGAACTTTTTGGATATGAAACCTTTCAAGCCCTACCCTAGACCTACTGAACTGGGAGGAATCTGCATTTTAATAAGATTCACAGGTAATTCTTATGCCTATTAAGAGGAGAAAACTGTTATACAATGGCCCCTACTACAGGTTTCTGCATGAGCTGATTTCACTAGTCACACTTTGCAAATGCCTAGTGACTTCTAGGGAAATAATATTTAAATATGTACTGCCTTTAAAAATATTATATATATTTTGCTAAATCTTCATAGCAATAGTACTAAGTTATTAAGCAGTTCTTATTGTCACCAATTTACAGATGAGAAAATGGATAAATTGAAATGATATGCCCAAATTATACAGCTAATAGTGACAGAGCCTATGCATCTAGGGAGCAAATGTTGTCTCCAATACCCATGCAAATATGGAAGATGGCTGGCAATGGTCCCTCCCTTTTTCAACCAGCACAGTTTATACCATGAGACCTGCTGGGGCCTCAGCTCTATATCAAATTTTAAAATCCCCGTATGTACTGAAAAATAAATCACACTCTCTAAGTCATTCTGAGTTGAGCTGAAAATCCAATTATCACCTCACTAGCTGACATTGTAAATCTCTCCCAATTCTCAGCAACAAAGACATAACCTTAAAAGCGCTAACTCCACTGACTGAGCTTTATGACCTTCTCTCCTTCTTTAGCTTCTCAGCACATCCTCTCAGAGCTCTGATATGGGTTAGAATGTCAAGCAGACAGGCCTGGATTCAAATTCTGGCCCTGAGTCTTTCTTTCTAGATATGACACAGGGGCAAATTATTTAGCTTCTTTGAACCTTAGATTCCACTTCTATACCACAGAGATTGTTTACCTATTGATAAAGGCTGTTGTTAGAATTAATGGAATAATAAATGCACAGTGCTTAACGAAATCTTTAGTTCCCAAAAAATAGTCCATAATGGTAGTTGTTATCATTCACCTCTCTAAGAAAGTTTTCTCATCTGCCAAATTGACAAAATTGAACTGAACAATGTCTAAAGTCCTTTCATTTCTGACATTTGAAAAGTTTAACTCGTTTACATTTCATGTTCTACTTTCTTATTCAGAATTCAGAGCTCACCTTCATTTTTTTTAAAGAAAAAGGTAGATTTGTATGATTGAAATATGAGACTGTTTTCTGACTGAATGAGATTTCCAAGAACACTTAGGGGATACAGGCTAGAGAAGTTATTATATTTTGATTTGAATACTATAAAGTCAATGAGATAGGCCATGCCAAAAAACTGAAATATGTTCTTTAAGTTGCCAGAGTTTTAAAACTGCTTTCTCTAAATTGGAAGAATGAATATCAATTGGTATTGGCCTTACACTGAAATATCACAAAAAACAAAAGAGCTAGAGTAGTGATTGTATGTATTGTATTCTGTAGCATGAGGCCTCTCAGAGAACAGGGCAATCAATTGAAAGAAAATATTCCCCAGCTGGACTGATCATGTGTGAATTCTACAAGAGAAAGGTGGTTAGTTACTTGCCTTCTTAGTTACTTAGACATATGCCCATCTTTGAAAATATATAAAAGTCTTATTCTTAAAGTAAAAGAATAGAAAGAGAAAAAATAATTTAAAAATCTACAGCATGCATAATTAGCTACCATATGCTCCTTTACTGCAATAGCAAAGAGAAGGTACCTTTTCATCTTCACATCCACTGAGCATAACTTTCTATAAAACACTTCCATAAGAGCACTTAAAAATCTAAATTTTCTTTTTGGATAACTGTTTTGTTATGATTGTGACCCAAATGACACTAAAGGATGAAATGAAATAGCACATCGAACGTTTCTTATTCTTTCAACCTTAAAATAGAATTTCAGATTCTTCCCTTTAAATGTCTGATGTGTTGTTTAAAAAAAATAAACAAGACTTGTTTACTCTTTTGAAAAATAAGAACCAGAAGAAGTTATTTCCTTTCCTCACTGGATATTTGACTCTCTCTCTCTGGAAAAGTGCTGTGTACTCTATCTTCTGTTGTCTACTTAAATTTTGGCAAAAGTTCAAAAATGTGATTAAAAATATAAGAACTCAGCTGGGCGCTGTGGCTCATGCCTGTAATCCCAGCACTTTGGGAGGCCGAGGTGGGTGGATCACGAGGTCAGGAGTTCGAGACCAGCCTGACCAACATGGTGAAACCCTGTCTCTACTAAAAATACAAAAAAATTAGCCGGGCGTGGTGGTGCGTGCCTGTAATCCCAGCCACTCAGGAGGCTGAGGCAGGAGAATCGCTTGAACCCAGGAGGCGGAGGTTGCAGTGAGCCGAAATTGCACCACTGCACTCCAGTCTGGGCGACAGAGCAAGACTCTGTCTCTATCTATCTATCTATCTATCATCTATCTATCTATCTATCTATAAACTCAAAAAATAGTATTATTTTAGATACTTAGGTGTATATTAATGGTGTTCTGCATACAGGAGAACAGATATTGTTGTGATTATATGACAACACTAAAGTTTGTCTTTAAGAAACAAGGATATCTGCCTAATCTTCTTCCTGACCTAATTTTAACTACAATGTATGTAAAATGAATCAGAAAGGGATTTCAAGGCCCTTTTGGTCTATGATTGACTATGCAGCTGTAAGATCATTTTGTCCCCATCTATTCATTAATGCAGTCAGATCAATGACAATGTACTGGGCCCCTGCTTATATGCTTCAAAGGTGTCAGATTTATTGTATCTCATAGAGTGGGAGTGGCAATAAAGTATTCATATGTTCAAAATAAGTAGTCAAGTCAGAATTTGGTTCCAAACATGTCTCACTTTGAGATCCCCAAATTCTAATCACTATGTTGTACATTGCCTCTAGTAAGCACTGGATGATCTATGATTATTCAGGCCTGGGATATTTGGTAGATATTTTCTCAAAAATAAATGAAGTGAGACTGTCACATCAAGAAGACAGTTGCCATGATTTGTTGTCAATGATATAATTTTATCTTTCATACGAAAAGAAAAATTTTAGAAAACTTGTATCTGCCACTATAAGTTTGAGAGCTTCCCAATAGCTGAATCTTTTCTGATGACTGACACACCTGGTTATCTTAACTATAATTTTTGACATTGTCTACTACATTGACATCTTTAAGATTTACATACCTCAGGAAATAAATATTTTCCAAATGACCAACGCATGATGCTACAAAACTATGTTTGCATCTAAGATCCATTCTCAGCGAAACATAGACCAATGGATTTTAAATACAAGAAACTTATTGATATGGCTCCATATTCTACATTACAAATGACCATTGAGATACTATTGTTCATCACAGTTGGGTATAAGATGAAAGAAAATCAACAATTATTTGAAAAGGCTATTAAAATATTCTATCCTTTTTCAACTACATATCATTATGAGGTAAAATTTTCTTTATATAGTTCAAGCAAAACAATATATTGCAACTGATTTAATGTAAATACATATGTTAAAATACAAGTCTTCCCTATTAAGCCAAATATTAAAAGGATTTGAAAAAATTTAAAACAATAAAACATGTTAAAATTTTTGTAAAATAATTTTTTCAAAAAATATGTTAAATCATAATACATTTATTATTGTTATATATATATATATATAATCAAATTTTTTAAATGTCTCCAGTATAATTCTAATATTGGAAATGTTGATAAATTTGTCTCTCATAAACAAGATCTCTTTGGACTCCTCAATAACTTTTAAGAGTACAAGGGGCTCCTGAGGCGAAAAAGTTGAAAAACTGCTGCCCTATCACATATAAAACTATGCTATAACACTAGATTCATTACAACAATGTGTTATTGGTGCAAGAACATTTAAGCACACCAGTGAAGAGAGCTCAGAAATAGACTCATATATATGATAATTCAATACTATAATACAGTTTGCATTTTAAATTAGAAATTATATCAGAAGGGTCTTGACAGGAAACAGATGGCACTGCCAAATGAGGTAATTAAAGAAATTTTAATGAAGGGACTATATTCAAGGGTATGAAGAGGTTTAAAATAAATTAGTAGGAACAGAGCACACCAATTTGCCAGAAACAGTGGGACCCTTTACCTTCCTAGGTCTGAAGGGTCAAAGGGAAGGGCATATGGAAACTGGGAATAGAACCATTCCCATACTAGCTGTAGGAGAGGGCTTCCAGGCAGGAAGTGTGATCTCCCAAAGAGGATGGCCATTGCCAATCAGCAGACCGGCAGAAAGGGAGCCAGGGAACAACCAAACTTCAATCAACTCCCATCCTTTGATCTCTTGCTGGTGTCTCCTGTTGGCCAAACCAAAGTAAAAGATCATTCCAGGGCATGCATAAAAGAAGTTGATAATGGTGGAAAGGGGATCTGGAGGGGCAGGAAGAGAATACTCAAAGATTAAGAGAATCCTCTCTTATTCTTTGCCTATACCTGTTCAGTCCTATATACCTTTGCCATTTTGTAAGGAAACGCAGCTGTGCATTTCTAATTTTATGATCCAGTGGACGAGATAATACTCAAGTGCACTATGGGCAGTTTGGACGGCAATGTCTCTTAGTGCTCCAGAGCTCCCCTTCTGGAGAAGGCATTGATGGAGAATTGCAGTATATACCTGTAATTTATGGTTTAATGGGACTGCATGTTTGTATCCTCTTCAAAATTTATATGTTAAAACCCTAACCCCAAGTGGGATAGTACTGGGAGGTGGAGACTTCAAAATGTAATTAGTTCATAAGGGTGGAGCCCCCAGAATGGAATTAGTGTCCTTATAAGAGAAAAAGACTAGAGCTACCACTCTCCCTACATGCACTCACCAAGGAAGGACATGTTGAAGACATAATCAAAAACCTGACCATGCTGGCACCCTGATCTTAGACTTTCAGCCTCCAGAATTGTGAGAGATAAATGCTTTTTGTCTGAACCACCCATTCTATAGCAGACCAAACTGGCTGAGACATGGTTAAAAAAAAAAAAAAAAAAGAACAAGCATGTCATTGAAACAGAGTCCCTCATTTGACAAGGAGACCAGTATCTTTGAGAAAGAGACCTTCAATGTAGGTAAGAGTCCATTAATTTCCCCTGCAGTGACTTAAGCCAGGTTTCTGCTTACTTGAGCTAAAATTATTCTGCTTAAATTGCCAAATAGCCCTTTGATAGGCCCATCTATTTAGTTTCTAGGGACTCTGTGATCAATTAGCCATTGCTAAGACCTCTGCAGGTTGAAACACTCTGATTATAGTAACCAATTCAGAGGAAATTTAGATATTGGTGGTATCAGACACAGACTTTACTAACTAGGATTCATATGGGCAATAAATTAATGAAAAATATATAATTTCAGCAGATAACATAAATCTATAATAATAATCAAACATAGATTCTAGAAGTGGAAAATAAAATGAAACCCTGAACTCCCAGGTTTTACTGAAGTAAATGATGTCCCCACTGTGTCTCTGACGGTTACACACCACCAGTGTAACAATTGATGGTTACCCACCACTATTCTTGATTATTATTCAAGAATCCTATTATTTCCCATTGAAATGAGAAAGCCTAATTCTGCATTTCCTATTGTTATCTGTTAACTACAGAAGACAGTTACATTGAAACTTTCATCATGTGGGATGTCTACTATCTTATTCCCTATTCTGGACAAGTTAATTTCTAGGTCAGGGGGGTGTAGCTAATACACTGAGATTCTTTCAGTAAAAACCTTGGAGTACCCTTTATCAATCTGCCTGGTTAGATCACATGTATCTTGAATTCCAGGTCTATTTCTTGGTTTACTTCATCTGTTTCATTTTCTGAAAGGTAATCTTTTTTACTCTGGCTATTTCTTTCTTTTTGAGACAGAGGCTTATTGTGTCACCCAGGCTAGAGTGCAGTGGAGTGATCACATCTCACTGCAGCCTCAACTTCCTGGACTCAAGTGATCCTCCCACCTCAGTCACCTGAGTAGCTGAGACCACAGGCATGCACCACCACTCTCAGCTATTTATTTTTATTTTTTTGGTAGATACAGGATCGCCCTATGTTGCCCAGGCTGGTCTTGAACTCTTGCGCTCAAGCGATCCTCCTGCCTCGGCCTCCCAAAGTGCTGAGATTACAGGCATGAGCCACTGTGCCTGGCCTACTCTGGCTATTTTTTAAATTATCTTTTTATTTTAGATTTTCAGAAGTTTTCTAAGATGTACCTGTATTTGGGTTTTTTTGCTTTTGTTTTTTGGTGGGTTTTCTTTTTTTGTATTTATCTTGCTTGAAGTTTATATAGCTTTGTGAATGTTAGGCACAATTTTTTCTATCCATTTTGGGAAACTGTAGAGCATTACCTCTTCAATTACTACAGAATACTAGGTCTGTCTCATTCTGTTTTTTCCCTCCTCCTGTAACTCCAATTACATATACGTTAGATCATTTCACTCTGTGCTGTGTATCTCTTATATTCTTGTTTCATTTTCTATCCTTTAGTTGTTTCCTTTCCTCATTCTAGAGATACTTTTCTATGCCCCCATTCTAAATCGTTAATCCTTTCTTAAACTGTGTCTTTTGTATACTTGATTGTATTTATTTTCTACTTCTAGAATTCATATTTTAGTTTCACATTCTCTACTAAAATTATAAATTTTTCATTAATTTCTTGCCCATATTAATTCTAGTTTTAAAGTCTGTGTCTGATACCACCAATATCTGACTTTCCTGTGGATTGGTTACCATTTTCTGATTTTTCTCTAAATTTTTTCAGTCAATTCTTATCTTTTACCTGCCTGCTATTTTATTTTTAAATAGAGCCCTAGAGGGTCTGCATAAAAAAGTAAGAGACAATTGGAAGTTCTGAATGATGACACTTCTTGCAGACAGCATTTACTTTTACCACTAACAGGTAATTAGGGTAGAAACTGATCATCTTAATACAGTGAGATTGAATTAATTGAGAGGCATGTTTCACTTATTGCCATGTCTGGTCTATTTCTTATTTATTTCACTTTAAGCAATTGTCTCTTAGGTGTCTCAACTGAAAACTTTGTGTTTTTACCTTAACTCCCTTTGGTGGGTCCTAGAATCCATTTTTTTTTCCTCCCAGCCCCATGAGGTTGCTTAACACTTGCTCAGCTTTTCATTCTCTTAGTTGCAGCTCATTCTTTCAGGGCGCTTCTTTAGTATTTGCAAGTGTGTCAAGGAGAAAGCAGGGCTAAATGTTAGGCACAAGTCTTTGGGTTTCCCTTTCCTCCAGGATTTTGGTCCTTCAAGTACTCACTGCCCTAGTAGCTTTCCAGTGCCTTCACACAGGTTTTTAAAAAATACCTTATCCAGTTTTCCTGCTTGTCCTTAGCAGGAAGACCGTTCAAATGTAACTACTAGCTGGAAGTAGAAATGGTACCCTCATATTTGGATTGATGGTTTGGTTATATATTGCTTTCTAGCTTGGAAATAATTTGCTAACAGAATATTGAAGATTTTGCTGTTGAGAATTTAAATTCAATTCTCATTTTTCTTTTTTCAATTCTTGCTCTTGGTTTTACTGTGTTTTGTTTTTTTATTTCCGGGAGCATGCTTCCTTTTTTTTTTGGTTGCCAGTTTTTGAAATTTCAAGATGTGATTTTTTTTAATCCTTTGTTCTGGTCATTCAAAAGATCCTTAAATCAAGAGACATATTCTTCAACTTTGTGAATTTATTTTTAATTACTTCTTTATAATTTCTTTCATTCCATTTTTACTCTTTTCTCTTTTTGAAACTCATTTACCTGGATGTGTTTCACTCAGGCTGATATTTTGTTTTATATTTCCTTTCCTGTTTTAGATTCCTTTTTTAAAATCCTATTTTCTGGAAAATTTCCTTAACTTTATCATTTAAAATTTCTACTGAATTTCAGTTTTTCCTATCATATTTTAAATTTACACGCCATCTTTCTTGTTCTTTCAAAGACAATTTTTGCAACACACTTTTCTTGCTTCATAGAAAGAAACTTTCTTTTATATTCCTTGAGATGTTAATGAGTTTTTAAATTCTAGTTTTTATATCCCTGCATAATCTCTGATTTCCCCCAAATTTTGTTGTTGCTGTTTTTGTACATGTTGCTTTCTGTCTTTCATGATAAAAACTTTCTCCAGATGTCTAATGGCATGATCTTTGGCTACCCAATCACATCATATCAACCTGACAACAAAAAGATTTTTGCAATCTGTGACTATGACAGAAACTTGTTGAGTGTGGGTTTCACGTGAGGTGACTGTTAGGTAATTTTCTCTCAAGATGGTGAGAAACCTCAAGGAAGACTTTTCCATTTCCCTTCCTGCAGAAGTAATTTTTGCTACTAGTGTCCTGAGAGTCGGTGTATTTACTACACTTTTCTCACCCTCAATGCACTTACATTTCCATGGCAAAGAGAAACTCAGAAATTCTCTGGAGAGTAAACGTCAGTCTTCTACTAACACTGGTGAGGGCTAAAAATGAGGAGGGAATCTGGGAGCTACCTACTTAGAAAATCTTTCAGTCGAAACTGCTTTTTATCTCCTCATCTTCACCATCTCTTTCAGAAGTATCCAATGCCTTTGATTTCTGTTATGAGGTATAACAAAGCAGATTAACTTGATAGTCAGCTTCTAGCAATGCCAGTTTAGATTTATGTTTTCTCAAGTTGGCTAATTCAGTTACCACTTGTCCATGGATTCTCCAGCTTCCAACAGTTTGTAACTATTATTTCCTGTGTTATTCTTTGAGCTTGGGCATTGGTGTATTTTTTTATAAGCTGTCATCTTGGTGGAATTTCAGAAGGTGTCAAATAAAGACATGAATTCAAATCACCATCCTTAGCTAGAAGCCATTGTTTGCTTTGAATAGAATACCAGTTTGTACTGTTTTACAAGTGCATGTATTATATTGAATAGAAGGCATATTAGGAAGTAAATATTTTAAAATTAAAGGTTAAAACATAAATATGTAAATTTTTTGGCCCAGCAAATTTGGGTGTGAGAGTCAGAACTTACCTTTGAGAACCAGGTACATGGCTGGAGGTGAAGAGGGACTCTCAGGTATGGAACCTAAAACATTTGTGTGGTTTTATCTTTTAAATTAATAAGTATGCACTCAGGATGTAATTAAATAAAAATAATAGCAAAAGAAAAATATACACAAAATATACAGTACATTTTGGCATAAAACTAGATTATTTGTGGAAGTGAATAAATATTACTGATAGAGCCAGGCGCAGTGGCTCACGCCTGTTATCTCAGCACTTTGGGAGGCTAAGGCGGGCAGATCACTTGAGCTCAGGTGTTCGAGACCACCCTGGCCAATATGGTGAAACCCCGCCTCTACTAAAAATAGAAAAATTAGCCAGGCGTAGTGGTACAGTGCCTGTAATTCCAGCTACTGGGGAGGCTGAGGCACGAGAATGGCTTAAACCTAGGAGGTGGAGGTTGCAGTGAGCCGAGATCGTGCCACTGCATTCCAGCCTGGGCGACAGAGTGAGACTCCATCTCAATAATAATAATAATAATAATAATAATAATAATAAATAAATATTACTGATAGGACATACATTTTGAAAGAGGAAAAAACACACTGGTATTGAAGGCTATAAAAAACTGGCTTTTTTTTTAGGGCTCAATTATCCTATGGAAAAATCTATGTGTATGTATAAAACGCCTTTGTGTCAATGGGCCCGCCGCGTCCATGGAGAGAGGCTGAGGCGGCGCAGCTCCAGCCCAAGGCACTGAGATGCAGGGATGGGAAAGATGTCGTTTCCTTAGTCCGGGCAACTGTCTGGGCTTTGAGCAAGAGGAAGCTGCAGCCCACCCGGGCACCCTCACCCCGACACCTTCAGCAGTAAACAAGATAAAACAATTCCTTAAAGATAAGCCTGAGCTTGTAGATGTAAAAGTTGGTGTCCGAACCAGGGGCTGTAATGGCCTTTCTTATACTGTAGAATATACGAAAACAAAAGGAAATTCTGATGAAGTTATACAAGATGAAGCCAGAGTATTCATCGAAAAGAAAGCACAGCTAACACCTTTAGGAACAGAAATGGACTATGTTGAAGACAAATTATCCAGTGAGTTATGTTCAATAACCCAACATGAACTTGTGGCTGTGGAGTAAGTTAATATTTGACATCTCAGGACTCCTCTGGCCATAGGCTCCAGGAAAGCTGGTGGAAACCTTGGGGCTCACTGAAGAAATCATGTGACTGTCACATGCTTAACTTGCGGCTGCCTTGTAAAGAAAATAAAGTGATGCATTTTGAAAATGAAGCCAGTAAGTTAGATTCCAGAAGAAATGACATTTGTATTCTCTGTAGGGGACAGAAAGTGAGAAGACATCACTCTCTTTGGATCATTTAATCCTCTTGCATCATTTGTTTTAGAACCAGTTTCATCAAAGTTGCCTTCCTGGGCACCTGTTCATCCATTTCCTGAACCATGTACACTCATTAGATCTCTATTGAACGGCTTGAACACGCATCCCCTTCAGCATTTCTCCCATCCAGACTGGCGACTCCTAAAATCAGAGACAGGACGTCCTGACTGCTGGTAGTAACATGGCGGTACATTGTTTTTCCACCCAAACTTAACATAGCCTTTTTACATTTTTATCAAAAATTCACTGTCAGATGCCTTGTTGCAGACCCTTTAATAGTACCAAGCAAGGATTTGCTTGAACTATAGTACAGATTAGTGCTGAGTGATGGTAGCAAAAGGTGAGAAAGACTTCATCCACCTGTTTTTAAATCTGTTTCTTTTGCCACCCTATATGTCTGCTCAGAGATGAGATCTCAAGCTGAATTTGATCCTTTCCATTGAGGTGTCTTTTAAAAGCCATGTAGCCCACCGCCCTCAGTTCTCTGTGTAAGGAAGCAAAACCCCAGGGAAGCCAAAGGGCTCCTGTCCACCCCCCCTTCACAGGTGAGAGCAGGGGCTTTACCCCCATCTCCCCTTCCTTGTAGGTGACATACATGCTCTGCCGTCTGAGTCAGTCAGTGAAGGCAAATGTTCTGACTTCTTTATCTGGTCAACATTTTGATAGAATTTCCTTATAATTTGATGGAGGTCATATTATTTTTATTTTGAGTGGGAAGAATACTTTAAAATTCTTTTATGTGAATTACCATCTTGTTTCCTTAACCTTTGAAACAGTGGTTTGTAGAAGAGAAAATATTGTAACAACCCAGAATTATGCTTTTGGAATGTGGTCCTAATTGCAAAGGAGAACATGGGGAGCTTTTCTTAAAATTCCCAGTATGCAAATACTTCCTGGTTACTCAGTCCAGTTGCTAAAGTTCTTACACAATATTTTAACCTAACATTTTTATCACCAACTTTTCTTTAAAAGTGTTCCTAGTTTCTGATTTTCCTGGGTTTGACATATTAAGAATTCTGAGATGACATATATGCGTTTTTAGAAAGCTGATTCTCATGAATTCAAGTAGCTGAGTTTCTTTATGTTTCTTTTATTTACTGAAGTAGTTGGCACAAAACGCATCAAAACCTAGAGCGGTAGTTTTATGTAAATGCTCATGAGTTTGTATCATTAATATAATTGTTGATCCACTTATAATTTGTGCAATACTGTATGTATGTAGAGATTGAGTTGTCAGTTTAAAAAAATGTGGCCTCTGTGGTCATTAAAAAAATAAAATGGGCCAGGCGTGGTGGCTCACGCCTGTAATCCCAGCACTCTGGGAGGCTGAGGCAGGCGGATCACCCGAGGTCAGGAGTTTGTAACCAGCCTGACCAACATGGAGAAACCCTGTCTCTACTGAAAATATAAAATTAGCTGGGCATGGTGTTGTATGCCTGTAATCCCAGCTACTCGGGAGGCTGACGCAGGAGAATCACTTGAACCTGGGAGGTGGAGGTTGCGGTGAGCCGAGATTGCGCTATTGCACTCCAGCCTGGGCAACAAGAGTGAAACTGTCTCTAAATAAATAAATAAAATGTCTTTGTGTAGGTACACATCAAAACTTTCAATTTAAATAAAGATCAGGTTGAGTAAGATCCATCTAGGACCCAAGTAACATAATATGTGAATAATTTAAAGAGTTTCTATTATGCACAAGAAGTTTAAATTATAAATTTAGTGTTGGTCAAGTACTAATTGTAAGATCAAGACTCATATATTAGTAAAAGCTCAATAGAGAATAGTTGTGCAACATAATTACTTTGGCCTCATTTTTCTTTTCTTTTTTGGGCACTTATAGAATAGCAACACTGTATCAAATAGTGTAGTAGTGCTGAGATACAGAGAAGTCAATCCCTAACACCAGATTTCCTGATTCTGCTCTGAAACTTCTTGTATTGCCTCCAATGAATCAGCAACATCCTGCAATTCCTACTCACGGGCAACTTTGATTTATCTCCCTGCCTGCTGTTTTGCTTTTCATAGACAACAGCCAATGGCTCTGTAATTTCTTCAAGTACAATTATTTTAGCCTCAGCTATGCAGCACTTCTCTTTTTTTCCCCTTTCTGGTACTCTAGTCATTTCTGTTCTTGCTTGCTATTCCTCAAAAGTTTTACCACACCAGAGCTGTAGCAAGGCTTTACATCGTATCTAAGACAATTCCAAGTCTGTCTAAGAGAGCTGTGCAGGGGCTGTTTATGAATCTAAGTTATATAATTAGTAGAAGAACTTTCCAATTTACTCAAATCCCCTTTGCAATTGTATTGCCTATGATCTCTGTCTTTAGACTTGACCAGGTTTTTAACTAGTTCATACTAGCTTTGCTTTTTTGTTGTTGTTTAAATGGAAAGTACTATTTATTGAGCACTTACCAAATGTTGGACATTCTATAGTCTTATCTCATGCACTTCTTCCAGTTATGTGAGATACATAGGGAAGGTTAGCAGCATAAGAAAGAGGCAGAGCCAGATGGGCTGAGTTAGCGGCCTAGCTAGGCTATTCACTAGCTTTGTCATCTTAGGCAAGTATCTCATTCTCTAGGAGCTTCTGGTACAAATACCTCACACAGTTTGGTGAGTAAATGAGTTAATATATGTAAAATACTTACAATACTTATATGTAAAATACTTATAAATACTTACACGTAAAATACTTACTTTAGTGAGTAAATGAGTTAATATATGTAAAATACTTAGAATCGTGGCTGCATACAATCAGCACTATATAAATATTAACTGTTAGTATTTTACTCATTTTACAAAGAGAGACAGACTCAGAGGGATCTATGCTGCTGAACCCCGAACAGCTCATAAACAGCATCATGTTAATTAACAATTATATTATTGAATGGTTATATATTTTTGGACATATATGTAATTTCCACCTTTGAGGTCCTAAAATGCTTCAGTCAATAGCTCTATATCTAAATCTTCATGTATACTAATCCTGTCCCTTAGGATAAAATCCACAGAATAAAGTCCAAAAGTATGCCAATGTTTAAGGTTTTGGTGTTCATTGCCAAAATATCTGTCACCTACCAGCAATACATGAAGGTGTCCATTCCCTTAAACTCTTACTAATATTGGGTAGTATTCACTACTTACAGCAAATCCACAGACCTTCAATTTTAACATTATATTTGTGAAGAGGGTAATTTTATTTTTTAAGGTGGTTCTTTTTTTGCTAATATTTAGCAAGAATTAAATAATGCCAAACTGTCTGTTCACTTAGAAAGTGTTGGCCGGGCGCAGTGGCTCACACCTGTAATCCCAGCACTTTGAGAGGCTAAGGTAGTGAATCACTTGAGGTCAGGAGTTCGAGGCCAGCCTGACTAACATGGTGAAACCCCATCTCCACGAAAAATACAAAAATTAGCTGGGCATGGTGATACACACCTGTAATCCCAGCTACTTGGGAGGCTGAGGCAGGAGAATCGCTTAAACCCAGGAGGCAGAGGTTGCAGCGAGCCAAGACTGTGCCATTGCATTCTAGCCTGGGCATCAAGAGCAAAAACTCCATCTCAGGGAAAAAAATAAATAAAAGTGTAGATAAACATTCCCAACTATTGTCCCTGTTTTCTAGCATAATCTATATCACTTTTGAATACGCTTCCCATATCCAGCTTATCATGGTTAGAGAGACACTGAATTGACATCTACATGTTATCGGAGTATTTCCATTCATTCAACTCTCTCTCTGATAAGTGACATGGTTATAAGTCGCTTATCAAATTTGGTCTCTTTCTTCTAAATACGCTAGTTGTAAATGAAATGTAAGTTTTCTAGATACATCTGCAAGGCAAAAATTATTATTTGGAAGTTTTTGTTTCTCCTAAAGAATAAACTTTAAACTATTTCATTTCAGCAATAAATACAACTATTGTTTATCAGCCTCTGAAGATCTTATCTTCCTGTCTGAGGTCGCTGTGGAAGCTGGGGTGGTTGCCAGGAAGGAAACAAGATGGAGAGGATAAAAAAAAATAGATGGATTTGGGGATTCTCTGCTGAATGGATGTTTGGAGACATTTGTGCTAAACAAAAAAGATATTTTAAGATAGAACAATAAATTTACATGCCTACTATTCAGAAGTTCTTTAAATCTTAGCAACTAAAAACAAATGTAAAATTGTCCAATTAAAGACCAGAGAGAGGAGCAAAGTCTATACACTTCATGACCGGTATCAGTTTCTGAGTCAATACTTCTGGGTGACTGACTAAATACAAAAACAAAATTTCTGTAAAGACAACTATGACTTTAACCTCTGTTGCATATAGAAACAGAATAAAGGTGTTCAATTATATTAGATTTACACCTGCATGTGTATGTTGAGAGAGAATTGTGCTACTACATGTTTAATAATTAGCTCTCTAAACAATGATCTAATTTATGACATTTGCCAATTTCTGTGGTGTAAATGCTCCCATAATGGCTGATTTCAAAATGATACCACCGAATGTGGAAGTGGGAATAGGTGCATAGGATCAACTTTCACAAGCCAGTGTGAGCCAGCTCTAGCATACCACCATAGAATCTTCAGAACAAGTGGCAATTTATTACATTGTCACGGGAGTCTGTAATTGCAGCTGCCTACATCACTACACACAATTAAACCTAATGTGTGCTGTCAAATGTAGAAAACTGCATAGCAAGGATAGAGGAATAAACTTTCATACTTTCTCTGTCCGTCAGCGTCTGTGGTCAGTGCTACCATTTGATCTGCATCTAAAAAGTTTCTTCCTTGATCTACGGAAAATAAATGAAGACGACCTTCTTGTGGCTGAAGAAAATAAATTATTAACCCCCGGAGTCACAGAAAATAAATAGGGAGGCTTTGTTCAAGCTAAAGAAAATAAATTAAACATAAAAGATGCTATTTCAGAGACAAAGATTTATCATTTTTAAAGCTGGTTGAGGGCTAGACTAATATTGCAAAGTTCCGGAGAGTAGCTCTACACTGCTTCCCTGAAAAACTCATTATAAACCAAGCTACAGTCATCTTCTGAATTGCAAAAGAGCCCTGGCAGTAGGCAGGTAGTTTGTCCCTCCGCCTATTCTTCAAGAAATAAATAGCCTCCCTTCTTTATGGAAGATTATGCACCTGTTCTGTTTCCTTCTCGAGATGCTTTGCATGTATGCTGTAAATTGTCCGCTTTCAGCTCAGAGACAACTTATCAGAGAACATATTCAGAGCCATCTTTCCAGGTTCACAGTCTCTTCTGCAAGGGTTGTGGGCATATCAGGTGATCCACTCACTATCTACATATGACTTACCATTATTTCAGGGGCTGACTTGTGTGTCAAAGAGCTTAAGTTTAAATTATTATTTGATATGGCTATATTTTTTTGTGGTGCCTATAAAAACAGTGAAATAATTGAGCCTGAGAGAAAGAAGGGCTGCACACATGAATTTGAAAAAGGGTGCATTTTATTGTCTATTAAAGATTCCTCATTTATTATTGGGTAATTAGTAACATCAGGAAAAATGTCAACATTCAAATTTAGGAGGCAGAATTGTGAAGAATTGACAAGAGTGAAAAATAAGCAAATTATCATTAAAAACAATACTAGCACTTCCTTGACCTTGGAGTGTGATCTTGGCCGATATATCTTGCAGGTGTGGGATTTAGTTTTTACACCTTGTAAATTTATAGCTAAAATGTACAGAGAGCTTCCTATGTGTCAAGCTCTGTCCGACATTTGTGGCATGAATCACCTGATTTAAATACATGAGGAGCTCATAAGCAGCATCTTAGTGAGCTGATGGCAGTTTACTGAGGTTATGAGTGTCACTGTCGCCATCCTAGAGAGCACTGTTTTGCACCATATGATCTCCAGTATCCTTTGTTTCTTATTAACTGGATAAGTCTGCAGCTCCTAAAGTACTGAATCTCAGTGTCTAGGGATGGGGCCCAGGAATCTACCTTTCATCATTATCCACTCAGATGATTCTTACACGTACTGATGTGTGAGAAACAGTTTTTGGAGAGTAATTCTATGCAGACCTTAGTGACTTTCAAAGGTCTGAACCTTCACCAGCACTACGTTCTGGCCCACAGAAAAAGCTGGACTTTTCTATAATGTCCACATTGCCTACACTGCATTGTCTACACCACATTGTCTACACTACATTGTTTCAAAGGCAGAGACTCCAAGACTGTTCTATGCCTACTGTCCAACATCTTTCCCATCTCCTAATACCTTGTGTTAAGCCAAGATTTGTCTTTCCCCAGAGGGTCTTTAGTCAAGGACATCACAAGTATTGCCCCATAAAGGGAAAATGGTTGCCTGGATGGACGCTTGATGCATCTTTCATTCTTTGCTATCAGACTTCAGGCCTAAGGAGGCTGCCATGCAGTAATAGCAAGAGGACTCAGATGAAAGCCAAAAACATGAGTTAAAAATCAAATTTCCTCCTTACAGTGAGACTTTGAGCAAGTTGGTAGATCTTTTGAGCCCAGTTTTCCTCAACTGAAAAATAAAGATGACATCTAGCTTGCAGGGTAGTTGTGAGAATTAAATATGATATTTTATGCTAAGGAACCTCAGTAATTGGAGGCATTCAGTGAAAATTGTTGAATCTCTTCCTTGACTTAATTGTTCAGGGCACACATCATTCAAATCATGGGAACTGTAAATTCCAATGTGTACATTGAGAGAATGGCAGATTTGCAAATTTTATGGGAGTTATAAAGCAAAATGTGATTGGGACCACAGAGGCTGATATTTTTATTTGTGATAAAAAGGTTCTGTGTTCTCAAGGAGTTTGAATCTGAGTACATGCAAAGATATGCACATGATTTACTTCCTAATGACAAAGATTCCTCATATGCGGGCCTGTTGTGCTTGCTGTTCTTTATACATTGACTTCATTAATTAAAAACAAATCTGGACTTTCTGAATCTCTATTGAGTTTAATCATATGTGCATAATCAATTTGTGTATAAGATGCCACATAAAATACATGTAACAATACAAATACATTTTGACATTTACTCCCAAACTGAAAAGTATTTATAAGTAAAATAATCAAATCTTTTGATTTCTAGTTTCTTTTCTGAATAATGGCTTATTCCCAAAGAGTGAAGTGAGTACCTGCTTTATGATGGGTACTATGTTAGTTACTAGAGCACTTGTTCCCATCTTTGCACATCAGAATAAATTGGGTGGTATTTCACAAATAAAATGAAATTGAAAGTATAATTAAATATACATTCAATTAATACAGTATGAATATATACATACTGTACGTATATATTCATACATATATACAGTATGAATATATGTTGTAAAGTATTATAAATTATAATACATTCAATATGTATGTATTATAAAGTATAATACATTCAATATTTATGTATTATAAAGTATAATACATTCAATATTTATGTATTATAATAAACATACATATAATTACAAAACATAATTATGATTTTAAAATAATTTTGTATATGCAATTATAATGATAATTTATATTTATATATTAAAATTATAATGATAATTTATATTTATATATCATAATTTATATTAATTATATTTATAAATATAATTTATAAACTATAAATATACATAATATATTTATAAGCTATACATATATCATTTAAAAATTATAAGTATAAATGTAAATTTATATTTATAAGTATAAATGTAAATTTATAAGTATAAATGTAAATTTATATTTATAAGTATAAATGTAATTTATACTTATAAATATAAATATATTTATAAGTATAAATTACAATTATATCAATATATAAATATTTTTATAATTTTATATAAATTATACATATATAATTGAATATATAATTGAATATAAATATAATTAAATATAAAGGTAGACTATAATTTAAAATAAACGTAAATCTGATTCTCTGAGATATGACTCCACCTTAGAAACAGATTTGCCCCCACCTCAGAGACTCAGGTTCCATTTGTCTGGAGTAAGAACAAGACGCTGGTTTATTCTAAATACTCTCTGATGTGCAGCCAGGGTTCTGAACCACTACCTTAGACATACAAGAGGAAATAAGATTCAATCACTGTCTTCAAGAAGCTGACCATCTAAACTCTTAACTGGAGCTGCCATAACAAAGTATCATAGACTGGGTGACTTAAACAACGGAAATTGTTTTGTCCCAGTTCTGGAGGCTGTAAGTCCAAGATCAAGGTGCTGGCAAGGTAGGCTTTATCTTGAAGCCTCTTGTTTTGGCTTGCAGGTGGACCACCATGTCACTGTGTGCTCACATGGCCTCTTCTTTGTGTATACATGTGGGGACAGAGAGAATGAGCTCTCGGGTCTCTTGCAAGGTCACTAATCCTGTCATGAATGTTCTACTCTCATGACCTCTTGTAACCCTTATTACCTCCAAAAGGCCTTATATTCAAATACCATCACATTCAGGGTTAGAGTCCCAATTTAAATTTTGGGAGAGACACAAACATTCAGTCTATCATGGGATAAACAGGTACATAGATATATCACAACATTATGTAGTGTCTTGCTATAACAGAATGAGCATATGTCACATGCAGCTATATGAACTGTCGTTACCAGGTGACTCTTTTTCATTACATAGATAATATCTTGAATCATTAAATCAGCTGAATAATTAAAGGAGTATATTATGCTGCAGTGTGTCCTCATCAAGAGAAAGAATCTACATTTTGAGGAACACGTCCGACTGGTTCCTTGAGAAGTAACCATGGCCTGACACAGCTGAAGGTCTCTGGATTCACTCAGTGGCTCAGGAAGAAATGAAAGTTCAAAGAGGTAATCTTAACTATTTTTGACTGAGTGAGCCAGCCCCTGTCTAACAGAAGATGATAAGAGATATCAGACCTTCCTTGCAGACAGTTTCTTCTTGAAGACATGCTGCAAACTATGTCAGGGGTGGCTGTTGTCTGATTTCTAAGTTATCAGAAGAAAAAGGTTTACAAAAAATGTTTTGGAAAATTTAATTGAAACTGCCCACTTCAAAAACACACTTAGTCAAACACAAAGGTGGCACCTATCAGCAAGAAAAGACTTTGAACCCAAATTTCAAATTGTCAGTTTTCCTCCTACAAAATAGAAGTAGTGTTAGTGGAACGCCCATGTTTCCATCTTTGAGTTTGCTGGTTGCTTAGTCTGGGAATGTATCTTAGTGACCTCATGTCCCTCATTACATTTTCACCCTAGCTATAAATAAGTGAATAGGTGAATAGATTCTTACTCATTTCTATTTCCTCAATAAACAAATTATATATAACAACCTCATATACATATATGTGTGCATGTATGCGTTTGTATATATGTGTGTGATGTGTGTGTGTGTTTGGTTCCACCAGAGTCAAAATATTGAATACTTTAAGTACATCTTACTACTTTCAAAAAATCTATAAAAATTTTTAACGGCCTCCATATATTATTGTCATTTATAAGAAGGTCACATTACTGAACAAACTATTCTAACCAGAACACGGCCAGAAACCAAATATTAGGCACATGCAAATACACATTTACACACACACACACACACACACACACACACACACACAAACACTATGAACAATGTTCTAAAGCTTGTACATTCAACTCTATGCAGTTTACTCTAGAGAATGCCAAGTTCGTCATCCAGAACTCAATTACTCTTACTTTGTGTTTCCTAGCCAACAGCAGATTAACAGGAATAGAGACTGCTGTAATAAGATAAATTGTCAACAGTAAGTGATGCTAACAGTCTATGTGTGAGTAAATGATGAAGCAGAAGAATGCTTAAAATCAGATACCAAGTAAGATGAAAATTGCAGCAGTCGGGACCATTTTATCAAGAGATTGTACATGTATTTTGGAAGTCCCTGAGGGATTGTGACTGTTAATACACCATAAAGTATCCAGTGACTGTAATGTCGACTGTACATTTTTTTGGAAAATATAAATTATATTCAATATTTTTGTTCAGTAAGGTAAGGAGGCTGATTATACTTAGAGTCATAATGATTTAAATTGAGAACATTAATTTGAGTATCCAAAGAGTTAAGATTTCTTCAGACATCTGGAATCTTAAAGTAGGCAATTATTTTTAGAAACTAAGGTAAATAAGACATCCATATCTTGCTGATAATGCAAGCAGTGTGCATCACTGTGTTTGCTTTTTGTTCTGTAGGCATATTTAATCCCCAAATTTGATGAAGAGAGTTGTATGATAGTTTGATTCTAACTCTGAAATATAAGCTCTTTCTGATATGCTATAGCAGTTCTTAAAAACATGTGTGAGGAAATTCAACAAGATAGGAATATTGCTTTGATAGAAGTTATTTAAATTACCTTGAAAAGATAAGTAGAGGTCATATCTGCTAAATGGGCATAACACTTATAGGTAGGTATTCCAACCCAGGGGCTTAAAAATTACATAAATACAAGCAACTTCCTGAGGAAATCCCCAAATTTGTTTATTCCTCTACCAACTAGAACTGTAATCTTTTCTCTGCAAAAGGTTGAGCAACTCTTGAAAAAACTAGCCAGAGAAATCAGTTGTTAACAGTATAAATGAAGACTTTAATCATGCATAGTCAGAAACCATATTTGAGAATTATGCATTTCCATGTGACCTAATTTTAGGTGTCCTAAAAAGCTGCAGTTGTTTTGCTAATATAAAAGCCTTAAAGGGTTTTAAATCTTTCTGACTTAGCTACAGATCAATAAAATTAATCAGACTACTCCTATGCAATTAGGCATTGATAAAAAACTGTCACCCATTCCACTTATTTTTAGACATCATTAGAATTTCATATGGACACTTGCTTTCTACATACATCTTCAAAATAAAGTTTTTCTACTAGTTATAAAATTATATACATAGATGAGCTGATTATTATATTCGTTCCAGACAGAATCAATAGCTTTTAATTTAGAAATATGAGTTATGATAGTTCAGGTCATATTATACATACAATTTTAAATCCTAGGCTTTTTTTTTACTGTTGTTTGGGGATATTTTGCTGAAAATATATTTTCCCCATGTTACAATAGGACTTTGGTTAACACCATTTTAAATGCCACAGTCTATTCCATCTAATATCCACTCACTGGTGTTTATGTTGTTTCCAAATGGGCCACAAATTTCATAGCTCCTAGGAGAAATATACTGTTAAATGAGGTATCAATAAAAGCTTCTAAGTGATGTGGAGGCATTAGCTATCCAATCATCAATATGTACATATTTAGCATCTTTGATATGTCTCATGATGAACTGGGAGCTGCAAAAAAAATGACATAGTTCAGAAGTAAGAGAAAGAGGTGTGAGTGGAAATGAGGGGGCCATGTGATGATGCTAAGAAGGACACCTGTGTGGGTCCTGAGTTCTGAGACCTGGATTTTCATTCAGTGCCCTGTAGCTAATGCTGGGCAAATTACCACAATACTCTGAGCCCATTTTCTTCATGTTTAAATGAGAATTAAATGAAAACATCTACATAAACCTCTTAGCAAGGTCCCTGACCCAGAAAATGCTCACTAATTTCCAGTATTATTTTTATATTCACTTGCCATGTGAATCTGGGCAAACACTGACGTTGATTGAGCATAGCTCTCCTTAAAGCTCCCTCAGGGACCACCAGAAAAAAATGTAGGAGATGTTTAGGGAAGGAAGATAACTGACACATCATACTTACCAGAAGAAAACACATTAATAAATCATTAACCTGCTACACAGAAGAAAGAGAGTACCTAGATTGTAGAGGGAAGGAGTTGAGGAGAGTGACAGAGGAGGTGCATATTGAGTCTATTTTTGAAGGAGGAATATAAGGTCATTAGAGAAAAAGACTGAAAGAACATAACATTGTCAGGGGTCAATATGATCAGAACATGGGCGACTATGATGAGCAGCTGAATGTCAGCCTGGAAAGGCCTGTTGGGTTGGAAAGACCCAATCTGTCATGCTGAGAGAGTCCTTAGTCTTGCCAGCAGAAATGCCTACATTAGGCTTGTGCAGTAAGTTTATCCCATGCTCATGAGAGTAATCCCCAGTTGAATATTATGCAGCTACTAAGCACTTTAACCCCTTGATTCCAAGAGTCTATAATCAAGCCCTTTAACTTTCTCATTACTCTTTTTAGTTAGAAAAGAAATTGTACCTGCTAAAGATTTATCACAGGGCTTTAGGAGAAACTACATGCTATTGTTTCTCTAAATCCTATGAATTCCAGTTAAATACAATTTTATTGCATTAATAACACTGAGGAAAAAATTAATTTGGAAAATATACCTTCTGCTTAGTTATAGTGATAGTTTCACCTTCTCTTATGGTTCTGCATCATCAGTATCACATGATGCAAGAAAAATGATTTCAGTACAGTCTCCTAAGTTTAAAGCTGTTAACCAGATGCTGAAGCAGGTAGATAGCAATTGATACAGCCAGTGCCTTCATTCATCTATCCATGTGTTCACATTTAAACATTTGTTGAACAACCAATAGAAAATGCAAAAGATGCAAACATCTGTGAGATAGGAGCTATGCCATCAAGGAGGTTGTAATCTACATTATTATGAATATTAATGATATTATTTACCGAGTGCTTGTGATATGCCAGACACTACCATATATTAACACATTCAATCATCTCAACAACCTTATTGAATAAGCAGTCAATAGGCATTACAAATAGGCATTATGATCTTTATTTTACAAATGAAAAACCTAAGCTACAAAAAGATTAATTAACTTTCCCAGCATCACATAGCTCTTAAGTGGCAGAAAAGTCTAGGACTCAGGTGTTCTGGGTCCAGAGTCCATGATCTTGCTGACTATTCTATGTAGATAAGGGATGCAATTTATATGCACAGATAAATAATTGTTTAAGACAATGTAACTGTCAGAATAGAGATAAATTATGAGGCCCAAGATAAGAGAGAAATTTTACCTGGGTAGGGTCATCTGGGAGGTTTCCAAATGGACAAGTTCATTGAGACAGAATTAGGGGAATATAATATTAGTAGTGTCGGTCTATTGACACTAACTCAGTGACTGTCATTGTGCTACATATATACATATACACGTGGGTTAGCTTTTATAATCTCCTGATAACTCTGTGGAGCAAATTACTTTAATTCCCATTATGTAGGAGTAAGAAGCCAAGGTTAGAAAGCTTAAATAACTTTCTCAAGCTTGTAGACTTGTGAGTGTCTTAGTCAGGGTTTTAATCAAGAAAATTGACTTCAGAGCAAGTCCTGATATACTGTACTACCTTGCTAGGAAAAAAGGAAGGAAGCAAATATTTTTGTTAAATAAAAAGTATTTTTGGGTAATTAGTAATTGCCACTTAATTTATCTTATTCATGAATCTAACTTTTCAAATAATATGTTTGATTAGGTCAGAATTTAATTTGGTTAAAAATGTATTGAGGGGCCATTACACATCAGGATCTCGGTTAGATGCTGGTGTTAAAAATATGAATAGACCAGGTATGATCTCAACCTTTGGGAAGTAGAGGAGACAGGCACATATGAGATTTGTATAAGGTTAGTAGTAAAATTATGCACCAGATTTGAAGGTAGCTCAACAGTGATTTATTGATTCACTCTATTGGGAGGCAGGCTGAGAGTGCTGGATCTTGGAATTAAGAAGAGATTCTCATAAAAAGGATCACTTGAAAAGTATTTGAAAGGAAAAACAGGTGTTTTTTTTATGTTGGTCAAGGGAAGAAGGGGCATTCTGGTAAGAGGAAACAATGCATTCAAAGGCATGTTATTATGAGCCAGCATAATAGTTCAACACACAGGTCAGCAATCTCAGTCCACTGAATGAAGAGGTAGGAGAGTGGCAGGTGGTAAGATTAGAGAGGCAGTATTAAGGACATCTAGAAATCTCATCAAGGCTGTATTTAACCAAAACACACATCCTACTCTGTTTTTAATAGTAGGATTTAACTAGATTAAATGACATCTTCCAGCCATATACATATAATCTTGACATGAAGGACAACTATGCCTACCACATGTCACTTTTTGTAAGCATACATTCAGTGAACAGTAGACTGTCCCTTAAGTGACCTCCATCTAACCAGCTCTCCTGATTAACTCTTGCCTTCCATTCACTTTGTAAGTTTTATTAACTGATGCTCACAACACATCGAATACTCATAGCAAGTAGGCAGTTCTCCATTGTGTTCATGCACTTTTGCATCCATTAGCTCAATTAGTAATATATTTGGCTGTGAGAAGCAGAAAACCTTAGAGAATTAATTTTTCTCACTTTACAAGAAGTCAGAGTTCAGCAGTTAGAGTTGAGTAACTCAATATGCCATGGTCAAAGACATGAGATTGCATTGACGTCTTCCTCATGCAATAGAAGAACTGCTGAAACTCCAAGTATCATTTCCATGTCTTTCTCATTATAGAAGGAAAGAAGTAGGAGAAAAAAAGGTTCAAATATTGCCAATCACATTGTTGTGGGTTTTGTTGTTGTTGTTGTTAAATCAGAAAAACAATAGCTTCTCCAAAAGCCTCTGCAAGAGTCTTTTCTTTAGGTTTCATTAGCCAAAAGTGAATGAGTCTTTCTGCAGCCATCTTTAGCACCAAAAGAAGCTATGGAAATGGGGTCCAAGATTGTAATTTAACTTAGACTATTACTTGCCCACAGTAGGCTATATTGTTACTCCCAAACAATTTTGAGATTCTGTTAGTGAGGAACAATATTAAATAAGGCAACCAATTACGAATGTCTCACCTACCAGATAAGATTTTGCTATCCTAAATTAATTTTACTTGTTTATAAATAAATATGTGTATATATGAAAGCTGTATTTTTAGTTGTGGTTACTATATGGAATTAAATTTATATAAATGAATAAACTATGATTATGAAAAGAAAGCTGTTTTATCTATTAAAAATAAATTGTATGCTTTGTAATAACACAGCTGTAGTAGAGAGAAAAATGCTCCCCTATAGATGTTCACACTCTGATCTCTAAAATCTGTATGTTTTGCTGCATGGCAACATATAACAGAAGATTGCAGCTGTAATGAAAGTTGCTAATCAGCTGACTTTAAAATGGGGATGTTATCCTGGGTTATCTGGATAGGCCCAATGTAATAACAAGGGTTCTTTAAAATGAAAGAGGTGAACCTTTGTGTCAGTCAGAGTGATGCAATGTGAGAAAAACTCAACTGGCCGTTGGTGTCTTTGATGATAGAAGCAGGTCAGGAATTAAAGAATGCAGGACACCTCTAGAGCTAGGAAAATCTAGAAGAAAATGGGTTCTCCTCCAAGGCCTCTAAAAAGGAACACAGCCCTGCTGACACCTGGATTTTAGCCCATTGGGATCCATTTCAGATTTCTGGTCTCCAGAACTACAAGGTATAGATTTGTTTCTCTTTAAACTACTAAGTATGTAGTCATCTGCTACAGCAGCAACAGGAAACTAATAAAACACCATAAAAACTGTTCTTGAATTAAGATAGGAAGGAAGTTGTAAAACATTTTTCAGGGAAATCAGGGAAATCTAAAATAACTCTTTCTTCAAATTGCTTTGCATGTGTCTTTAAGTTTTTACTTACCTTTAAAGATTCCAAAACTGTAAACTGTGAAAGATGCATTATTGGTATGGTTTATGCAAGAAAGAAAATAAAGAACTCTGCTAGGTTTAACATACTCAAAGAGAAGCCCTTGACTCTATATCAAAGGACTTGCAAATAAATGGAAACTTATATCCTTTTTGGTTAAAACAAAACAAGATATGTATCTGTAATTTTATAAGACTTTCTGCTTTCACTCACTTTTAGATTAACTATCATTTCATTCATTCATTATTTATTCATCTAGTTATTCAACTAATAACAATGAGCAACTATTCTGTACCAGCCAGTACAGGGTATACACAGAGCAACAAAACATATTCTTTGTCTGGAGGACACAAAAAAAACAACATTAGACATGTTTGAAAAAACATAGGGAAAGCTCTAAGTTAGATGAGAAACTTTACTTTCCAACAAGAAAAGAGAAATGCTATAGCATCCACTCCCCGCCACTCAATACTGAATGATGGGAACAATTTGGGTGTTAGGTTATTTATAACAATCACAGGAAATTGTAACAGAGCTTCTTTTTATGTTTCTTTTCAAAAGTACTACCTGTATTGTTTAAAATGCATACCATCACATTTGAAACATGTCTATCACACACTAACCGCAAAGAAAATAAAACTGTTTTGTTGGGCTTAGGACTTTTCAAAGCTCTGGGAGTTTATTATCATCAAAATAAAAACCCATTGTTCAGGGAGAGGTGAATAGAAAGAACATCAAGAGTCCTGCAGAAGATTATTCATCTGCAGTCCTATTTGGCAGAATGTCAAATCTATGCACTTGTCCGTGCCCTGAAATGCTGAAGTAACAATGTTTGGTCTGATCAATTTTGTCTTCTTGGATTCTCCTCACCAGCTGGGCTAATTTACCATGCTGGGCCTGCCTTCAGGCTCTGCTCACATTTTTAATGAAGATATTGCCTCCTTGCCTCTTACCTCCGAAGTATCTTCGCTATGCTTGAGTGGATTCAAGATCATGTAGAAGTAATGGAATTAGGCTGTCAGCACAGCTCTGCTTAATATGTTTTTAGTCTGCCTTTGTTTGAGAGATTCATCTTTCTTAAATTCTCAGTGCTCTTCAGCACCACCGAACAGAATAACATTAGCGTGCATTTGTCATTATATCACTAGTTAGACATACCCTTCTTTCGCAGGAGAAAACTCAGAGCAATAGCACTCATTAGCTACTTACAATAAAGGCTTGACAAAAGCCAGGTTGGAGTGTGAAAACTCATTTACACCTGCCGGAAAGGGATCATTAGCCAGCTGAGTGATTAGAGGAAGTGCAGGTCCACAACTGGAAAGGACAAGAGGATTCCAGAGTTTCAAGTCTTGAAGATTTTAATGCCAATGGTGTCGAGCACTTAAGGATTCTGATCCCAGAATCAAAATGAGTTCTATGACAAGACTGAAGTGACATGGTTCTGAATTACTTTACAGATTTTTTTTTCACTCTAAGAAGGGCAAGGTCAAGAACATGCTGTTGATTAGAAAGTACCGAGGATAGTGATTAGCAGTCCCTTCTCATACTTGGCATGCCTTGCTTCAAGAGTCCTCAGTGGTGTGGGGAGATTAGTTTTTCTTTTCTCTATTCCTCTTTTTGTGTGAAGAGGAGAGTTGAAAGATAATATGGTCACACTGGTTTTTGTTTGATTGTTTTGTGTTGTGTTTTGCTTTTGAAATGAAACTAAGAGATGCACAATTAAGTGCAGAGAAAATGCAACACACAAAATTACAGACTGAGTATCATGGAAACCCATACAGTCCTACTCTCTATGTAGGTAGTTGCACAACTGGCACTGGAATTGAATCTGTATATTCCATTCAAACAAGGAGAATATTAACATACGAGGATTCATGCGATACCTGAATATTCTGTACAAGAAAAACTGTGGAAGGGATAAACTAGTTAATGACATCCTATTGGAAATACAACTTAAGCTACCTCTGCTGTGATATACAACTGGTCTCTCTGCAAAAGGGGAAGTAACTTATGTTTATCAAATCCATTGATGTGCCAGAAACCATTCTTTATTTTTGTTTTTAATTTATCTTTAAAACTATTCTTGAGGTAGGTGTTTTAAGCAACACTTTGGAGCTGTAGAACTGAGGCTCAGATCATTTAATTAACTTCTCCAAGAACACACAACTAGCATGGTGAGATACTGTTATTTTGACTCCAAAAAATGTTCTTTTTCAAATGATGTTGAAAGTTGAGTGATTATGTTAAATATGCTCTAAAGTGAAACTGAATGAGCTTTTGAGTATGTCCATGAGATGGCCGCTCAATTTGCATATAGAATCCATTGTATAGTCTGTTCTCACAGTGCTAATAAAGATATATCTGAGACTGGGTAATTTATAAAGGGGAGAGGTTTAATTGATTCACAGTTCCACATGGCTGAGGAGGCCTCACAATCGTGGACATTTCACCCCTTCAGGGTTTAGTTTCCTTTTCTAGCAGTTAAAGGAATTTAACTAGGTGAATTATAATGTCTCTCACATTTTAAAATCCTTTACAACCGTAACTATGACTCTTAGTGGAGAGATAGCCCATGGCTCCATTCTGAGTATGTCTGTATATTTTAATTGTGGTATCTTAGAGATAATACCCTGCGTTTTTTTCTTCCTAAGCCTTGGGAATGACCAACATTTAAAATTTCAGGCCGATTGATTTGGGAAGCTTGCACCATGAAAAGCTAATTGGGTTGTGTTTTTGACTGACAGAGGATGTCCTGCAATGTACATTGTGTATGTTGTGACAAATGCTCATTCTGTTCATGAAAAAACTGCAAAAGAAACTCAACTCCAACCTCTTCACAGCTGAGAAAGGGAGAAGAAAAGTTTTAGAATGGCAGTTCTCAAAGTGTGCTCCAGTGACCCCTAGGGATGCCCAAGACTCTTTCAAGGTTTCTGAGGCAAAAACCACTTTGTTAATAAAACAAAGGCATTATTTGTTTTTTACTGGTCTTGTTTTCTCACAAGTGTACAGTGGAGCTTTCCAGACGGTACAGGAAGGCAATGACATCATTCCTCCAACAGCTAAAGTGCTTGTGCATTCTTGTGATTTAAAGATGCCTCAGCTTTAGTTTTGTATACAGCAAAAATTGGTAAATATATTCTATATATAAAGAAAGCTCTTTAAGGTTCTCAACAAATCTTAGGAGTGTAAAGATTCTTAAGACCAAAAAGTTTAAAAGCTGATGGTCTTGAGCATACAAAACTGTAGCTGGTATCTCAGTTGGTTAAGGTTGTTATAACAAAATACCATAAACTGGGTGGCTTATAAACAGCAGATATTCATTTCTCACAGTTCGGGAAGCTGAAAGTTTCAAGATCAAGTCACTAGCATATTCAGTGTCTGGTGAGGGCTCACTCTGGCTCATAGATAGTGCTTTCCTACTGTGTCCTCATGTGGGGGAGAGAACGGGGGTCTTTCCTGGGCTGTCTTTGATAAGGACACCAATCCCATTCATGAGGGCTTTGTTCTCATGACC
This sequence comes from Homo sapiens, assembly GCF_000001405.40. Lineage (NCBI taxonomy): Eukaryota > Metazoa > Chordata > Mammalia > Primates > Hominidae > Homo > Homo sapiens. The sequence goes on from NC_000017.11 coordinate 54,497,510, forward strand.
TAATGACCTCCCAAAAGCTAGATTGCAATATGTAAATTTGGTGGGGGACAAAAACATTCAGACCATAGCAGCTAGGAATTAGTCTAAGGTTTGTCCTCACAAGGATCCCCCAAAAGGATGAAAAAAAATGCTTGACACTACTGGGTGCAGAAAGGTTGCTCCTAAAATGCAACGTGCATAAGTGTTGGATTTCCACATCTATAAACTGGGATATTGAAATCCATCTCAGAAATATTATACCTTATTTTATTTGGAATCAATACATTTAATTTTAAATATTTTACCTTATTTCATTTAGAATTTTTTAGAATCAATTCTAAAAACTATTGAATACATGACGTTCAATTATTTTATGTATTGCTAAGAAATAAATGAGTTACTAATTAAAGTTATAATTAGTAACTCTTTGCCTCATTGATTTTAAGAGGCATCATGTTTTCAGAAACTTGAGTTTTAGAATCAATGAACTACAATACATAAAAATCTATAAGTAATAAGTCCTTCCCCTTTCTTTGAGACAAAGTCTCGCTCTGTCACCCAGACTAGAGTGCAGTGGCGAGATCTCAGCTCACTGCAACCTCCGCCTCCCAAGTTCAAGCAATTCTCGTGCCTCAGCCTCCCGAGTAGCTAGGATTATAAGTGCCCACCACCACGCCCGATTAATTTTGTTTGTTTGTCTGTATTTTTTAGTAGAGATGGGGTTTCACCATGATGGCCAGGCTGGTCTCAAACTCCTGACCTCAGGTGATCCACCCACCTCAACCTCCCAGTGTTGGAATCACAGGAGTGAGCGACAGCGCCCAGCCGCCTTTCTTATATCAAAGGAGTAAAGGGAAAAGCCCTAAAGGTATACTTAATGTAATTGATTTTAGAGTCTGAATTCTTTGCATCCAAACATGAACAGTGCTATTTTTTTTTCCAGTCACTCCCTTTAACCATTCTCTGTCAAATTTTCCTTTCCTGTTCCACCATGACATCTCAGGCAGGTAGCAGAACTACCCAGTCATTTCCAATTAAAACATTCCACTGCATGGTATTCCATGGTGTATATGTACCATGTTTTCTTTATCCAGTCTCTGATGCGCATTTGGGTTGATTTCATGTCTTTGCTATTGTGAATAGTGCTGCATTGGACATATGTGTGTGTGTATCTTTATAACAGAATAATTTATATTCCTTTAGGTATATACTCGGTAATGGGATTGCTAAGCCAAATGGTATTTCTGGTTCTAAATCTGAGGAATCGCCACACTGTCCTCCACAATGGTTGAACTAATTTACATTCCCACCAACAGTATAAAAGTTTTCTTATTTCTCTGCAACCTCTCCAGGATCTGTTGTTTCCTGACTTTTTAGTAATCACCATTCTGACTAGCGTGAGATGGTGTGCAGCCATACAACAGAATGAGATCATGTCCTTTGCAGGGACGTGGATGAAGCTGGAAGCCATTATCCTCAGCAAACTAACACAGGAACAGAAAACCAAACCTCGCAGGTTCTCACTTATAAGTGGGAGCTGAACAATGAAAACACATGGACACGGGGAAGGGAACACTTACTGGGGCCTGCTGGGGAAGGGCGGGGGTGGGAGCCAATTAGCGAAAAGAGCTGATGCATGCTGGTCTTAATACCTAGGTGATGGGTTGATAGGTGCAGCACACGTTTACCTATGTAACAAACCTGCACATCTTGCACATGTATCCCGAACTTAAAAAACATAAATAAAAAATAAAAAGATAAAATTTAAAATAAAAAAAAAATAACATTTCACTGCTATCAAGTTTAAAACTTCAGTCTCCACATTCAGGTTTGACCTGTGGTTCAAGGAACCCACAATAGTCCCAGCTTCTCCAGGGTTGGAGCACAATGGGGGGAATAGAGAAAAAACAATCGTAATTATTTTCACCTAATCAACTTCATGATTACCGTCTGGTTTGTGTTTGCTGTTTCTCTGTCTCAGACCCTCCTTGACCTAAGAACTGTGGCTTAGGCTCAGTCTCTTTCACTCCACCTCAGCTTCTATCACCACAGTTACTCCCAGCACCTCTTGCTGGTTGGAAGATTTTGGCCAACAACACTGCCTTCTTGGGTGGGCCCTCACACACAGAGGTGAAGTCCTGCTACCTGACATTTGTCTGCCCCTCAGAAATGCATGCATTCTTGCCATTCCTAGCAGGAGGCACAGGCTGCAATGCCAGTTTTCCCATTACAGGTGCCCCCCCTCAAATCTCTATAAATGCCTCTCTCTTAAGTTTCTCCCATCTACTTGATTTTAAAGGAAAGAGGACCTACATATCTATCCGTGAGATCCCTACTCACATATACCTCTGATTCTTGCTCTTCCCCTCTCTGTTATATGACCTGAAGGCAGAAAGGTAAGGAGAGCAAACTCAGCTGGCTTTTCATAAAGGCTGAGGGATATGTATGGCCCTAGATTTGTGGCTCCTTCTTAGCTCTGTCCTTAGAATGTTGAGTACTCAATGCATCTTTCTCCCAAGTTTTGGATGCCTTTTACCATTCGGAGTAAATAGGTGAAGTCTCATTTAACATTTCTTCCATTAAACTGACTTAATATAGAAGAGCTAGCCCTGACCTCTTTGTTGGCAGATTTAATAATACAATCTTCCCACCGATTCATCCATAACTCACTTCAAATCTAGGTTCATTGGAGTTGCTGAACAAGTGGAGGTGCTAACTGCAATAGAAGGGCTCCCTGAGGAGCCTCAGAACCAGCACCATTCCCAAGCCCTGCAAGCATCTGTTCCATTCTCAGAAATCACAACAATCCACACTGATGGAAAGTGAGGGAGAGAAAAATTGACAGGTCTGTGTTTTTTTGGTTGAATAATCATTGTTGTCCTAACTGTTTAATTAGAAAGAAAGGAAAAAAGTCTCTTTCAGGACGATCGATGAAGAAAAGCTACCCACCCTGAAAAAAAAAAGCTTTTTTTTTTCCTTCTAGAGCCTTTCAGTTGTCATAACAGGCACCAACCTTACTTTATATATTTTGATAAGAGAACAGTTGGGAATTGAGGATTGAGAACAATTTAATTTATCAGCAAAATTTTTCTAAAGGAGTTTTGGCAAGGTGCTGGTTCTGAGAGCAACAACAGGTGCTCTGAAGGCAAAGAAGAAGGAAGACTGAGTGAACTTCATTGCAGTTCTGGAATATAAATCTTCAGGTGAGAAGTGTGTAGTTTTACTTGTCTTAAAGGGGACACACACATATATTGAACCAGCCTTGCAAGGAGAGACTCCAACACTCCTTTCACATAATTAATTTCCTCTCTAGAGCTCAAAAAAGTTGTTAACTGAATCCAAACGTTACTAATACTGTTTTAATTTTTGTCCTGAACAAATTTTTACTTGCCTCAGAGAAAGTATATATGGCACATCATAGGACAGAAGAAAACCTTGCAATTCAAAGACTCTAATATTCTTTCTATTTGCTTGAACTACAAATAAGCAATAAAACCAACAAAAATTAAATTCTTATGTTAAAGCTCGTAATAATATCTAGAATTTCTTTTAACTCTTCACAGTTTATAAAGTGCTTTCCCTGATATGACCACATTTAAATCTTACAGCAATCCTGTAAAATTGCTATTTACTATCTCAAATTTTACAGATTAAAAAGCAATCTTACACAGTGGAAGGGACCTACTGAACACCATACAGCCAGTAAATGGCAAAGTTCCTGCTTGAAACCAGGAATCATGAATCCATTTCTCCAAACCACATTTCTCTTCTTCATTAGCTAATTGAACTGCCTGATATTCTTTCAACCTGTTCAACTTAGTTTGTAATACCTAGAGCCCACTTAAGTCAGCAGACTCACCTCACTATCTCCTCAACAGTAGCCATCACAGTAAAGACATTAATTAAATCTGTGTTTTATAAAAGAATGTATATTTATTGAGAACACATTTCAAGTGCCTTGCTAGGTGTTTTAATGTGTTTAATTTCTCATAATCTTTAAAACATCTCTATAAGGTGTCATCCTTATTATATAGGTGGGGAAACTTAGGCTTAGAAAGGTTAAAGAACTTTACCTATTACTCAACTAAACTGTATAAGGAAACTTGCATGCTATGTTTATTTCTCTGTTTCTCTTGCTCTCCCTATACCTCTCCCCAAGTCTCTGAATCTGCATTATCCAATACAATAATCCATAGCAATGTGTGACTGTTGAGCACTTGAAATATGACTAGTTCAAATTGAGATGTGCTACTAAGTACAAAATACACACCAGATTTCAGAGGCTTAAATATGAAAAAATAATGTAAAATGTATTATTACTATTTTTATGTCAATCATATATATATATATATTTATTTTACTTTAAGTTCTGGGATACATGTGCAGAACGTACAGCTTTGTTACATAGGTATACATGTGTCATGGTGATTTGCTGCACCTACCAACCCGTCATCTAGGTTTTAAGCCCTGCATGCATTAGATATTTGTCCTAATGCTCTCCCTCCCTTTGCCCCCACTCCTTGACAGGCCACAGTGTGTGATATTCCCCTCCCTATGTCCATGTGTTCTCATTGCTCAACACCCACTTATGAGTGAGAACAGTCAATCATATATTAATATCATACTGTTTTGGATAAATTGAGTTAAATATAATACACAGTCATGCATTGTTTTATTATATTATGTTTTATTGCACTTTGTGGACATTGCGTTTTTCACAAATTGAAGGTCTGTGGCAACCCTGCATTAAGCTAGTCTGTCAGTGCCATTCTTCTAACAGCATGTGTTCACTTCCTGTCCCTGATGTCACATTCACATTTTGGAAATGTGATGCAGACTTATTTCAGACTTCTTTATTATTATATCTGTTATGGTGATCAGAGATCTTTGATGTTAATACTGTCATTATTATGTGGCACCATGACCTGCACATATATACAAAGGAAAACTTAGTTGATAAATGGCGTATGTGTTCTGATTTCTCCACTAACCAGCCATTAAGGAAAGAAGTCATCTCCACAACATAAAGTGCAAAGTGAAGCAGAAAGTGCTGATGTAAAAGCTGCAGCAATTTATCCGGAAGATCTAGCTAAGATCATTAATGAAGGTGGCTACACTAAATATTAGATTTTCAATGTAGAAAAAATAGCCTTCTATTGGAAGGAGATGCCATCTAAAACTTTCATAGCTAGAGGTAAGCCAATGTCTGGCTTCAAAGCTTTAAAGTATGGGCTGACTCTCATGTTAGAAGCTGATGCAGCTCGTGACTTTAAGTTGAGGCCAATATTCATCTACCATTCTGAAAATGCTAGGACCCTTAAGAATTATGCTAAACACAGAGTACTGCCTGTGTTCTATAAATGAAACAGCAAAGCTCGGATGACAGCACATCTGTTTAGATGTGCATGGTTAGCATGCCACTGATTAGCATGGTTTACTGAATATTTTAAGACCACTGTTTAGAACTACCGCTAAGAAAAGAAGATTCCTTTCAAAATATTACTGCACATTGACAATGCACCTGGTCACCCAAGAGCTCTGATGGAGATGTGCAAAGAGATTAATGTTGTGTTCTTACTTGCTAACACAAAATATATTTGGCAGCCCATGGATCAAGGAGTAATTTTGACCTTCAAGTCTAATTTAAGAAATACATTTCATAAAGCTATAGCAGTCTTAGTAATTTCTCTGATGGATATTGGCAAAGTAAATTGAAAACCTTCTGGAAAGCATTCACCATTCTAGATGCCATTAAGAACATTTGTGCCTCATTGGGAGGAGGTCAAAATGTCAACATTAACAGAAGTTTGGAAGAAGTTTATTCCAACCCTCATGGATGACTTTGAGGAATTCAAGACATCGGTGGAGGAAGTAACAGCAGATGTAGCAGAAATAGTGAGACAACTAGAATTAGAAGGAGAGCCTGAAGATGTGACTGAATTGCTGCAATCTCACGATAAACCTTGAATGGAGAAGGAGTTGCTTCTTACGGAAGAGGAAAGAAAGTGGTTTCTTAAGATGGAATCTCCTCTTGGCAAAAATGCTGTGAACATTGAAGTGACAATAAAAGATTTAGAATATTAGAAAAACTTAGTTCATAAGGAGTGGCAGGGTTTGAGAGAATTGATTCCAATTTTGAAAGAAGTTCTATGGTAGGTAAAATGCTATCAAACATCAATCATCACATGCTACAGAGAAATCATTCATGAAAGGAAGAGTTGGCTGGGCACGGTGGCTAACACCTGTAATCCCAGCACTTTGGGAGGCTGAGGCAGGCCGATCACGAGGTCAGAAGTTCAAGACCAGCCTGACCAACATGGTGAAACCCTGTCTCTACTAAAAATACAAAAATTAGCCGAGTGTGGTGGTACGCACCTGTAATCCCAGCTACTCAGAAGGCTGAGGCAGGAGAATCGCTTGAACCCGGGAGGTGGAGGTTGCAGTGAGCTGAGATTGCACCACTGCACTCCAGCCTGGGTGACAGAGGGACACTCCATCTCAAAAAAAAAAAAAAAAAAAAAAAGAAGAGTCAATTGATGTGGCAAACTTATTATTGTCTTGTTTTATGAAACTGCCACAGCCATCCCAAGCTTCAGCAATCACCACCTTGATCAGTCAGCAACCATCAACATTGAGGCAAGACCCTCCACTGGCAAAATGATTATGACTCACTGAAGGAACAGATGATTATTTGCATTTTTAACAATAAGGTATTTTTAACTAAGGTATGCACAGTTTTTTAGATGTAATAGTATTGTATGCTTAATAGACTATAGTATAAACATATATTTTATATGCACTGGAACACTAAAAATTTATGTGACTCTCTTTATTAGATATTCTCCTTATTGTGGTAGTCTGTAACTGAATCTTCAGTATCTCTGATGTAGGCCTGCATTTTGAAAATGACCCAAAAAGCAAGCACTAAAGAAACCATAAAATTAATATATGGTTAATAACTCCATTTTGGCTCTGCAATTTCTTCAGATTGGGGATGGGATCTGTTCTCTTGGCTTTCTTTGAGTGTTCTTGGTTCCTGGCTGAGAACTGTGCTACATACAAACTCTGCTGATAATCTTTCTTGGAGTATTTGTATTCTGTGCTCTGCTCTGTCATCTCTGTAGTCTTAAATGCTGGTGCCTAGCTGCTGTCCCCTAACCACTGTCCCACAAAATGAGTACGGAAAAATCTGCTTCTTATTAGAAGTTAAAATGGCCATCCTCTAGAACTTTACTTGTAATAATGACACCTCACATAGTGATAACCAACTGAATTGATTATATTATCATATTTAAGAGTGTGTTCTCCAATGTAGGGAGAAAAGGAGGTCTGAGAACTGAAGCCATCTACAACCACAGAGCTAACTGCACCAGTGTGACTTTACTATCCCATGAAAATCTTGTCTGTGAAGATGAAGTTGAAAATGTCTCAGGAACTTACTGCAAATCCATTTATTCAGATAATAGACCACTCAACCAGCCCTCATAGAGTTTATAGCCCTTCTTAGGACAATAGACTATTCAACTAGGCTCATTAAACAACTCTTTACATTTTAAGACTTGCTTCCAAAGCCTCCTCTTACTGTATTTACCAATCCTAAACTGTTATGTCACTAATTTGCTCAATCCCAATTAGGTCTCCACACTGAAAGCTCCACCTTAAAACAGACCCCTCGGCCGCATGCAGTGGCTCACGCCTGTGATTCCAACAGTTTGGGAGGCTGAGGCGGGTGGATCACCTGAGGTCAGGAGTTCGAAACCAGGCTGGCCAAAATGACGAAACACCATCTCTACTGAAAATACAAAAAATAGCCAGGCACGGTGGAGGGCACCTGTAATCCTAGCTACTCGGGACGGTGAGGCAGGAGAATCGCTTGAACCTGGGAGGTAAGGGTTGTAGAGAGCTGAGATCGCACCATTGCACTCCAGCCTGGGTGACAGAGTAAGACTCTGTCTCACAAAACAAACAAACAAACAAACAAACACAGAAAAAACAAAGACCCCTTCCCCTTCTAAAATTGTATAAATATTTTGCCTTTGTTCTTCTCCCTCCTAGATATGAATAAGACTTTGTTTCCTTTACCATGGGTGAGCAAAAAATTCAGCTTTGCTTAATCAGCAAGTTTTATTTTGTTGGCATTTTTGGAGAGTTGACCCTCAACAGCTTGCATATGAGAAACTTATTTACTTACTGAACACCACATAGCTGTTCAGATTTATTTTAGAGGTCATAAACTCAGAAAGAAGTAGATCAGAAAGAAGTAGATCCAGGCTGTAGACCAATTTTGTTGAGCTTAAAGTGTTAAGTCACTCATTTAAAAAAACAGATTAGTAGCTAACATTTAAAAAATTGAAAGTTATATGTAAAATCTGGATTTCTGGCTTTTTTCAAATACTGAACTGGGCCCGACTTTTCTACATGGTAATAATTGTTAGGTGCTTCAGATGTAGAGTACCCTTACTGCTTCGGCATAGTTCTTGCCACTTACTGTTTACATCTGGCTTGTTCATTTACATCAGGGGATAAAGACTAAATATTTTTGGCTTTGAGGACCATATGGCCGCTGTCTCAACTACTCAACTCTACTGTTGTAGCATGAAAACAGCAAAAGGCAATGTCTAAATGAATGAGTGTTGCTGTGTTCCAGTAAAACTTTATTGATAGAAGCAGGTCTGAAGGTTACAATTTGTGATTCTTGAATCTGTGTAATATGCCTGGCTACAGGCAGCATTTAATTTGAAACCATTGTTTATGATTGAACCAATTCTGGTCTGGCTTTATGGAGATGCCTATTAATTCTGAAGAGAAAAGGGCTGTAGTGTAAAATTAACAAATTGTATTAGGAGAGTTTAAGTCAATTAATTATGGGACTGCTTTTTCCTAAAAAACATAACGCAAGAAAGGAAAGCTGTCATTACAAATGGCTTGAGAGAAAAGTGAGCATGAGAGAACAAAGGTCAAAATGGAGCAGCTTGACCATATGTGTTGCTGATGTGGAAAATCAGCTGTTTAAAGAATATTCAACTAGCATTTGTAAATATCGTATATATGTTAGCAGCTGGTTGTTTCTAATATGCATGAAAAAATATAGATTTGTTTAAAATTAATGTTAAATGTTGATATAGCTAGAAAAATAGAATCTCTTTCAATAGCAAACTTTTTGGCCCATATAAATTATGATTAGATTTGTAAAACTTCAATTTGCAATGATTTTTCCAGCAGCAAACTTAGGGCCCAGAGCCAAGAGATAATACCAAATATTATCTGAAACTACCATATATTTAACATTTTCAAAAGGAATCAGGCCAGGTGCCATGGCTAACATCTATAATCCCCCCATGTTGGGAGGCTAATGTGGGAGGATTGCTTAAGTCCAGGAGTTTGAGATCAGCCTGGGTCATGTATCAAAACCCCGTCTCTACAAAAAGAAATGAAAGTAGCCAGGCATGGTGGTATGTGCCTGTAGTACCAGCTACTCAAGAGGCTGAGGCATGAGGATTGCTTAGTCCAGGAGTTTGAGGCTGCAGTGGGCTATGATGGTGCCACGGCACTCCAGTGTGGGTCTCTAAAAAAGGAATCAATTTGTTCCAATTATCATAACCAAAATAGTGATAATAATAATACATTATTGTTACTCTTAGAATCCACAAAACAAATTACAGAATTCTTCAAAATTAGCCAAAATAAAATGGAAATCTTTTGAATTGTGAATGTAAAAATATATATTTTTAAAACTTGTTAATTCATAATTCACTAATTCACTCCTTTGGAAATTCTGAAACAGCTGGGATAAAATCAATATTTGGCTAGAGGTGAAAATGACTTGGTAAGAAATGCTTGTGTATTTACAAGTTTAAGTACATTTCTCTTTAATTGCATTGGTGATTTTGTGGCATTCTCAGTTGCATTGCTAGTCTTTCTAAACAAGAGGCACATTTTTGCTGCCTTAATTTCTTCTCCACCAATTTTTCTTTTAGCCTCTTAAAAAGTAGTTTCTATTCCCACCACTCCATTCAAGCTCTTCTCAAGAAGGCCACTTTCTAGCCTTCTTATTTATACGTTTATTAATCTTTTGTCAATTCTCTTTTTCCTGAATCTCTCTGCTGGATCCCTGAAGTTTTTGCCATCTTAACCTTTTACAACCAGTAAGTTGCTGTTATTCTTTCATCATTTCAGCACCCTCTTTTGTTGACTCTATTCTTTCTTCTACAGTCTAGCTAAGTACTCTTCAAGTATCCATCTTTGGCTGCTGGTCTCCACTCTCTTTTACTCTTGTCCTTGAGAATCTCAAGGACTTCAAACCCTCTCTATTGATTTACAGTATTGTCCTCTTGCAAAGGCTACATTCCTTTATTTCTGCTTTCTGGAAATGTCCATAATTATTGCTATAAAGAACAGGAGCATCGTAACTAATATAAGCCAGATGACATTTTTTCTTCCCTCTTGCTATATGAGAATGGTGGATATTGAAATTATGTGCACCATTCCTAAACAAGATGGTAAAAATATCACTGTGCCCCTTTTCTGTATGATGTTTACCTGCTTGCACTGATGGAGGTAAATTTAATTTATAGATTACCTGTTTGGAATTATTTTATTTAGACCCTGTTCATATATTGGTTTATCTAGGATGTAGTGGGAATAAGCTGTATCTAAATGCATATTTTTTGTCCCTAGAAAAATAATAAAGAGAGTTATGACAGTGTTTGGAGTTTTGGCCAGGAAGTTACTGCAGTCTCAGATGCAGGGGGCAGGGATATCCCTTTCCTAATCCACCAGTTTGAGATACAGGTATTCCAGGATTGTAGATGCTTTCAACTTCAGTCAGGAGGTCAAAGCAATGGAAAAATGTAGTTTTTACATTGTGTTTAATAAAGAATGATGTAGTTTCTGCATTGTACTTAATAGGAAGTAAAAAAACATGCCAATTTAAAAGGCTGAAATTTAAAAATTTCTCAGTACAACTACAAAAATATGAATTTTGTCTAGCACACTAGAGAATGTAGTATGCTACCTTCTTACCAAATCTAAAATAGATACATTGCCAGTATAACAGTCTCATTATATCTAAAATCCAGTTTATCCTTTTTTTCTTTTTTCAAAATTATGCCTCTGTGTTACTTCTCCCTGGCTATCCACCAACCATTCTTTTCCTAACTAAAGCAGTGAATAATAATACATATTATGAAAACATAATAATGAAAACAACACTTAATAAATGCATTCACTTTTCCAGATACTGTTCTAAGTGTTTAAGTCTCATCAAAACCCTTTGAGGTCAGGAAATATTTATTATTATCCCACTTTATAAATGACATTTAAGGTGAAATGATACGCTGAAGATAATATGAGTGTTATACAATAGAGCTGAGATACAAACCCAGCCAATCTTACATCACATACAAGCTTCTCTTAACTATTCAAAATATGGCCTCTCAAAACACCAGGTCACCCTTGGAAGATCATTTAGTCTATTGAAAAGTTCAGGCGGGTACTGCCTGTGTTAATTTGAGTTAAAATCTAGCTCCATTGTTTTCATGCTGTGTGACCCCAAACTAATCCTTAAACTTCAAGTTAATTACCTATTAACTGTAACTAATTATTCCAGCTTTATGGATGTCTTTAAAAGCTTGATTTAATTATTCCACAATGTAAACATATATCAAATCATCACATTGTACCACATAAATATATAACATATACCATTATTGTCAATTAAAAATTAAAAAAACAATTAAATCACATAATTTTTTTTAAGTACTTGGGGAAAAAGGAACTTGGAATATAGCCATTTAACCAGTGTTGGTTTTCTTCATATCCTACAATCCACGTATCTAATTAGTTGCCAAGTTCTGTTGAATACGTAGATCATTACAATGTATTTCATACTCATTTCTTCTTTTCAATCATTATATCCTTATTGCAAATAAAATAAAAACATCTTCAATGGCTCTCCACCCTGGACATTACTGATTCTGTATTCTGTCATTCAGTTTTCCTCATTGTCTGGTCCTGAATTTATTTCATTAACCTATTTCCTATGGCTCCCCCAGTGAACCCTCTATTCCATTTGGGCTGGAATGTGCTTCTGTTATTCACCATCCAAATGTGTTTATGTGAGCTCCATCTCAATGCCTTGATTACATTGTGACCTCTGTTTTCTGTATCCCAGAAACAATACTGTATACAGGACATTAGGAAAAAGAAAGAGCATTTTCTCCTCCATTTTCTGGTTATAAACTCCTTTGTTGGGGAACTTGGAAGTCCTTGCTATGGTCTCAGATTTTAGAACAAAAGCCAGTGACAAAGCTAAGTCAACCAAGGTGTTAATTGGGTTTTAAAATCTATTAAACAACTTGGTTCTATTTTTCACATCAGAAATGTACAGATACCCTCTTCAGCATAAAACTGAAAACTGCCTTGGAAGGGAAGAGAACGGAAAATTAGAATTTCAAACTATATTCTTACCCTACCTCAATCTTTAATTTTAAGGTAATCATGGAGAAAAATAAGGAGGTAAATTATGCAAGCAAATGCAACAATGCAGCTGTTTTAAAAAATATATTCTACAATTCAAATTTCTACTAATTGAGGTTAGCCTTCCTCCCAATAAAATTAATGAACATTGCTCCTAGTTTGCTGGGCAATAAATGGTGTAGGAATGGGGGAGCTGATGGCCATGACTTGGTGCAGGTAAGATAAAGCAATTGTTACTGGAAATATTAGATTTACTCAAATATTATGGAAAATTCAGGTATTAAGACAAAACAGCTGGGTCTGCAGAGGTGTGGATTGTTTTAGTAGTAGTCACAAGTTGTTGAGAATTTGGGAATAAGCTAAATCTTGATCAATTTAATCACATTTTTAACTTTCTTGCAAAAAAGACATAGACATTCTAATGTAATCTTTTTCAAAGGACAGTCTTTTTATAAAGCAAAGACATTGTGTAGAATTTTTCATGCACAAATGTAGATTTCTGCCTATTGACTCTGCCTCAAGAAAGTTACGTTAGTTCTAGAATCTGTCATGTTTTTCAAAGTCATGTTAAATTGGATCCTTGGCACTTCTTCCTCAATCCCCCAAAATGTGCTTGAACCTGAACAGGTTTCTTCCCATAAGTGAACAGGCCATAAACAATTAATATATTCTAGTGAAAATATCATTTTAGTGACCCAGGGTGATGCAAATATTATTGCTTAGGATTTATTTTCTCTCCCAGTTCTTTCTTCGCTGTATTTTGAGGCAGGGCAATATTATCTATAACTTTAGATTTCCAGTGATGACAGAATCTAATAAAAGAGGAACAGAGTATTTGGTAATTATGTCAACTTCAAAGTCAAAAAGTTATAGCAAATGAGTAAGAAATGAAGGCTCCTATCCAGAACCTGCTTTAAAGCTGGAATTAATATTGATGTTTCTCCAAGCACAAATACTGAGAATATGGATTACAGAAAATGATGTCTGAGATGAAGATTTTATGTTTGAAGAATACGACTGATACTAACGACCATGTAAATACATTTTTAAAGTCAGTCAGTCAATTTAGAGTAGATGTCGTTGCTGTGAGTCTCTTTGAACTATTCATGTTTGGGAAGTTTGGATTCAAGTCAGTGAACCTGAGTCCAACCCCTAATCCTAACGCCTCTTAACTAGATAACTAGTCCTTATCTAGGACTATTAGACAAGTTATGATGCTTCTCTTAACCCCAGGTTTCTTGGCAGCACAATGAGGATAATAACAGTGCCTGCCTTATAGGGTAATGGGGGATGTTTGAATGGTAATATATGTAGAAAATATTTTTCAAACTCTAAACCCTATTATTTAGATTTTTCATTAGTAAAATAGTTTGAGTCATTTTGGAAATATCACCAACTGTCAGTAAATGTTACATTTACAATCTCCCATCTAGAAAATAATTTCTTACTTGCTCCTCTGTTTCTAGTTTGTCCCATTTAAATTCACCACTTAACCTACTGCCAGGGTGCTCTTTCTCCCTCCCCTTCCTCTGACCCCTACTCCTCCTTTTCCTCCTTCTTCTCTTTTTTCTTTTCTTGCTTCTCTTCCTTCTTCTCCTTTTTCACTTTCTCTTCCTTCCCCTCTGCTTCTAATATTGTAAATATTATAAGTAGAGTTAAGGAGGATTATATAACAGACATTTATTTTCCCCCACTTATTTTATCAGATCTTAATATTTTACTGTATTTTCTTCAGAACTTTAATAAGCTAAAACATTTCAATTGAAGCCAATTGTATCTCATTCACTCTCTACTTAGAGGCAACTGCCATCATGTCTTAGTTGAAAGGAGGCTAAAAATTCCATCACTGTCACTTACTATCTGTATAACAAGACAAATTACTTTATCTGTGCTTCGGTTTTCTTATCTATGAACTTGGAGTAATAATGATAAATATCGCCTCGAGTGGCTGTTGTAACTAAATGATAGAATTAAACATCTGTAAATCATTCACAACAGTGCATGACACTTATGAGACTCAAAAAATGTTATAATTACTGGTAGCTGATGTAGTAGATGCATCATGAATTTTGGTGTTTTATCATTCTCACGTATATTTTTGTAACTCATATATTTGTGTATCTTACATAGTGAAAATATGCATTTTTTAATAACTTGGCATAATTGGCATCGCATATATGTATCATTTTACAATGTCCTTGTCTTGTTCAACGTTAGGTTTTTGAGATTTATTTATGTTGTTAATTACATTTTTAGCTTATTTATTTTTACTACTTTACAGTGCTTAATGACATTATATAAACATACCACCAGTTATCTATTGTCTTGTAAATGGATATTTGAGTTGTTTCTAATTTTTTGGTTGATGCAAATAAGGTTACAATAAATAGCATTAGTTGTGAAGCCTTTATTACATGTATTGAAGTTTTCATACAGACTATGCTTGCAAGTGGAAATGCTGGGTAAGAGAATATACAAACTTCCATCTTCACTGGTATGACCAAATTGTCCTCAATGGTGGTTATATTAACACTCATTCTTTCCAATAACATGTGAGAATTCCTGTTTTTCCACACACAAGAGGAAGTGTTAGACACTTAAAATTTTATCTGTTAGAATGGGTATCAAATGTATTTCCCTGCAGCCTTAATTTACATTTACTAAATTACTAGCAAAGCTAAGAGTCTTTTAAAATGCTTATTGGCCATTTCAGTTTCCTTTTCTATGAATTACCCATTCAAATCCCTTGTCCTGTTGACTCTTGAGTTGTCTTCGGATTTGCAAGAGTTCTTTATAATTCTGGGTACTGGTACCTTTTCAGTTAGATATATTTCAAATATCTGAGATTCTGCCTTGTCCTTTAACTTTATTTTTAGTGTTTTTGTTTGAACAGAGTTTGACATTTTAATGTAATCAAATATATCAGTCTTTTCCCTTTTCATGTCCTACTTTTTAAAATGTCCTACTTCCCTAAGATCTTAAATGTGTTCTCCTGTATATTCTTTGGACATTTTGAAGTTTTGTTTTTGGTCCCAGATCTTCAATCTACCTGAAATTTATTTTTGCTAAAGATACTAATGGAAACTAATTCTCTTCTTCTTTCTACTTGATTTACCAACTGTTCAAACACCATCTACTACAACATTGTTACTTTCTTCCTGAATATTATAAAACATAATTATTATAATGATAATGCTGTGGGATATATATATGAGATATGCATTTTATGATATGTATTTTTTCATTTCTTCTAAAAAAATGGGACATATGTGCAGAATGTGCAGGTTTGTTACACAGGCATACACGTGCCGTGGTGGTTCGCTGCACCTATTGACTCTCCTCTAAGTTCCTCCCCTCACTCCTCAACAGACCTGGTGTGTGTCTCTGTGTCCATGTGTTCTCATTGTTCAACTCCTACTTATGAGTGAGAACATGCAATGTTTGGTTCTCTGTTACTGTGTTAATTTGCTGAGGAGGATGGCTTCCAGTTTCACCCATGTCCCTGCAAAGGACATGATCTCATTCCTTTTTATGGCAGCATAGTATTCCATGGTATATATGTACCACATTTTCATTATCCAGACTATCATTGATGGACCTTGGAGTTGGTTCCATGTCTTTGCTATTGTAAATAGTGCTGCAATAAACATACGTGTGCATCTGTCTTTAGAGTAGAATGATTTATATTACTTTGGGTATATACTCAGTAATGGGATTGCTGGGTCAAATGATATTTCTGGTTCTAGATCCTTGAGAAATCACCATACTGTCTTCCACAATGGGTGAACTAATTTACATTCCCACCAACAGTGTGAAAGTGTTCCTATTTCTCCACAGCCTTGCCAGCATCTATTGTTTCCTGGCTTTTTAATAATAGCCATTCTAACTGTTGTGAGATGGTATCTCATTGTGGTTTTAATTTGCATTTCTCTGATAATCAATCATGTTGAGCTTTCTTTCATACGTTTGTTGGCCAGGTTATGTCTTCTTTTGAGAAGTGTCTGTTCATATCCTTTGCCCACTTTTTGATGGGATTGGTTTTTTCTTGTAAATTTGTAAAATTTCTTTTAAATCTGGATATTAGACCTTTGTCAGATGGGTAGATTGCAAAAGTTTTCTCCCATTCTGTGGACTATTCACTCTGATGATAGCTTCTTTTGCTGTGCAGAAACTCTTTAGTTTAGTTAGATCCCATTTGTCAATTTTGGCTTTTGTTGCAATTGCTTTTTTGTGTTTTTGTCATGAAGTCTTTGCCTATGCCTATGTCCTGAATGGTATTGCCTAGGTTTTCTTCTAGGGTTTGTATGGTTTTGAGTTTTACATTTAAGTCTTTAATCCATCTTGAGTTAATTTTATACAAGGTATAAGGAAGGGGTCCAATATTAGTTTTCTGCATATGGCTAGTCAGTTCTCCCAGCACCATTTACTGAGTAGGAGATCCTTTCCCCATTGCTTGTTTTTGTCAAGTTTGATAAAGATCCGATGGTTGCAGATGTGTGCTGTTATTTCTGAAGTCTCTGTTCTACTCCATTGGTCTATATGTCTGTTTGGTAACAGTATCATGCTGTTTTGGTTACTATAGCCTTGTAGTATACTTTGAAGTCAGGTAGCATGATGCCTCCAGCTTTGTTCTTTTTGTCTAGGATTGTCTTGGCTATAGGGGTCTTCTTTGATTCCATATTAAATTTAATGTAGTTTTTTCTAATTCTGTGAAGAATGTCCATGGTAGTTTGATGGGAATAGCATTGAATCTATAAATTACTATGGGCAGTATGGCCATTTTCACGATATTGATTCTTCCTATCTATGAGGATGGAATGTTTTTCCATTTGTTTGTGTCCTCTCTTATTTCCTTGAGCAGTGGTTTGTAGTTCTCCCTGACAAGGTCCCTCACATCCCTTGTTAGCTGTATTCCTAAATATGTTATTAACTTTGTAGCAACTGTGAATGGGAGTTCATTCATGATTTGGCTCTCTGTTTGCTTGTTGGTGTAAAGGAATGCTTGTGATTTTTGAATATTGACTTATATCCTGAGACTTTGCTGTAATTGCTTATCAGTTTAAGGAGTTTTGGGGCTGAGATGATGAGGTTTTCTAAATGTAAAATCATGTCGTCTGCAAACAGAGAGGCAATTTGACTTCCTCTCTTCCTATTTGAATACCTTTTATTTCTTTCTTTTGCCTGATTGCCCTGGCCAGAACTTCCAATACTATGTTGAATAGGAGTCGTGAGAGACGGTGTCCTTATCTTGTACCGGTTTTCAAAGAGAATGCTTCCTGCTTTTGTCCACTCAATCTGATATTGGTTGTGGGTTTGTCATAAATAGCTCTTATTATTTTGAGATATGTTGCATCAAAACCTAGTTTATTGAGAGTTTTTAACATGAAGGGATTTTGAATTTTATCAAAGGCCTTTTCTGCATCTATTGGGACAATCGTGGTTTTTGTTTTTGGTTCTGTTTATGTGATAGATTACCTTTATTGATTTGCATATGTTGAACTAACCTTTCATCCCAGGGATGAAGCCAACTTGATTGTGGTAGATAAGTTTTTTTTTATTTGCAGCTGGATTCGGTTTGCCAATATTTTATTGAGGATTTTTGCATCAATGTTCATCAGGAATATTGGCCTAAAATATTTTTTTTGTTGTTGTGTCTCTGCCAGGTTTGGTGATGCTGGCTTCATAAAATGAGTTATGGAGGAGTCCCTTCTTTTCAATTGTTTGGAATAGGTTCAGAAGGAATGGTACCAGCTCCTCTTTGTATTTCTGGTAGAATTTGGTTGTGAATCCATCTGGTCCTGGGCTTTTTCTTTTTTCTTTTTTTTTTTTTTTTTGGATGGTAGGCTGTTAATTCCTGCCTCAATTTCAGTAGTTGTTACTCGTCTATTCAGGGATTTGACTTCTTCCTGGTTTAGTCTTGGGAGTGTGTATGTGTCCAGAAATTTATCCATTTCTTCTAGATTTTCTTGTTTATTTGCAGAGAGGTGTTTATGCTATTCTCTGATGGTAGTTTGTATTTCTGTTGGGTAGGTGGTGATATCCCCTTTATCATTTTTTATTGTGTCTATTTGATTCTTCTCTCTTTTCTTTTTTATTAGCCTAGCTATCGGTCTATTTATTTTGTTAATTTATTCAAAAAAACAGCTCCTGGATTCACTGACTCTTTGGAGGGTTTTTCATGTCTCTATCTCCTTCAACTGTTCTCTAATCTTAGTTATTTCTTGTCTTCTGTTGGCTTTTGGATTAGTTTGCTCTTGTCTCTCTAGCTCTTTTAATTGTGATGTTAGGGTGTTGATTAAAGATCTTTATAGCTTTCTGATGTGTGCATTTAGTGCTATAAAATTCCCTCTTAACACTACTTTAGCTGTGTCCAAGAGATTCTGGTACATTGTCTTTTTGTTCTCATTGGTTTCAAAGAACTACTTTATTTCTGTCTTAATTTTGTTATTTACTCAGTAGTCATTCAGGAGCAAGTTGTTTAATTTCTATGTAATTGTGTGGTTTTGAGTGAGTTTCTTAATCTTGAGTTCTAATTTGATTTCACTGTGGTCTGAGAGTCTGTTTGTTACAATTTCTGTTCCTTTTGCATTTGCTGAGGAGTGTTTTACTTCCAATTTTGTGGTCAATTTTAGCATAAGTGCCATGTGGCACTAAGAAGAATGTATATTCTCTTGATTTGGGGTGGAGAGTTCTGTAGATGTCTACTAGGTCCACTTGATCCAGAGCTGAGTTCAAGTCCTGAATATCCTTGTTAATTTTCTGTCTCATTGATCTGTCTAATATTGACAGTAAGGTGTTAAAGTCTCCCATTATTTTGTGGGAGTCTAAGTCTCTTTGTAGGTCTCTAAGAACTTGTTGGTTATGAATCTAGTTGCTCCTGTATTGGGTGCATATATATTTAGAATAGTTAGCTCTTCTTGTTGAATTGTTCCCTTTACCATTATGTAATGCCCTTCTTTGTCTTTCTTGATCTTTGTTGGTTTAAAGTCTATTTTGTCAGAGACTTGGATTGCAAACCCTGCTTTTTTGCTTTCCATTTGCTTGGTAAATTTTCCTCCATCCCTGTATTTTGAGTCTATATGTGTCTTTGCACATGAGATGGGTCTCACGAATACAGCACAACAATGGGTCTTGACTCTATCTAATCTGCCAGTCTGCATCTTTTAATTGGGACATTTAGCCCATTTACATTTAAGGTTAATATTGTTATGTGTGAATTTGATCCTGTCATTATGCTGCTATTTGGTTATTTTGCACACTAGTTGATGCAGTTTCTTCATAGTGTCATTGGTATTTATATTTTGGTGTGGTTTTTGCAGTGACTGGTACCGGTTTTGCCTTTCGATATTGAGTGCTTCTTTCAGGAGCTCTTGCAGGGCAGGCCTGGTGTTAACAAAATCCTTCAGCATTTGCCTGTCTGAAAAGCATTTTATTTATCCTTCACTTATGAAGCTTAGTTTGGCTGGATATGAAGTTCTGGGTTGAAAATTATTTTCTTTAAAAATGTTGAATATTGGCCCCCAATCTCTTTTGGCTTATAGAGTTTCTGCTGAGAAGTCTGTTGTTAGTCTGATGAGCTTCCCTTTATAAGTGACCTGGTCTTTTTCTCTGGCTGCCCTTAACATTTTTTTATTCATTTTCACCTTGGAGAATCTGATGATTATGTGTCTTAGGGTTGATCTTCTTGTGGAGTATCTTAATGGTGTTCTCTGTATTTTCTGAATTTGCATGTTGACCTGTTTTGCTAGGTTTGGGAAGTTCTAGATAATATCCTGAAGTGTGTTTTCCAGCTTGTTTACATTCTCCTAGTCTCCGTCAGGTACTCCAATCAATTGTAGTTTCAGTCTTTTTATGAAGTCCCATATTTCTTGAAGGCTTGGTTCATTCATTTTTATTATTTTTTCTTTAGTCTTGTCTGCATGCCTTATTTCAGCAAGGTGGTCTTCAAACTCTGTTATCCTTTCTTCCACTTGGTTGATTTGGCTATTGATACTTGTGTATGCTTCACGAAGTTCTGGTGCTGTAGTTTTCAGCTCCATGAGGTCGTGTTCCTCTCTAAACTGGTTATTCTAGTTAGTAATTCCTCTATCCATTTATCATGGTTCTTATCTTCTTTACATTGGGTTAGAACATGCTCATTTAGCTCAGCACAGTTTTTTTATTACCCATCTTCTGAAGCTTACTTCTGTCAATTCATCCATCTGATCCTCCATCCATTTCTGTGCCCTTGATGGAGAGACATTGAGATCATTTGGAGGAGAAGAGGCGCTCTGGCCTTTTGGGTTTTCAGCATTTTTTCATTGATTTTTTTCTCAGCTTTGTGTATTTGTTTAGTTTTGGTCTTTGAAGCTGCTGACCCTTGGATGGGGGTTTGTGGGGGCTTTTGTTGTTTTGTTGTTGTTGTTGCTTCCTGCTTGTTTGTTTTTCTTTCAGTGGTCAGGTCCCTCTTCTATAGGGCTGCTCCAGTATGCTGGGGGTAAGCTTCAGGCCCTATTCATCTTATGCATTCCCGTGCCTGGAGATGTCACTCAAGGAGCAAAGATTGGTGCCTGTTCCTTCTTCTGGGACCTGTGACCTCAAGAGGCGCCAAACTGATGCCAGTAGGATCACTCCTGTGTAAAGTTTCTGACAATCCCTGTTAGAGGGTCTCACCCAGTTGGGTGGCATGGGGAACAGGACCCGTTTAATGAGGCACTTTGTCCCTTGGTGGAGGGCTTGTGCATCCTGAGGGGGAAACCCACTTGTCTGGGCTGCCCTGATTCCTTAGAACTACCAGGAGGAAAGGCTAAGGCTGCTGGATTGCAGACTGTGGCCACCCCTTCCCCTCAGGGCTCAGGCCCAAGGATATCTGGGTTCTGTCCCTCAGCCTCTGACTGGAGTTATTGGAGTTCCTGCAGGGAAGCCCCACCAGATGAGGAAGTATGAGTCAGGGTCAGGCCTGAGGAGGCACTCTGGCCACAGATTGCCACAGCCAGCTTGTTGGACTGTGGGGGACAAGTCTTGGGACCAAGCTGTCCAGACTCCCTAGCTCCAGCAGGGGAAAAGCACAGCCTTTAGCTATAGAGATGTATGCAGCTCTTCAGCCGCCCAGGGAGCTTAGCGTGTTAGGCAGTTGGGAGTCCCAGTACTGGCTGCTGTCCCTCACCCAAGGAGCTCAAACAGGCTTACACAGCAGGAAATCACAGCTGTGGTGCTGGTCACCCCTCTCCCCAGGAGTTCAGTAGGCTTAAACAGATTCCAGCTGAGAGGCTGTTGAGAATCTGTGTGTTCCAGGGTTGGGACGCTAGGCTCCAGTGGTGTGGGTTCGTGAGCGGGATCTTCCGATCCATTGGTTACACAGTTCCGTGGAAAAAGCATGGTTTCCTTGCTTTTTCATACATTTGTATGAGTGTTCTATTCTTTACAAATTTTTACTTGGCAATAATTTGTGCTCATTCATTTATTCAATTCCCAATGCTCACTCACTTCCTCCCTTGGCTAGGGGGAGGAGGGTCCCCTGCCCTGTGTGGCTCTCAGGTGGGCCACTGCACCACCGTGTTCTTCCTTCTCTCCGTGGGTCATGCCAGCCTTCTAGTCAGTTCTGATGAGAGAATCTGGTTGCCAGTGAAGGCCTCACATGCTTATTATGGTTTTATTCGATTGGAGCATCTGAATGCCACTGTTCCTAGTCGGCCTTCTTGGCCCTGCCTCCTATGATATGTATTATATACACAATAAGTAGTCCTCAATGTCATCTTTGGCCCTTGGAAACTGAGTTTAAGCAAAACGGCATATAAGGAAACTACATAGGCTAATTGACATAAACAAGAGTTAAGCTCCTATGGCATATTTCTAGTCATAAAAATATCACCAAACTTATAAATAGAGGCCAAACACTTCTAAATATTATACACTGAACTGTGAACTATACATACATCAATACATATATTTATAAAATATTAATAAAAACAAGAATTATTTACTCAATTTTTGGTGAATCAGTGAGTGACTGTGGTCATGACAATGGTGGGTTAAGTCATGAAATAAATGTTTGCAAAGCAAAAATTTTGAGGAGCCCCTCCTACCACCATGCAGTTCAAAACCAAACAATAACATATCATGGGCTCACTGAGCACTTTGGGATTGCATCATTTATTGTCATGCATTTGTATGAGTGTTCTATACTTTACAAATTTTTATTTGGCAATAATTTGTGCTCATTCATTTATTCAATTCCCAATACACTGATTTCAGTTCAGGGTCTTGGGTAGTCGGAGCCTAACCCAGCAGTGCAGGGTACAAAGCAGATACCAATCCTGGATGGGATATTTTATTTCAGGGCACACTCTTTCACACATCTACACTCACTCAGACTGAAACAATTTAGACACTCAATTCACCTAACCTGCACAGCTCTGGGATATGAGAGGAAATCAGCCAGAATACCAGGAGAAAACCCACACAGACGTGGGAAGAACATGCAGACTCCACATAGACAATGATGTTGGCTGGGAATCAATTTTTTTTTCCTCAACATTGTCAGGAAACAATGTTATTCAAGGGCCTGCTGTATATGTATATATACATATGTATATATCCTATACATACATATGCATATATGTGCATACATATCCATGTATATAAATATATATATGAAATCTAACTATATCTTAATCTGTCATCATTGATACTTATCCCTTACACTTCAGCTGAAAACAACAATCTGTAGGTCTTGAGCTTGTCTTGATGTTTTACAACTCCAAACTTATCTGCATGCCACTCCCCAGCCTGGAGTACTGTAAGGTATACTTGGCATATTCCCGTCAATTTTTTGAGACTTGGTTCAAGTGTCCCATCCTCTGCAAAACCCACTCAGCCAACCTTAATGATTTCCCCCTTTTATTTAGGATACTGTCACTGCAATTTTTTTTTTTGAACCTGCCACTCAAGTATACACATACCCCACTCAATGCCAAGGATTGTCTTGAGGCAGAACTGCCTGGAACTCCTGTATGTGCCTCCATGAAAGCCTACATGTAACTATTTATTTGTCAATCTTCCCACTAAATTGGGAGCACTTTTATTCCTAAACCCCGGGACTCAGCACAGTGCTTGATATCCAATAAATACTCATTAATATCTGTTAAATTAATAAATGCACTTTAAAAAGCTGTGCATTAAAAATGTTAAATATCTTAGGATACTATTTCCTTAGCTAGCCACATTACAGGAGAACAGAAACTCCGAATTTGACCTTAAAACTCTAAGATTTACAAGTTGGACTAGATTTTCCCGAGAAATAGCATGAGATACAAATTGGAATCTAAGTGCTGAGATCATTTTTTCTGGCTACTTTGCGAAATATCAGGTAAGGCATGTTAATGATTAATTAAGTCTTTCACAGTCAAACAATAGTAAAACTTCAAAACCTGGAGAGAATTCCTAATAAATCTGGCACATAGTCTTAATTTCCACAGCCAAAGTTTATGAGTACCGTCAAAAGAGTTTCTAGCATTAATGGACTTTGCTGAAAAGTTTCTAGCTTGCCAGCTGCTACAATGAATTTGTCAGTATTTTTGTGTGCTTGTTTTTGTTTTGTTTTAATTTTTGAGCAGGACATAATTTTTGAGCAGGGTATAGCAAGGACAGAAAGCTAGAAATTCAGGGAAAGACGATCTGGTGGCACCGTATGAAAAATTATTAGAGTCTATACAACACTTAAATAATTTCTCATCTCTGATCTTGAACTTCCTTTGCACATGAAACAAAGAACCTGGATTTGTCTGTCTCTCACATTCTCTATTGTAAACTACTCTAGAATTTTAGGATGAAGATAACTTCACTGAGTGAGTTTCTTGACCCCATAATGTTCAAACATAATTTTGAGAGACTAGGTCAAGATATTCAACTGTGAATTCAAGCATCTGGGGAAAAGATGAGATTAAATGATTGTTAAAGTTTCTTCTCTCCTTCAAAAGGGGAATGGAGAGGTATGAGAATGGGAACAAAATGACAACAACTACTTTACCATACTGGTCAGAGTAGCCCTTGGGCATATCAACAGAACTGAGATTAGTTATTTAGGACTTGAGACTACATGGAAAGTATAATGTGATGATGATATTCAATTACTTAGTGTCATAAAGATCAAGAGCTCCTGGATAAGAAGACAAGCCTTTTAGATAAGAGCAGGCTTGATCTCACGAACATAAAAGAGACATCATCTACTTTAAATTAGATTTAGAGGCCTGGGCCAAAAAGACAAATTAAGTACAAAGAATTAAGTAGAACAGAGATGCTGTGGGGAAAAAAAGAACCAAGTGTATATCAAAGAAATGAGTGACTTTTAATGCACTGTAGTCTAAGCATTATTTACCTTCATTGAGATGAAGGGGAAAATGTTGATGGAAAAAAAATTTTCATCACTGTAACTGAATTTAGGTTGAAAGAAGCTCATATCTTAATGCTTAGGTGCTTAGGTGAGTCTGTCGGAACACACAAAAAAGCTGTTGTTTTAGGTGGGATCCCATAGAAAAAGCACTCAGGTTAGAATTCTTGTTCAAAGGAATTATTGAGGGAGTGTTCAAGAGGAGCAGGGAAGCAGAAAGCATCAGAAGCAAAAAGAGCTAATCAAGAATGTGGTAACAGCTGGAGACCTGCTTCCATTTGATCTCTTGGTGAAAGACTGGAAGACAAATTGTGCCCCAGAGTGTGTCCCACCTTAAAGAAAGAGGAATGGTCTCTCACCAGTGCCAGTCAGTTATTGAGCAAGATCTGGAAAGTGATGGGTTCAGGACATGCTACCTCAAAATATAGCACCTTGGCATTTGAGAAAATGGCAGAAGCAAAAAGGTCACTCTCTGACCTTCTCCTGTCCCTATCCCTTGAATCAGGCCTTAAGACCTAGAAAAGACTTTTCTGAGCTTCCTCTGAAGCAGGTCATAAGACCCTCACTTGAGAGGCACCCTCTCTTGACCTGGAGAAAAGGAGTGTCTTTATCTCTGAAGACACAAGGACACATAGAAGAATGCCCTCAGTTTACTATAGTTAGATGATACATTTTTTGTCCAATAATACTTTCACAACTATCCACATCTTCCTCAAACTTATACATAGGTTTCTGTTACTTTGGGTCTTCATTTCTGAAGACTCCTGTGTCACATAAACTTATTAAATGATTTTGAATGCTTTTCTCTTGTTAATCTGCCTTTTGTTACAGGAGCTTCAATCATGAACCAAAGGATCTGTGAGAAAAAAGAAATCCTTTCTCCCCTACAGGGAAGATGCTGAGTGTATCACGGAGGCAGATCCCCAGTTGACAAAAGTAATTCTCCAGAGAAAGGGGGAGCTAAAAATTGTCATCAGTCAGCACTTACAAGAGTCAGGGCTTGCGTTTGTACAAGCACTACAAGAGTCAGGGCTTGTGTTTACCAACTGGTAAAGGGCATTTTGCTGAGGCCCCAACAGCATCCACTTCTCTGACAAGCCTTTCCCAAGTAATCACTATCTTTTCAGTGTTTCTGTCCTGCCCTATATATAGTTCAGCCTTCTTGTTCACACAAACATTTGTATCTGTTTAGTTATGTCCCTGCCATCAACTATGAGCCTTACATGAGGAAATTTGCTTTTTCAACTTCAAATTCCAGAATTTAACACAAGTGCTATTTTTTTGGAAAATAAAATTATTTTCTGATATATTATTTTAGAAATCCCACATTTCTAGAATGATGTTCCTTTCTACCCCAAATTTTAAGCCATTAAAAATGTGTATCCTATAACCTCTCTGAACTTGAGTAGATATTTATAATCATGTTTCACATTTTATGTTTTCAACTCTTGGCCACAGTTCATTGTGTTAAAAAGATAATAACTGTACCCCATGGCAAATCATTAAGAAAAATACACAAGCAATATATTTTTTTACACTCCATCTGTCATTGAGCACTTGGTAAAGTAGCAGGACTCAGCAGGACTGTCACAGACTCTGGGTTTCCATGTGCTCTAATGTCACCCCAAACTCCTTCGCCTACTCACTCACCATATGGAATTTATGCCATATTCTTCTGATATTACCGAATGTGTAATTGAGATATTTGCCCTGCTGCCAATATTCTAACATGAACTCATTCTGAAGTCAGGTAGGAGCTGGTTTTTTTCTGTCTGGTGCCTCATAAACCACCCACATCAAAACTGAACCAACTAATTAGGGTTGTAATTTATGTATGGCCAACTAAAGAGTTTTTAATGGCTCATATCATATTTGCCAGCTCTAAGAACAATTCAGTGGGAACCAGATGGCTCAAAGTACACCCCTTTTGTTGGCTCAATCTACCTGATTTCTGCAGCTCACAGTCAAGATTAGTTCCTCTTTGTCCTATAATTTTTTAAAGATTATAATTTTATTTTATTTCTCTATAATTTTTCAACATGACAACATGAACTACAAAGTAGGAGTCAAATAGACAATGTGATTCTTCTTGTCAATCTGTTACTACAGAGACTTTTTTGAAAGGAAGATAATCAAGTTCTCTTTCTGATTATTTGTTTCAGATTTGGTAATTTAGTTAAAAATTTTCAACCATCTGATAAAAATAGCCAGAGAATATGAATATCAAACATATAGAAGAAGAAATATAAATAACTGATAAGTATATAAAAATAGATAACTAGTCATTTCAGTAGTCAGAGTTGATAGTCAATTCGAACATAATTTATTTTCATGAAAATAGAAGCATGTATTATATGCTATTGCGCAATATTTCTCTAGATTACTGAAGAGTCTACCACAAAAAAAGATAATTTTGTCCTCCATGAATTAACAATATCATACTTATTGGCAGCATATTGTTCATGTTCATTAAAATGAAATATTTGATACAGGAATGTCTGTCATTGTTGTTAGTAATAGCTATCATTTGTTGAACCTTTCCTATGTGACAAATACTGTACTTTGTGCTTCTACAAACATTAGGTATGTAACGTCTATAAAAACTTTATTGTTTTACATATAAGAAAATTAGGGCTCAGTGATTCTGAGATTTTTCATGAATGACATAATTTAAAATGGTAGAGCTTGGAATTAAACTCAGATCTGTCTGCTTCCAAAGCTCCTACTCTTTCTAAGGGTTAAGACAAAGCTCCCTCCCTAATTTAAATGAAGGGATTGCTATGTGTTACATCCATGTAATTGAGCCTCTGTTGGGATATGGCTCTAAATGTATCCAGTTTGCTGAGTCAAGTGACCCATTGTTCTATAGGAAAATAAAGGCAGGGATTAAGAAAGTGGAGAATGGTAGCCAAAGGCAGGGAGTACGATGCTCTGAGAGAGAGGAAAATCAGTCCTCAACTACTGTCAGCTGAGCTAGCCTGTCACTAAGAGCTAGATTGTGATGTTCTCTTGTGGAACATAACCTCACAAAACCCAATATGAGACAAGGTCATTCATTCTGTGATCACAGTGCAGCAAGACAAAACGATACCACTCTATAATGTTTGAGGCACAGACAAAAACAGGACAATGTCCAAGCTACAGCAATGATCAAACATCTCCTTCTCCCAGCTAATATGAGTGATGGCTGCTTCTTTACCCATGGTTTAATCTTGCTCCATTCCTCAGCTATATAGATAAAAATTAAGGATCATATAACTTTTCCCACTTTGTGGCAGCACCCAGTGAAGAGCAAAACTACACTGTCTTAAACACTCCCCCATATTACCTAATGCAAGCACAAATACTGTAACAAATTCCTCCTAACACTCTCTTTCTGAAATACCTAATAGTTCCCCAAGGTTTTTTTTATCTCCCTTGGGGCAATGAGCCAATTAAGTCCAACTTTCTTGACTACAGATATATTGTTTGTCTTTGGTGGGAGGGCACTGAAGAGCTCCTTCTCTAATGAAGCGCTTGGATTAGATAAAGTATTTATTTGATACAACTACTCTCCTTGATCGGTGCTCAAGAAAGGAGTTGATAAACTTTTTTTTGTAAACGACAAGATAGTTATTATTTTTACCTTTGCAGGCCATAGGATCTCTATTGCAACTATTCATCTCTGCCATTGTGGCACAAAAGCAGCACAGACAATATGTAAACAAATGAGCAAAGCTGGATTTGGTCTGCCAGGTGATTGTTTAGGGATTCCCGGGTTTGATTAGCTTGATGGGGCCAACTGTTAGAATCATACTAATTCATTTTTCCTTCTGAATAGCTTCTCTTTTAATTGCCTTTATTTTCTTAACTGGAATATGATTACTCTGCAGAAACTTCTTCCCATATGGTTGCCATATAAAAATGTCCTTTGGTATAGCTAGAACTCAAATTACATAACTATAGAATAACCTTTACACATTTGAGTGGTTCCTTAAGTTTCCCCTTGAAAATGGATCACTGCAGTCATTCAAGTGGAATTACATTTTCTAAGCCATAATTCTGTACCATGTAGTCTTTTAGGCACAGAGGGTAGAAGGATGGTTATTTTCTTTTAGGAGCTCAGAGCATAGCTGGAGAGTCAGCATCGCAGACAATTAATAATGAAGAACAAATTACAAAAGGCTGTAAATTTGAACCAAAATAAATCTGCATAATGCAATAAAGTGAAGAGCAATAAAATGAAGTATGCCTGTCCTAAAGATCCCAGAGAGACATGATGAGAAATAAACATAACGTTCTTCCTTTAAAATAGCATATGTTCCCCCATGAAAGTCCAAATTCTATCCAAAGAGGCCTGTTCTAAACTACCGTCTGTCCAATATCTGGACCTTTCTAGTTAGGAGTTCTACAGTCTTGGTGCCATTTTCTTGTTCCCAGCTATTCTTTGCACATTGGCAGGTAAGAGTCCACTGCTTTCTAAAACACCTACAAAGTACAAAGTGAAGACGCTTGAGGAAAGAACAAAGCTATCCAGAATTGTCTTAAGTTTCAGGCCTCAAACCAAGGCCTACGGTTTTTGTTCGTTTTTCTTTTTCTTTTCTTTTTTGAATTAAGAATGCAATTTTCTCTTCTTCAGTGAAGGAAAGCTAGTGAATCCAAATGAAGTCTGGATGATGCCAGGCACAATCCTGAAGGCAGGCATTCGGTTTACTTAGATGGCAAATTCATCTCTTATTTTCAAGGTGCAGCCAATTGACATCTGTCAATTGGCTATAGTCAAATATCAGCCGTCTAAGATCAACTAAAAATTTATTTCACAGCAAATTACACACATGAGGATTCCAAATAGTTTTGTATAAAATTTACAGTAAAGAGATGATTGGGTAAATCTAAATCGCTTGGAGTTGAGTTTAACCAGCACAACTGACTTGGGAGGTGTCCAGAGGTTAGCAGCCTCCAGATAGGTAGCTTCTATTCCCTAGTCCTTGTCCAAGTTTTATGTCTGTGAAAGGTCAGTTGCAAAAGCTATCTCCCATGAAAGGCCCCCATATTCTTAGTAGAGACTGGAACTTCTATTCCTAGGTGTAAAAATTTGCATTCCTGAATTTTATGTTTTGGGCTGTCTGATATATGCCATTTAAAAAGTCATCAGTTATTCAGAAAACCAACAGATTCATTCCAATAAAGTGATATGAAGGGAAAGAAGCTATGTGGCTCTCAAAAACAATGTATACAAACACAAATGTTGGTTTAATGTCTTTTTTTAAATCAAATTATAATTAACATGTTGCCAAGTGTTGGACTCATAGCACAGAATGACTAAGTATACAAAAATGCAATATGAAGAATAAAGGCCTTATAGATAATATGACTAAAGTTAATGTGAAAAAGGAAAGAAAACAGGAAAATAAATACCTAAATTTTCAGATTAAATTATGACAGCATGGATTTCAGTTATCTGGATTCTGTTCCATAGACCTTAGTTGGAAGACATAGTCTACCTTCATTATATGTAGATTTTATATTTGCAAATTCACCTACTCACTCACATTTATTTGTAACCCCTAAACCAATAGCCACAGTGCTTTGGAGGTCATTCACAGCTATTCAGAGTGCAGTGAGAAGTTTGAGTTGCCCAATGTGTTTGTTCCTTGCTAAGGTCCTACAGGGCAACACTCTGCCTTCTTGTTTCAGCTCTTGTACTGTAAACAAGTGTTCTTTTTATGGTATATTTAGTTCTATGAATTTGCATTTTTGTGCTCTGTGTTGGTGACTTTGCTGTTTTGAAAGGCTTCCAAACATAGGGCTGAAGTGCTGCCTAGCGTTCCAAAACTCAAGGAGGATATGATGTGCCTTAAGGCGAAAATAGTATGTGAAAGTTGTAAGATTAAAAATAGAGTCATTGTGTCAAACCCTGGCAAATGAAGCTGAGTAAGGTGATGAAGGGGAGGCTCTAATGCACAATTTGCCTAATAACAGAAATTATCACAAGAAATGTTTTCAAACTACAGCTTACTGAAGAGTCAGCTAGGACTGCTAGTAGCACAAGGAGAGCTAGCCACTTATACAAGAACACTTGCCTAATACACTGTCTCACAAGCCCAACCCCATACTGTAAGGACCTAGCCATAACTACAAGATTACCTCTCCTACCTACCAACTGCTGAAACCCACCACTCACAACTCACCAGCTCTTGCAATAGGTTTCCAGGGCCAACTAAATTTCTTTCAAAATAATTTGCATAAGCTGCTCTTTCCCCCATAAAACCCTCACCTTTTCCATCGTTCTCCAGACATACCAGAGGCCATCCTGGTCTGTATCTATGTCCTGGACTGCAATCCCATTTCTTGTATATTATTCACAAATAAAATATTTTTACTTAGAGATTCACATCTCTATGTTTTGTATGGTGGCAAGTACATAAGATAAGCTTCATTGAGGCATGAATTATAGTGCTATTGATCATGATTTCAATGTAAGTAAATCAACAATATATATTAAATAAGGTGTCTTTAAGCAGAAACACAAAACCAGGCTTGTATTGATCAGTTAACTAAAACATGGCCAGAGGCTTGCAGAAACATCACCTCTTATTTCCCCAAGGAGCAATGATTTGATGTTCACTAATTCAGTGTTCATGACAACCTTATGAACATTACCATGAATAACAAGAATCTGCTGTTTCTACATCTCTTAATGCTATCTACCAGGACTCAAGGTCTTGGGTGAAAGCAATCAGTCTTCCTCCAAAGACTGATTCTTAGTGGAAAGTCTGACTTGTGACTTCTGACTCAAAGGAAATTAAATATCTAAGCACAATTTCACTTGCTTAAAATTCTTCCCATTGCCACAAAAACATGGTCAACAACAATCTTTAATGCTCTTTAAATCTCAAAGCACTATCAACTATTTGAGTAGGATTTTTGCTGTACTTATTTCACAGGATTTAAAAGGATTCAAGCCACTGTTAATTGACTATCAAAATTCCTTCTCCTCAAAGGTCTATTCTGTCAACCTCTATTTGTTGGCCACACTAATTATTAAGAAAACCCATCAAATTCATGTGGACATGCTCCTCCATAATGTGATATAATCTTTGAAGTAAGCAACAACCTTTCTTTCTGAAAACTCATAGAGTTATTTGCCTAAATATTAGACATGTATGCAATTCTATAGTTTTAGTATTTATAAATCCTTTATTTGTTGAATTAAATTAACAAATACATATTAAATTATGACAGGCACAGGCACAATTGTTAAACTGAGTGTATTTTTCTACTAGGAGATCATAACCTTTAATAAGACTTTATTCTGCTAAATGTAATGAAACCTTTTTATTCCTAAGCTTCCATAATAGTTGTACAGCACTTGGCATTCTTGACCATTCTCACCTTTAAATATATATCTTTAAAATATAAATATATTTTAAATAAATATACATCTTTAAATATATATTTTTATATAAAAATATATATTATATACATTTAATAATATATAAATATGTATTGCTTTCATCATAAAAATAATACATGCTATTATACAGGAACACAAATAGCCTAGAAATATAGATGATTAAATAATAAAATTCCCATTTGCTATTTTATTGATGTTCCTTAGGAAGTAAACATGGGAAACAGTTTAGGGAATAAATATATTCATATATTAATGAGCAAATGCATTTGTGTGTGTGTGCGTTATGTGTGTGCACACATGCACACATATATATGCAAGGGGATGAGTTTAGACTTTTCACAAATGGAATCTCCCTAAAAATGTATTTATTTGCTTATTTGATATTTGACATATTCTCATTTTCTTCTAATTTGTACTTCAAAAACTACCCTATTCTTTTTACCTCGCCTTTGTAATAAATACCCCATTGATTGAATGTAGCATGATTCACTGGTTGTTTATATAGCCAGTTAGGACCAGATGCTTAGGATAAAAATATAGTTCACAGTTCTTATTTTTCAAGCCTATCACGAGCACTTGTTGCCCAATTTGACAGTTAGTATTGCCTCTCTCGCTTGATGCTTCCCCACTGAAATGTCTAAGAATCCAGGCAGTTTACTTAGGGGTCTATTTTCCTTTGAGATGCCAGGTGGAGGGAAACCGGAGAGTACAATCAGCCGCCTATTGCCATTGCTTTCTGTCTCTTCAACATGGTACTTTTGTTGAAAGCTGGTCCTATTGATGTGTGTCCACCTGGTAATCTGATACCTGCTCAGGCTGTAAGTCTTGATCCCAAGATTGAGCTCCAAGTTTGCATTAACATTCACACCCTCAGTTGTTTATCTCAAAGCAGGGCCACTGTTATCTGATGACTGGGTCATCATAGGGTATTTAGTCTCAGCAGGGGCTGTACTGGAACCAGCCTTTCTTTTTGAGCCTCCAGTCTAAACATTGGTGTCACACCCCGATGATCTCTTGTCCTGACTCTTTTTCTCAAAAGGTGTACTCACATTGGGCTGGTGTGTCATTTCCTGCTGTAATTCACAACAATCCAACTCCATCAAAGAGGCTCTAATATATCTAAATCAAAAGAGCTTGGGTTCAGTGGTGGGCACAGTAGCTGATACCTGTAATCCCAGCACTTTGAGAGACTGAGGCGGGCAGGGACTGGTGTGGGGCGGGGGTGGGAATCGCTTCAGGTCAGGAGTTTGAGACCAGCCTGGCCAACATGGCAAAACCCTGCCTCTACTAAAAATACAAAAATTAGCTGTAGCTGGGTGTGGTGGCGCCCGCCTGTCCCAGCTACTCAGGAGGCTGAGGCAGGAGAATTGTTTGAACCCAGGAGGAGGAGGTAGCAGTGAGCTAAGATGGTGCCACTGCACTCCAGCGTGGGCCACACAGTGAGATTCTGTCTCAAAAAAAAAAAAAAAAGAGCAAGAGAGAGCTTGGGTTTGAACTTAACCAGTGCATCTGACTTGGGAGATCTATAGCAATTATAGCAATTAGTAGCCTTCAAGTAGGCACATTCGAAAGGAAATGATTGGGGTGGGGGGTGGTTCTCAAGATAGCTGGGGTCCTCCCATGAGGTAACCTGACTCTGTGCAAAGGCACTCAGCTTCTTTCCATGGGCCAGTTCTCAATATGGAGCAGTATTTACAGATAACTTTACTAGGCCACAAAGACTCCTGCTGCAGCCTTCCTCAAAGGTAAGGAGTACTTGCTTTAATTTGAATAACCAAGAAGATCCTCTTGAGTGTTTAGATAAGAGGCAAAGAAGGCATATTCCAAAATGTCTCCATTCCACCTTCCCAGGCCAAGAAGCAAAAAACAGTTTCTTTCTTTTTTTTTTTTTCGAGACTGAGTCTCGCTCTGTTGCCCAGGCTGGAGTACGGAGGCACGATCTTGGCTAACTGCAACCTTCAACTCCCAGGTTCAAGCGATTCTCCTACCTTAGCCTCCCTAGTAGCTGGGATTATAGGTGCGCAACACCATATCCGGCTAATTTTTTGTATTTTTAATAGAGATGGGGTTTCACCATGTTGGCCAGGCTGGTCTCCAACTCCTGACCTCAAGTGATCTGCCCACCTTGGCCTCCCAAAGTGCTGGGATTACAGGTGTGAGCCACCACACCTGGCCAAGAAGGCAGTTTCAATCACTAAGAACTTGAATGTTCACTTCTCCAGGTGTAAACTACATTTGTTTACTGACAAGTAATTTTTTTGTATATTAATTTAAAAAGTAGTATACTTAATATTCTTATTATTTTAAATAGTTTGTAATTAATTCTCTTCAGTTTTGCCAGCTGCAAATAAAAACATTGCTTCCTCTTTACTACTGTTAACATTTCTTTTTCTTATCCAGTAAAATTAAGACAGTTCTTCCACATCAAGGTTAGAAGTGATCATGAACATCATTACCTTGTTCTTAAATTTAAGAAGAAAGTTTCTAGTGTTTCATATTAAACATGAGGCTGGCACTGTCTTTTTTTTTTACAACATTTATTTTAAGTTCAGGGGTACATGTGCAGGATGTGCAGGTTTGTTACATAGGTAAATGTGTGCTGTGGTGGTTTACTGCACAGATCATCCCATCACCTAAGTATTAAGCCCAGCATCCATTAGCTATTCTTTCTGATGCTCTCCCTCCCCCAGTACCCCTTTTGGCAGTCCCCAGTGTGTGTTGTTCTCCCCCATGTGTCCATGTGTTCTCATAATTCAGCTCCTACTTATAAGTAAGAATATGTGGTATTTGGTTTTCTGTTCCTGCATTAGTTTGCTGAGGATAATGGCTTTTCAATCTACCCATATTCTTGCAAAGAATATGATCTTATTCTTTTTTATGACTGCATAGGATTCCATGGTGTATATGTACCACATTTGCTTTATCCAGTTTATCATCGATGGACATTTATATTGATTCCATGCCTTTGCTATTGTGCATAGTGCTGCAATGAACATATGCGTGCATGTATCTTTAAAACAAAATGATTTATATTCCTTTGGGTATATACCCAGTAACGGGATTGCTGGGTCAAATGATATTTCTGCCTCTATGTTTTCTTTTGTTTAATTTTGAGTCTCACTCTGTCACCTAGGCTGGAGTGCAGTGGTGTGATCTTGGCTCACTGCAACCTCTGCCATCCAGGTTCAAGCAATCCTCCCACCTCAGCTTCCTGAAAATCTGGGACCACAAGCGTGCACCACCACAGCCAGCTAAATTTGTATTTTTAATAGAGATGGGATTTCACCATGTTGGCCAGGCTGTTCTCAAACTCCTGATGTGAAGTGATCCGCCAGCCTCAGCCTCCCAAAGTGCTGGGATTACAGGCATGATCCACCATGCCCAGCCTGCCTCTAGGTCTTTGAGGAATTGCCACACTGTTTTCCACAATGGTTGAACTAATTTATATTCCCAGCAACAGTGCAAAAGTGCTCCTTTTTCTCCATAACCTTGCCAGCATCGGTTGTCTTTTGACTTTTTAATTATAGCCATTCTAACTGGCGTGAGATGATATCTCATTGTGGTTTTGATTTGCATTTCTCTAATGATCAGTGGTGTTGAGCTTTTTTCATGTTTGTTGGCTGCAAAAATGTCTTCTTTTGAGAAGTGTCCATGTCCTTTGCCCACTTTTTAATAAGGTTGCTTGTTTTTTTTCTTGTACATTTGCTTAAGTTCCTTATACACTGGATATTAGACCTTGGTCAGAAGGATAGATTGCAAAAATTTTCTCCCATTCTGTAGGTTATCTGTTCACTCTCTGTTGATAGTTTCTTTGCTGTGCAGAAGCTCTTTAATTTAATTAGATCTCATCTGTCAATTTTTGCTTTTGTTGCAATTGCTTTTGACGGTTTTGTCATGAAACCTTTGCCCGTGCCTATGTTCTGAATGGTATTGCCTAGATTTTCTTCTAGGGTTTTTATAGTTTTAGGTTTTACATTTAATGCTTTAATCCACCTTGAGTTAATTTTTGTATAAGGTGTAAGGAAAGGATCCAGTTTCATTTTTTTTTGCATATGACTAGCCAGAGACTGGCACTGTTTTAAATGATGACAAGGTTTTACTTCTCTGTTGTGCTTTTAATTAAAAGATTGATGATTATTTATATCATCCTCACCTTCTTATAAAGAACCTTGATTAGTTATGTTGTATTATTCTTTTAATTTACAGCTGAATCCTGTGAGTTCATACTTTAATTCAGGATTTTGTAATAAAAAGATTAATAAATTGAGTTTGATAAGTTTTTTTATGCTACTCGTGTCAAATGTATTATCTTCCAAAAAATAAAGAATTTTGGTGTTTCACATTTTATTCTTTAATCCATCCTGAGTTAATTTTTGTATAAGATGTAAGGAAGGGATCCAGTTTCAATATTTTTGCTTATAAATAGCCAGAAACTGGCACTGTTTTAAGTGATGACAAGGTTTTACTTCTCTGTTGTGTTTTTTTAAATTAAAAGATTGATGATTATTTGTATCACCCTCACCTTCTTATAAAGAACCTTGATTAGCTATGTTGTATTATTCTTTTAATTTATAGCTAAGTCCTGTGAGTTCATACTTTAATTCAGGATTTTTTATAAAGATTAATAGATCAAATTTGATAAGTATTTTTTATGCTACTTGTGTCAAATGTATTATCTTCCAAAAAATAAAGAATTTTGGTGTTTGTCTTATTTCTCCATGCTCCTGATCTACAAATCACATAAGAATAATGTGCTTTTTAAAGTTATGAACTAATGAACCAGTAAAAGATGTGAGACTACCATGTCATTTTTGTTATTTTTTTAATTTTAGAAGACAGTTTTTCAATAATTTTCTCAGGATTTTCTATGCTTCTTGCTCCATTTTCTTTTACTACTTAAAGTCAATTTTGATCATTTATAAATATATATTTTTTAAATAATATTTTCTAGGTTTTAAATGCATTTGCATAATGTTGTAAGGCTTGTTATCTCGTTTTTTTTCCAATTTTCTCACTCTCTGTAACTGATTTGTTTTCAATTTTGTGTGATTTTGCTTACTCTCATTTTTCTTGATTAGAATTATGATGTTGTAATTTACTTTTAAGATACTTTAACATAGAGAGTGTGATATTATCTATGTGTTATTCTAAGCTATACATAAGGCAAAAAACACTTGTTAAGCTAATCATAAATTAACAGGCCAGGACGGGTCATCTAGCATTCTGATTAAGAAAGGTACATTTCAGGTATGACTACTATAAGTGCTTTAACTATTGACATATCAGTTCCAAAAGAAGCTTTGGGAATTAATATAATTAGTATCAGAAATACTTTTTTACCAATAAAATTAACTTTTTATTCTGTATAATAAATGTTATAGTAGACTCCTACATGCTAAGAGAATGCAGTAAACCTGATGATCTGTGTATTCTGAGCCCAAAACGTAAAAACACTGTGTATTAGTGAGAGTTCTCTAGAGGGACAGAACTAATAGGATACACGTATGTATGAAGGGCAGTTTATTAGAATTAACTCACATGATCACAAGGTGAAGTCTCATAGTAAGCTGTCAGCAAGATGAGGAGCCAGGAAGCCAGTTCAAGTCCCCAAAATCCCAAAAGTAGGGAAGCTGATAGTGCAGCCATCAGTCTATGGCCAAAGGCCTGAGACCCCCCCGTCAAATCACTGGCATAAGTCCGTGAGTCCAAAAGCTGAAGAACATGGAGTCTCATGTTCAAGGGCAGAAAACGTCCAGCAAAGGAGACAGATGGAGGCCAGAAGACTTAGCCGTCTAGTCTTTCCACGTTCCTCTGCCTGCATTTATGCTAGT
Organism: Homo sapiens; assembly: GCF_000001405.40. Lineage (NCBI taxonomy): Eukaryota > Metazoa > Chordata > Mammalia > Primates > Hominidae > Homo > Homo sapiens. The sequence goes on from NC_000017.11 coordinate 54,535,560, forward strand.
CACACTGGCAGCTGAATAGATGGTGCCCACCGATACTGAAGGTGGGTCTGCCTCTCCTAGTCCACTGACTTAAACGTTAATCTCCTTTGGCAACACTCTAACAGACACACCTAGGAAAATACTTTGCATCCTTCAATCCAATCAAGTTGACACTCAATATTAACCATCACAGACTGGTAGCTTTTCCTCCCTTCCTCTTAAAATCCAGCAGCCTTGCTATAAGAAGCCCAGGCCACATGGAATGACCACATGGAAGAAAAATACATTGCCAATTAATAGTACCAGTTGAATTCCTAGCCAGGAGCCAGCACCAACTTCCAGCCAGTTGAGTGAGGTATCCTGCGTGTTCTAGCTCAGTCAAGCCCCAGGTTAATGCAGTCCCAACTGACATCACTTGGAGCAGAAGAACTACACAGCTGATCCCAGTCAGCCTAAAGAATTATGAAAAAGATAATAAAATGACTGTTGTTTTAAGACATTACATTTTGGGTTGGTTTTGTAAGTATCAGTAAATCATCAGATCAACCATGTTTACTTGAACAGGGTATAAGAATTTAAAAAGGTATTTAAGGGGCAGAGCAAGATGGCAGAATTGAATATTCCACCAATCATCCCCACGCCCCACAGGAACACCAAATTTTAAAAACTATCTTCATAAACACAAAAAAAGCACTTTCACAGGAACCAAAAATGAGGGGAGCAATTACAGCACCTGGTTTTAACTTAGTATTGCTGAAAGATGCACTGGAGTGGTTAGGAAAGACAGTCTTGAATCGCTGGCATGATCCCTCTCCTGGCTTTGGCTGCATGGCATGGAAACAGAATTTGTGCACTTAGGGAAAAGACAGTATCACAATGAGTGGGGGACTTTGCATTGAATTCAGTCCTACCTTGTCACAGCAGAAAGTAGAGTCATGCTGAACTTAGCCAGTGGCCACCTACAGAGGGAGCATTTGGACAGGCCCTTACTGGAGGGGAAGTGCCCATCTCAGTGGCTGGGAATTGATTTTCAGCAAGCCTAGCCAAGGCTGGCTAAAGTGCTCTGGAGTACTAAGTGAACTCGAAAGGCAGTGGAGGAAACAAAGACTGCAATTCTTAGGCAAGTCCCGATGGTGTCCGGGGCTTAGAGCCAGTGGACTGGAGCAGCATATGACCTAGTGAGATACCAGATGGGGTGGCTAGTGGTGTGCTTCTGCCACCCCTCCCTCAATCCCAGGCATCGTAGCTCACAGTAACAAAAGTGACTCATTCCTGCTGCTTGAAAAGAGAAGAGTAAAGAGGACTTCATCTTGCATCTTGGACATCACCTCAGCCACAGTAAGATAGAGCACCAGGCAGAGTTGTGAGGCCCCAGTCCCAGGCCTTAGCTCCTGGACAACATTTATAGACACACCCTGGGTAAGAAGAGAACCCACTGCCTTGAAGGGAAGTACCCAGTCCTGGCACAATTCATCACCTGCTGACTAAAGAGACCTTGGGAACTGAATAACCAACAGTGATAATCAAGTAATATGCCATGGGCCTTGGGTGAGACTCTGAGATGTGCTGGCTTCAGGTAACAGCTTGACCACAGTGGAAGAGAGTACCAAGTACACTCTTGGGGTCCCTGATTCCAGGACTAGGCTCTTGGACAACATTTCAGTATCTGCTCTGGGTCAGAGGGGAGTCCACTGCCCTGAAGGGTGAGTCTCAGGCCTGGTAGCATTCACCATAAGCTGATTGAAGAATTCTTAGGCCTTAAGTAAACATTGGAGGTGGCCTTGCAGAACTTTGTGTGAGCCAGTGGTTTTGGCCATGGGGAGAGGCTCCTCTGCCTGTGGAATAAGTAGGGAAGAGTGGGAAGGACTTTTTCTTGGGGTTTGAGTACCAGCTTAGCTGCCATTGAATAAAACATCAGGTGGATTTCTAAGGCCTTTGATTCTAATCCCTGGCTCCAAGACAGCTTCTCTGGACCCACACAGGGCCTGGGAGAACTTGCTACCATGGAGGAAAGGACACAAATGGCTGGCTTCCCCACCTGCTGATTGCAGAGCCCTGGGGCCTTGAGCAAGCATAGGTGGTAGCCAGGTAGTGGTTACAGATGGCCTTGGGTGAGACCTAGTGCTGTGCTGGCTTCATGTCTGACCCAGGGCAGTTCCAGTGTTGGTGGCTACAGGGGTGCTTGCATCATCCGACCCAAAGTTCCAGGTGGCTCAGCACAGAAAGGGAGAGAGATGGCGTTTGTCTGGGAGAATGTAAGGAAAGAGAACAAGAATGTCGACCTGATAATCCAGAGAGTTTTTTCAGATCTTATGCAAGACCACTAAGATAGTACCTTTACAAGTCTGCAAGAACCACAGCATTCCTGGGCTTGGGGTCCAAGTCCTTTCTAATACCTCAGAAGCCTTCCCAAGAAGAACAGACAAAGATTGCAAAGTCCAGATAGTGAAGACTGCAATAAATACCTAACTCTTCAATGTCTGGACACTGATGAATGTCTACAAGCATCAAGACCAGCCAGGAAAACGACCTCACCAAATTAACTAAATAAGGCAACTGAGATAAATTATGGAGAAACTGAGATATATGACCTTTCAGACAAAATCACCTTTACTAAAAGACAGGAAGAAAGGAAAGAAGAAAGAGAAGATCACAAAACAGTAAGAAAACAAATAACAAAATGGCAAGAGTAACCTCTTATTTATCAATAATAACACTGAATGTAAATGGACTAAACTCTTCAATAAAAGGACAGAGGGTGGCTGAATGTATAAAAAAGCAAGACACAATGACCTGTTGCATAAAAGAAACACACTTCGTCTATAAACCCACACATAGACTTAAAGAGACGAGAAAAGATATTCCATGCCAATGGAAACCAAAAAAGAGCAGAACTAGCTATACTTATATCAGACAAAATAGATTTCAAGACAAAAACTGTAAGAAGAGACAAAGAAGGTCATTATATAAAGGGATCAATTCAGCAAGAGCATATGACAATTATAAATATATATGCAATAAACACTGAAGCAAATATACAAAGCAAATATTAATATTAGACATAGAGAGACTGCCCTCAATACAGTAATAGCTGGAGACCTCAACACTCCACTTTTAGCATTCAACAGATTTTTCTGAACAGAAAATCAACAAAGAAACATTGGACTTAAACTACAATGTAGACCAAACAGACCTAAAAGAATTTGAATTTCTGCAGTATCACTTGTAATATCTATGTTTTCATTCTGATTTTATTTGGGTCTTCTCTCATTTTTTCTTACTCTGGCTAAAAATTTGTCAATTTTATTTTTTTCAAAAAACAGGTTACTCTTGCCATTTTGTTATTTGTTTTCTTACTGTTTTGTGATCTTCTTTTTTTTCTTTCCTTTCTTCCTGTCTTACTTTTAGTAAAAGTGATTTTGTCTGAAAGGTCATATGTCTTTGTTTCTGCAGAATTTGTCTCACATAAAAGATATTTACAGAACATCTCATCTAACAGCTGCAGAATACACATTATTTTTAGCATATGGATCATTCTCAAGGAGAGACTATATGTTAGGTCACAAAACAAGTCTTAAAACATTTAAAATAATTGAAAAAATAATATTATGCATCTTCTCTGACCACAATGGAATATAACCAGAAATCAATAACAAGATGTTTGAAAACATACAAACACATGGAAAGTAAACAATATGTTCCCGAATGATCAAAGGTCAAAGAAAAAAAAGGAACTGAAAAATTTTTTGAAACAAATCATAATGAACACACAAGCATACCAAAACCTATCAGATTCAGCAAAAGCAATACTAAGAGAGAAATTTCTAGCTATAAGTACCTACATCATATATATGTGTGTCTCAAATAACCTAACTCTGTATCTCAGAGAACTAGTAAAGCAAGAGCAAACAAAACCCAAATTTAGTAGAAGAAAATAAATAATAAAGATCAGAGCAGAAATAAATGAAATTAAGATGAAAATAATACAAAAGATAAATGAAACACAGTGTTGGTTTTTTGAAAAAAATTAAATTGACAAATTTTTAGCCAGACTAAGAAAAAATGAGAGAAGATCCAAACAAATAAAATTGGAATGAAAAGGTAGATATTCCAAGTGATACTGCAGAAATTTGAAAGAATATTAGTGGCAACTATGAGTAACTACATGCCAACAAATTGGAAAATCTAAAGAAAATGGATAAATTCCCAGACACATACAACCTACAGGGTTAAGCCATGAAGAAATCCAAAACCTGAATAGACCAATAACAAGTAATGAGATTGAAGCCATAATAAATCTCCCAATAAAGAAAAAGCAGGGACTGAAGACTTCACTGCTGAATTCTACCAAACTTTTAAAGAACTAATACCAATCCTAGTCAAACTAGTCCAAAAAATAGAGGAGGAGGGAATACCTCCAGGCCCATTCTATGAGGCCAGTATTACCCTGAGACCAAAACCAGAAAAAGATGCATCCAAAAACAGAAAAACTACATGCCAATATCCCCGATGAATATTGATGAAAAAATCCTCAACAAAATACCAGCAAACCAAATCCAACAACACATTTAAAATATCGTTTATCATGACCAAGTGGGATTTATCCCAGGGATTCAAGAATAGTTCAACATATTCTAATCAACCAATATGATATATTGTATCAACAGAATGAATACAAAACCATATGATTATTTCTATTGATGCTGTAATAAGCATTTGATATAATTCAACATCTCTTCATGATAAAAACCATAAAAAAAACTGGTTATGGAAAGAACATACCTCACCATAATAAAAATGATATAGTACAGACCTACAGCTAGTATCATAGTGAATGAGGGAAAACTGAAAGCCTTTCCTTTAATATCTGGAAGAAGACAAGGATGTCCACTGTCTCCAGTATTATTCAACATATTACTGGAATCCCTAGCTAAAGCAATCCGACAACAAAAAGAAATAAAGGGCATTCAAATTGGAATGGAAGAAGTCAAATTAGACTTATTTTCAGATGGTACGATCTTGTATTTGGAAAAACCTAAAGACTCCACCAAAAATCTGTTAGAATTGATAAACAAATTTAGCAAAGTTGCAGGATTCAAAATCAATATACAAAAATCAGTAGCGGCTGGGCCCAGTGGCTCACGTCTGTAATCCCAGCACTTTGGGAGGCCGAGGCAGGCGGATCATGAGGTCAGAAGATCGAGACCATCCTAGCTAACACGGTGAAACCCTGTCTCTACTAAAAACACAAAAAAATTAGCCGGACGTGGTGGTGGGAGCCTGTAGTCCCAGCTACTCGGGAGGCTGAGGCAGGAGAATGGCATAAACCCGGGAGGCGGAGCTTGCAGTGAGCCGGGACCGTGCCACTGCACTCCAGCCTGGGCGACAGAGCGAGACTCTGTCTCCAAAAAAAAAAAAAAAAATCTGTAGCATTTCTATATGCCAAGACAGAACAATTTGAAAATAAATAAAAAATGTGATCCTACTTACAATAGCCACAAATAAAGTTAAATACCTGAGAACTTAACCAAGAAGTGAAAGACCTCTCAGTGAAAACTATAAGACACTGATGAAAGAAATTGAAGAGGATACACAAAAAAAGGAAAGATATCGCACTTTGAGAATGGAAGATTGGAAGAATCAATATTGTTAAAACATCCATACTATCCAAAGCAATCTACAGATTCAAAACAATACCTATCAAAATACCAATGATATTCTTCACAGAAATAGAAAAAACAATCCTAAAATTGATATGAACCGCAAAAGACCCAGAATAGCCAAAGTTATCCTGAGCAAAAGAACAAAACTGGAAGAATCAAATTACCTGACTTCAAATTATACTACAGCGCTATAATAACCAAAACAGCATGATACTCGCATAAAAATAGACACATAAACCACTGGAACAGAACAGAGAAACCAGAAACAAATCCATATACCTACAGTGAACTAATTTTCAATAAAGATGCCAAAAACATGTATTGAGGAAAAGACAGTCCTTTCAATAAACAGTGCTGGAAAAACAGGCTATTCATATGCAGAAGAATGAAATTTGACCCCTACCTCTCATCATATACAAAATTAAATCAAAATGGATTAAAAACTTAAATCTAATGCTTCAAACTATGAAGCCCCTTCAAGAAAGCACTGGGGAAACTCTCCAAGACATTGGTCTGGGCAAAATTTCACTTCTTAACTTGATCACATCAAGTTAAGAAGCTTCTGCTCAGCAAAGGGAACAATCAACAAAGCAAAGATACAACCCACAGAATGAGAAAAATTATTTGCAAAGTACCCATCTGACATGGGATTAATAACCAGGATATATGAGGTGCTCAAATAACTCTATAGGAAAAAAAAAATCCAATAGTCTGATTTTCAAACGTGTAAAAGTTCTGAATAGACATTCCTCAAAAGAAGACATATGAATGGCAGTCATATAAAAACATGTTCAACATCACTGAGCATCAGTGAAATCAAAACTACAATGATTTATCATCTCACCCTAGTTAGAATGGCTTTTATCCAAATGACAGGCAATAACAAATGTTGGTGAGGTTGTGGAGAAAATGGAACCCTCGTACATTGTTAGTGGGAATATAAATTAGTACAATCACTATGGAGAACAGTTTGGAGGTTCCTCAAAAAACCAAAAATAGAGCTATCATAAAATCTAGTAACCCCACTGCTAGGTATACACCCAAAAGAAAGGAAATCAGAATATCAAAGAGATGTGTACTCTCATGATTATTGCAGCATTATTCACAATAGTTAAGATTTGAAAACAACCTACGTATCCATCAACAAAAGAATAAAAAAGGAAAATGTGATAGATATACACAATGGAGTACTATTCACCCATAAAAAATGAGAATGAAACCCTGTCATTGGCAACAATATGGATGGAACTGGAGGTCATTATGTTAAGTCGAATAAGCCAGGCAAAGAAAGACAAACTTCTCATGCTCTCACTTACTTGTGGGAGCCAATAATTAAAGCAATTGAACACATCGAGATCAAGAGTAGAAGGTTAGTTACCACAAGCTAGGAAGGGTAGTGGGGGATCTGGGAAGAAGTGGGGATTGTTAATGGGTACAAAAAAAGACTTACAAAGAATGAATAAGACCTAGTATTTGATAGCACAACAGGTTGGCTATAGTCAATAATAATTTACTTGTACATTTTGAAATAACTAAAAGTCTATAATTGGATTATTTATAATCCAAAGGATAAATGCTTGAGGGGATGAATACCCCATTTTCTGTGATGTGATGTTTACACATTGCATGTCTGTATAAACTCATCTCATATGCCCCATAAATATATACACCTACTATGTACCCACAAAAATGAAAAATTGCAAGTATTTAACATAGTACTGGAAACCATTGCCAGAGCAATTAAGAGAGAAAAAGAAATAAAAGGCATCTAAATTACTAACAAGAAGTAAAATTATCTCTATTTGCAGAAGATATAACCTTATATGTAGAAAACTCTACATATTCTTCAATTAATTAACCAATAAAAGTGTGTAAACTAATGAGAGAATTTAGCAGTTTCAGGATACAAATTAAACACACAAAAATCAGTTGTGTTTCTATCTACTAACAATGGCCAATTCAAAAAGGATATCAAGAAAATAATTCCATTTACAATATCATCAAAAATAATAAAATATTTATGAATAAGTTTCACCAAAGATGCAAAGGACTTGTACACTGAAAACTAAAAAAAATGTGGCTGAAAGCAACTAAAGAGCACACAAATAAATGAAAAAAAATCCCATGTCTGTGGCTTGGAAAACTTAATATTAGGATATCAATACTACCCAAAGTGCTCTACAGATTTGATATAATTCCTATCCAAATCTCTGTCTTTTTTTTTTCAGGAATTAAGAAACCTATCTTAAAAATTCATATGGAATTTCAAGGGACCTTGAAGAGCCCAAACAATTTTGAAAAAAAAAAAAAAACAAAGTTGGAGGTCTCACACTTCCTGATTTCAAAACTTAAATATATGGTAATCAAAACAGTTTTGTAGTGGCATAAAGAATGACATATAGAATAACAGAAAAGAATAAAAAGCCCAGAAATATACCCTCATGTATATGGTTAAACGATTTTTGAAATGAGTTCCAAGACCATTGAAAAGGCAACCTTTTCAACAAATGATGGAAAAACTAAATGCAAAAGAATGAACTTAAATTTCTACCTTACGCCACTTATAAAATTGTCTCAAAATTAATCAAAGACCTATAGATTCAATACAAATTTTTAATAAAGATGCCAAGAACATGTATTGAGGAAAAGACAGTCTTTTCCATCAATGGTGCTGGCAAAACAGGCTATTCATATGCAGAAGAATGAAACTTGACCCCTATCTCTCACCATATACAAAATCAAATCAAAATGGATTAAAAACTTAAATCCTAGGCTTTAAATTATGAAGCTCCTTCAAGAAAGCACTGGGGAAACCCTCTAGGACATTGGTCTGGGCAAAAACTAAAACTAAAAAGTCTTAGAATGAAACAAATAAATCTTCATGACATTGGATTTGGCAACAATTTCTGGATATAACAGCAAAAGCACGGGCAACCAAAGAAAAAATAGATAAATTGGAATAAATTAAACTTAAAAATAATCTGCACATTAAGACACAACCAGAGTAAAAAAGCAACATGGAATGGGAGAAAATATTTGGAAATCGTATGCTGACAAGGGTTGGAGACAGCTTAAGACTACTGAGTTCCCCAGGGGAGGTGTGACTGTCATCACTGCAGCTGCCTGCTGCCTAAGACCACTGATGGGCAGCAGCCACCACTGCAGCTCCAGCCTGCCATTTTTCCCCTGCTGGAGCTGGGGAGACTAGGTGGTTTGGACTGGGAGGAATCCCCACAGCGCAGCTCAGCAGCTGTGGCAGATCTTGGCAAGCCTGCCTGTTTAGGCCAGATCCTGACCCATATGTCCTCAACAGGCAGGGCCTCCCTGCAGGAATTTCAGCAACTCCAGCGAGGGATTTACAAACAGAACTCTAATCTCCCTGGGATGAAGCCCAGGATGGGTAACCACGGGGTCTCCATGCATCAGCGTACTTAGTCTTTCCTCCTGCTGGCTCTGAGGAATCCAGGCAGTCCGGATGAGGGGCAAGCACGGTTCTTCGTTAAGCAGATCCCTGATCCTGTGCCTTCTGACAGGGTGAGACCTCCCTCAGCAGGGGTTGCCAGGCACCTTACTCAGGAGAGTTCCAGCTGGCATTAGGTCGGTGCTCCTCTGGGACAGAGTTACCAGAGGAAGGACCAGAAAGCCATCTTTGCTGTTCTGCACCCTCCACTGGTGACACCTCCAGGTGCAGGAGGGACCCAGGCACATAGGGTCTGGAGTGGACCCCCAGCAAAACACAGTAGCCCTATGGAAGAGGGGTCTGACTGTTAAAATAAAAATAAACAGAAAGCAACAACAACAACAACATCAACAATAAAAGTCCCTACAGAAACCCCATCCAAAGGTCAGCAGCCCCAAAGATTGAAGCTAGATAAACCCACAGAGAAAGAATCAATGAAAAAATTCTGAAATCTCAAAGAGCCAGAGTGCCTCTTCTCCTCCAAATGATCACAACACCCCTCCAGCAAAGGCACAGAACTAGGCGGAGGCTGAGACGGATGAATTGACAGAAGTAGGCTTCAGAAAGTGGATAATAATGAACTTCACTGAGCTAAAGGAGCATGTTCTAACCCGACGCAAAGAAGCTAAGAACTTGGCTCATCCCATTCCTGGGTATGTACCCAAAGGAATATAAATCATTCTAATATAAAGATACATGTATGCGTATGTTCATTGCAGCACTATTCACAAAAGCAAAGATGTGGAATCAACCCAAATACCCATCAATGGTAGACTGGATAAAGAAAATGTGATACATGTACACTATGGAATACTATGCAGCCATAAAAAGGAAATAGGTCATGTCCTTTGCAGGGACATGTATGGAGCTTGAAGCCATTATCATCAGCAAACTAACACAGGAACAGAAAACCAAACACTGCATATTTTCACTTGTAAGTGAAAGCTGAACAATGAGAACACATGGACACAGAATGGGGAACACCACACACTGGGGCCTGTCAGGGCGAGGTAAGCAGGGGAAAGGAGAGCATCAGGATAAATAGCTAATGCAAGCAAGGCTTAATACCTAGGTCACAGGTTGATAGGTGCAGCAAACCACCATGGCACACATTTACCTATGTAATAAACCTGCACATCCTGCACATGTATCCTGGATCTTTAAATTACATTACATGAAAAAAAATAAAACTACCACTACCATATGATTCAGCAATTCAATTTCCAAATACATACCCAAAAGAATTGAAAGCAGAGTGTCAAAGATACATATGTAGACCCATATAGAAGTGTTATTTCCAATAGCTAAAAGGTGGAAGTAACCCAAATGTCCATAGATGAATGATAAACAAAATATGGTATATACATATGATGATATATTATTCAGCATTAAAAAGGAAAGAAATTCTGAGACATGCTATGATATGGATGAACCTTGAAAACATTATGGTAAGTGAAGTAAGCCAGTCGCAAAAGGGCAAATACTGTATGCTTCCATGTATATGAGGTTCCTAGAGTAGACAAACTCATAGAGCCAGAATGGTGGTTTCCAGGGCCTGGGATAGGGGTGAATGGGGAATTATTGTTTAATGGGCATAGAGCTTTAGTTGGGGAAAATGAAAAGTTTCTAAAGATGAATGGTGGCGATGGTACACAACAATAAAAATGTACTTAATGTTACTAAACTGTACCCTTAAAAGTATTTAAAGCGGTGAATTTTATGTTTTTATTTGCTAGATGAAAACATTTCTAGAGATTGGATGTACAACATAAATGTGCTTAACACTACTGAACTGTAAGATAACTGAAAAATAATTAAGAGTTAATTTTATGTTATGTGTATCTTACCACAATTAAAAATAAAAACAAAAACTTAAGAAGGAATTAGCCTTTAGTCTTACCAATTATACTTGAAATTTGATGTCTAATTGTCCTATGTCCAGCTATTGAGTTGGAGGATGTGTGAACTAATGCCAACTATAGTTGGCAGCAGAATCTAAAAGCAATAGAAATATGTCAGATCTGGCTCAAGCAAATGGTTTATTCTAGGCTGTGAGCAGAGCAGTAAAAGAACAGGAAGTTTAAACTTTATCAAGAGTAATGTGGAGTGACCTAAGTAGCTACAAGAGCCCATCCCCTTACAGAAACACTGAAAACAGACCCAAATTGTAAGAATCAACTTTGCCAGAATGCTGGAAAACAGTAAAAGGTTTAGAGTAAATAAGCGAATGCTGAATGAAGAAAAAGGCAACTTAAAAATGGCAGGAAAGCTCTGTGGTGTTTTTACATGCCATTTTCCCACCCCTGCCCCAGTGCAGTAGCAGTCTTGAAGACAGCAGCCTACATTCCCAGTGTGGAACCCTGGTCCCTGATTCTAGAGGAAGCAGCATAGACCTTATTCAGAAAGAATTATGTTTGGTATAATTAGTCTGGGAACTACCAGGAAGACTAGTTCATGGAATTTGGCTTTGTTTGGCCTAACCTAGAACTCACACAGGTTGGAAGAGTAGAGGGCACTTTTCAAAAACGTGGTAACAATAACAAGCAGCCCATAGACAAGTGGAGCAAAAGCTTACAGTGAAACATACAATACAGTGTTCAAACCCTGGGATTAAAAATTGAGGAGAGAGTTTCTTTGGAAATTAAAACATTCAAAAGTGACCGTGTATCCCACAGAATTTAGAAAGCTACACATATACCCATGCCAGATGCATATTCAGAAAACAACAACAGTAACAACTACAAGTTTTTACCTCTGGCTGCTCTCAAGGCTCAGTGCAAGCAGACAGTGAAGGGGAAGGTGGAATTGTGAATGACAGGACTAAGAATTAAAGGAGTGCCCAGTACAGAGCCAATCTGCAAAGAGTAGGAGGGAGTTTTATCCTTATTTTTTCCCTTTTTTTCTCCCTTAGTTGCAATATCTATTCCTGGCATTCAAGGAAATCTCTGGCGAAACACTCGTTGAACAAAACATAAAGGAACACAAATTTCAGAGACCACACATGACTAAGAAGACAAACTTTACAACATTAATTCAGAAAATTGCTTTAAAAACAAACAATATAAAGCACAAAACAAAAATCCTGAAGAGTGGGAAGATTCTGATTTCCAGTTAACACATTCTAATACTGAAAATGTTCAATTTTCCATGGAAAATTATGAAGCATGAAAAGAAATAAGAAAATATAGTCCATTCACAGAAGAAGTTAATAGAAACTTTCTTTGAGGAAGTATAAACATTGGATTTACTACACAAAGATTTAACTCAGCCATCTTAAATATGCTCAAGGAGCTAAAGGGACCCAGGAGAACAATGTATGAATAAATAGAGAATATCAACAAAGATATAGAAATTATAAAAAGAAACCAGAGTCATTTTTTAAAAATATTTTCCTTTTATTATGTTCAGCTGACATGTAACAATTGTACATATTTATGGGGTAGAATGTGATATTTTGATACATGTATACAATGTGTAATGATCAAATCAGGGTAATTAGCATATACATCCCCTCACACATTTATAATTTCTTTGTGTTGGGAACATTAAAAATTCACTCTTCTGTTTGAAAATAAATAATAAATTATGATTAATTATACTTATCCTGCAGTGCTATGGAACACTAAAACTTATATCTCCTAACTAGCTATAATTTTACATCTGTTAACAAACTTCTTACTATCACCTCCACCCCGACTCAATACCTTTCCCAGCCCGTAGAAACCACTATTCTATTCTCTACTTCTATGAAATCATTGTTTTAGCTTCTACATATGAACATTCAGTATCCATCTTTCTGTGCCTGCTTATTTCACTTATCCTAATGTCCTCCAAGTTCATCTATGTTGCTATGAATGACAAGATTTTATTCTTCTTTCTGGCTGAATATTATTCCACTGTGTACGTATACCATATTTTCTTTATCTGTTCATCTGTTGATGGACATGTAAGCTTGTTCCATATCTCAGCTATTGTGAATAGTGTTTCAATAAACATAAGAGCATGTGTTTTTGATGTATTGATTACTTTTCCTTTGGATATATACTCAGTAGTGGAGTTGCTGGATCATGTGCCAATTCTATTTTTAGTTTTGTAAGGAAGCACCATAATGTTTTCCATAATGGCCACACTAATTTACGTTTCCACCAACAGTGTATAAGAGTTCCCTTTCCTCTGTATCCTTGACAGCATTTGTTATTGTCTTTTTGATAATAGCCATTTTAACTGGGGTGAGGTGATGTCTCATTGTCATTTTGATGTGCGCTTCCCTGATGATTAGTGATGTTGAGCATTTTTCATATACCTGTTTGCCACTTGTATGTCTTCTTTTGACAGATGTATATTTAGCTAATTTGCCTATTTTTACATTGAATTATTGGTGTTTTTGTTGTTGAGTTATTTGAGTTTCTTGTGTATTCTAGCTATTAATCCCTTATCAGATGAATAGCTTGCAAATATTTTCTCCCATTCTCTAGGTTGTCTTTTTACTGATCATTTTCTTTGCTGTACGAAGCTTCTTACTTTGACCTAATCTCATTTGTCTATTTTTGCTTTTGTTGCCTGTGCTTTTGCAGTCTTCTCAATAAACCTTTGCCTAGACCAATGTTCTGAAGCATTTCCCTTATGTTTTCTTCTAGCAGTTTCACAGTTTGGGGTCTTACATTTAAGTCTAAAAGATCGTGAGTTGACTTTTCTATATGGTGAGAGACAGGGGTCTAGTTTCATTGTTCTCCATATCAATATTTAGTTTTTCCAGCATAATTTATTATGTATTCACTGACATAATGTATGTATACATATTGTATATTTTCGTATATTAAATCATTCTGCATCCCTGGGAGAAATTTGACTGATCATGGCGAATGAATGACCTTTTTAATGTACTGCTGAATTTGGTTTACTAGAATTTTGTTGAGGATTTTTGCATCTATTTTCATCAGGGATATTTGTGTATAGTTTTCTTGTGTGTATGTGTCTTTGTCCAGTTTTGGTATCAGGGTAATGTTGGCTTCATAGAATACATTTGGAAGAATTTCCTCATCTTTAATTTTCTGGAGGACTTCAAGAAGACTTGGTATTAGTTGTTCTTTAAGTGTTTGGAAAAATTGAGCCATGATGCCATCAGATGTTGGGCTTCCTTTGACAGGAGACTTCTTATTATTGAATAAATTTCATTACTCATAATTCATCTATTGAAATTTTCTATTTCTTTTTGGTTCAATCTTGGTAGTTTGGATGTATCCAGGAATCTATTTATTTCCTCTTAAGTTTTCCAATTTGTTGGCATATAGTTGTTCATAATAGTCTCTTATGATCCTTCATATTTCTACGGTATCGGTCATAATGCCTTCTTTTTTATTTCTAATTTTCTTTGTTTGGGTCTTTTTTATCTTGTTTAGCTATTGGTTTCTCAATTTATCTTTTCAAAAAGCCAATTTTTATTTTTTATCTTTTGTATATTTCCTAGTCCTAATTTCATTTGTTTCTGCTCTGATCTTTATATTTTTATCATTATTACTAATTTGAGGTTTACATTGTTTTTGCATTTCTAGTTGCTAATTGTTTCTGATGTATTGTTCAGCTTTTCATTTGAAATATTTCTACTTTTTTTTTTTTTTTTTTTTGAGACAGAGTCTCACTCTGTCACCCAGGCTGGAGTGCAGTGGCATGATCTTGGCTTACTGCAACATTCGCCTTGTGGGTTCAAGGAATTCTCCTGCCCCAGACTCCCTAGTAGCTGGGACTACAGGCACACTCCACCATGCCTGGCTAATTTTTATATTTTTAGTAGAGATGGGGTTTCACTATATTGGTCAGGCTGGTCTTGAACTCCTCACCTCGTGATCTGCCCACCTCAGCCTCCCAAAGTGCTGGGATTACAGGCGTGAGCTACCGTGCCCGGCTGAAATATTTCTACTTTTTTGATATAGGTGTTTCTTGTTATAAACTTCCCTCTTAATACTATTTTTGCTGTACTCCATAGGTTTTTGTATGTTGTGTGTCTGTTTTCATTTGTTTCAATTTTTTATTAATATCTTTCTTCTTTATTGACCCATTGGTTATTCAGGAGCATGTTGTTTAATTTACATGTATTTGTACAGTTTTGAAAGTCCCTCTTATTATTGATTTCCAGTTTTAATCCATCAAGGTCAGAAAATATACTTAATATTATTTTAATTATTTTTAAGCTTGCTGAGTCTTATTTTATGGTTTAATGTACAGTCTATCCTGAAGAATGTTTCAAGGACTGATAAAAAGAATGTGCATTCTGCAGTTGTTGGATTAAATGTTTTATAAACATAGGTTCATTTTGTCTAAAGTGCAGTTTAAGTCCAATGTTTCTTTTTTAATTCTCTGCCTAGATAATTTGTTCAATGTTGAGGGTTGGGTGTCAAAGTCCCCAAGTATTACTGTAGTGGAGTCTACCATTCCCTTTAGATCTAAACATTTGCTGTATATCTCTGGATGCTCCAGTGTTGGGTGCATACATATTTACAATTGTTATATTGCTGAAGAGATCCCTTTATCATTATATAATGATCTTCTTTGCCTCCTTTTATAGTTTTTGACTTAAAGTCGTTTCATCTGTTGTAGATATAACTACTCCACCTTGCTTTAGATTTCTACTTATGTGGAATGTCTTTTTCAATCTCTTCACTTTCAGTCTATGCATGCCTTTACAGGTAATTTCTTATAAGCAACATGGTTGGGTATTGTGTTATGGGTTTTTTTTTTAATCCATTTAGCCAGTCTACATATTTTAATTAAGGAATTTAATTCATTTACACTTAAGGTTACTATTGAAAGAACTTAATCCTCTCATTTTGTTAATTGTTGTCTTATTGTTTTGTATATTTTTTCTTCCTTTCCCCTTCTCTTATTATCATTGTGGTCTGGTGGGTTTTTTTGTTTTCTTGTTTTGTTTTGTTTTGTTTTGTTTTGTTTTGTTTGTAGTTGTAAGGTCCGATTCCTTTCACTTTCTGCTTTACGTATATGCTTTACCAGTGAAGTTTGTTGTTGTTGTTTTACTTTTATGTGTTTTTATGATGGTGGTTATCTTCCTTTCCCTTCTAGATGTAGGGCTCCCTTGAATATTTCTTTTAATGCCAATTTAGTGATGATTAATTTCCTCAGCTTTTGCTTATGTGGGAAGAACTTTATTTCCCCTTCACTACTGAATTAAATCTTTGCTAGATATGGTATTTTTGGCTGACAATATTTTTCCTTTCAGTACTTTGAATATATTATCCCATTCTCTCCTGTCCTATAAGGTTTCTGCTGAGAAATCTGCTGTTATTCTACTGAGGATTCCCTTATATGTGACTTCATGTTTTTCTCTTGCTGTTTTTAGAATCTTCTCTTTGTCTTTAACTTTTGGCAATTTGACTATAATGTGCCTCACAGAGGACCATTTTGTGCTGAATCTACTCAGGAACCTTTGAGTTTCCTGGATCCAGATGTCCATCTCTCTCTCCAGATTTGGAATTTTTCAGCTGTCATGTTGTTAAATAGATTTTCTGTGCCATTTTTGTCTCTTCTCCTTCTGGAACTCACATAATGTAAAATTTTGTTTGCTTAATAGTGTTCCATAAATTATGTTAGCTTTCTTTACTCTCATTTTTATTTCTTGTTTTTTTTTTCCCTAATGGGGTAATTTCAAATGACCTATCTTCAAAGATTTCTTCCCTCTGCTGATATAGTCTGCTGTTGAAATTCTCTATCCTACTTTTTATCTTATTCATTGATTTTTTTTCACCTGTAGAATTACTGTTTGGTTTTTTTATAATATCTATTTTTGTTAAATTTTTCATTCATATTGCAAATCATTTTCCTGATTTCATGGAATTGTCTATCTATATTCTGTTGTATATCAATGAACTTTCTTAAGATCATTATTTCAAACTCATTTTCTGGCAGTTCACTTATTTTCTTTTCTATAGGGTCTGTTACTAGAGAGTTATTGTATTCCTCTGCTGGTGTCATACTTTTTTGCCTTTTTATGTTTCTTGCGTCCCTCTGTTTATTACTGGGAAGGAGGAAAATCTTTGGTCCATAGTCATCTTGGGAGAAAGATTTCAGCCAAACAACCATTCTGATAGCAGATTTATTGAAAATATGGGGAGCAGAAAGCTTATTTAAAAGGACAGTATGCTCTGAAAGATGAGGCAGAGCAGGCTGCTGAAAGAGAATGGGCCAATGGCCCCCTGAGAGTTCTCTGTTGAGTTTTTACGATGTTGGATATTTTTCTTGAAGCTTCTGCTTCTGTCTCAAGTCTCTGCCTTTTTTCTCTTTTTTCTGTATCTAGTTTTTCCACTTTGGCCTTAAGTCCCCACATTTTCCCCACCTGGTTTCCACCCCAGGTTTATGAGATTATCCTCACTGTCAGTTGATGTGCATGTACAGACCCAGCGTGGGATACGAATTCTACCTAATGGCTGCATTGCTCATTACCACCAGCCCAAGAAGGTTGTATAGTGGTGAAATCTATACTTACTGCACATGTGTATCTCTTAGGAATTTTTCTTTTGCCCTCTTTCCTCCTTATCAGCATGCACCTAGCAACATCGTGACATTTGAAATGCAGAGTGAATAATCATTAGGCATCTTAAGGGGCATTCCTTTCTGTATAGGTGTTTTGCCTCCTCTCTGCTCATATCTAGTATGCATGGTTTGGGTGATCTCTGGGGTGTGAAGTTTTCCAGACCTCTCTTTTCTCATGGACTCCCCACTCCTGCTTGTGTCTAGCTATCTGCCTGCTCTAACACGTTAATGCCAGTGCATTTGGTGGGACAATTGCCTCTTCCAAACTTTACAGAGTGGCTTTTGAAGAAAAAGACCTTCAACTGCAGGTGGGTCTTAGTGTGTTGATTGGGAAGAATGTGATGACTCTTGTTCCAAATAGATGTAGTGATATAGTCTTCATGCAGCTTCTTCAATTGTGATCAATGTCAGTGATAACTGTGAGTGTCTCAGTGACCTAGACTGTGGAAGTTTGTGGCAGTGGCAGCAGCAGCAGTGGTGGCAGTGGTGTAGTTGGTTAAGTTTCTCAGTGTCAAGAGCTTTTGAAGTTCTCTTATTTTTATTTTCCCCATAATGAAGAGACTTAGCAGAGGGAATCCCCCTTATTTTCAAATATGACACAACTTACAAGCATCTGCAGTGGCACTGGATTTCAGGTGCAAAAGCTCAGAGTGGCTGTGGAGCCAAGATCCTAGGTCCAGGGTCCAATGAAGCTTTGTAGCACCTGGATCGTGGGGTGCAGGTTAACTCTCTGTAGCAGGGTTGGATGTATAATGTCTGTGGATCTAGGATCTGTGACTCTGAGGCATCCCCTTTTTAGCAGCTTAGGACCAGAAGGCTGGGTTGTAGCTGTGATTCTGACCATAGTGGGTAAGGCACAACATTGACCCAGATCTGGAGAAGGAGTGCTCTGGAGGTTTGGGCCTGCGGAGCAGGTTATGGCTGCAATTCAAGAGCCAGATCCAGTTTGGTTCAGAGGCAACTTGGGTCCCAAGACATGAGGCACTGTGTAGTGATGACTCTAGACCCTGGAATAGTAGGACTTGGCAATCCAGACTCTGTGAGACCAGGTGCAATAGCAGCAAGGACCCCAGAATGGCAGAGCACAGCTATTGTTTGGGTCCTGGGAGACAGGTAGCAGCACAGTAATTATTTCACTTCCCAGAGAGAAGTGTGTCTCAGCATCTTAGATACAGAGGGCTAATCCTGTCCAGGTAAGCAAGGAACTTACTTGTTTGGCATGCAGTGAAGGTGTCTCAGCTATAGTGTGGGACGCACAGCTGCTCACCTTGGCTAAGGCGCTGATTTCTTAGGAGGCAATGCACTGTTTCTGCTCTAACCTGGGGGACTGACAGCTCTTGGCAGTCCAGGGATCATTACTCTGAGATGCAGGATGCCACTTCAACTTAAGTATTGGGGTGCTTGTCTGCTCTGAATGGCCAAGGCACCCTTTCCTGAGAGGCAGGGTGCTGCTTTAACTTATGCACCAGGGAAGCATTACTCTTGCAGGCAGCCAAGGTACTATTTTCCCAGGAGACAGGGGACTGCTTCAGCCCAGGCACTGGGAATATAACTGCTCTGGCAGTCAATGCATCATTTCCCTGGGATGCCAGTTATTGCTTTAGCTCTGGCATAGTGGGGAAGGCTGTAGGAGTGACTGGAAGATGTATGTGGAGCTGCTCCATTAAAGCACCATTTTCCTGGGAGGCGATGTCCAATTTCAGGTTGAGTCCTGTGGAGCAGGTCACAGCAGTGACTGGCAGGGTTTTTTGGAACTGCTCTACTAAGGTACTGCTTCCATGAGAGGCAGTGTGTGAGGCTTCAATTCAGGACCCTAGGGGGAGGGCACAGCAGTGAGTGGGAATGGTAGATGGGGCAGCTCTGCCAGTGCACCATTTCCCCATGAGAAAGTGGGCAGCTTTAGCTCAGGTCCCAAGAGGCAGGGTGCAGGAGTGACTGAAAGAGGTAGATGGAGCAGCACTGAGAAAGCACTGTTTCCTCAGAAAGGAATTCTCAGTTTTAGCTCCAGTCCCCAGGTGCAAGGCTTAGAAGCAACTGGGAGGAGTAGGTGGAGCAACTCCATCAGCTGCTCACAGTTCAGTTTGGGGATGCTGGACCACTGTTGGGGAGAGGTGGTTCCATGGCAGCTTAGCCTTAGGGATAAAAGGGTGTTGTGGCTATTCCATTTCACAGAGCCAAGACACACTTCAGCAGTATTTCCAGTTTCAAGATAACATAGTGTAATAGCTAGATGGGGGACAGGGAGTGGGCACAGTGTCAGCTCTTTCTCTGGAGAGAGCACAGCTGTGTGGACTCTAGGAAGCTCCCTCAGTTGGGTTTAGTGCCCATGAGGACTGCAGGGTTCCCCAGTCTTGAAAACTGTAAGTGTCCAAGGTGGTGGATGAAGGATGCTGGGGTCCTCTTGCTTACCTCTTCCCTGCTGCTGATCCTGACTGGAGGATAGGGTAGGTGGTGGCATCCAGGTGTTTCCTTTCATTGTTTATGAGGCTATCCTGAGTTTCTGTGCTCACTAGTGCTTCTGTCACTTTTTGTATATACTCTGGCACTCTCCTTTAGTTATTTTCACCACAATGTGGTTCTTTTTTTATTTTTATTTTTTCAAAATTTTGGCTATCTTTATGGAGGAGGACAAGTGTTAGGGGATTCTAGTTGGCCATCTTGCTCCCATATAGAAATTATGAAGATGAAAAATATAATAGCTGAAATTTCAAAACTCTCTAGAAGGCTTCAAAAATATATTCAGCAGGCAGGAAAGAAAGTATGAAAACTTGAAGATAAGTCAATTGAAATTGTCCGGACTAAAAAGCAGAAAGAGTATGACGAAAAATAAACAGAGCCTAAAAGACTTATGGGATATTGTCAAGCTAAAGTATGCTTATTAGGGATCTCAAAGGGAGAGAAAAAAGAAAAAGAGGTAGAAAAAATATTTGAAGAAACAATGGCTGAAAATTTCCCGAATTTAATAAAATACTTAAATCTTCACATTCAAGACTCTCAATTAACTCCAAGAAGGAGAAATACAAAGAGATTGATTATAACCAAATTGTCAAAAGTCAGGGACAAAAACAAAATATTAAAAGCAACAGGAAACATGGCTCAACTTATACAAGGTATCATCAGTAAAATTAATAGCAGATTTCTTGATTTCTCTTCAGAAATCATGGTGACCAGAAGATAATGAGATGACATTTTAAAAATGCTGACCAAAAAAAAAAAAAAAAATTAAAAAAAATCCACCCAAGAATCTATAGTTAGAAAAATTATTCCTAAAGAATGAAGGAGAAATTAAAACATTCTTGAATAAACAAAAGCTGAGAGACTTCATCACTAATGGGCCTGCCCTACAAGAAATGCTACAAGAGAGCACAATGAGAACACATGGACACAGGAAGGGGAACATCACACTCTGGGGACTGTTGTGGGGTGGGGGGAGGGGGGAGGGATAGCATTAGGAGATATACCTAATGCTAAATGACGAGTTAATGGGTGCAGCACACCAGCATGGCACATGTATACATATGTAACTAACCTGCACATTGTGCACATGTACCCTAAAACTTAAAGTATAACAATAATTTAAAAAACCCTATAAAAAAATAAAAAAAATAAAAAACATGATTGACAGACAGAAATGAAAGAACACTACAAATTAGCTCAAAGGAATACAAAGTAATAAAGAGCAAAGGTAGCTTCATAGGTAAATATAAAAGCCAGCATTATTGTATTTTGGTTTGTAATTTCTCTTTGTATTTCCTACTTTAATTAAAAGACAAATGCATAATATAATTATTATAAGTGTATGTTAATATATACAGAGTAAGTAAAGACATAATTGACAATAACAATATAAAGGGGTGATGAGGCTATATATTATAGTAGCAGAATTTTTATATGCTACTTAGGTTGTCATCAATTCAAAATAGATTGTTATATATTTAGTGTATTAAAAGTAATTCTTATGGCAACTACTAAGAAAATATTTGTTAAAAATACATAAAAGAAAATAAGAGTGAATCAAATTGGTACACCACAAACAGCTAATTAAACGCAAAAGGCAGTAATGAAGAAAATTAAAAATAAAAGTATGACATATTAAAAACAGATGTCAAAATGGCAGATGAGTGTGAATCAAATTGGTAAACCACAAAGAGTTAAACACAAACGAAGGCAATAAAGAAGAAAATTAAGAACAATAAAAGTATGACATACTAAAAATATATGTCAAAATGGCAGAAGTAAGTGCTTCCTTGTCAGTAACTGCTTTAAATGTAAATGGAATAAACTCTACAATCAAAAGTGAGGGATTAGCAGAACAGATTTTTAAAACCACAATCCAACTATGTGCTGTCTACAAGAGACTCATTTTAGATTCAATGACACATGTAGATTGAAAGTGACAGGATGAAAAAATGTAGCCCATGCAAATATAACAAAAAGAGAGTTTGAGTGGCTATACTAATGTCAGACAAAACAGACTTTCAGTTAAAAACTGCTGCAAGGAACAAAGATATTATGTATTGATAAAGGGGTCTATACATCAAGATAATGTAACAATTATAAACATAAGCACCAAACAACATAGAAAGAGCCCCAAAATACAGAAAGCAAACATTGACAGAATTAAAGGGAAAAATAGTTGTATATTAATAGTTAGAGACTTTTTAAAATAATGAATACCTACACGAAGATCAATAAAAAATAGAGGACTTGAACAACACTGTCAACCAACCAGACCAAATAGACATATATAAATCACTCCATTCAACAATAGCAGAATACACATTCTTCTTAAATGCACACGAAACTTCATCACCTTTAGACTCTAAAATGTTGGGAAAGTTCTGTGCCAGCTTTTTTAAAAAATGACTTTTTAATAAATGTTGATATTCATGACAAATTTTGGTCTGAGATTTGTCATTGATAACTGATAATGAGGCTTTAGAAGCCAATTTTTATCTGTCACATGTAACTATTTTGGGAGCTACCTTTATGTATCAAAAAGGACTAAATTGTGTTAGGTTACTTTAAAAAAGGATAGAAAGTAGTTTACCTCTCTCTGGAAAGAACTAGCTTTTAGATAGAGTTCTTAGTTGTACTTTTTTCTGTTTATCTTATTAACATTTAAAAATTTTTATCTCCTCTACCTATTTTTCTTAAGTCTCTTAAATATTTGTTCAACTTTGATTTATTTGAATTAATTATTTTTACATTTTTTTATTTAGTAACAAATGTCTAATGAATTTTTAGTACAATTTTAATAATAGCATGTAGATTGCATGATGTTGATGCTTTTATGACTTTTATGTTTTAGAGAATGGTAATTCCTATCTCTTAAGATTTAACCATTTTGTCTACCTTCCATTTCTAACTGATTGTTTTGTGTTGCTTTCCTAATCTGACTAGCAATTTTTTGTTTCAGTGTACTTAGCTCAGAGCATATGGCCTGTACCCCATTACAAATTATGAAAATTATTATGCTTTTCAAGGTATGTATGTGCACCTATCTCCTAAAAAGAACAATTCACATATGTATGTATACGTATTTATAAAGAAATATATATATGTATATCTTCCAAAAAAGAAATATGTGTGTGTATATGTGTTTGCTCTGTGGGTTGATTAAATTGAAGGGATATTCTGTCAGCAAGTCAGAGTCTGAAATATAGAGGTATAAGACCAACTTATTAATCATCCTTATCCTTACTCATTGTGTGTGTTTATCTGTCACCAAATGAGAGATATGTGAATGTCTATTTGTCTACCTATTTTAATTTTAATATATTATGATAGCACATTAGTAGTATACAAAGACTCATGGCACTTATACATTCCTTGTAGGTTAGATCATTTTTCAACTTTTTTAAAGCATCCTGGTTTGTCTCCTTTAAAGCTTTACCTTGTGTTCACAGCATTGTCTGATACTAACATTGCAATCCTTGATTACCTTTGAACACATTTGGCTTTTATCTTTCTATTGTCAATTGTTGTAAATATGGGGCAGTTCACACTCATCTTTGTCACCATGACCCTTCATTCTCTACACTATGACAAAGACATATAGGTACATCTGGCTTTAGTGGCTATTTCAGCTACTCAGCAGTAAACAAATGGATTTATAGTCTCAGAGGAGAAAAGGAAAAACAAATGCTAAGTATTGTGGTTGCCACTGTTCTGAGAAAAACACAAAAATAAAACCTCTCAACGTAGTGTCCTCTCACCAATGTTTCTCAACTCCTAGTCTTACTCTCCTCTTTATAAGTGAGTTCTGACTTTTCCAGGCTTACGTTCCATCTTAGGCTTTCACACTAATTATCTCCACTCTACCGAGAAATGTCATGCTCTATCTCCTTAAATTTTTCTCTTTCCCAGGCCATCTTACCCCCGTTATCATTTTACATGCCATCCAGATGTTTATGGTCCCCAAATGTATATTTCCACACTCAAATTGTCATCTTAGCTATAGACTCACACATGTGAATTCTTTATTTTCCAGCACCCACATCTGCTCCTTTCTCTGACTTTCCTATCTTGGTCTACTACATACTTGGTCATGCTCACAATGCAAGATTCACTGATGTCCTCTTCTTCTCCATCACTCTTTACCTCTGCTTATTCGCGAAATCTAATAGAGGCTAACTTCTAAAAAGTTTGAACCCCAATCATCTCTCTTCTTCTCTGCTGCCATTGCCCTTTTGATAATTATTTTTTCTCAAGCAGTTAAAAGGATCTTTTAAAATGCAAATCTTTTTATGTCTCATTCCCTACTTAAAACTATTCTGTGGCTTTCAGCCTTGTATACTGTTGGTGGAAATGTAAAGTGGTACACCCAATATGGAAAACAATATTAAAACATTAAAATTACAATTAAAAATATAATTAAAATTAAAATTTAAAATACAATTAAAATTTAAAAATTAAAAATACAATTACCATATGATCCAGCAATCCCACTTTTAAAGGAAATAAAATCAGTATCTTCAAGACATATGTGTACCTCCATGTTCACTGCAGCGTTATTCACAAAAGCCAAGATAAGGAAACAATCTGTCTGTTGGTAGGTGAATGGACAAAGAGTCTGTGGTACATATATATATACAATGGAATATTACTCATCATTAAAAAGAAGAAAATTGTGCCATTTGTGAAAACATAAATGAACAAGGAGGATATTATGCTAAGTGAAATAAGCCAGACATAAAAAGACAAATGCTGTTTGATCTCCCTTATTTGTGGAATTTAAAATAATCAAACTAATAAAAGTAGAGAGTAGAATGATAGGTTCCAGGGGCTAGGGGCTGGGAGAAATAGGGAGATTTGGTCAAAGGGTACAAAGTTCCAGTTATGAGACGGACAAGTTCTGTGTATCCAATGTACAGCATAGGTAATGATGGATGTGTTAATTAATGTACTGTGATCATTGTTACACAATGTATACATATATCAAATCAGCACATTGTACAACATGGACAGGTTTTTCCCTAATTTATTTATCTATGTCTTTAATTTAAAAATATTTAATTGGCAGATAAAGAAAAAATGATAAATAAATAAATTGTTCTATGGTTTTGTATAAAATAACATGGCTCCCTGGTTCCTGCTAACTCCTCTAGCTTTGTCTCGTACAGTCTAACTTCCTTTATTTTATGCAGTTGTACTGGACATCTCTGCATATCCAGAATAAGAGAAGGTCTCTCCTGCCTCAGAGAATATGCAAGAAATGTTCTCTTTCTTTCTTTTTAGCCTCTCGCCCATCATTCCTTCGAGCTTCAGTAAAAATTTTCAAGGGAGTCTTTATAGACCAAATTTGATCTTTGTGAACATGTGTCTCAGATGGCACTCATCATATCTGTAACAGTTCATTTTGTGTCTTTCTCTTTAAGCTTCATTAAGGTTTGGATTAATCCTGTCTGGGACATCTTTATTCCCCCAGAACCTCTCATACTTTCTGGGATGTAATGGGTGCTTCATACGTAGCTATCAACAAGAGATTGACGTGAAGGTAACTTAGATAATTGGTACACACATTTCATTTATTTACTCTGTGTTTTATTATTTCTCTTTTAATTTTAAAATTGATGAAAGGGTTATTTATTCCAACAGACACAGAACTTATTTATGTTATAAAAATAATCTCTATTCTAAATTAGAGAATTACTACAGATGTCTACTACTATGATTACAAGTTCTTTTATTCTTGAATCCTTCTTTTCTATGAAACAATCTGATGGATTGCTGGAATGTTACCAAGTAATTCCATCATGTTGGCTAATCATTTCTGATAATTTCAAACATGGACATGTTCTGGTTGACATGTTTTGGGTCTTATAGGAGATCATGACAGTTGATCCTTGGCAGTTATATAAAATGAATCAAACTTATATTCAAATAAACACTGTAGTGACAAATAGCTTTTTCAAAGAGATAGAGTTACACTTTAAGCTATTATAATGAGTATAGAAATTAAATAATAATATTTCCACACAGTTTTTTCTAAAAGTAAAAAAGAAGTTAACAAATTTAAATGATGTATAAAACCAGAAAACTCTGCTGAAGGAAAAAATCGTTATTAAGTGAAGGAAATGTGAGATGAGCTTATTTATAAATATGTCAAAAATAACTTTCAACATATGCTAAAAAAACCTCATTTCTTTGCAACTACTTGGGCTGGTTTTCTACTGTGGTTTGACACTTTCCCCTGAAGCTTTCTCTTTGTTGAATATAAAGAGATTGAAGTAGAATTAAATACTTTTTAAAGTATTCTTTAAAATATGTAAGTAGTATATGAAGTTTTTGTTACTGGCTATGTCTGTGTCAATTTAAAGGCTTAATACTCTTCAATAATTTCTAAGCTTCCAATAATTCTAAAAAAGTAAATGGAGAATATCCATACAAAACAGCATTGCCAAACCCCAGTGCTCATCTCAGCTAGAAATGGCATGCAAAGTCATTAAATAATAACAAATAAGCTTATTTTTAAAGTATAAGCAGTTTAATATTTGTTAGGTTTGGGAGTTCTAAGATACTACGTTTTCATCCTCACCTAGTCAAAAATCTTTTACTAATTATAGAAGTTGCTTTCAAAGGGTGATTCTTCAAAGTACTACAATTGTACAGATGTGCCTCAGCAGTTGGCACAAGCAACAAGGGAGAAATGAAATTACCCACCTTCATAGGGGTAGTTGGACATACTAATATGATGTCTAGAGAAAAGTTATGAGTTGGATATATAATTTTGGGGGTTATGCCCAAGTAGACAATATTTGAAAGCCAAGAAATCCAGTGAAATCACCAAGTGATGAGTGTGGATAGAAAAAAAAAAGAGAGAGAGAGAAAGAAGAGATCCAAGGATTAGTCCCGGGTAATATGATACTTAAAGGCTGAGGGAATTAAGTAAAATCAGTAAGGGAAACTAGAAAGGAATGGCCACAGGGCCTACATAAGTGGAGGATTTAGATTTTGTTAGGAACATGGGACATTCATCTACAGAACCAGGAGAAAAGGCAGAGGATGTGCTGTAGGTAAGTGAATCAAGGTGGTGGTAGAATTATGGAATTTCTCTTCTGACTGCTTCTATTTTCTTGTTGAACTATGAAACAAAGGTCATTAGCTGAGAGTGAGAATGCAGGGAAATGTTTTGGGGTATTTGAGGAGAAAAGAGAAAGAATGAAAGAGTCATCTAGGAAAGCGGGAATCTGAATTAACCGAGGAAATGTCCTGTGATTTCTAGGCAGCATTAAGGGCCCATATGAGATCTGTAATCACGAATTTCAAAGAGACCAGTTAGAGTGGTTGTGTCCTTTCTCCAGCTAGGTTCAATCGTACCTGTGCAGGGGCAGAATAGATGGAGAGTTGGAGTTAATCAGGCTTTGCAAGAATATGATAAACAGAGAGAATGTATGCAAAGGAGTCATTACAATGTTTGAGTAAGAAGATGCAGTATCATGGGAGGTAGAAAGACAGTGAAAAAACATATAATTAATGAATTCTAAGTACAAGTGAGATTCTGAAAAAGCTTTAGAGATGGGGTACTAAAGGGAGTAAACTAGAAAGATAGTGGGTGATATTTGAAGAGTGGAATGTTTAAATTGAGACAAAGAAGGGATCACTATCATTGGTACTGCCCAGGCTAGCAAATGACCATAAGAATGAATGATTCATGTATGGTGTAAAGGAAGATTACTGGGAAGAGGAAGTCTATGAACTAAGAAGTGAGGATCAAGAAATGTTGCTGTCGTGGGCATGAAAACGATCAGAACATGATTGTGGGAGTTAGTGGGATAGCATGAAAGATAAGCTCACTGGTGAAGAGAAGATGCAGAAACAGAGATTAGCTACATAAATATTAAAATGGCCAAGATCATAACAGGAATATGGAGGAGAGAGAGTTAAGAACTTCAAAGATGGAGTGGAAGTGACTCAAAAATCAGTTTGAAAACTTGAGACTTTAAAGTTGGGTATTTTTAGAAAGAAGAGTTGTAGAAGCAGTAATGAGGAATATGAAAAACACTTATTCCATCTCCAGGTTTGGAGCATGAGGCTGGAGGAGGAGAAAAGCATTAGCGAGTGCCTCAGGAAAACACTGTTCTGAGAAAGACAGGTGATGTTTGAGTGAAGAGGTAAGGGAAACACTCATAAGCTACAGACATAAGATTAAAGAGAAAGATCAACATCACAGAATATGTGGTCCCAAATGGGCCCAAGAACTTAAGGGAATTGAGTGGGGTATATGTGGGAGAAAGATGGATATTTCAATATATGAGAGGGCTACTTAGTTATTTGAAAAAATAAAATTCTGTGTCTTCATTTTTTTCTGACTCCCTTGTGAGTCAATAATTTAAATGTAAAAATAATTTTAAAGTCCTAGAAGACACTTTTAAGGTAATATAAAAATGTTCAAGAATGAAGTAATTTTTGGCTGGGTGTGGTGGCTCACACCTGTAATCCCAACACTTTGGGAGACCAAGGTGAAAGGATAGCTTGAACCCAGGAGTTCAAGACCAGACTTGACAACACAGGGAGACCTCGACTTTACAAAAAAATTAAATGAAGTCTTTTTAAGCATGCAAGGAAATATTCAAACATTAAAGAGAAAACTGAATTTTTATGCTATAAAAAAAGAAAATTCGTCCAGGTATGGTGGCTCATGCCTGTAATCTCAGCACTTTAGGAGGCCGAGGCAGGTGTATCACCTGAGGTCAGGAGTTCGAGACCAGCCTGACAAAAATGGTGAAACTCTGTCTCTACTAAAAATATAAAAAATTAGCTGGGCATGGTGGCAGGTGCCTATAATCCCAGCTACTTGGGAGGCTGAGGCAGGAGAATCCCTTGAACCAGAGAGGCAGACGTTGCAGTGAGCTGAGGTGCCATTGCACTCCAGCAGCCTGGGTAACAAGAGCGAAACTCCATCTCAAAAAACAAACAAACAAACAAACAACCAAACAAACAAACAAAAAAATACCCAGAAAATTCTTGAACACACAAAAAAGCTTGAAAGATAATAAATTAAAAAATATTTGAAATACCTACTGCAGACAAAAGACTAATTCTGTTAGCATATGAAAATCACATACTAATCAGTAAAAAGATGAGTAAATTGATAAAAAAAATTAATGAATGTTAAAAACAGGTCACAGAAAAAGAAGTATTTTAAAAACGTGAAAGATTTATTCATTCTTAACACCAGGGTATTAAAAAAAGAATTATAAAACTCAAAAAATCTTAAAACACTCACTCAAAATTGAAAATAAAAAAAATGCAAAATAGACTGGCTGGGCCGTGGCTCACGCCTGTAATCCCAGCACTTTGGGAGGCTGAGGCAGGTGGATCACGAGGTCAGGAGATGGAGACCATCCTGGCTAACACGGTGAAACCTCATCTCTACTAAAAATACAAAAATTAGCCAGGCATGGTGGCATGCACCTGTAGTCCCAGTTACTTGGGAGGCTGAGGCAGGAGAATGGTGTGAACTCAGAAGGCGGAGCTTGCAGTGAGTGGAGATCATGCCGCTGCACTCCAGCCTGGGGACAGAGTGAGACTCCATCTCAAAAAAAAATAAAAATAAAAATAAAGCAAAATAAATGAAATACTACTTTATCGATCAGAATGGCAAAAATGAAAACACCGACCGTAGTGATAGTTAGATGGGATGATTATTTTAAATTATCCATGTGTGCCCATTTTAATCACAAGAGTCTGTATAAAAGGCAGGCAGGAGATCAGAGAGGTGAGAACATGCTAAGATGCTGGCTTTGAAATTGGAGGAAGGGGCTGTGAGCCTAGGAATGTAGGTGGCCTCCAGAATATGAAGAAGGTAAGGACATAGATTCTCTCCCAAAGCTTTCATGAGTATCACAGCCCTGTCAACACCTTGATATTAAAATTCTGATCTCCATAAATGTAAAGTAATACATTTGTGTTACTTAAGCCATTAAGTGTAAGGTACTGTGTTATAGCAGCAACAGCAAACTAATACAGTGTGGCTGGAGATTTGGGGTAAAAGAGATAGGTGAAACTGTATTAAATAGGAGATAACAGGAAAGATGATTGGCAAGCTAGATCATATTCAGCCATTCATGATAAGGACTTTGCACTTAATGCTCATAATCTGGGAGCCATTGAAGAGTTTTAAGAAAAGATGTGTCTTTGTTAATGGAGAGATTGTAAATCACTCTGGCTGCTTGTGGAAAATATGTAATAGGTTGAAGAGGAAATAAATTAGAGGAGTAAGGAAGGTATTGCAATAGCTTAGGAAAAATATGAGGACTGTTTCTTCCAAGGTGATTACCATGAAGGTGCTGAATAGTAATCGGATTTGGATATTGTGCCTGATATATTCCATTGACTCTCCAGATGCATCTCCATCCGTCTCCCTTTAAAGGCTGACTTGTGTGGACTGTGTCTACTCATTCCATGCTGGTATCAGGTTGACAGAAGAGAGCTACTCATTCCCGATTCCCTCCAGAGGACTTGCTCTGGATTTGCCTCATCCATCCCCACAGGTTCCTCCAAAGCAGCCCCCTCCCTAGGACTCTCTCCTTCCAGTCTGTGGTAACTGCTCCTCCCCTGGCCCCTTCAGTCCTTGGGTTGTTATTCCCCTCAGGGTACTACACTAGCTCTGTGTTTCCCAAATACCCTGCCCAGACCTTTATTAAAAAAGCTTTTTTATTAAACACTCCCTCAAATTATTCTAAAATGAATGTGCTGTCTGCTTCCTGCTAGGACCACAAGTGACAAACACATTAAGCAGATAGAGCCAGAGGACCTGGTGATGGATTTGTGTGGAGTGTGAGAGAAAAAGAAGTCAAACAAATATCTTACCTATCTGCTATTTTATAATATCTTTATTATCCTAAGGATATATGCCTACCATCATACTATACAACTATCAAATTATTTGATGTGACAATCAAAATGATATTTATTCATCTATATAAATTGTATCCAAGATGCGATCATTAGAATTTCACATACTAGCAAAGAAATCAGTGATCAAAGCTGACAGACAGGAAGCTGAAAAAGCAGGACTTCCAAAACATAAAAGTATCAATGAGATAATATTTTTGTGAATATTAGCCTACCTAGTCTGAATAATTAATGAATGTAAATTCAGCTCTCCAAAAGTTATTATTATACTTGTACTATAAATAACGCTTGCAAAGGATGGAATTAAACTAAATACAAAACTGCTAATAAATAAAAGGATGATCAGGTTAAGCATAAGCAGAGTGAAAATTTAAACTGAAAAATCTTTAGGAGAATGTGATCTGAGCTAATTTTTGGAGAATGAGAACAGTGTAATGTGGTAGAAATGAAAGGAAACAAGAGTCTTTATGAATATAAAAAGTAATAGTCATTTCTAGAAGGCTCCGTAAAACTCAAAAGTAAAACCATATAATGGTAAAGGGAGGAAATATATGAACATATATTGTATGATGTATGTTCAGGAGGCCTGAGTCCTTTTTCCTTTCTAACTAGAATTCTGTAACTTTTCAAATTTATTACTAATCTCTGAAAACTTTCAGTGCTTCTCATTCTTCATTTTAAAAATGAACGTAAGAATGACTATACTATTTAATTCAAAGCTGTTTTGAGGATTAGATGATAGACTGCATTTAAAGTAGTGAAAAAGTTGAAACAATTTGCAAATGTGTCTCATATATATATATCTTATATATATATATCTTCCTCTTCTTATATAGCCACAGTCTTCTCAGATACTCAGGGCCCCACTTTTATGACCTCACTTTACCTTAATTACTTCCTAAAGATCCTGTTTCAAATACAGTTACATTGGGAATTAGGGCTTTAATGTATGAATTTGGGGGAGGGGGAAATACAATTTAGTCCATGGGAGTGAAGTATTTAGCAGGTGACGCCCAGGACACATGCGTGGGAACTGGATGCAAAGGAAACTGGGGAGACTGGAAAAGTTCTATTTGACTGGAAATTCCCCAAATATAGTAATGGTACTCCAAGAAGGCTGGATATAGAGAGAATATAACAAGTTCCCACTGTATCTAGTAAATTGAATTCAAGAAAATCAGACATGGAGCCATCATTTTAATCAAACAAAGCTCTTTATTGGCAAAATGTAACCATACAACCTACAGAATTGCTGCTTAAATGATGTAGAAATGAGATCTAGACAAAATTTAGACATTGGAGATGTTTAGTTCTAATAAACAAGAGATTAGCATTGGAGAGCACAGAAAGAAAGCCAGAGGAAGAGAGGAAGGGAGAAAGGGGAAGAGGGGACATTACTCTTGGTTTAGTGGGAAACGTAGATGAATTTTCTACCTCATAAGAAAAGTTTTTGCCAACAAGTTTTAAAAGAATTTTGTAAACAGTGTTAATTAGCATGATGTAATGGTTTCTTTTATATTCAATATAAATCTTTATTCAACTTATTTGAATAACTTGACCTTCTCTACTGCCAGATACTCAAATTAAGTCTGCTGTACTTTAATCAGATATTAAAATATGTAATATATACTTTAAATGGGTTCTGTTTTATCCAAAATAGGGTGCAAAGCATACAATTTTGATTCATCCATTCTCAAAGTTCCCCAAAGATAAATTAATCAGTAAAATGAAGAAAATTCTAACTTGCTACTGGAAACTAGAGAAAGAGTATTTTAATGTATCTGATAATTGAAAAGTTTCAGCAGGAAGTAATTTATGCCAGAGCAACTAACTGGTTGCCATCCGTGGAATGTGCCAATAGATGCTGCCTGAAGAAATAAAGGAGAGGCCAACAGTGCCCACCAGGGAATCATACCTTAGCTATCTGACTAGACGATGCTGTGAACCACTCGTTCCTGAGAATGAGTGAATGTCAAATCACCAGGCATATGAAATATCCCAGGAATTTAAGTATAGATCATTCTAAATCTCTAGTGCAAGAGCATTCTGTAAAACAGAGGTCGTCAGGGACACTGACATGCCCACTACACTTCATGCTTCCGGCGCCATAGGCAGTTGGCAAATGTTAGCCTATCACCTGCCTGACAAACAACCCAGATTGTGTGGTTTACCTAATTTTTCTTTGGCGCATTTCAGACAATATGAAATCAAAACATGTTGGGTTTTTTTCAGCATTCCCAGACACAAAACAAAACTATCCTAATGTAGTTAAGGCCACTTTTAACCTTTCTATTTTAGATCACAGCAGGAAATAAAATAATAACAGAGCTTTTCTATGCTTTTTGGCATAAGGAAATCATGAAACCATTTCATTTTTATCAATTATATTGGTTACCTCTAATAACTTTTTTTCTTTTGTTCTAATCTGCCTTTTCTAGTCACTATTCTTTCAGTCTTTGATAAAGAAGCTGCCCAGCTCTTAGGAGTATTTTATCTGAGAGCAAATAAAAACATTTGCCTACTAAAAGTGAATGATTGTGAAGGACTACCTTTTGGGTGGGCTGAGGTTGTAGCTGAGAAGTCACTTTGCATTCTTTGGGGCCTGACCTTCTCTACTGCCAGATACTCAAATTAAGTCTGCTGTACTTTAATATAGATGAGGATATGACCATCATGAAAAAATACAAACTCACCAGAGCCAAAAAAAAATAATCTAAGTCCCAAGTCTTACCCTGGTGATTTTTTATGAGTTTTTACCTTGGAGTGCTCTTGGACTCAACTATGTCTACCTAACAGCAAGCACCTGATCCAAAACTAAAAAACTGGTGTATTAGTCTGTTTTTACGCTGCTGACAAAGACATAACTGAGACTGGGAAATTTACAAAAGAAAAAGGTTTATTGGACTAACAGTTCCATATGCCTGAGGAAGCCTCACAATCATGGATGAAGGCAAGGAGGAGCAAGTCACATCTTACGTGGATGGCAGCAGGCAAAAAGAGAGCTTGTGCAGAGAAACTCCTGTTTTTAAAACCATCAGATCTCGTGAGACCCATTCACTATCACAAGAATAGCACAGAAAGACCCGCCCCCATGATTCAATTACCTCCCCCCAGGTCCCTCCCACAAAACAAAATTGTGGGAGCTACAAGATGAGATTTGGGTGGGGACACAGCCAAACCATATCATTCCCCCGGCCCCTCCCAAATCTCATGTTCTCACATTTCAAAACCAATCATGCCTGCCCAACGGTCCCCCAAAGTTTTAACTCATTTCAGCATTAACTCAAAAGTCTACAGTCTGAAGTTCAAAGTCTCATCCAAGACAAGGCAAGTCCCTTATGCCTATGAGCCTGTAAAATCAAAAGCAAGTTAATTACTTCCTAGATACAATGGGGATATAGGCATTGGGTAAATACAGGCATTCCAAATAGGAGAAATTGGAAACAACAAAGGGGCTATGGGCCCCATGCAAGTCTGAAATCCAGTAGGGCAGTCAAATCTTAAAGCTCCAAAATGATCTCCTTTGACTCCATATCTCACATCCAGGTCACACTGATACAAGAGGTGCTCCCACGGCTTTGAGCAGCTCTGCCCATGCGGCTTTGCAGGGTACAGCTTCCTTCCTGGCTGCCTTAATGGGCTGTTGTTGAGTGTCTGTGGCTTTTCCAGGCACATGGTGCAAGCTGTCTATGGATCTACCATTCTGGGGTCTGGAGGACAGTAGCCCTCTTCTCACTGCTCCATTATGCAGTGCCCCAGTAGGGACTCTGTGTGGGGGCTTCAACTCCATATTTCCCTTCTGCACTACCCTAGCAGAGGTGCTCCACAAGGGCCCTGCCCCTGCAGCAAACTTCTGCCCGGGCATCCAAACGTTTCCATACTTCTGAAATCTAGGCAGACATTCCCAAACCCTAATTCTTGACTTCTGTGCACTCACGGGCTCAACACCACATAAAAGCTGCCAAGGCTTTGGGCTTGTACCATCTGAAGCTATGGCCTGAGCTTTACATTGGCCCATTTCAGCCCTGGCTGGAGTGACTGGGATGCAGGGCACCAAGTGCCTAAGCTGTACATAACATGGGGACACTGGGCCTGGCCCATGAAACCATTTTTTCCTCCTAGGCTTCCGGGTCTGTGATGGGAGGGACTGCCACCTCTGACATGCCCTGGATACATTTTCCCCATTGTCTTGGTGATTAACATTCAACTCCTCATTACTTATGCAAATTTCTGCAGCTGGCTTGAATTTCTCATAAAATGGGATTTTCTTTTCTATCATATTGTCAAGCGGCAAATTTTCTGAACTTTTATACTCTACTTCCCTTATAAAACCGAATGCCTTTAACAGCACCCAAATCACCTCTTAAATGCTTTGCTGCTTAGAAATTTCTTCTTCAGGCCAGGCACGGTTGCTCACACCTGTAATCTCAGCACTTTGGGAGGCCGAGGCAGGTGGATCACGAGGTCAGAAGTTCAAGACCAGCCTGACCAACTTGGTGAAACCCTGTTTCTCATAAAAACACAAAAATTAGCTGGGCGTGGTGGCGGGCACCTGTAATCCCAGCTGCTTGGGAGGCTGAGGCAGGAGAATCACTTGAACCTGGGAGGTGGAGTTTGTAGTGAGCCGAGATAGCACCATTGTACTCCAGCCTGGCTGACAGAGTGAGACTCTATCTCAAAAAAAAAAAAAGAAATTTCTTCTTCCAGATACCCTAAATCATCTCTCTCACATTCAAAGTTCCACAAATCTCTAGGGCAGGGGCAAAACGCCACCAGTTTCTTTGCTAAAACATAACAAAAGCCACATTTGCTCCAGTTCCCAACAAATTCCTCAACTCCATCTGAGACCACCTCAGCCTGGACCTTATTGTCCACATCACTATCAGGCTTTTGGTCAAAGCCATTCAACAAGTTTCTAGAAAGTTCCAAACTTTTCCACATTTTTCTATCCTCTTCTGAGCCCTCCAAACTGTTCCAACCTCTGCCTGTTACCCCGTTCCAAAGTTGCTTCTACATTTTTGGGTATCTTTTCAGCAACACTCCACTCCCAGTACCAATTTACTGTATTAGTCTGTTTTCATGCTGCTGATAAAGACATAACTGAGACTGGGCAATTTACAAAAGAAAGAGGTTTATTGGGCTTAGAATTCCATATGGCTGGGGAGGCCTCACAATCATGGTGGAATGCAAGGAGGAGCAAGTCACATATTATGTGGATGGCAGCAGACAAAGAGAGAGCTTTTACAGAGAAACTCCCATTTTTAAAACCATCAGATCTCATGAGACTCATTCACTATCATGAGAACAGCACAGGAAAGACCCACCCCCATGATTCAGTCGTCTCCCACTGGGTCCCTCCCACAACGTGGGGAAATTATAGGAGCTACAAGATGAGATTTGGGTGGGAACACAGAGCCAAACCATACCAATCAGTGTTAAAAATGCAATGATTTTGCCTGTATTTAAGAGATCATCTAGATGTTTGGAAATATTCCAGTGCTGATTGTCCAGATAAAAAACAAGTAAAAATCAAGTGCAAAGAATGACCATACCTAAAACCCTCCAATGTAAGATTTTACTTAGAAAAACTAAAAGAGGCTACTCTGTTAGAGACACTTGATCACATAAGTAAAATAATAAAATGTATATGTCCATTCTCTTCTTATGGGCTACTGTGGATTAACATTCTGCAATATTGTGGCTAAGTATTTCCCAAAATTGAAGAACAAGAAGTACGATAATTATGTTAAAAAATAAATGCTTGTTTGAAAATTTCTTAGTTATGTTTTGTTAATTGTCTATACACACACATTTATGAGGCATCATTAAGTTCTTTCTTTACTGATCACTAGGTCTGTAACTGTCTAAGCCTGGGTTTCTCAGAAAGGAAAGCCTGCATCTACAACTTGTGTTCCATTCTTTGATTGGGATATGCACCATTTAACTGGAGAAGCAGGAGTTGATGAGGGTAGGAGAAAGGATAATATAAGGGTACAATACTCAGTTAATTGCTGATTGTCTTCAAGTATAAGGAATTCTTCAGTCTGGTGTAATCATCTTTCAGGTGCCCATAAAAAATCCTGCATCTTGGAACTGTGCTCTCAGCTTTTTATTCATCTGCTCCCATCCCTCATTGTTCAAATATTTGTTTTATGCGTATTAGCCTCTCCCACACTTCTGGGTTACACATGTGTGATGGAATCAGGTCCCACTGACCCTGATCATTCAGGGGCAAGAAGAGGACCCCCTAGGAGAAAGACATGTGCTGTCAGTCTGTGCCTACATGAGATTTGTCACCTCAGCAGGAGCTGGGTAAAACTCATACAGAACTGGTGGGATAAACTGGGTAGCATAAATAGGAATTCCTTTACTCATCCTTCCATTCATATTCCAGGCTCTGTTCTCAGCATAGTGATACAAAGATTAAATGGCACAATTCCTACCCGAGAAGAAATTAAATTATAGTAAAGATACAGACCAAAAAAAGGAAACTAAGTTAAAGTGTGTCAGTACTAACATGGGAAATATATACAAATAAACGTGTAAGTCTGTCTGCTGAGATTAAGCCATGAATTGAAAGAAAATATTCATTGGGCAGAAATGTAACCGAATGAGTAAGGATTAACCAGGCATAGAGGCTGGGAGGAAGACCTTGGAGGCTGAGTTTGTTAAAGACTTTCTGACATATGCAGGGTAAATGACAAGTCACTATTGCTAAAGCTTCATATACCATGAGGGGAGGATGAGAGATTAGACAAGTCTGGTTTGCAGAGACCAGATTATCACTAACATTTTTTGTCCTTTGAGAAAAGTGATATTTATGGTAATGGTAATGAGGAGTCATTTAGAAAAATAATTGAGCAGTAATAGTTGATAAAATGTACACGTTAAATAGATTAGTCTCACCATAATGTGGGGGATGTACTACAGGGGTGAAACCAGGGCATAAATCAACCAGAAAAAAAGACTAATAAAATTCTTGGGCACCCATTCTTCCTGCTTTACATGACTGTGGGAAGGATGAAATGAAACCATAGATGTGGATGCCAGAGGAACCATAAAACATCACAGAAGGCTGGGCGCAGTGGCTCATGCCTGTAATCCCAGCACTTTGGAAGGTCAAGGCAGGAGGATGGCTTGAGCCCAGGACTTCGAGAACAGCCTGGGCAACATAGGGAGAACTTGTCTCTACAAAAATTAAAAAATTAGCTGGGCATGGTGGTGCATAACTGTGGTCTCAGCTACTTGGGAGACTGAGGTGGGAGGATCTCTTGAGCCCAGGAGGATGGGGCTGCAGTGAGCCATGATCATGCCACTGCACTCCAACCTCGGCAACAGAGAAGGCCCTGTCTCAAAAAGAAAAAAAAAAGCATAATGGAGAATGAGAATGAGATATCCATAGTAATGCTGTGTATATCTCTGTTGTCCTTTGCCCAAGGCAGGTCTTTACCCTATATCTGCCAGTCTCCCACCTTCAGAGGTTCTGACTTGGCAAATCTACTGTTTAGCATTCATATTTTGAAAAAACTGCCCCAATGATTCTGATAAACACTGAACTAGTTTTTTGAGTATTTGATTTTCCTTACAAACTAATGCAAACACAAGTGGTGGGTTTTTCTTCACAAGACTGAGTAATGATTTGGTCCAGAAATCACCCAGTCTTCATCATAAGCCAGGATATCCTCAGCTCAGTACCCAACATGAAGAGATGACAAAAGCTTTCTTGGGTAACATGCCCCTTTCTTTCCTCTGGGGTCTGATTAGAGGTGTTCTGCCTAAGTTTTTCAGCAGTTGTAGTTTAAAATCTTCTACATCTGCTGAGAGATAATGTCATTTCCCTCAAACCAGATGGGTTATATTCCTGAGAGATATGTACAATTTTTATTTTCTTCAAACACCCAGAGGAATCAAAGAGACTGGCAAGATACAAGCAATTAATATTCACATTTCCACTCAGCTGCATTTGTACACCTGAGAGGAACTGCAGGCATGATGTAGTGGCAAACCAGATGGACTTCTATTTGATCTGATTTCACTGGGCTGCTTTTTAAATTTGGGGACTCCATTTTGAGTTTTCACTTTTGTATAGTTAGGCTCCCACAGGTTTCGGTCCGAAACAGAAAGCATCAGATTTTAAGTGGAATTTTGAGGAGCAACTTGACAATTAAAACTCAAGAGAAATGTGGAACTACACAAGCCTGCCTTACTCTTTCTCTTTTTCTTTCTTTCCTTCTTTCTCTTTCTTCCTTTGTCATTATGGCTAGGTAATAATCACAGGTATAAATTTCTACTTACAAACAGGGACACATCAAATCCCATTTTTAAATGTTCTCCACATTTGACCTTAGCCTCCTTTCTCACTAGGCTAGTAGAAAGCCATCTCAGATAATCTTAGGATACCCTAAGTTATGCCACAATTCCTGCATCTAGAACTATAGTTCCAAGTAATGTGTTATTGACGAGCTGTCCACACAGGCTTCCCCTGTTCTAAGAGACTTACTGTCCCTGTCCACGTGAGCCATTCAGGTCTGGAAGTCTTCTGTTATTTTTTGTGACTCCATCCCCTCTGCTATCTCCCTAGGGCACTCACTATTTGTGGGTCCCCAGAGTCTCACACACCATTCTCTTCAACCTTTCTTCCAGCCTATAAAAATATCCTTCAAAGCTGACACACAAAATATTACACATTTATTTTCTTGAAATTGCACACCACTTGCTCTTAAATTACCATTTTGGTTAAAGAAGAAAAAATATTAAGCTCACTAACAGTAATTCAGTTTTATCCATTCTAAACCTATTGACTAAATCTTTAATTCATTTAAAGTTCAAATTTCATATTAGATCTATTTAAAAAAAAACTATTTCAAGGGCTTTCCTCTGTTGTCTTTTTCTTCTTAAGGTAGAAATGAGAGGCTTACACATTAACTGGCATTGGGTAGGAAGGGGACTCTTCCACGTGCAGTCCTCTGAGTCCTTGTTGGACTCAGAGATATCTCTGAGTTGGACTTGTTGGACTGAGATATTTCACACCCTTCATGGTCACTGAGCATCCATTGTTGGTACCCACTCAAATGTGGTTAGTCTCATCTGATGATTTAGGCATTTACTGGCACCAACTGCTAAAATCAATGGCCCTTGCAAAAGCCTCTTGTCCCTAAATGTGGCCTCTCTATCCCAAGATCAGGTTTCTACCAAACCATCAGAGCTCTAGAAATGTTTGTAACTGCTTGAGGATTTGGATGTTCTGGCTGCTTTCTTCACACCTTATTGGGGAATGCAGAGATCTATGAAGCTGTCTTCAGATTGACACATTGAGACATCTTCTTGAGCAAGGAAAACATTTCTGAAAGTATTTTTAAAATATTATCCTGTTACTGTAATACACAAAACTATCCAACTGAATACTTAGCTGAGCCTCAGTCTCCTCCTCTATAAAAGTGAAGGTTGTACACATTTATTCTGGCATTTTTTCTATCTCTAATATTCTCTCTTCATAAATTCTGCATCCAGTAGGTCCTAGGAAGAAGCACAATGCAACAAACAGAAATGCCAAGAACAGGACCATTTGAAAGGAGACAACAAGTAGAAACAGAAAAAAGCAATAGATGTTAAAGGTAATGGAAGCCCATATAATATATATATATGTTTGTTTGTGTGTGTGTGTGTATGTATATGTATATATATATGTATATGTATGTGTATATATATGTGTGTGTGTATATATATATATATAGATAGAGAGAGAGAGAGAGAGAGAGAGAGAGAGAAAGCTGGCAGAAAAGGCAACAGGCAATATAGGGATAGATAATATCATGGAACCTACCAACACTAACTATTGAATCAAGAGGGCTTGTCAAGTTTGTCAAGTGGTAGGAAGAGACCAAATACTGAGCTAGGATTTAGGTAGATGATGTCAGACACTGGGCAAGCAGAGGAAAATGAAGCAGAGAAAAGCAGGGTTTACATTACAAATAATAGAGTAAGTGGCAGGTCATGAAGTCAGAACGGAAGCCCAGAAACAAGACAGAAGTAAAATTTTCAGAACTGGGGTGCACGATGAGAACTAGACTAACAGCAAGAGTAACCTGATTCTGACTCACAAAATGTTAGTTTAAGGCTCCTTAAATCTCTCCTGCTTAGGAATAAGTTTAAGAGACTTTGACAGACTATCATCAGGAAATAAGGTCAAGTAACACAGCTATGAGAACAAAAAGTTTGCAAAGGCTGGAAAACAGGCAGAATCAGCCTTAATTTGCAATGTGTTTGAGGATTCTATTATCAACTCTAACACAAGAGGTTTTTAAAGACCTGTGGTCTTTTTAAAACTGAAGGTATTTGTCAAGGCATCCAGAAGACCTTTATCACAATTAAAATTCACATTATATATGGAATAAACAGTATAAATCTATTTTTAAAACATTATATTCTATCCCATTTATTTTTCATTTATAACCTTTTAAAATTGCAATGTGACACACATGAAAAAATGCATATCTCACAAATGAATCATTAAAATATGACTACACCTATGTAACCCTTACCCAGGTCAAGAATAGAACATGACTGGCAACTTGGAAGGTCTACTCATGCCTCATCTTAATTATTTTAAATGTAGCTCT
The DNA here is from genome assembly GCF_000001405.40 of Homo sapiens. Classification (NCBI taxonomy): domain Eukaryota; kingdom Metazoa; phylum Chordata; class Mammalia; order Primates; family Hominidae; genus Homo; species Homo sapiens. The sequence continues at coordinate 54,577,184 of NC_000017.11, forward strand.
GAATTGTGTTTTGAGAAAGATACCGGTTCCATTTAAGAATCAGAAGCAAGAGAGGCTGAGCAAGATGGCAGAATAGAAAACTCCACCAAATATCCTCTCCACAGGCCACCAATTTAGGATCTATCTACACGGAAGAAACACTTTCATGAGAACCAAAAATCAGGTGAGCCTTCATAGTACCTAGTTTTAACTCCATTATCACTAAAAGAGGCATTGAAGAGATAGAGAAAAACAGTCTTGAATTGTCAACATCACCCCAACCTCAGCCCCCTCCAACCTTAGCAGTAGAGGCATGGTACAGAGAGCAACTCTGGGTGCTGGGGAGGGAGAACACAGTAATTGTGAGGCATTAAACTTAGTGCTGTCCTGTTAGAGTAGAAAGGAAAATAGAACCAAACTCAGCTATTGCTCACCCATGGAGGGGGCATTTTAATCAGCCCTAGCCAGAGGGAAATCACCAAACCCCGTGGTCCAAACTTGAGTTCCCACAGACCTCACCACCACAAGCTAAAGTGCTCTGTGATCTATATAAACTTGAAAGGCAGTCTAGGCCATAAGGACTGCAACTCACAGTGAGTCTTATTGCTGAACTAGGCCCAGAGACAGTGGACTAGAGTGGCACATGACCTACCAAGACACCAGCTGGGGCAGCTAGGGGAGTGCTGGCATTACCCTTCCCCTAACTACAGGCTGCACAGCTCATGGCTTGAAAAGAGATCCCTTCCTTCTGTTTGAAGAGAAAAGATGAAAGAGTGGGGAGGACTTCATCTTGCATCTTGGATACCAGCTCAGCCACAGCAGTATATCACACTGGTCAGAGTTGCGAGGCCGCTGTTCCCAGGCCCTAGTTTGGATGACATTTCTAGACACATCCTGGGCCAGAAGGAATCTCACTTCCTTGAAGGAAAGGACTCAGTCCTGGCAGCATTCATTATCTGTTAACTGAAAAGCCCTTGGGCCATGAATAACCAGCAGTGATACCCAGATATTAAGATGAGGGCTTTGGGTGAGCCTCTGAGAGTTGTTGGCTTCAGGTGAGACATAGCACATTACCAGCTGTGGTGGTTATGGGCCAATACCCCTTCTGCTTGAGAAAAGCAGAGGGAAGAGTAAAGGGGACTTTATTTTGCATCTCAGGTTACCAGCACAGCCACAGTGGGGTAGAGCACCAAGTGGGCTTTTGGGATCCCTGATTTCAGGATTTGACTCCTGGATCCTATCTGTGCACCTGCCCTTGGCCAAAAGGGAGCCCACTGCCTTGAAGGGGTGAGTCCCAAGCCAGGCAGCCTTCCCTACAAGTTGACTTAAGAGCCATTGGGTCTTAAGGAAATATTGGTGGTAGTCTGTCAGTACTCTCTGTGGCTGGGTTATAGTGGTAGTTATGGGGGAGGCTCCTCTGCCTTTGGAAAAGGGAAAGAAGAGTAGGAAAAACTGCATCTTGTGGTATGAGTGCAAGCTCAGCTGCAGTTCAGTAGAACACCAGGCAGACTTTTAAGCTTTTTGACCCTAGCCCCTGACCTTTAAATGGCACTTCTAGACCCATCTGGGGCATGGGGGAACCTGCTGCCATGAAGGGAAGAACATAGGCCTGACTGGGTTTGCCACCTGCTAACTGCAAAACCCCAAGGCCTTGAAAAAACATAGGGCATGGTTAATGCAGGCTTTGTGGGAGGCACAGTGCTGTGGTGGATTCAGGTCTGACCCAGTGCAGTCATAGATGTGGTGGCTATAGGGATGCTTGTATCACTCTGCTCCCAGCTTTAGGTGGCTCATAACAAAGAAAGATACTTTTTTTTTTTGAGAAAGTGAAAAAAGAACAAGAGACTCTTTCTGGTAATCCAGAGAATCCCCCTGGATCTTGTTCAAGACCATCAAGATGGTACCTATATGAGTCTGCAAGAACCACAGTGTTACTGGGCTTAGGTACTCCCTAAAGCAGACACAGCTTAGTTCACAACACCCAAGTCTTTTCAAAGATCTGGAAAGCCTTCCCAAAAAGGATGGGTCCAAACAAGCCCAGACAGTGAAGACTACAAGACATACCCAACTCTTTAATGCCCACATACTGAAGAACATCTACTGACATCAATACCATCCAGGAAACCATGGCCTCACAAAATGAACTAAATAAGCAACCAGAGAACAATCTTGGAGAAACAAAGATGTGACTTTTCAGATAGATAATTCAAAATAGTGGTGTTGAGGAAACTGAAAGAAATTCAATATAACACAGAGAAGGAATTCAGAATTTCATCAGATAAATTTAATGAAGGGATTGAAATAATATAAAAGAATCAAGCAGAAAGTCTGGAGCTGAAAAATGCAACAGACATACTGATGAATGCATCAGAGTTTTTTAATATCAGAATTGATCAAGCAGAAGACAGAATTAGTGAGCTTGAAGACAGGCTGTTTGAGAATACACAGAGGAAACAAAATAAAAAATAATAAACAATGGAGTGCTTCTACAGAATCTAGAAAATAGCCTCAAAAGGACAAATCTCAGAGCTATTGGCCTTAAAGAGGAGGTAGAGCAGGAGATCCCAAACCTAGAGAAAGATATCAACATCCAAGTACAAGAAGATTATAGAACAACAAGAAGATTTAACCCAAGCAAGACTACCTCAAGACATTTAAAATGAAACTCCCAAAGATCAAGAGTAAAGATGGGATCCTAAAAGCAGCAAAAGAAAAGAAACAACATACAATAGAGCTCTCACATGTCTGACAGCAGACTTTTCAGTGCAGACCTTACAGGCCAGGAGAGAGTGGCATGACATATTTAAAGTGTTAAAGAAAAAAAACTTTTACCCTAGAATAGTATATCCTGTGAAAATATCCTTCAAAAATAAAACAGAAATGAAGACTTTCCTAGACAAACAAAACCTAAGTGAATTAATCAACACCAGACCTGTCCTAGAAGAAATGCTAAAGGTAGTTACTTCAATCAGAAATAAAAGGATGTTAATGCACAATAAGTAATCAACTGAATGTACAAAACTCACTGGTAATGGTAAGTACACAGAAAAACACAGAATATTATAACACTGTAAATGTGGTTTGTAAACTACTCATCATAAACAGAAAGACTAAACAATAATAAAAAATAACAATAATTTATCAATACATAGTAAAATTAGATATAAATAGAAACAACAAAAAAGTGGGGGATGAAGTTAAAGCATACAGTCTATATTAGTTTTCTTTTTGCTTGTTTGTTTATACAAACCATGTTAAGTAGTTATCAGGCTAAAATAATGGTTATAAAATAGTATTTGCAAGCTTCATGATAACCTCACAACATAAACATACAGTGGATACACAAGAAATAAAAAGGAAGAAATTAAGTTATTTCACCAGAGGAAATTACCTTCACTAAAGGAACACCAGAAGGAAATAAAGAAGAGGAGACCACAAAACAATCAGAAAACAAATGAAATAGCAGGAGAATGTCCTCAGTTATCAATAATTACAATGAATGAAACTGGACTAAACATTCCAATAAAAAGAAACAGAGTGGCTGAATCAGTGAAAAAAACAAGACCCTTTGATCTGTTGCCTACAAGAAACACACTTCACCAATAAAAACACAGACTGAAAATAAAAGGATGGGGAGAACCTGGAAGATCCCTCACTTGGAGGAAAGCACAAGAATGTAGATGCACAGTACATGATTTGGAAATTCAGATAGCTGGTGGAGGAGAACGGCCAACCAAAGGCAGCTAGTGTATGCCACTCTCATAGAGAGAAATAGGATGAGTAAATATAGCACCTTCAACTGAAACATCCTGGCACACGTGGGGATTCATCAAGAAAAACCTCAACCCAAGAAGAACAAAGAAAAGTATGGCAGGACCCACCCAAGAGTGACACAGAGCCAGTGAAGCCTCTAAAAAGAAACGATGCAAGAACTTTGGCAACTGAAATAGCCAGACTTATTCCCTACAAATGACAGCACCAGTTCTCCAACAAGGGTTCTTAACCAGGCTAAGTTGGCTGAAATGATGGAAATGAGATTCAGATTATGGATAGCAACAAAGATCATCACAATTCAGAATGACAAAACTCAATCCAAGAAAACTAAGAATCACAATAAATTGATACAGGAGCTGACATATGAAATAACTAGTATATAAAAGAATCTAACTGCTCTGATAGAGCTGAAATCACACTACAGGAATTTCAAAATGCAATCACATGTATTAAGAGCAGAATAGACAAAGCTGAAAAAAGAATCTCAGAACTTGAAGACTGGCTTTCTAAAATAAAAGTTAGAAAAAAAAAATAAAGAAAAGGAATCAATGAAACCTCTGAGATATATGAGATTATGTAAAGAGACCAAATATATGAACCACTGGCATCCCTGAAAAGGGTGAGGAGAACACAACTTAGAAACCACATTTCATGATATCATCCATGAAAACCTCCCCAACCTCACTAAAGAGGCCAACAGTCAAATTCAGGAAATACAGGGAACCCTTGCAAGATTCTACACAAGAAAATAATCTTCATGACACATAATCATCAGATTTTTCAAGGTCAAAATGAAAAAAAAATGTTAAAGACAGCTAGAGAGAAAGAGCAGGCCACCCACAAAGGGAACCCCATAAAGCTAACAGTAGACCTCTCAGCAGAAATCCCACAAATCAGATGAGATTGAGGGCCTATATTTAACATTCCTAAAGAAAAAAAAAAATCTTCAACCAAGAATTTTATATCCAGCCAAACTAAGCTTCTGAAGTGAAAGAGAAAAGATCCTTTCAGATAAGCAAACATTGAAGAAGTTTGTTACAGTGAGACCCACCTTTCAAGAGATCTCGAAAGGAGCATCAAATATGGAAAGGAAATACTATTACCAGGCAATACAAAATACTATTACCAGGCAATACAACAACATATTTAAATACAGACCAGTGACAACTTAAGCAACCATGCAAATAAGCCAGCATAATAACCAGCTAACAACACAATAACAATATCAAATCCAAACACATAAATACTAACCATAATTGTATATGGGCTAAATGTCCCATTTAAAAGGCACAGAGTGGCAAGTTGGATAAAAAAGCAAGAACCAATAATATGCTGCCTTCAAGAGACCCATCTCACATGCAATGACACCATAGGCTTAAAATAAAGAGATGGAGAAATATCTTCCAAGCAAATGGAAATCAGAGTACAACAAGGGTTGCAATTCTAATATCAGATAAAATAGACATTAAAACAACAAAGACCAAAAAAGGACATTACACAATGGCAAAGGGTTCAATTCAACAAAAAGATATATGCATATATCACATATATATAGATATATATATAGATATAGATATATATAGATATATATCCTAAATATATATGCACCCAACACAGGAAGTAAATGCTTAGAGATTTTCCTGCAGACTTAGACTACCACACAATAATAGTGGGAGACTTCAACACTCCACTGACAGTATTACAGAGGTCATCAAGGTAGAAAATTAATAAAAATATTCAGGACCTGAAATCAACATTGAACCAAATGGATCTGATAGACCTCTAAAGAACTCTTCACCCAAAAACAACAGAATATACATTTCATCACCACATGGCACATAATTTAAAACCAATCACACAATCAAACATAAAACAATCCTCAGCAAATGCAAAAGAAATGAAATTATGCCCAACACACTCTCAGACCACAGTGCAATCAAATTAGAAATCAAGACTAAAAATTTTGCTCAAAACCATGCATTTATGTGGAAATTAAACAAACTGCTCCTGAATAACTTTGGTATAAATAATGAAATTGAGGCAGAAATCAAGACGCTCTTTCAAACTAATGAGAACAAAGATACAACATATCAGAATCTCTGGGACACAGCTAAGGCAGAGTTAAGAGTGAAATTTACAGAAATAAATGCCCACACCAAAAAGTTAGAAAGATCTCAAATTAGCAACCTAACATCACAACTAAAACAACTAAAGAACCAAGAGCAAACTAACCCCAAAGCTAGCAGAAGACAAGAAATAACCAAAACCAGAGCTGAACTAAAGGAGATGAAGACATGAAAAATTATTCAAAACGTTACCAAATCCAGAAGTTGGCTTTTTTTAAAAAAAAAAAAAAAAAAGGAAGATAGGCCACTAGCTAGATGAATAAGGAAGAAAGGAGAAAATATTCAAATCAACACAATTAGAAACAACACAGGGAATGTTACCACCAACACCACAGAAATACAAACAACCATCAGAGACAACTACAAACACCTCCATGCACACAAACTAGAAGACCTAGAAGAGATGAATAAATTCCTGGACACATACACCCTCCCATGACTGAACCAAGAGGAAATTGATTCCCTGAACAGACCAATAATGAGCTCTGAAATTTAATCGGTACTAAACAGGCTACCACCCAAAAAAAGCCCAGGACCAAATGTATTCACAGCCAAATTCTACCAGATGTGCAAAGAAGAGCTGGCACCATTTCTACTGAAATTATTCCAAAAAACTAAGAGGAGGGAGTCCTCCCCAACTCATTTTATGAGGCCAGAATCATCCTGATACCAAAATCTGGAAAAGACACAACAAAAACAGAAAACTTCAGGCCAATATCCTTGATGAAAATAGATGTAAAAATCCTCAGCAACATTATTGCCCACCAAATCCAGCAGCATATCAAAAAGCCTATTCACCACAATCAAGTAGGCTTTATCCCTGGGATGCACGTTTGGTTCAACAAAAACAAATAAATAAATGTGATTCATCGCATAAACAGCACTAAAGACAAAAACCACACTATTGTCTCAATGCATGCAGAAAAGGCTTTCAATAAAATTCAACATCCTTAATGTTAAAACTCTCAATAACCTAGGTATTGAAGGAACAGCCTCAAAATAATAACCGTCATTTATGACAAACCCACAGCCAACATCACACTGAATGGGCAAAAGCTGGAAGCATTCCCCTTGAAAACTGGCACAAGACAAGGATGCCATCTCTCACCATTCCTATTCAACATAGTATTGAATGTCCTGGCTAGAGCAATCAGGCAAGAAAAAGGAATAAAGAGCATCCAAATAGAAAGAGAAGAAGTCAAACTATCCTGGTTTCCAGACAACATGATTCTATACCTACTATAAAAAAAAAAGAAAAACCCATAGTCTAAGACCAAAAGCTCCTTAAGCTGATAAACAACTTCAGCAAAGTCTCAGGATACAAAACCAATGTAAAAAAATCACTAGCGTTTCTATATACCAATAACAGTCAAGATGAAAGCCAAATCAGGAATGTAATCCCATTCAAAATTGACACAAAAAAGAATAAAATACCTAGGAATACAGCTAACCAGGGAGGTGAAAGATATCTACAAGGAGAACTACAAAACACTGCTCAAAGAAAACACAGATGACACAAACAAATGCAAAAATAAAAAATAAAAATTCCATGCTCATGAATAGAAAGAATCAATATCTTTAAAATGGCCATACTGCCCAAAGCAATTTGCAGATTCAATGCTATTCCTATTAAACTACCAACAACATTCTTCGCAGAGCTAGAAAAAAGCTTTAAAAAATTCATATAGAACAACAACAACAACAAAAAACTGCCTGAATAGCCAAGGCAATCCTAAGGAAAAAGAACAAAGTTGGAGGCATAATATTAGCTGACTTCAATCTACACTACACGACTACAGTGACTAAATCTCATGGTACTGGTACAAAAACAGACACATAGATCTATGGAACAGAATAAGGAGCCAAGAAATAAGGCCACACACCTACAACTTTCTGATCTTTGACACAGCTGAGAAAACAAGCAATAGGGAAAAACTATCTATTTAATAAATGGTGCTGGGATAACTGGCTAACCATATGTAGAAGATTGAAACTGGACCTCTTCCTTTCACCATACATAAAACTCAACTCAGGATGGATTAAAGACTTAAATGCAAAACCCAAAACTAAAAATTCTGGAAGAAAACCTAGGCAATACCACTCTGGACACAGTAACTGGCAAATATTTTATGACAAAAATGCCGAAGGCAATTACAACAAAGGATCATTAGTGGCTGCTATAAGCAACAATATGCCAATAAATTCAAAAATCTAGAAAAAAAAGTACAGACTCCTGGACACATACAACCTATCAAGACTACACCATGAAGAAATCCAAACCCTGAACAGATCAGTAACAAGCAATGAGATCAAAGTCATAATAAAAATATCTCCCAGAAAGAAAAGCCCAGGACCCAATGTTTTCACTGTTGAATTCCACCAAACATTTAAAGAAGAACTAATACCATTTCTATTCGAACTGCTCTGAAAAATATACAGAAGACAGAATACTTCTTAACTCATCCTATAAGGCCAATATTACCCGGATACCAAAGCCAGAGACACATCACAAAAAAAAAAAAAAAAAAAGAAAAAAAAGAAAACTACAGGCCAATATATCTGATGAATATTGATGCTAACATCCCCAACAAAATACTAGCAAGCCATATTCAACAATACATCTAAAAGATAATTCATTATGACCAATCAGGATTTATCCCAGGTATACAAGGATAATTCAATATATGCAAATCAATAAATGTAATATATCATATCAACAGAAGGAAGGACAAAAACCATATAATAATTTCAATTGATGCTGAAAAAGCATTTGATAAAATTCAACATCCCTTCATGATGAAAACCCTCAAAAAACTCAGTATAGAAGAAACATACCTCAACATAATAAAAGCTACATGAGACAGATTCACAGCTGGCATCATAATAAGCAGGGGAAAACTGAAAGCCTTTCCTCTAAGGTCTGAAAAGATACAGGGATGTCCACTCTTACCACTATTATTCAACATAGTACTGGAAGTCCTATCTTGAGCAATCAGACAAGAGAAAGAAATGTAGGGCATCCAAACTGGAAAGGAAGAAGTCAAATTATCCTTGTTTGTAGATGATATGTTCTTATATTTGAAGAAATCTAAGGACTCCAGCAAAAACATTTTAGAATTTATAAACAAATTCAGTAAAGTTGCAGGATACAAAGTCAACATACAAAAGTCACTAGCATTTCTATATGTCAACAGTGAACAATCTGCAAAATAAATTTAATATTTAATCCCATTTATAATAGCCCCAAATTAAATTAAATACCTAGGAACTAAGAACTGAAAGGTCTATACAATAAAAAGTATAAAACACTGATGAAAAAAATTGAAGAGGAAACAAAAAACTTGAAAAATATTTCATGGTCATGGGTTGAAAGAATCAACATTTTCAAAAGCTTCATACACCCAAAGCAATCTACAGATTCAATGTAATCTCTATCAAAATACCAATGACATTATTCACAGAAATCAAAAAAAATCCTAAAATTTATATGGAACCATGAAAGATCCCAAATAGCGAAAGCTTTTCTGACCAAAAAGAACAACCCTGGAGGAATCACATTACCTGATTTCCAATTGTGCTACAGAGCTATAGTAACCAAAACAGCATGGTACTGGTATAAAAAAAGAAACATAGACTAATAGAACAGAATAGAGAACCCAGAAACAAATCCACACACCTACAGTAAACTCTCTTTCCACAAAGAAGCCAAGAACATAACCTAGGGAAAAGAGAGTCTCTTCAATAAATGGTGCTGGGAAAATGGAATATCCATATACCAAAAAAATAAAACTTGACCCTTATATCTCACCATATATAAAAGTCAAATAAAAATGAACTGAAGCCTTAAATCTAAGACCTCAAACTATAAAAATACAAGAAAACACTGAGGAAACTCTCCAGGATATTAGAGTGGGCAAGGATTTGAGTATTACCATATAAAAATAGGCAATCAAAGCAAAAATGGACAAATGGAATCATATCAAGTCAAAAAGCTTCTGCCCAACAAGGGAAACAATCAATAATATATATAGACAGCCCACATAGTAGGGAAAAAATTTGCAAATTAACCATCGGACAAGGGATTGTTAACCAGAATATATAAGGAGCACAAACAACTCTGTAGGGAAAGATCTAATAATCTGATTTTTAAATGGGCAAAAGATTTCAATAGACATTTCTCAAGACATACAAATGGCAAACAGACATATGAAAAGGTACTAAATATCAATGATTGTCAAATAAATGCAAATTAAAACTTCAATGAGATATCATCTCATCTTGGTTAAAATGGCTTATATCCAAAAGATAAGCAATAAAAAATATGGGTGAGAAGGTGGGGAAAAGGGAACCCTCATACAATATTGATAGGAATGTAAATTAGTACAACCCCTACGGAGAACAGTTTGGAGGTTATTCAAAAAACTAAAAATAGAGCTACCATGTGATCCAATAATCCCACTGCTGAGTAGGTAACTCCCCAAAATGAAATCATTATGTTGAGTGGTATCTGCACTCTCATATTTGCCACAGCTCTGCTCGCAATGGCCAAGATTTAGAAGCAACCTAAATGTCCATGAACAAATGAAGGGATAAAGAAAATGTGGTACATATACACAATAGAGTACTATTCAGCCATAAAAAAAGATAGAGATTCAGTAGAAGGATGGTTACCAGATGCTGGGAAGGGTATTGGTTGGGTTGCGGAGGAGATGGGAATGGTTAATAAGTACAAAATAAATAGAATGAATGAATAAAACCTAGGATATAATAACATAAGAGGGGATTATAGTTAATAACAATTTAATTATACATTTTGAAATACTAAAAGTATAATTTGTTTATAATTCAAAGGATAAATACTTGAGGAGATGAATATCCCATTTTATATGATGTGATTATTACACATTGTATGTCTGTATCAAATCATTTCATGTGCCTCATAAATATATACACTTATTCTGTACCCACAAATGTTAAAAATAAATGATTATTATTATTTGTTAAGTTCTAGGGTACATGTGCACAACGTGCACATTTGTTACATAAGTATACATGTGCCATGTTAGTTTACTGCACCCATCAACTCGTCGTTTACATTAGGCGTTTTTCCTAATGCTATCCCTCCCCCAGCCACCCACCCCCGACAGGCCCCAATGTGTGATGTTCCCCGCCCTGTGTCCATGTGTTCTCACTGTTCAATTACCACCTATGAGTGAGAACATGCGGTGTTTGGTTTTCTATCCTGTGATAGTTTGCTGAGAATGATGGTTTCCAGCTTCATTCATGTCCCTGCAAAGGACATGAACTCAGCCTTTTTTATGGCTGCATAGTATCCCATGGTGTATATGTGCCACATTTTCTTAATCCAGTCTATCATTGTTGGACATTTGGGTTGCTTCCAAGTCTTTGCTATTGTGAATCATGCCACAGTAAACATACGTGTGCATGTCTTTTTAGTAGGAGGATTTATAATCCTTTGGGTATATACCCAGTAATGGGATCAATGGGTCAAATGGTATTTCTAGTTCTAGATACTTGAGGAATCACCAGACTGTCTTCCACAATGGTTGAACTAATTTACACTCCCACCAAGAGTGTAGTAGCGTTCCTATTTCGCCACATCCTCTCCAGCACCTGTTGTTTCCTGACTTTTTAATAATCACCATTCTAACTGGCATGAGATAGTATCACACTGTGATTTTGATTTACATTTCTCTGATGACCAGTGATGATGATCATTTTTTCATGTGTCTGTTGGCTGCATAAATATCTTCTTTTGAGAAGTGTCTGTTCATATCCTTTGCCCACTTTTTGATGGGGTTGTTTTTGTTTTTTTTTTTTTTTCCTGTAAATTTGTTTAACTTCTTTGTAGATTCTGGATATTAACCCTTTGTCAGATGAGTAGATTGCAAAAAGTTTCTCCCATTCTGTAGGTTGCCTGTTCACTCTGATGGTAGTTTCTTTTGCCATGCAGAAGCTCTCTAGTTTAATTAGATCCCATTTGTCTATTTTGGCTTTTGTTGTCATTGCTTTTGGTGTTTTAGTCATGAAGTCTTTGTCCATGCCTATGTCCTGAATGGTATTGCCTAGGTTTTCTTCTAGAGTTTTTATGGTTTTAGGTCTTACATTTAAGTCTTTAATCCATCTTTGGTAAATTTTTGTATAAGGTGTAAGGAAGGGATCCAGTTTCAGCTTTCTACATATGGCTAGCCAGTTGTCCCAGCACTATTTATTAAATAGGGCATCCTTCCCCCATTTCTTGTTTTTGTCATGTTTGTTGAAGCTCAGATGGTTGTAGATGTGTGGTGTTATTTCTGAGGTCTCTGTTCTGTTCCATTGGTCTATATCTCTGTTTTGGTACCAGTACCATGCTGTTTTGATTACTGTAGCCTTGTAGTATAGTTTGAAGTGAGGTAGCATGATGTCTCCACCGTTTTTCTTTTTGCTTAGGATTGTCTTGGCTATATGAGCTCTTTTTTGATTCCATATGAACTTTAAAGTAGTTTTTTCCAATTCTGTGAAGAAAGTCATTGGTAGCTTGATGTGGATGGCACTGAATCTATAAATTACCTTGGGCAGTATGGCCATTTTCACAATATTGATTCTTCCTATCCATGAGCATGGAATGTTCCTCCCTTTGTTTGTGTGCTCTTTTATTTCCTTGAGCAGTGGTTTGTAGTTCTTGAAGAAGTTCTTCACATCCCTTGTAAGTTGGATTCCTAGGTATTTTATTCTCTTTGTAGCAGTTGTGAATAGGAGTTCACTCATAATTTGACTCTGTTTGTTACTGGTATAGGGATGCTTGTGATTTTTGCACATTGATTTTGTATCCTGAGATTTTGCTGAAGTTGCCTATCAGCTTAAGGAGATTTTGGGCTGAGAAGATGGGGTTTTCTAAATATACAATCATGTCATCTGCAAACAGGGACAATTTGACTTCCTCTTTTCCTAATTGAATACGCTTTATTTCTTTCTCTTGCCTGATTGCCCTGGCCAGAACTTCCAACACTACGTTGAATAGGAATGGTGAGAGAGGGCATCGTTGTCTTGTGCTGGTTTTTGAAGGGAGTGCTTCCAGTTTTTGCCCATTCAGTATAATATTGGCTGAGGGTTTGACATAAACAGCTCTTATCATTTTGAGATACATCCCATCAATACCTAGTTTACTGAGAGTGTTTAGCACTAAGTTGAATTTTGTCAAAGGCCTTTTTTGCATCTATTGAGATAAGCATGTGGTTTTTGTCATTGATTCCGTTTATGTGATGGATTATGTTTATTGATTTGCGTTTGTTGAACCAGTCTTGAATCCCAGGGATGAAGCTGACTTGATTGTGATGGATAAGCTTTTCGATGTGCTGCTGGATTCAGTTTGCCAATATTTTATTGAGGATTTTTGCATCAATGTTCAATAGGGATATTGGTCTAAAAGCCTCTTTTCTTGTTGTGTCTCTGCCAGGCTTTGGTATCAGAATGATGCTGGCCTCATAAAATGAGTTAGGGAGGATTCTCTCTTTTTCTATTAATTAGAATAGTTTCAGAGGGAATGGTACCAGCTCCTCTTTGTACCTCTGGTAGAATTCGGCTGTGAATCCATCTGGTCCTGAACTTTTTTTGGTTGGTAGGCTATTAATTATTGCCTCAATTTCAGAACCTGTTATTCATCTATTCAGAGTTTCAACTTCTTCCTGGTTTAGTATCAGGACAGTGTATGTGTCCAGGAATTTATCAGTTTCTTCTAGATTTTCTAGTTTATTTACATAGAGGTGTTTATACTATTCTCTGTTGGCAGTTTGTATTTCTGTGGAATTGGTGGTGATATCCCCTTTATCGTTTTTTATTGTGTCGATTTGATTCTTCTCTCTTTTCTGCTTTATTAGTCTTGCTAGCAGTCTATCAATTTTGTTGATCTTTTCAAAAAACCAGCTCCTGGATTCATTAATTTTTTGAAGGGTTTTTCGTGTCTTTATCTCCTTCAGTTCTGCTTTGATCTTGGTTATTTCTTGTCTTCTGCTAGCTTTTGAATTTGTTTGCTCTTGCTTCTCTAGTTCTTTTAATTATGATGTTAGGGTGTTGATTTTAGATCTTTCCTCCTTTCTCTTGTGGGCATTTAGTGCTATAAATTTCCATCTACATACTGCTTTAAATGTGTCCCAGAGATTCTGGTACGTTGTGCCTTTGTTCTCATCTGTTTCAAAGAACATCTTTATTTCTGTCTTCATTTCATTATTTACCCAGGAGTCATTCATGAGCAGGTTGTTCAGTTTCCATGAGGTTGTACGGTTTTGAGGGAGTTTCTTAATTCTGAGTTCTAATTTGATTGCACTGTGGTCTGAGAGACAGTTTGTTATAATTTCTGTTCTTTTACATTTGCTGAGGAGTGCTTTACTTCCAATTATGTGGTCAATTTTGGGATAAGTACAATGTGGTGCTGAGAAGAATGTATGTTCTGTTGATTTGGGGTATAGAGTTCTGTAGATGTCTATTAGGTCTGCTTGGTGCAGAGCTGAGTTCAAGTCCTGGATAACCTTGTTAACATACTCGCTTGTTGACCTGTCTAATATTGACAGTAGTGTGTTAAAGCCTCCCATTATTATTGTGTGGGACTCGAAGTCTCTTTGTAGCTCTTAAGGACTTGCTTTATGAATCTGGGTGCTCCTGTATTGGGTGCATATATATTTAGGATAGTTAGCTCTTCTTGTTGAATTGATCCCTTTACCATTATGTAATGGCCTTCTTTGTCTCTTTTGATCTTTGTTGGTTTAAAGACTGTTTTATCAGAGACTAGAATTGCAAACCCTCCTTTTTTTTGCTATTTCCTTGGTAGATCTTTCTCTATCCCTTTATTTTGAGCCTATGTGTGTCTCTGCAAATGAGATGGGTCTCCTGAATACAGCACACTGATGGGTCTTGACCCTTTATCCAATTTGCCAGTCTGTGTCTTTTAATTGGGGCATTTCGTCCATTTACATTTAATGTTAATATTGTTATGTGTGAATTTGATCCTGTCATTATGATGTTAGCTGGTTATTTTGCCCATTAATTGATACAGTTTCTTCTTAGCATCAATGTTTTTTACAATTTGGCCTGTTTTTGCAGTGGCTGGTACTGGTTGTTCCTTTCCATGTTTAGTGCTTCCTTCAGGAGCTCTTGTAAGGCAGGCCTGGCAGTGACAAAATCTCTCAGCATTTGCTTGTCTGGAAGGATTTTATTTCTCCTTCACTTATGAAGCTTAGTTTGTCTGCATATGAGATTCTGGGTTGAAAATTCTTTTCTTTAAGAATGTTGAATATTGGCCCCTACTCTCTTCTGGCTTGTAGAGTTTCTGCTGAGAGATCTGCTCTTAGTCTGATGGGCTTCCCTTTGTGGGTAACCCGATCTTTCTCTCTGGCTACCCTAAACATTTTTTTCTTCATTTCAACCTTGGTGAATCTGACAATTATGTGTCTTGGGGTTGCTCTTCTCGAGGAGTATCTTTTTGGTGTTCTCTGTATTTCCTGAATTTGAATGTTGGCCTGCCTTGCTAGGTTGGGGAAATTCTCCTGGATAATATCCTGAAGAGTGTTTTCTAACTTTGTTCCATTCTCCCCGTCACTTTCAGATACACCAATCACACATAGATTTGGTCTTTTCACATAATCCCATATTTCTTGGAGGCTTTGTTCATTTCTTTTCACTCTTTTTTCTCTAATCTTGTCTTCTCACTTTATTTCGTTAATTTGATCTTCAATCACTGATATCCTTTCTTCCACTTGATTGAATTGGCTATTGAAGCTTGTGCATGCATCACGAAGTTCTTATGCTGTGGTTTTCAGCCCGATCAGGTCATTTAAAGTCTTCTCTACACTGTTTATTCTAGTTAGCCATTTGTGTAACCTTTTTTCAAGGTTTTTCACTTCCTTGAGATGAGTTAGAACATGCTCCTTTAGCTCAGAGAAGTTTGTTATACCAACCTTCTGAAGCCTACTTCTGTCAACTCATCAAGGTCATTCTCCATCCAGTTTTGTTTCTTTGCTGGCGAGGAGCTGCGATCCTTTGGAGGAGAAGAGGCACTCTGGTTTTTGGAATTTTCAGCATTTCTGCTCTGGTTTCTCTTCATCTTTGTGGTTTTACCTACCTTTGGTCTTTGATGTTGGTGACCTACAGATGGGGTTTTGGTGTGGATGTGGCCTTAATCTCTGCAATCCCTCCAGGGATACAGTATTGTTTTTGATTTACTATCTTTCTAGGTAGAAGCAGCTCTAATGGCTTCAATTTGCTGTTTCCCAACATTATAGCCCACACCTTACCAGTCAGGGAGCCAGTGTGGGGGTTCTGTCAGCTGCTAAATATGTCTATGCCAATTATGCATTCTGGTGCTGAGGAAATGACCACAGGGTGAGTCCAGGGACCCACTGGACCCAGTGTAAGTCAGACCTGAGCTAAAGCTCCATTAATTGCCTGACCTCCATAAGCTCCTACATAAGCTCCTACTTTAACTGGAGGACAACAATGATGTTTTGGGTCCCCTGGAATCAACGTCAGCTCAAAGCCAGTGTCCAGTAGTCCCCAAAGTGTCTGATCATTCCCCTCTTCCCAGTGCACAGTTATCCTGGTAAAAGGCCCTAGGTCTCCTTGGGGAAGGATGAGGTAAAGATTCACTGCATAAATTGTCAATAAAGTAGTACTTCCTCAAGGGGACCCAGCCTCCCCTTCATTGAAGGGGTTCTGGGTCTATAAACTGGCTCAAGTCTGGAAATTGATTGAGGGGCCATGATTCCCTATTTTTATAATTCAAATTAGTCTTTTGTCTATTTGACCTAGAAGTTTTCTGTTTGTATAAATTAAGTAGGAATGCAGTAGGCTTCCTATCAGTTTCACTTCTAGGAACACTATGATTTATGCAATGCTAGAGGTCTACATGAGTCAGGCTATTCTGATTGCCACTTTGCCTCTGCTGTCCATTATGGTAGCTATGCCCACCTTCCCTTTGGTGGTTGAGTGCCACCACTTGGCCCCTCCCACCTCGGGATCCAATTATTCCCATTGTATTTAAATTCTGTAGTTGAGTGACTGTGGTCTCCACTATTAGACCTGACATACAGAGAACAGCAATTACAGGACTCTTCAAAGATGCAGGTGCAACCCTCACAAATCTGTTCTGTAAGGCACTGGACAAGGATATGTCTTCTAGACCCTCCCAGCTGGGATGAGTAGGTCTAGAGTGATTAATCCACTCCACCATCCCAATCTCCCTAAGCCTTTGGATCTCTTCCTCCACATTAAACCAAGGCAGATCAGGCATTTCCAGCTCGCTCACAGTGGGCCATCTGTTAATCCATATTTCAGCTACCAAGCAAATAAACTATTAGAACCTTTTATAAGGTTCCCCGAGCTGAAACATTAAATGCAGAGTCCCTACTTAGTGGACCCAAATCAATAAATTCAACCTGATCCAACTCTATGTTCCTTCCACCACTATCCCATACCTTAATATCCATTCCCATATCTGTTCTCCAGATTTCTGTTTACATAAATTAGAAAACTCAAGCAGTTCTTTTCGAGTGTGTCATACATCATGGGTCACACTCTCAACCTCACCTTTGGGGGCCCACTGTGACTTTAGTCTAGTCATAGGTCCAGAAGCAAACAGGGGTGTTGGGGGTGGCTACTGAGGAGAATCAAAATTATCTTTCCTGGCAACTGCCTCAGGGGAGGCCACCAATGTTGCCTCAGGCAGCACAGAGTTTATCTCCTCAGACAAAGATGGAAAGGCTTATGGCAGCATGGGTTGAGGAGGAGACGTTGCCACTACTGGGGATGGGGAAGCTGTTTCTTCTGGCAAGAAAACGTTCATCAGAATTTACAAACTCAGTGTTCCCAGCTTCATCAGGGTCTTCCCATATGGCCCCATTCCAAGTTGCAGGGTCCCATTCTTTTCCAATCAATGCCCTCACTTTGACAATAGACACCTGGAGAGGCTGTGCATGCACCATTCATTGCAGCAAGCCACTCACATGATAAGAGCTTGTGTCTGTTTTTCCACAATTTCAGTTAACTCTCTACAGGAGATAAGACTGTCAACTCAGGGCAATCTTAGCAGATTTGAGGCTCAGTATCTGCTTCTGAAGCCAGGAAATAGAATCTGAGTTCATCATTTTCTTTCATTATTTTATCCACTGAACTTAGAAGCAACCAACCAGCTTCATTATGTTCCTTGGCTCTCCACATATCGTCAAAGGTATTATGCAGAGTCACTAAACTCCCTGCCACTCGTGAGCAATGAATGAGAAATGTCAAGTGCACTTATTTTGCATAACTTTCTACACAGTTAATGCCAAGGACTATCAGTGTTCTCCATACTATTAGCAATAGAGTTCTTAGCATTTTGGGGGCTAATCATATTACTCAGCCAACTCCAGAAACCCCAAAACCAATGAAAGAGCTCCATCCTTAATATTCTGTTCCTCTAGAACCACTCCTAGTACTAAAATCTGTATTAGTCAGGGTTCTTTAGAGGGACAGAACTAAAGGAATATATATATATATGTATAAAGGGAATATATATATATATATGTATATACATATATAAAGGGAGTTTATATATATGTGTATATAAAGGGAGTTTATAGATATATGTGTATATATATATAAAGGGAGTTTATATATATATATATATATATATAGTTCTCTAGAGGGACAGAACTAAAGGAATATATATAATGTATGTGTATTCCTAAATATATATATATATATATATCCTAAAGGAATATATATATGTATAAAGAGAATATATACATGTGTGTGTATATATATGTGTGTGTATATATATATGTGTGTATATATGTGTGTGTATATATATACATATATGTGTGTGTGTGTATATATAAACATATATACACATATATGTGTGTGTATATATATATGTATATATATGTGTGTGTATATATATATATACACATATATATAAAGGGGGGTTATTAAGTATTAACTCACATGATCACAAGGTCCCACAATAGGCCATCTGCAAGGAGGAGCAAGGAGAGACAGTCTGAGTTCCAAAACTGAAGAACTTGGAGTCTGATATTCCAGGGCAGGAATCATCCAGCACAGGAGAAAGATGTAGCCTGGGAGGCTAGGCCAGTCTCTCTTTTCACATTTTTCTGCCTGCTTATATTCTAGCCACTTTGGCAGCTGATTAGATTGTGTCCACCTAAATTAAAGGTGAACCTACCTTTCCCAGCCCACTGACTCAAATGTTATTCTCCTTTGGCAACACCCTCACAAACACACCCAGGATCAATACTTTGTATCCTTTAATTCAATCTAGTTGGCAGTATTAACCATCACAATCAATTACTAATAATTCCCAAAATAAAAAACAACAGATTTATATGGGTTCCCTAGTGCATTCTATCTAATTGTTTAGGAAAAAATAGTATCAATTCTCCACAATCTCCCAAAAAGAGAAGCAGAAAGAACACTTTCCAACTCATTCTATAAGGCGATGGTTACCCTAATATCAAAAATGTATAAAGACATTACAAAAAAGAAAACTGTAAATCAATATCACTCATAAACATAAATGCAAACTCAACAAAGTATTAGCAAAAATTCCAAGAATGTATAAAAACATTTATAAAACATGACCAAGCGTGTGAAAGATTTGTTCAACATTGAAGAAGTAATCAATGTAATCTACCTTATCAACTAAACAAATAAGGAAGATCATATGATCACATCAATAGCTTCAGAAAAAGAATCTGACAAAATCCAATACGAAGTCATGTTTACTTTTAAAAAATAATCAATTAACTAGAAATGGAGAACTTCCTCAGTTGATAAAGAACATCTACAAAAACAGACTAACAAATTAGTGGTGAGAGGCTGGATGTTGTTCCCCTAACATTGGGAGCAAGGCAAGTTCCCTCTCATTACTCTTATTCCACAGTGTACTGAAGGTTCAGCTATTGTGATAACACAAGAAGAAATAAAAGGTATATGAAATGGAAAGAGATAGATAAAACTGTATTCATAGAAGGCACAATTGTTGACCAAAAAAATCTACCAAAGAATTTCCAAAAATCTCCCGGAATAAGTGAGTATAGCAAAGTCTCAGGGCACAAGGTCAATATACAAATGTTAGTCCCTTATATACCAGCAATGAACAATTACAATTTGATTTTTTTAAAAAAAAATTAGGAGAATGATAATACACAGCACAGATAGGGTAGTAAAACTAAACTTTATGGTATTATAATGGTGGATGCATCTCATTGCAAACTTGTCCAAACCCATATAATCTACAACACTAAGAGTGAAACCTATGTACACTATGGACTCTATTAACAAAGATATATCAATGTAGGTTCATCAATGGTAACACCTATATCACCCTGGTGGAGATGTTAATAATGGGGGAAGCTATGTATGTGTGATCATATTTGGGAATCAATTTTGCTGTGAATCTAAAACCGTACTAGAATATAAAGTCTATTTTTTAAAAACGACCCTAAAAATTTGCAGTACCACTCCAAAATAGGTGTGAAACCAACAAAATATGTACAGCCTTGGTATGCAAAAACCTACGAAATACTGATGAACAAATTTAAAATAACCTAAATAAATATTCAATGTTCATGGATTAGAAGATTCAATATGTGTAAGATGTCGGTTTGTCCAAACCTAATCTATATATTCAATTCAATACCAGTCAAAATCTTAACCAGCTGATTCATTTACATCAATAAACTGATTCTAAGTCTTCTATGGAAAAAAAAACTAAAGTTGCCAACACAATACTATAGAAAAATAAAGTTAGACTTACATAAAACATCTTATTGTGTCATACCAGTCTATTCTGAGATAAAAAGTTATTTCAACTGCATACAAAAAACTCCACACTTCTACTTCTCTGCACATGTACTTTATGTTACTGATGCAAAAATTTACTTCTTTGTATATTATGCATCTGTTAACCAATTTTAATGGTTATAGATACACTTACTGTGTTTGTCTTTTAACATTTATACCACGGTTAAAAGTGATTTATGCACTACCATTACATAATTCATTATTCTGTATTTCTCTATATACTTGACTATACTTGACAGTTTGAGCATCTTGTAGTGCCAGAAAGGAAATGCTGAATGAAGCGTGTATGTGTGTGCACGTGCACACACACACACATACACACAGAAACAGAGGGGGTTGGGAATTATGTCAAAGGGATTCAAGCGTCAGCTGAAAGAGCTCCAATGGCTAAAGCAGAAAAATGTATATAAAAAATTAAATAAAGAACATTGGACTATAACACTAAGTATAAAATAAGTACCCATCTGTCCATACTGATGTAAATAAATGATTGAATAAATAAATGGTAGAGAATAGACAAATCTCTCATCCAGAAAGATTCCACATAATTCATGCAGACAGTCAGTCTTTAAGAAGATGAAGCATAACTTTCTACTCTTTAAGATTGGGCCTGTGTACAGAGACTATTCTTGATATGATTTGGCTGTGTCCCCACTCAAATCTCATCTTGAATTATAGCTCCCATAATTCTCATGTGTTGTGGGAGGAACCAGGTAGGAGATAACTGAATCATGGGGGTGGTTTCCCCCATACTGTTCTTGTGGTGGTGAATAAGTCTCACAAGATCTGGTGGTTTAGTAAGGGGTTTTCCTTTTTGTTTGGTTCTCATTCTCTCTTGCCTGCCACCATGTAAGATGTACCTTTCACCTTCTGCCACGATTGTGAGGCCTCCCCAGCCACACAGAACTGTGAGTCAATTAAACCTCTTTTTCTTTATAAATCACCCAGTCTTGGGTATGTCTTTATTAGCAGCGTGAAAACTGACTTACACAGACAGCTCTCCTACCAGTAAAACATGGAAAACAAGGAGGAAGATAGTAACTTCGCAGTGGAGAAAGCTGTTGGAAACTACCTCAGCCAGGTTTGATCAAGGTTAACAATAGTGATAAATCACGCTGATAGTATGTTTCCTTGATATAATGTGATGAGAATGGCACTTTATCTCTGTGGTTATTCCTCCTAAAAACC
The DNA here is from genome assembly GCF_000001405.40 of Homo sapiens. Classification (NCBI taxonomy): domain Eukaryota; kingdom Metazoa; phylum Chordata; class Mammalia; order Primates; family Hominidae; genus Homo; species Homo sapiens. The sequence goes on from NC_000017.11 coordinate 54,599,101, forward strand.
TATAGTATCATGAGAGAATTATACAAATCCCAATCGGGGGACATTCTGCAAAATATTTGACCATTACTAAGAATTATCAAGGTTAACAAAAACAAGGAAAATCTGAGAAACTGAAAGCCAAGAGGAGACATGACAACTAAATATGATATTAGGGATGAAATCTTGGAACAGAAAAAAAAGTCTTTAGGTAAAAACTAAGGCAACTTGAATTAAGTATTCACTTTAGATTAAAATAATGTATCAACATTGATTTATTAATTGTAACAAATGTACTATACAAGTATAAGATATTAAGGGAAATCGTGTGAGGTATATGAAAACTTTCTGTACTATCATATTTTTCTATAACTCTAAACTATTACAAAAGAAAAAAATAGATTTAAATAAATATGCCTCTTTCTTTAGTTATAAAGAAAAACTTTCCCAGACTTTAAAATGATAGTTCTAAATCCCATCCTTTCTGGCCATCAAGGTTTCAGAAAACCTTATTTCTTAACCTCAGCCTAGGTTGAGGTCTCAAGGGTAGGTTGTAGATTTCAATAGTAGGTTGCAGATTTCAAGAACTGCTGGAAAATTCATGTAATATATGCTAAAATGATGAGCAAGATAATTTAACCTAAGGATTATGTCAAACTGTAGGTGAAGTATCCTTCAAGATTTGTATGACAAGTAAATCTGCATGTTAATTGGGATCTGGTGCCTAATGCAGTATCTGGAACAGTGTGGGTGTTTAATAAGTGTCAGCTATGGGAAAACCAAATACATTCATTCAATCCATTATTCCATTAATTCCTCAAAAACAATGAAACAAAAAACTTATTCCCAAGAAATGGAAAACAGCATCCTGTCTCATAAAACTAGAAATTAATCTTTAGCATGTAATTAAATGGACTACATATTATAAAGAAAAAAAAGTGTATGCATACCTGTCTATGTGTATGTTTCCTATAGAGTAAACCTAATATGGGCTGGGTGCGGTGGCTCACGCCTGTAATCCCAGCACTTTGGGAGGCTGAGGCAGGTGGATCACGAGGTCAGGAGATAGAGACCATCCTGGCTAACACGGTGAAACCCCGTCTCTACTAAAAATACAAAAAATTAGCCATGCATGGTGGCGGGCGCCTGTAGTCCCAGCTACTCGGGAGGCTGAAGGCTGAGGCAGGAGAATGGTGTGAACCCAGGAGGCAGAGCTTGCAGTGAGCCAACATCGCGCCACTGCACTCAGCCTGGGCGACAAAGTGAGACTCCGTTAAAAAAAAAAAAAAACTAATATGCAAACAACATGGATTAAATTATTAGCTTAGTAGAAGGAGTCACTAAGGAAGTCAGTTCCTATACTTTGTTGTTAAAAAATTAACTGACAACACTTTAAAACACATGTTCTCAGCACCCTGTCTTGGTAGCCTTTGGCCCTGGCTGTACTCCTGGACATAGATAGAGCTACACTGGTTCTTCATAAACCATAGATACAAGTAGGAATTTAAATGTTTCTAACTTGTAGGCTGGAGCTTATCTTTTTCTGCCTTCATAGGGTAGCCATGAGCAAGGAGCCTGGTGACCTTAACAGAAAGGGAAGATTTAAGGTTTCTATTTAAATGTGTTCAGGAAAAGCAGAGTTTGAATTAAAATTTTTATCTCAATTTCAACTTCATTTGGTTTTACATCTTTAAATATTGTTCTTTTTAAATGTTGATTATAATTAATATTTGTTAATAAAGACAAAATACTAGTGAATATTTTTAATGTTTAATATGTTTTAGAAATGATAACACTTTTAAAAAGGAAACTGGGCCTTTCTTTTTTCCAATAGCTAATAATGAATTAACCTCACAAATAATAGACCATGGCTTAATAACCTATACAAAATTATTTTCCCTTCGATCAAAATAATGTGAAAAAACATGTTACAAAATGTATGGATTTAATATGACTATCATAAACCATAACATACACTTTAAAATCCAGTGCCAGATTCCTATAGGAACATAATAAATATTTATTGAATTTATTTGTGCCATTTACAGATTGCTACTTATTTTATGCATAGCCTTTTATTAAATTTTGAAAGCACATGGGAATTCTGTAATGAGTTAAATATTGGCTGTTGACTTATTATTTTGTTTCATTTTTTGCTGGAAAATAAACGATAAGACTGCGTGGGAATTGTGTAATACTTTATCACTCTTAGTTATCCACCTATGGGAAGACTTGCTATTTGAACCACCCAAATCTGGTACCATCATTAATTAAAGTGGAAGCTAGCCTAGTTGTGAATATGATGCCTAGAAAGTCACAAATTACATGTTTGCTAGTATATTCTATTCAAACATATCAAGTAATGGCAAATACAAACTATACACTCTAAGTACTGTCATTCAATCACACTCTCTAAATAGGAGCCACGAACAAGTCTTCAGGGGCAGAGCAGGTTACAAATGTGTTAAGCAGCCAGATTTCCATGCAAACAGGCAAACATGCATACATATATCCCCACTACTGTCTTGGGGTAAAAATGTAATGAAGCTTTATTAGAAAAATACAGACAAGTAAAAGACACATGATCATTAATACCTATTATCCCATAAAAAAAGTGTTTTGGGTTGGCATAGCTGGCATGTATCTGCAATGTAGGTATCTTCAGAAGAACTCTGTATTTTTAATGCTCTACTTCAATGGTTATTAAAATGTGGTCTCCATTGTTCTACTCTATCCCTATCATGGACTAGAAGCATCAGCAACAACTGGAAGCCTATAAGAAACACAAATTATTGGACTCAGTACAGTTGTGTTAAATTAACTGCCCTTAAACTTTGTTTTATCCATGGAATATTTAGAAACCTATTCTTTAATTTCCAAGTGTTTAGAGATTTTTCTGTTACCTTTCTAGTATAGATTGCTAGTTTGATTCCACTACATAAGAGAACATTATGATTTTATTTTAAATTTGTTAAGGGTTTTTTTTAATGGCCCAAGATGTAGTCTATCTTGGTGAATGTTCCATGTGTGCTAGAAAAAAATGTGTGTTCTAATGTTACTGTGTGATATGTACTTTAAATGCCAATTAGATGCCATTAGTTGATGGTGATATTTTCTTTATCTTTGTTTATTTTCTGTCTAGTAGCATTACTCATTATTGAGAAAATGTATTCAAGTCCCCAGCTATAATTGTACATGTATCTATCTTCTATTTAAGCTCTGTCATTTTGGCTTCATGAATTTTAAAGCTTTGTTGTTTGGAACATAAACATTTAGGATTGCTCTATCGTGTTGCTGAATTGACTTGTTATTATTATGTGATAATCCTTTTTGTCCTAGTAACTTTATTTGCTCTGAAATCTACTTTGTATTATATCATTATATCAATTTCAGTTTTCTTTTGATTAGCTTCCTTGGTCTATGTTTATTCTATTCCTTCATGTTCAACCTATTTGCATCATTATATTTGAAATCATCCTTGTAGATAGCTTATAATTGAATAATATTTTAATCCATTCTACCAACCTCTCTCATTTCCAGACTTCTATTTAGCCCATCCAGTAAGTTTTTTATTTCATGTATTCTGTTTTTCAGTTCTAAAGTTTCAGTCTTGGAAGTGAACATAACAGTCCAAGTCACGCCTTCAGATGACAGAAGCTCCAGCCAACATCTTGAGTGTAACCTTATGAAGAGACCATGAGCCATAATCACTCATCTAAGTCATTCCTGGATTCTCCACTCAGAATCTATGAGGCAGTAAATGTTTGTTGTTTTAAGCCATTGAGTTGTATTATAATTTGCTACACAGTAATAGATGATAAATATACACTTTATGCTATCTGCTTTAAATTTTATGTAGATAGATATATTAAGAGAGGAGGACTTCAGGTATTTGTTTTATTATGTCATTTTTATCAAATGGGTCAGTCCTCAGAAATACTATGTCCAAATTGTGCAAAAATAATATCAGTTAAAACAACTCCAAGATTTTTTGTCCTTTACTGCTAGAGAGGTTAGTATTTCCCAAGATACAATCAGAGATTAGGCTATGTGCTAAAAAATTTAATTAATTTATGCTATGAATTATATAATCAGACCATCTTGGAACTATTCCCATAGATAATACATTTCTTTAACCAGATCCCATACATGTCATATATAACTTTGGGGCAGGACCCTGACTTCTTAAAGTTTCTTTTTTAAACAATCTATAGATGTAAATTATCCTCCTCATTCCAATTAAGATACTGGTAGCTAAAACCTCCTATGGGCAAGCAATATATTTTTATTCAAGAGATACGGGAAAATACCTTATTAGAGATATTTTATCTGCCTTAGGTCCCTGTTAACCTGGAAAATTACCAAGCTATTTGAACAATAAAAGAATTCCCAAAGAAGCCAAGCTCTTTTCAGAGTGAGCCTTTAACTCCAAATCATCAACAAACACCTGAGACTGCAAACATGAGGGCTTATTTGACTAGACAGTTAAAATAAACAACCCATATCACAAATAATCACTGTTGCTCTTTCTACCACAGACTGAACAACCATCCAGGTGGAAAAAAATAACAGAATGGCAAAACTTGCAGGCCAATATAAAAACTGTTTAGAGAAACCTCTGGAGATTCTGAAAATCAGAGTTTCTAGTTTGAAGTGATTCAAAGCACCTGTTTCTAGTATAAACTGTCCAGATGTAAGATGATGTTATAGTTTATTCTGGGACTAAAGAGATAATATCTGATTATTCTATGTCTATAAAGTCTTAGTTATTCCTCTGTCATTCAAAGTCATACAAATGAAATATAATTTGTGTGTATCCATGCACTGCTTAGACAGATGGAAGCACAGCAGGTAGGTAAACACTGACATTCTCTTCCATGAATACCATCAAAGGAAAGGTCAAAGATAAGGTAGTAAGTAAAGTGAATGCAGATTAGACAGAACATCTGCTTAAATAGGATAATGGAAGAAATATTCATTGCTTTTACAAATAGAATTTTCTCTTCCAAGTTATCAATGAACATCTGCTTAATTCTACATTCCTTGCAACCTACCACATTAGCTTTCTGATTAAAATTAATAGCTTGATAAAGTACAATTAGTCACAATAAAGAATTTGTGCTTTTTTATTACAAATTGTTAATTTTGCAAGCGTAAGAGAAGTTGTTGTTATCTAAGATGGCCTAACCTAGTTTGAGAAGAAAGGCATTTTAAGAGAAGAAACTTTTAAACTATTCAGTTATTCTTTCAAATTTGCAAACGAAATTAGAACTTCCAGGTTTTACATTATAATTTTAAGTAAACTACTCTTCTAATTGGCAAAAAGAAAGGCTACTTTGTAAGAAATGAAGAAATAAAGTAAATATGATTTTTTTAAATAATCAGTTGGCATCTCACTTCTCTTGTAGCATTTAATGCTTTTCACTTCCTTTGCCAATTTGACCTCCCTAGTTTTTGTGTCAGAGGACAACCTTGGCTCTCTCATCTCTATTATCTTCTTTCTTTTCTGTCACATGCAAATCCCTCCATTTCAGCTTTCTATTTCAACTACTGGTCCACAGATTTTGATTTATCTGAAGTAGGTGGGATCCAGGCACAGGCCCATTCATTGTATGTCTTGTAATTTTTTATTGTATTCTGGACATTGAATATAAAAATACAGTGGAGACCAAAATATAATATTGTTATTTTGTTTTGTTTCCTCTTGTTTTCAGAAAATAAAAGTCTTTCCCTATGTCTTAAGGTTAGAGTGTGAGGCTGAGCATAAACATTATTCCAAGAATTGAGTTTAGCTTGAGCTGGGCTGCAGTTTTAATTAGATTGAGTTCACTTTACTAGCCCAACTTCCAACTTCCTACAACAGTTATCAGAGATCACAGTATTTGAGATGGGGGTTGGGTTGGGCCACATTTTTAGAACATTTTATTTTCAGCCTTTAATTCAAATCTATAAAGGCCCAAAATCTGTAGGAATGTGAAAGCCTGTGCAAAAATATTATCTGCTTTCTAGCCTTTTCTCTGCAAATTCTTGGCAAATTTTTTGTGCAAAGGGCCTGTACAAAAGGATATAATTTTCAGGCTGAATCTCATTATGTCTAGAGTCCAATTCATTCTACTAAATTATTATTTAAAGGTTCAGCTGGTTTTTCCTCATCCCTGCAAAATCTCTTGATATGTCAGGTCAATGGTTCCACCTGGAGAAACCCAAACCAGACATGTTCCCTCAGGTATGAATCTCTCTGGTCTTTAATAAAAGACTCCTTCCTCTCTGGAATTCAGTTCATCAAGACTTCCTGGTTATCATCATAGCCCCATAGAAATGTATGATTTTTATATTATGTTTTTTTCCTGTTGCTAAAGTAACAAAAGTCTTTTGCAACTGGAAGCAGACAGCTACTCCTCCTAGACGTGCTGATTCATCAACCTATGGGCCTTACTTTGAGAAATATACTTCAGAGTCATACTAGAAACTGTTTTACATTCCCTATAGTCTGAGGCATGTACACAAGCCAAGTAATGTTCTTATTTTATCAAGACATCAAAACTGCCCAGCTTGGTGGCTCACACCTGTAATCCCAGTGCTTTGGGAGGCCAAGGCAGGAGGATTGACTGGGGCCAAGAGATTTAGACCAGCCTGGGCAACATGGCAAGACCCTGTCTCTACAAAAAAAAATTTAAAAATTAGCTGGGCATCATGGCACACACCTGTAGTCCCCACTACTTGGGAGGCTGAGGAGGGAGGATTGCTTGAGCCTAGGAGGTCAAGGCTATAGTGAGCTGTGATCATACCATTGCACTGCAGCCTGGGCACCAGAGTGAGACTCAGTCTCAAAAAAAATAAAAATAAATATTAAAACTATCAGCCACTAGGAATCCTATGTAAAACATCTCTTTCTAGTTTAAATTGACATTATCTCAACTTTTACTATTGGTTACTCAGAGCCTAATCCTCTTCTCTCTAATTCAAGTGTTGAAATGTGACTTGTCCTTAAAAAGTACGTAGCAGATGCACATCTTCTATTTTTCCTCTGAAAGTTAAATTGATATTTAAAAATTAATCAGTACATTTTGTCTCCTCTGTGTTCAATAAGGAAGAAGCACTGTTTACAGCATTGCCTAGCACTTAGTGGACACTCAGTAAATGTTTTAAATGAATAAATAGTATTCATTGATTCTGGTTCCTTCCTTTTGTCTTTATCCTAACTCTTTCCTCAACCTCCCAATTTCATCTCTGAAAATCCTAGCAAGAATAATTATCCTATTCATTCCTATTTTCTATTACAAATTTTTAATAGCTCTTTTTTGCCTACTGAATTAAGTTTAAATTCACAATTTGGCCATTAATATTTTCCACAACAGGGTTTAAAGCTATATTTTTAGCTTATTTCTTTGCAGGTATCTTGTGTTTAAACCAAACTGGAAGAATATTCTCTAAGTTTCCTGCAAATGTCCTGTGTTTCCACGCCTACATGATTACGTGTGCTACAGATGGAAATTCTCTTTTTCTCATTGACTTCTTTACCTATCAAAATCTTATGCATCCTTTAGTACCCATCTCAAATGCAATTATCACCTAGACACACAACTTGATCTTTGAAACTGGACATGATCCATTTTTCCTTACATTCATTACAGCATGTAGCTTATACTTCTCTAAAATGATTGCTTAATTCTATGTTGTAATAATACTTTTTTTTTTGTTTTTTTGTTTCTAAATGTGAGCTTCTTGAAGGCAGGGGCTATACTGACTCCTGTCTATGTACCATATCACTGCTACAATAAAAGAGGCAGGAGGCACAGAAATTATAGGCAAAAAAGGGCAGGTCCCTGGTAAGAGCCCCACTATCAAGCCAAAAAGCCTGAGATCTCAGCCCAAAGTGAGAATTTATATCATGTTTTCCTGCTCGAATGTTGCCTTTTCCTAAACCACCCTTATCCTTACCCTGCCCCACCCTGTGCCTATAAAGACCCCAGACTCAGCTGGCAGAGAGGAGAAGCAGCTGAATGTTGGAGACCACAGCTGGACATCAGAAAGCAGCGGCTTGACTTCAGAGGGACAGCTTGATGGTGTAACTTCGGAGAGGAATCTGACCAGAGATGACCAGACTTCATTGGAAGATTACCTACACCTGCTTCTGTCCCCTTTTGAGCTGAGAGCCATTTTCATTGGCAATAAAATTGCCCACACTTACCATCCTTCAATTTGTCCATGTGACCTCATTTTTCCTGGATGCCAGACAAGAACTCAAGAGCCATGAGTAAGGATACCAAAGGTTGTCACACTGGCCCTTTGCCATCACTGGTGGAGGGAAGCCATGGGCCCACTGAGTTTTTAACACTTAAGCCATCTGTGGATGGCAGAGCTAAAAGAGCTCTGTAACATGCCCTCTGGGGCTTCAGGTGTAGCAGGCATCCTCCACCCCGAGATGCTGCTGTGGGGCCCACATGCAGTTTTCTCCTGCTGGCACCCAAAAGTGCTCACCCTGGCTTCTACAACTGTTCACCTGCACACTCCCTCCTGCAAGGGGTGGAACATAGTTGGTCCAAGTGAGTGGAGTTCACTCCTGCCAGCGCCAAAGTGACTGGCTGGTTGCAGAATTCATGTACTCCAGTTCCTACCTTGTTCACTCACATGCTCCCTCCTGCAAGGAGTTGAGAGCAGTGAGCTGAGTAAATGAGGCACCCTGTTGTAAGTTCCATGAAGGGGTGAGGGAAACATCCTGCTTTATCACTACATTTCCTCCAGCAACAATCACATCACATTATATCTAGCATATTATACACACATTTTAAAAAATAGTATAATTTTATATGTGGAAAGTTACTGGTCACCCAGTTTCTGTGTACTCACTTCACCCACTTCATAGACAAAATATATGAGGCTCTAGAAAGTTTAATGAATTGAACTGAATTTCATCAAATTTAAAGAAACCCAAATATGAAATATTAAAGTGATTCTTAAGTGACTCCATGTTAGCTAAGATTGAGCATAATTTAGTTAGGAAAAATATGCTCCATAAATTTCAATTGTTTTTCATATAATGTTTAAATTCACCATGGTAGGATGTTCCACTTTAATTTTACTCTGAATTAAATCATCTTAACAGAGTCAATCAAGACAAACCTTTATTCATTTTAATGTATCTTTTGTGGTAAAAATGCAAAGTTTATAGAGCATTCATGTAGCTAAGACATTACAGGACATGCATTATTACTCATTTATGCATCTTACACTAATCAGCACTTTTATATATTCTCATTCTAGGCTTTTAAAATAGTTTTTAAAACATTAACTCATTCATTAAAATTAATGCCAAATTTTGATTTTGAATATATTGTATAATCTATCGACCTGCATAACAGCTGCTTCCTTGCAAGTAGTCAAATGATATTAATATCATAAAACTTTTTATTTATATACTTTTGTATCTTTATTTAAGGAGTATCAGTGCTTCTGTGCTCGGTCCTCAAAAGAAAGTCAATATGTAAAGAGGACTGGAGAGGTGGAGAGTGACTAGCCATAAAACAAAAGAGTGTATGGTTCTTACCTTGTGACAGATGAATCCACACAGGCTCAGTTCACAAGTAAAGAGCCTTATAAACAAACATAAATGCTTTACCTCCAAGTCTATTTTGTATTCAGTTTCAGCTGCTCTAAAGTTGTTCTTTTATTTTGTAGAGCAGCCTGGAATTCATCAGAGACAATCAAGCAGTATAGGAAAAGTCAACATTCCACTGCATAGTGGCTCCCTGGTTACCTCCAGCTTCTCTGGTGTCCTATCATAATGTCTTTCTAACAAGCAGAGCAACAAGTGAGTCATGTGTCTAAATGTGTATCTGAGGACAGATGTTGCCCAATGGACTCAGAAGTTTGAACTAATTCTTTTGCAAATGAGGTCAGTCCGAATCTATAGCCTTGAGCTTACAAACAATTACTCAGATGGAATCACAATCAGCCTTCTGGAAACTGGACAAACCAGGACTCTCAATAAAAATGAAACTTTAAAATATATATAAATATCTGTATTATATTAGTCTGGCAGTTATGGAACATTCCTAACTAGTGTTCAGACAGAATTCTGAAAAAAACAGAGAACATTTGGTTCTATTGGATGACCAAAGTCCCTGCCCAAATTAAAAAATAAAAAAAGCCTCTTGACACTGATTTTTTTTATGTTCAGGGAAACTTTATCCATTGCTTGACTTTTCAAATGTTATTCAGTATGGTGTAACTGAACAATCAGTAGGTGTAGAATCGGAATAACTAATCAAAACACGGCTCTAGGGAAACGCAACACTGAAAGATGAGGAGAAGGAGAAATGAAAAATGGAAACTGGATTTTCCTGGAAACCATGCAAAGACAATGCTTCAAGTTAAATATTACCAACCGGAGAGGCCAACTGTGATAAAAAATGTATGTATAAATTTACTATTGGATGTAACATTGAAGTCTTCAGTGACTTTGACACGAGCAATTTGAATAGAGTGGTAAGAACAAAAGTCTGAAATGGACTGAAAAAATACAGCAAAGTAAGAAATGGAAATGTTTTAAAAAGGAAAAGGGAAATGTGACAGGAGCTGATGGGATACACGGAATTAAAGAAGGGTCTGGTTTTGAAAAGAGCAACTCAAGCATGATTCTATGGTATATTATTTATCTACAACAAATCATCTCAAAACTTAGCAATTGATAACAATGCACTTATGCTCACACAGCTTCTGAGTCAGAAATCTAAGAGCAGCTTAGCTGTGCGGTTCTAGCTCATAAAGTTGCAGTCAAAATGTCGGCTGGGATTACAGTCATCTGAAGATTTGACTGGTATGGAAGATCTGTTCCCAAGCTCACTCACATTGCTACTGACAAGATGCTTCAGTTTCTCACCAGGTGGGCCTCACCAAGCAGGATGGCAGCTGGCTTCTGGAGTGAATGATGAGACAGAGACAGAAAAGAGAGAGGGAGAAATCAACCAAGACAGAAACCTCAGTGTGTTTTATAACCTGATTGTAAAAGTAACATATTGTTATTTATGACATAGTATACTGATCATACAAACTCTAATACCAAGTAGAAAGGGACTACACAAAGGTGTGAATTCCAGGAGACAGGAAACACTGGAGGCCATTGTAGACACCAGCTACCACTTACAGTAAGGTAAATTGGAGGAAAGGGGAGATTCGGAAGAGGGGTTAAGCGTAGGATGAAAGTCCTTGAATGAGAAAGAATGTCAGTAAGTGTATAAGTGGAAGGATCAGTCTTAGATAGCAGCAGGTAGCAAAGAGAAATGTAGCCACTTTAAAAGGAGAGAGGAAAAAACATGGTAAATGAGGTAGTTCCTCATGACTGCTTTATATCTTGACGGTGGCATAATTAAGGTCATCAGTTAATAGTGAAGAGGAGACAGAAGAATTTCAAATTTAAGGAGAATGGTGGTTTGAATAGCCACTTCAGAGCAGTGAATTGGCTAGGAAAAAATAATAGAATTTAGGACAGTTTGGGAAAAGAAAAATAATCTAGATGTGTACATGAGACATAAAGCAGGCAGCTACCCCTTCCTCCAAGTTCCATTGACCACAGGATATGAGAATTAAAAAAAATAGCTGCAAAATCACAGGATTTCAGGGAAGCAAGGTCCTTAGATGTAGTTAGGTTTTAGTCAGAGCAAAAAAAATCAGGAAAATATTCAGGTAAGAAATTGAGGCTCTAATGTTTTGCTGATGAGTTCTAGGTTGTTCAATGTGGAGTAAGGAAAGGCGGGAGGATTGACTCAGATTGAAGTTGAACAGAGTAATAGATAAGAGATTTGGACTGCTAAAGTGATGGAAATTATCATGATGGGATTAATCCTTATGACTTCATAAGGTAAGGTAGAGTCAGTTATATGATAGTTCCTTTCTTAGGATTAGACAATTTATAAGTGTGAGAAAGAGAAAGAAAATGGTATTTTTTTTAATGGAGAGGAGAATAAAGTAATATGCATTCTTATATCCTTTTAAGAGTATTAACGAAGCTGGCAAGGTATAGTTAATAAACTCAATATTCCTGCATAAACATCAGAAACTTCAAATAGCCATGTATTTACAGATACAGACTATGTATCTATTAATTTTTTATTCATTGAGAATTTCTAGACTTATTATCAGACATTGATTTTATGAGACAATTTTTCCATTATGTAGCTTATGGAGTAGTAGAACTCAGCAGAAACCAACCTAAAATCTCTTTGGCTGAATCCAGTGCTGGCTAAATTTCTTATAAAGAAGTAAAAAATAAGGAAAAACAAAGCATAATGCTCTTAAAAATCTAACAGGGTTGAAAGAGGATTAGCTTTTCTAGCATGAAAATTGAATTTTCAAAACTTAAATAATGAATCCTTTTATATTTGTCTCGTAGTAACAAATCAAAGTGAAATTAGGACTGAAATTGGGATTTAAACTAAGATTAAACTTAAAGCTTCTCCTCTTTTTCTTTACCTTCCTTTCTCTTTCTTTTCCTTCCAGGACAACACAGCCCAAAAGCCATTAGGTATTGTTCAGCAGGTAGACATCCTGTTTCATGGGGCAGAGGGAGCACCCTGGTGTGGGGTGCCAAAGTGGGTAGAGAGAGTATCCATATGAGGAGATAGAAGTAGCCATGCAGGAAGGTGTTGGGACCCCAGCAAAGAGAGTAAGCATCCACATGGGGGCAGAATAATGGCAATCCAGTGTATCAGGAAGGGATGGTAGCAGGCAGCAACAACATGATATTAGGAAATTAATCAAATAAATAAATATATTAAATATAATGGGTTCCAGACTGCTCATTGCCAAAGAAGGGAGTTATAAATATAGAAAGAGAGAAAACTGGAATGCACATTGTGCATTTGATTTGGATTGGAATTGCAGATATCAGTGTGAACTCATGGGTTTTGAGATAGATGGATGGATCACTAGAAAGAAAGATAGATAATAGATAGACAAATAAATATAGATGTAAATGTGTGATATAGGATGTGTGTGTATATATAGACAGATACGTCTATACATACATATGTAGAGATAAATGGTAGATAAATGATAGATAGATGATAGTTAGCTTAGATAGGTAGGTAGGTAGGTAGGTAGGTAGGTAGGTAGGTAAGTAGATTGATGCGTGTGTGTATGTATGTATCCCTAGTTCTGTCCACTGAGAGAGCCTGTTGCTACCCAATATCAGTGAGCATAGTGATCATTCAGATCATAGTTTCTAAACACCATTCTTCTAAATGCCATTCTTCACTATTGGATTTTCGGATGAAGTACTCTGTTGAAACATCTCTGGGTCTAACTCTCTGGCTGACTCACTGTTGTTTGAAACATTGGATGACACATAACAGTTATTGAAAACCAATTTTTTAAATTATCAGGTCAGTGAGATTGAAGAATAGTAGTTTCCAGTGTTTGTTCCCTCACAGAAATATCAATCTGAACAATTATTCACACATGAAAATACCTTCACAAGAGCTAAGAAAACCAAGTAAAATATTTTAGTACTTGGGTGGAGCACATAAAATTTTAAGAGACAGATTAAAGAGGGTAGGAAGGAGAGTTTCACATTGCCCATGTCAGCTATCTCCCAAGCTCACTCAGCATGGAGAGAGATCCTCCACATGTGGGCAGGAGAATGAAGTGAACATCTGACTTTGCCATAGACACCAGCACCAGACCCACCCCAGTGAAGCTTAGGACCAAGCCAGCCTCCATAGACCCAGGTTCCAGGCCTGCCCCAGTGCCAAATAGTTTCCTAGTTCCAATCTCCAGGCCCACTTCTGTGTCTTCAGAACCCAGGCCTACCATTGCAAACTCAAGCTCTAGGCCACTCCACTGCCAAACCAGCTCCTGTGCCCCAGGATCCAGGCCCATCCCCAAGGACACAGGCCTGACCCCATTGAATTATGGTCCAGGCCTGCCCTACCACCAGTCTGGCTCCTGAAGAACCAGGATCCTGGTCTGTTTCCAAAGTCAGACCCAGGACTACCCCAACAGCCCCAGAAATCCAGGCCCAGACCCATAGACCCAGGCACCAGGCTTGCCCACACAGACCCAGACTCCACTCCTGCTCCTGTGGACCCAGGCACTAGGCTAGCTCCTATGAACTCAGGTTCTTGGCCCCCGCACCTACTTAGCCAGTTACCAGACAAGCCCACCCATAGAACCTGCCAGGCAGCTCATCTGGCATCTCTGGATGGGGTGACTAGTGAAGGGCTTTACATGCCAAAGCCAATTTGTAAAAACTAAAGTAGGTAGCTATGTGTTTAAATGAAGAGACACCAATGCAAGGTCACAAGGATCACAGGTAATCAGGGAAAAATGACACCACCAAAGGAATAAAACATTAGTGACTGACCCTAAAGAAACAAAGACGTACTAATTGCCTGATGAAGTATTCAGAATAATTGTCTTAAAGAAACTCAGTGAGCTGTTAGAGCATACAGACAGACAACTAAATGAAATCAGGAAAACAATACACAAACAAAATAAGAAGTCTAAAAAAGAGATAGCAACTATATATTTTTAAAGGGCTAAATAGAAATTCTGGAGCTAAAATACATAACGACTGAACTGAAAAATTTCATAGAGAACTTCAATAGCAGACTCATTCCAGCAGAAGAAATAATCAATGATCTCACAGACAGGTAATCTGACATTACCTAGTCAGAGGAACAAATAGAAAAAAAGAATTAAAAAGTGATGAAAGCCTATGGTACTCCTGGGACAGCAGCAAACAAACCAATATACACATTATGGACGACCCAGAAAAAGCAGAGGAAGAGAAAAGGGTAAAAGACTATTTAAAAAATAACAACAGAAAACTTCTAAATATGGAGAAGGAAATAAACATCCAAAGCCATGAAGTTCAATAAACCTAAATAGATTAAAATAGAGATCTTCACAGAGACTACATTATAATCAAAATCTCAAAAGCCAAAGATGAAGAAAGAATTATGAAAATAGCAGGAGAAAAGTAATTATTACATACCGCAGAACCCACATAAGACTACTGGCATATTTACCAGCAGAAACCTTGCAGAAGAGAGTATGATACTATATTTGAAGTACTAAAAGAAAAAAAAAATGCCAACCAAGAATACTATACCTGGCAAAGCTGTCCTGTGAAACAAAGAATAGATAAAGAGTTTCCCAGACAAACAAAAGTTAATCACCACTAGACCTACTCTACAAGAAATTCTAAATGGAGTTCTTGAAGTTGAAATGAAAGAGCACTCACTAACAATGTAAAAATACATAAAAGTATAAAACTGACTGCAAGGTTAAGAATATTCAAATTCTGAATAGTGTAATACAGTAATGGTGATGCATAAATCATATTTAACTCTAGAATAAAAGTTAAAAAGTATTAATTAGTTTTAACTAATTACTATACCTATAGTAATTTGTTAATGGATGCACAACATAAAAAGACATAAATTGTGACACTAGTAACATAAAATGTGAGAAAAAGAAAAGTTAAAATGTACAGTGTTTGCATGCAAAGTTGTTAGCTTAAAATAGATGCTATAAATATAAGATGTTTTATATAAGCCACATGGTAACCACAAGAAGAAAACTTAGATACAGAAAAGAAAAGGAAAATGGAATCAACACATACCACTAGAAAAAATAATAAAATCACAAAAGAGAACAGCAAGAGAAATAAAGGAATACAGGAGCTACAAAACAGTCAGAAAACAACAAAATGGCACTAGTAAGTTCATGACTATCAATAATTACTTTAAATGTAAATGGATTAAATTCTCTAATTGAAGGATATGTAGTGGCTACATTGATGGGAAAAAAAACAAGATCCAACTATGTTTCACACAAGAGTTTCACCTTAGCTTTAAAGATATATATATAGGCACAAAAGTAAAGTGATAAAAATATATTCTATGCAAATGTAACCAAAAAAGAATGGGGTGGCTATATATATACAACACAAAATAGATCTTAAGTAAAAAATTGTCACAGGAGACAAAAAAGGTCATTATATAATGATAAAGGGATCAATTCATCAAGAGGATATAACAGGTCCACCCTGTAAATTATAAATATATATGCATCCAATATTGGAATACCTAAATATAAAAAGCAAATATTAATAGACCGAAGGGAAAATACAATGATAGTGGAAGATTTAAAAACTCTACTTTTAACAATGGACAGATTGTGCAGACAGAAAATCAATAAGGAAAAAGTGGACTTGAACAACACTATAGATCAAATTTACCTAATAGATATATACAGAACATTCCACCAACAGCAGCAGAACTCATTCTTTTCAAGCACATATGGAACAATCTTCAAGATATATTATATATTAGGCCACAAAATGCATCGTAACAAATTTGTGAAGATGGAAATCATATCAAGTATCTTTTCCAATCACAGTGGTATGAAACCAGAAATCAACAATAAGGGGAAATTTACAAATATGTGGAACTTAAACACACTCCTGAACAACTAATGGGTGCAATAAGAAATCAAAAAATATTTTGAGAAAAACAAAAATGAAAACACAACATACCAAAACTTATGGAATACATCAAAAGCAGTTCTATATAGGTATGTTGCATGATGCTGAGGTTTGGGGTACAGATCCCATCATCCTGGTAGTGAGCATAGTACCCAGTATGTAGTTTATCAACTCATATCCCTTTCTCTCTCTCCCCTGTCTAGTAAGTCCTCAGTGTCTATTGGTCTTATGTTTCCATACATGTGTGCTTAATGTTTATCTCTCACTTGTAAGTGAAAACAAGCTGCATTTGGTTTTCTGTCCCTGCATTAATTTGCTTAAGATGATGGCCTCCAGTTGCATCCATGCTGTTGCAAAGGACATGATTTCATCCCTTTTTATGGCTGCATAGTATTCAATGGTGTATATATACCACATTTTCTTTATCCAATCCACCATAGATCAACATCACGCAATATACCCATGTAACAAACCTGCACATGTACCCATGGTATTTAAAATGAAAGTTGAAATTAAAAAAAGAAAGTCCCAACTGATATAATAAGACAAATAAATAACGTCTCTGATGAGAGCCGAATACTTGTTGGGATGCCCTGGCTGTGGAAAGGAGCTGCCCACCGTGGGTCTCCTCTAAGCTGTTCTATTGCCCAATAAATCTCTTCATCTTGCTCACCCTCCATGTGTCTGCGTACCACATTCTTGCAGGACAAGAACTTAGGACCTGCCAAATGGTGAGGCTAAAAGAGCTGTAACACAAACAGGGCTGAAACATGCCCCTTTCTTGTCACATTGTGGGAGAAGAGAAGGAGAGAAGAGCTGCAGCCCTTCAGAGAACCCAGACGAGCCAGGGCTGTGACTCCCTTTTTGGGGCCCAGCAGTTCCTGGCATCTCCAAGCTTCCAGGTGCTACCGTATTCCCTGACGCCAGCCATGGAAGCTGCTTGCAGTGAACTTGGTACAGCCGCAGCCTCACAGAGAGTCGGTACCCATGCTGGCACTTGAGCCACCAACCCCCCTGCAGCAGCCATCGAATCTGACTGTGTGCAGTGGCCAGACCCCATGCTCACTCACACACCCCTCACCACTCCACGCCTGACGCGCCTTTGGCAGGTGTGGGATCCAGGCCGGTAGTGTGAGCCAAGTGCAGCCTGCCAGGCTGGGTGGGCAGAGTGAGCCCAGCGTACCTGAGCAGACCTTGGGCAAAGGCACCACTGGCCACAGAGGTTTCCAGTCAGAAAAGCGACACCCCAAGGATCCTGTAACAATAGTATCAAAAAGAGTAAATATATGTAGGAATAAATTTAACCAAGAAGGTGAACAGTCTATACACTGAAATCTATAAAGGAATCTAAACATTCGAACTCATAAAAGCAGACAGTAGAATGGTGTTTACTGGGGGAAAAAGGATGAGGAAAATATGAAGATGTGGTCAAGAAAGATTGTAGAGTTTCAGTCATATGAGATGAATAAGTTTTAGAGGTCTAATGTATAGCATGGTTACTACATATTTTCAGGCATTGTATACTTGAAATTTAACCAAAGAGAGTAGATCTTAAATGTTCTCACCATACATACAAAATGGAATTTATGTGAGGATATAGATATATTAATTAGCTTGATTGTGGTAATCATTTTGTAGTGTGCACATATATCAAAACATTACATTGTACACCTTAAATACATACAACTTTTCAGTGTTAAATTATACTTCAACAGGCTGGGTATGGTGGTTTACACCTGCAATCCCAGCACTTTGGGAGGCTGAGGCAGGTGGATTGCTTGAGCCCAGGAATTCAAGACCAGCCTGGGCAACATGGTAAAACCCCATCTCTACAAATATACAAAAAATAGCTAGGTGTAGTGGCATGTGCCTGTAGCCCCAGCTTCTGAGGCGGCTGAGATGGAAGGATCACTTGAGCCCAGGAGATGAAGGCTGCAGCAAGCCGAGTTTGCACCATTGTACTCCAGCCTGGGCAACAGAGCCAGACCCTGTCTCAAAAAAAAAAAAAAAAGATTTAAAAAAAAGAAAGGGAAAAAAGAAAAACAAACTCAATAAAGCTTGAAAATAAAACTTTTAAGATTTTTAAAGTTAAAAATTTAAATGATCAAATGTCTTTATATAAGAAAAACAGAGTTCTTTTTATAAGGAAACACTATGCTTTTATTTCTCAGCTGCTTTGATGTCTGTATTCAAAAGTCTCTGAAGTCATAATACATTCTTAAAAAGCCAATGTTGCATTGTGTGGTTGTCACCCCTACACAACCCCCATTCCAAGAGCAAGGAGTTAGTTAGTTCAAGCCTTTCGGGCTCACTGTAGGAAACATAATAGGGCTTACCAGGGAACTTCTGAGATTCTGATAGAATAAAAGGTAAATAGAACTATACCCATGTTTGAGAGATCAAACCTTCCCATCTTTTGGTTGCCAGTTTACACACACACACACACACACACACACACACACACCACCAGTAAGAATAAAATGGTAATAAAAATGAAAATAAGAGACTTTTTTTTTATTGAGACAGGATCTCACTCTGTCACCCGGGCTGGAGTGCGGTGGTGCAATCTCAGCTCACTGCAGTCTCCATCTCCTGGGCTTAAGTGATCCTCCTACCTCAGCCTCCCAAGTAGCTGGGATTACAGGCATGCACCCCCATGCCTGGCTAATTTTTGTATTTTTGTAGAGATAGGGTTTCACCATGTTGCCCAGGCTGGTCTTGAACTCCTGGACTCAAGCAATTCACCCACTTCGGCCTCTCAGTGTGCCGGGATTATAGGCATGAGCCACCACTCCTGGCTGCAATTAGAGGACTTCTGATGCAGATGCAATGGCAAAGACTTATTCCCCCCACACATACACTAAATACATGTACCCTAAAACTTAAAGTATAATAATAATAAAATAAAATAAAAAAGAATGAATAAAACATTTTAAAAAGGAAAAAAAAAACAAGTATAATTCCTGGAAATGAAGATGAAGCTAAAGACAGCCAAAGGAGAACTCTTAAAGGTAGTAAGAGGAAGGCAAACTGGTCTAGGGCCTCTGCATTGAAAGAAGAGCACAGCAACAGGACATCTTACTATACCCCATCACCATGACCCGACCAAAGAAAGCACCCTAGGCCTGCTGTTTCTTGACCTCTGACCTAGCAACCAAGGGCAGCCCAGACAGGCTGAATTATTTTCCAGGATGGAATGGGAGTTCCTGTGATAACATCAGGAGAGCCTGGCACCACTGGTGAGGAGAATGGATGGGAAGCCCCATTAATAAGCAGCAGCCATGGAAGTATCCTCCTTCCCCAATGCTTGGTCCCTGTCATAAATTGTCGGACCCAGGAATCCCCTTTATCCCTGCTGGCCTGAGCCTCCCATTCTTAACTAAGGGCCACCGAGGTGGCCCAGCCCAGAGAAATTCTGTCTGCCCCCTTAGACAGCACCAGTAGGGACTAGTGGGAGACCCAATGGCACCAGATAAATCAGATAGACCAAAACAACATTGCAAAGACTAAAAATTAAACTCTCATTGAAACTACAGCCTGCAAAGGTAGGCCACATTTTGCATGCTAATCTAAACAGAGTGATCACCTGCTAAAGTAGGATATTTAAATAGGACCCAGAGTGTCCTAACATAATAGATAAAATGTATGGAATACAATAGATAATAACTCATCATACCAAGAATCAGGAAAATCACAACTTGAATGAGAAAAGATAATCAACTGATGTAAACATAAGTTGAATCAGATGTTGGCACAACGTGATGGGAATTTTAAAGCAGCAATCATAAAAATGCTTCAACAAATAATTACAAATTCTTTTGAAGTAAATTTTAAAATAGCATATAACAACACATAATAAGAATCATAAAAAAGAATCAAATGCAAGTTGTAGAACCATAAAACTATAATAACAGAAAAAAAATTCAGTGAGTGAGCTAAATAGTATAGTGGAGATAATGGAGGATAGAATCAGTGAATTGAGGGCAGATGAAAGAGTTTACCCAATATGAACAACCAAGAAAGTAGACTGAGGAAAAGAATAAATAGAACTTCAGAAACTTGTGGGACAATAACAAGAAAGTCAATGTTTATATCATTAGACATCCAGAAGGAAGAGAGAAAGAGAATAGGGCTGAGAGAATAATTGAAGGAATAATAGCTTTGGTACCTCCTTCCTACATTTCCAAGAAATAATTGATTTACAAATAGTCTAGACTCCTTAACTCCAAGCAGTAGAGAGACACAACTGGATTGGTTTCTTTTTCTGGTTCCTCACTAACTCAGAGTATAATGTTGATCAAGTCATTTTATCACTATGGCTCATGAGGCTTCTATTTCTTCATTTGTAAAATAAGGCAGCAGGTAATGGAGACAATATCCAGGGTTACTTCTAGCCCTCGAATTGATGGTATTTATGTTATTTTTCAATTGTTTTCAGATACATGGAGGGTATAAACCTCTGAATTCTCCCTGTTCAGTTCTTGGCTTCCCTTTGGTTGTAGACTAAAAGCTATAATACATTAGACCTGTAGGACCCAGGCTATGAAGGAGTTTCAGCCTCTCTCCATCCATGCTGAGCCCCCTAATTCTCATGTAAACACATTTCATTTCAATTTTATTGCTCAGGGCATGTCTTCTACAATATTCTATGTCATCTAGACCATTTCAAATCAACACCTACAAACATCTTGACACTTACAATCAGCACTAAAGCATCACCCTAACTTCCTTGATGTGTGGGGAGTCAAAAATTGCCAGGTGCTCACTGGGGAGTTTCATAAATGTAATGTCAGAACTCTCTCCTATATTAGATTTGCTAGAAGGTGGTAGAAAATTACTTAATCTCTCTCTGCTCCATTTTACTAATTTACATACTGAAGAATAGGAAAACATTTAGGAAGCATTTTGAAGTCCTTAGATAAATGAAAATGCACTTGGCACTAAAAACTATCATTATCCCATTTGTGAAGGCCTTTATCTCCCTGTCTGTAAGAGAGTTTCTGCCTGCACTGAATTCCAGCATGTCTACAAGCTGCCAGTGCCCTGCATTAAGTATTTTCTGTCATCTGTGCTTGCCAGAGATTAGTTTGCAGACATTTTGCAAAAAGCATGCATAATACATACTGCTGAATACAATATTTATCATAGAACAGCTCCAGTGATTGAAAAGCATTACCCGACAGCATCCTGTATTGCATGATTGCCCTTTCCATCAATGCACCCTAAGGAGGCAGTACAACCCTAACCACTGAGTCACATTTAGTTTAATTCCAAAGCCAAGCCTGGGAGTTGCCTCAGTTTTGCAAAAGCATTATGGTGCTCTCTGAAGGTATTTGTGTGGCGTGGGATAAGGAAAAGGTGAGGAGACAAAAAATATCTTATTCCTTATTTTCCTTCATCAAAAAACATCTTACCGCCCATTTCAATAGAAAGCTAAGCACTCTCTTATGTCCATGTGTTAGAATTAGGAGAAGAGATATACTTAGTCACAAGGTACACTAAGCAGCACCTCATCTTCCTTTCCTAATATACATGCTCTTGGGATAATAAGATTTTGAACAAATGACTCTCTTTATTTCATAAGTGCCATGAATTCTGGCAGGGTTTACTTTGACAGCTATTTTAACAGCACTGTTAACTCTAAAATCTGTCAGAACAAGTTTGTAACCCCTCCACTAAATGACATCCTTGTCAAGAGTCAAAGTAGATTTTAGTAGAGGGAAGGAGATGCTGGAATCAAATCAGTGAGAGAAGCTGAAGATACCTCAGGTGAAAGACCGAGTCCATAGCTCTCTCTTCCTTCTTCCATAGGAAAGACATTTCAGGCCAGTTTATCCACAACAAATACGTCTTTCCTTGTTCTGTTCAACATACAACGTGATGAGTATACACTAAACCCTTTCTCTACTTTGACATCAAATCTTGATTTTCTTCTTTGAGTTTCTTTTAACAGTCTTGTTCTTGGCAAGGAGCGCTTAATGTTCCTTTCCTATTTTACCCCTCTGTTGAGGCCAGCATGTGACAGTGGCAATATCATATTGGAAAAAGATAGAGATTTCTAAATGGAGATAATAACTCAAAGTATATTTGAAAGAAGCAGGTATTAGCAGAGAAGCAGGATAAATACTGAGGAGGGAATGCAAGATAAAAGTTATTTTTTCTAAAATGTTAGTGCAAAGTAACTGAAAAAAAAAGGATGTGAAGCTTGGAAAAAATACATACACACACACACACATACGTGTACATATACATATATGCATGTATATATTTATACACATATATTTCTAAAGTGTTATATAGCCTCCTTGTGCCCACCTCCCAACCATAAATAATATATTACAGAACTATTTCTACATTAGGTCACAAATATCTACCTTATTTAGTTTAACACCTGAATAACAGTCAATTGTAAAAATCCACCATTACTTATTTTGATCACCTGATCTGGGGCATTTAAACTGTTTTCAATTTTCACTATTATAGACAACTCTACACAAAATTACCTGGTCTTGTAGAATATGTAAATGATAGAAGTAAAACTGAGATCAAAACGTAGGTGCAAATTGTCCTCCAAAAACAGTTACAATTCCCCCATAAAAAAGGTTATATGAGAGTGCCTACTTCCCAACATCCACGTCAACACTGAGCTCTATTCACTTTAATTTTTAGTCCTAAAACATTACATTTTATTGTTGTTTCAACTGATATTTCTTTGTTAATAAGTGCAAGTAAACATCTTATCCCATATTTGTTGGCCAACAGAATTTTTGTGCTTGGGTGTGTGTTAAATATTTGTTCTTGTTTTTTTATCAGTTTTTCCATTAGGATATTGTTTTCTTAGTGATTTACACATTTTTACTTACTAAGGATAGCAACCTTAGTTATATATTATGCAAATGTTTTCCCAATTTGTCAATTATTTGATACTATGATTTTGTGAGGAAGGCTTTTTAAAAATTCTATAGTAAAATCTCACAATTTATCCTTTGATGGTTTCTTATTTCGAGTCTTTCTCAACTAAGATCACAGACAGGCTTGATTTTATTCAAGCTGGAGTTGCTTATGTTGCACTGCTGTCCCTAAACTGTTTTGCCAGTGATGAATTCAGACAGTCACATATTAGGTCATAAACATCCATTTCTGATTATTATACGTTTATAGTCTCTACTAGCCAAGGTCAATTCCAAACGTATAGCTATCTTTACTCTTGCAGTAGGGTCTGTGCAATTAATTATTACCTACATTGTTTTTCCTTTACAAAGATTGGTTCTAAAAAGCAACACTTTTTTCATTCTATATGAATGCAGTCCTCCAGCATTCATTAGGACATGTAATGCTAGTTGCTATTCCAAATAACCTCAAAATACCTGTGGCTTTCCAGAATTAGTTTATTCCTTGTTCATGTTACAGAACAAGATATTTCTTCCAGGTGGCTCTGCTTGCAGTGGTTACTCATCGTGTGGCCTTGCCCTCTCAGAATCCTTTGCTTGTAGGCTTGTGGATAGGGGAATAAGACAGTATGAAAAGCTATACAGGCGTTATATGGCCAGGTCTTTAAATGGTCTTTATCACTTCTTCCCAGATCCCATTACTTAGAGTAGTCACAAGATCCCACCCACACAGAAAGAAGGGTAAGAAATTTAGATTTCCTGCATTACCAAAAAAAAAAAAAGAAAAAGAAACAGGACTAATGTGCATCTAGCCAGTCTCTCCTTTAACATACTCCTGACTATATTAGACTATATTACCTCTAGTGTTTCGCATCCATACATTTGCACTTTATACACATTTTATAAACATATGTGATTTATGAAAGAATGGAACTGTATGAATGGAATTGTCTATTTATTTTAAATATCACATGTTTATTCCACCTGGAAATTGGTTTTGTTTATAGAAGTATGTGCAATGTGAAACAGGCATCCACTTAAATTTGTTTGAAAAAATTATACATGTATAGAGTAATATTTTCTTTTACTAACCAAATTATAAGGTTTTATTTATCATTTATTAACAAATGAAATACAATGCTAATTATATGTCAGGTAATTTCTTTCTTAATACTTTGGAAAGTTAAGCTAATTTTTCCTCAAACAACCTTATGAAATATTAATCTTATTATTTTCAGTGTAAAGACCAGAAAAATTGAAGGTTCTAAAGGTTAATGAATTGCCCAAATTCATGCTGTTAGTAAACTGCATATCTGGATTTGAACCCAAGCATCTGGCTCCAGGAAAACTTCCTAAACAGATCCAGCAACAGCTTGAGAGAACAGGAAAACGATGCTGGTTTTAAGTTTACATTAGTTGCTAGGGGAACCATAACAAACTGGGTGGCTTAAACACCGGAAAATTATTGTCACAAAATTCTGGAAGTTAGCAGCCAGAGATTGGATACCGGCAGGGTTGGTTCTTTCCAAGGGTTGTGAGGAGGAATCTGCTTTGGGCTTCTTTCCTTGGCTTGTCTTCATGTTCATATGGCGTTCTCCCAGCATGATTCTCTGTGTCCAAATTTTCCCTTCTTATAAGGATTCCACTTATAGCAAATTAGGACCACTTTGGGAGGCCGAGGCGGGTGGATCACAAGGTTAGGAGATTGAGACCATCCTGGCTAACATGGTGAAACCCCGTCTCAATTAAAAAAAAATACAAAAAATTAGCCGGGTGTGGTGGCGGGCGCCTGTAGTCCCAGCTACTCAGGAGGCTGAGGCAGGAGAATGGTGTGAACCCGGGAGGCAAAGGTTGCAGTGAGCCGAAATCACACCACTGCACTCCAGCCTGGGCGACAGAGTAAGACTCTGTCTCAGGAAAAAAAAAAAATAGCAAATAGGGCAAATGCCCACTTAATTATCTTTTGTCAAAATTTGAAAATATCTTCATGTGTCTAATGCATTTATCATACTTTATTTAAAAACAGCCAACTTGTCAAAGTCCTTGACCTAAAAATAACTTATTAACATTATAGGAACAGCATTGAATAGTATTAATATATATACTTTGGGGAGAATTAATATTTTATGAAGTATTGGTCTTCCCATCCTGAAACATCTACTTTTCTTAATTTAGTGAACTCATATTTAAGCACTGGTGGTAGCCAACCTCCAAGACGATCCCCAGTGATCCTCACATCCTGGTATCAATGTCCTCATGTATTCCTCTCCTACATTTTATCAGGGTTGCTCTGAGTAACCCTCAGAATACAGCAGAAGTAACAATATGTGATTTCTAAGGCTTTGTCCTTGCTAGCTTTTGGATTAGTCACTCTGGGGTGAAGCCAGTCGTCATGTTGTGAGGATGCTCCAGTAGCCCTATGGAGAAGTCCAGTTAATGAGGAACTGCAGCCTCCACTAAACAGCCAAGGCAACTTGCCAGCCAGGTAAGTGAGCCATCTTAAAATCACATATTTTAGCCCCAATCAAGCCGTTAGGCAATTGTGACCCTACACAACATCTTAACTGTAACCTAGTAAGAACTCCCAAGCCAGAAACACCCAGCTGAGCTTTGCCTAAATTCCTGGTCCTCAGAAAATGTGTTAGATGATATATAATAGTTACATATTGAATCTGCTAAAATTTGGAGTAATATTTTTTGCAGAAATAGATAACTAATATAGTTCTTCAGTCTAGTTTTATAGTTTCCTCATAAACACCCTATACATGTCTTAGTAAATTTATTCTGTTTTTACTTGCAATACTCAGAAGATACAGAAGGCATCTATGTCTCATTATTTACAAAAATCACTCCAATATAAATTTTATATATAATATTATATTAATTGTAATGCTCAATCTGGAGGACAAGTTATATAATATGACTCACCTAGGTATCATCAAGATCAACAGTAAAGACAGAGAACACTTTCATATTTCATATCCGTAGGAGTGTCCATCAGTTTAACCCATTTATGCCTGAGGTTGCAATTACTGAATTTTGAAATCAGACCTTGGCAATTACCTTGAGCAGTAGGATATAAATAACTCCCACATGCTTAGAGTTCCAATAGTGGAACACTGGGCATAAATAAGTTTAATGGAAGTAGTCAGGAGGACAAATAAGCCCAACTCAAAAAGAATGAGTGAAGTATATTCATTGCAGCATCTTTCACCATCCCCAGATCACCTTCTTCCTGTCGCTGTAGGATCATGCCATATAGAGCTGCAGGGCCATTTGCCAAGAGAGTAGAGAAATATAAACTTAGAAATACAAGATTTCCCCTGGTACCTTATCCAATGTTGTTGTTTTTAACCTCCTCATTATAGTTTATTGATATCTTAAAATATATAAACCCTCATTTATTGGTGTCAAAAGTTTCTGCCACCAGACCCAGGAACCCCTGGCATCTTGGCGATCAGATATAATTTAGAACTAACTATATGTACTTTTCCCAATACCCATAAGCACATCTAAAAATTCCTGCTAGGACAACCCTAATCACAAAAGAAATTGGAAACACTCTTATGATCTGTCAAGGTTCAGTGGGAGACAAACCATATCAGTAATTTGCGTAAGAAAAATATATAAAGAACTGTTATCTAGTAAAATGAGATTGACTATCAAGAATGCTAAAGAGAATTCTAAAGATACATGAATAGCAAATGTGGGAAAAAGTCACTCCCTCTAGGGCTGAGAGTGAGTACTCAAGGAAGGGACAAACTTGACAAGATTCTCCTCCCCTGAGGCTGAGATTCAGATCTCACTGAAGAGGTTGTGGCTGTGGCTCATTGGACAGGCAAGAAAGAAGCTTTCCAAAGTGCCACCAGTGGAAGTTAGCAAGCAGGAAATGCCTGCTTGGGTATCAGTAAGGCCTCCTGGGAAGCCCACCCACTGGGGTGGTGGTGAGATTCACTGTGAAGCTGCTCACCAGCTGTCACGCTATAGGAATAAAGAGAAAAGCCTCAGAATCAGGAAAATAAGGCCCTTTATCTTGCAGCATACCTTCAGTGTACTCAGCTGAGGAAAGCTAGCATAGCTCCAGTTGGCTAAAGAGAAATGCTTATTGGGCCCAGCTCCAACACTACTAAGAATGACAAAGAAAGGTGTATTTGGAGTAAGAGACAAGAAGCGGATGACTGGCATACATGCTAAAACAAAATGAAATGCATAATGTTAAGGAGAAGTAAAAGAACTTTTGGAAAAAAAAACAAAAGAAATCACAGTTTAGCTGGCCTCAGGTTCTACCTTATGCCTGGGAATTCAATATTGCGCATCCTAATTCTTTATTATAATCCTCCTCTATAAGTTTTCTTAACACTAATATTTTCATTTTATGGATAAGAAATCTAGCAGGTCAAAGGATGAGCACAAAATATTTCCTTTTTCAGCCTTCACAGTCTGAAATTCTCTGGCTGAGAGAGAAGCAATGAAGTTCAGAGTTCCTAAGGGACTATAATTCTCTGAAAATAAAGGCTCTCATGAAATACCAGATTATTTTTATCACAATTTCTATTTTCCTTTCATCTCATTTCATTCTGCCAAATTAAATACATCAGCATAGATGCAATAAAAAGGGGAGTAATAATGAATTTTTGACCTAGAGGGAGCAACCATGAGCCCATCCACCCTCACTCTGCGGCTGCTGACATGCAGAGAAAAACACCAGCAGTTTTTACTCTTGCTTAGAGAAAACACTCAGGATTTATATTCTACCTGCAGCATATAAGTCTATGATCAGACCTGCTTTGGGGAATAGATTCCTGCTTCCTTCTTTACTTCTGTTTGAGTTTTCAGCATAATAAGCAATTTAATCAGCAGCTCCACTAGAATGCTTCAGATATTTGCATATCAGCACTACTTGTCTCTCTTTCTCCTTATTAAAATTGGCATCTACCATGTCACTACACAGGACTGTAGAGCCAAGCATCCTGAGCCAATAACAGCAAAATATGACTTCTTGCTCAACAGCCTAAACCATTACCTGGTCTCTGCTGCTTGTCCTTCAGACCTGTATTTTACCAGCTGTAGAAAATCTATACTGGTTTTCCCCTATCCAAAACAAACTCGGAGAGAGATATATTTTTGCTATTGTTAATGAAACTTACTTAAATAAAAACTCTTCAACAACAACAAAAATCTCTCTCTTGCATGGTAAAGCATTTACAGGCCAGGGAAAAGGTTAGGACATGACAAAAAAATCATAGTAGTGATGTGACAGTTGGAGAATTTCTGTGACTATGTTTGTACACTGCATTCGAAAGACAGTAAGAAATTGTGCATTTCAATAAATTAAATAGTAGGTTAGAATTACCACTAAAAATCATCTGCTTGCAGTATATTTGCAGAAACCAAATAATCAAAGGGACTTAGTTATCATGCAGCAATCTCCCTTAGCAACCAGCTTCCTGATGTATCAACTCAGCATTACTATTAAAATACTGAATTCAAATATTGACTTTAAAAATCTCATATGTAAAGTATAGGAGAGACTTTCTCTGTTCATAAAATTCATTCTTTTACACAGCTCACTTTGCAGTGAGATGTGACGTAGCCATATGAGCAATTCTTACCAAAGGACTATAAGAACTGATTTGTATCACCTGCAAGACAAGGCTTTTCAGACGTTCAGATGCATTTTTACCACTTCCTTTCCCCTTCCATTAACTGAATGCAGAAGATAATATTGCCATGGGACCTGCCAAATGGGGTAGCCACAATATGGAAGGAGCCTGGGTCCCTGAATCACCATGTGAGAAGAGTTTCCTATGACCTAGCATACATACCATGGCCTGCTTCATGAGGGAAAAATAAGCTTCTACTGGGTTTGAGGCAATACAGATTTTGACAAATCTTATTATTATGTATCTATACATTACCATAATAGAAGGATCATTTTGATGCAAATTAAAAGGTTTGGGAATCTGATCTTTCACTTCCCAAATGCTATTTTATTCTAGTCAAGTCATCTAATATTTCTAGCCCTAATTGTGTCTGCCATGAGTGTAGATTTGCTGGACATGCCCACAGTAAACATATTTAGGAATATTTAAAGTGCATTTTTACAGTATAGCCAAAAAGTCATTGTACCAAAGAAAATAAATATTGCATGTTTTGAGGCAGTTTTAGGATGCAACAGTATGACACTTAGAATTTTGATTACATTTGGGCTTTCGACGCATGCCGGCACTTCCCCACTGACATTTATTCAAAGTCACTAGTGACCTACACAGCCACCAAAATATCCATCAAAGCAACTAAAGCAACATGTTCCAAACTATAAAATCTCTATGGCAACCTGAATGAAGCTTTGAAATTTCAGCATTTTCCATAACACTAAGCACTATGTTTCATGCTCAACACATATTTATTGAATTAACTGGTCAATTAGGAAAAAGCATTCATTTCTCTTAGATTCAATTGGTGAATATCACCAATACTTCCAAATATGCTCTTTACCTTCCATGGATAAACAAGATTTCATATTCTTGTCTATATTTAATGTTACTTAACTTGGTTTTCTGGTTAATTGCCTTATAGCTTTGCTAGTGGTAAACCCAACAGCTTTTCTCAAACCTCTTTTCTTTCTTAATTGTTTTTTATAATTCTGTTTTTGAGGCTTCAGAACACCTCTTTCCGAAATTATATTTTCTCTCAGTTATAGCCACTCTGTGTAACAGTAACATATATCCTACCATTTTAACTTATTTTTCTCTTTTGGTCCCTGCTCCCTCTTTTTTTTCTTAGAGACTTTCTGTCTTTGTTTGCCTTGAAGTGCTATAACAAAATTTCATTGACTGGTGGCTTACAAACAACAGAAATGTATTTCTTACCATTCCAGGTGCTGGGAAGTCAAACATTGAAGTGCCAACAGATTTGGTGTCTGTCGAGCGCTCACTTCCTAGATGGCAGTCCTTTTGTTGTAACTTCACATGGTTGGAAGAAGCAACGTTCTCACTGGAGCCTCTTTTATAAGGGGACTAATCACATTCAAGAAGATTCCACCCTCATGACCTACTCACCTCCCAAAGGCTCCACCTCCCAATACCATCACTTTGTGGATTAAGATTTCAATATATGAATTTTAGGGAAACACAAACATTTAGACTATAGTCATTTTTGTGAGGCTGTTTTTTTGTCTCTCACTCTTTTATCTCTGGGCTTTTGATGCCAAGATTTTTGTCTCCGGTGAAGTCAATTTTCCTAAGATTGCAAATACCTACAATAATTGCTTAAAGGATGCACATGTTTTCCTCACCATCACATCAATTTCAACACATCAATGTTTTCTCTTCCTTCAATCTGGATATCTATTCCCCTACATACTTTGAATTAGTCAGTGACATCAACATTCTGTCAGTTTTGCAACCTTTGAAAAATCATCAAATTAGCCTTCTTCTTCATTTTCCACATTCAATTTGTTGCTAAGTCTTTTCAGTGTTTTCTGCAAAGTGCCCTTCTATTGCTGTAATCAGCATCCCATTCCAGGTGCTCAATCCTCAGGTATGGGCTTGTTTATCCTTTCCCAATTTACTGTAACTCTACATTCACCTCCTGCCCCCCGCCCATCCAAAATACAGTTTACCAATGGTTCTCACACCTGGCTACACATTGAAATTCCTGGGGGGCTTTAAGAACACACATAGCAAGGATTTCTCCTAGAAATTCTGATTAACTTTGTCTGCAAGGGGCAGTCTGAGCATTAGGATTTTTACTTCTCCCAGATAATGATAATATGCAGCCAGTATTGAGAACTGTGTAGTTTTCCCGTTTCCAGTCTGCTTATTCCAAGGGACTTTATATTTTTTTGTGGATAAAATAATCAGATCTGTTGTTTCACTATGTTCTCTAACTGGCTCTTTTTTGTATACAAAGAAAGCTATTGATTTCTGCATATAATGTATAAGTAGATATCTTATTGAATAGTTTTATCTCTAAGAGATTTTTAATATTAATAATCTTATCCTTTCCAGACATATATAAACATATCTGCATTGGTTTCCTATTGCTGCTATAATAAATCATCATAAACTTAGTATTAAAGCAACATACATTATTTTGCAGTTTTAGAGGTCAGAAGTCTAAAATTGATCCATGAGGCTGCATTTCTTTTAGTGGCTCTAGGGAAAATTAAGGTTCCTTGTCTTTTCCAGCTTTTAGAAACCACCTACATTCTTTTGCTTGCAGCTTCTTCCTCCATCTTCAAAGTTAGCAGTATACCATCTTCCCTTCTCTCAGACCTCCATTTCCATATTTATATCTTCTCTCTACTTTACACTTAAATCGTAACTCCACTGCCTCCCTCTTACAAGGACTTCTGTGATTATATTAGGCCTACCTGGGTAATTCAAGATAATCTCCACATCTCTTGATCCTTAATTTAATCATATATACAAAATCCCCTTTACCATGAAAGGTTCCGGAGATAGGACATGGAAATCTTAGGAGGTCATGATTTGGCCTACTGTATCATCTTAAAATAACAATAAATAGCCTTCTCATGTCCAATTCTTTTTTTAATTTTATTATTATTATACTTTAAGTTTTAGGGTACACGTGCACAACGTGCAGGTTTATATATGTATATATGTGCCATGTTGGTGTGCTGCACCCATTAACTTGTCATTTAGCATTAGGTATATCTCCTAATGGTATCCCTCCCCCCTCCCCCAATCTCATGTCCACTTCTTAAATCCCATTTCTTTATTCTTTTTTCTCTCAGCTTTGGTCAGTTCTTCCTCTTCTTATTGTTTATAGTAATATCACATACAATCATGCACCACATAATGCCATTTCAGTCAATGATGGGCCATTTAAACTACAGTGGTTCCACAAGATTATAACATTGTATTTTTACTGTACCTTTTGTATGTTTACATATGTTTAGATACACAAATACCCTTGTGTTACAATTGCCTACAGTATTCAGTATAGTATAGATGTTGTATAGGTTTGTAATCTAGGAGCAATAGGCTATACCAGATAGCCTAGATGTGTAGTAGGCTATATGATCTAGGTTTGTGTAAGTTAACTCTATGACATTTGCACAACAACCAAATCACCTAATGAGGCATTTCTCAGAACATATCCTTGTCATTAAGTGATACGTGACTGCATTTTTATATATACGTATAGGTTGTTGCTTCTCTCTGAATGTAGGCATCCCTCTCTGGTCCTGCTATTTGGTTAAAAAAAAAAAGTAATTGAAGTTAGCAGTGAGCTTATAATAATGTTCTCTCTCCTCTCTCTTGGCAGAATCTCTCCTCCATTTTCAGAATTCCCACTTTTGGAGTTAAGATTATTCAAGCTCATGGACCCTCTATGTAATTTAGTATTTATAAATATCTGCTTAACTTAATCAGAAGAGGACTTTTTAAAAAAGACTGCTTTTTCTCCTCTCATAGTTTTTTTGTGTGTGTGGCAGAGTCTTGCTCTGTCACCCAGGCTAGAATGCAGTGGCATGAACCTGGCTCACTGCAACCTCCACCTCCCACGTTCAAGTGATCCTCCCACCTCACACTCCCTAGTAGCTGGGACTACAGGCACGCACCACCATGCCCAGCTAACTTTCTTTCTCTTTCTTTCTTTCTTCCTTTCTCTTTCTTTCTTTCATTTTTTGTATTTTTGGTAGAGACAGGGTTTCACCATCTTTCCCAGTCTGGTCTCTGGCCTTGAACTCCTGGGCTCAAGTGATATGCCCGCCTCGGTCTCCCAAAGTGCTGGGAATACAGGTGTGAGCCACTGCACCTGGCCGCCCCCTGTTCTTTTACTCTGCCTCAGCTCGGTTCATGTCTCTTGGATCAGAGGCTAAGAAAAAGGAAAGATGGTGTGCATTTCTAGTAGTACAAAACTAGGTCCCTAAATGTGTGTTTCTTGCTTCTCCTTATGCCATCTCATGCTTGATCATCTTAATTTCTGGTAAAGAGCTCTTTGTTTAGGCTTTTAAGACAAGCTCACTAATGTTTAGAAATTTTCACCTTTCTTTAGATTTGAAAAAATATGAGTCTATGAAGGGGATCAATTAATTAATATATAGATATTCACTCACGTTCCTTCCCAAGCACTGGTTGTTCCCTTTTCCCATACTTTGAGGAGAACCTGTTGTGTTTTGTGTGTTTTTTTTCCCCTAGACCAATTTCTAAACTTCTGCAAGGAGCAACTGAGAAAATGAAAATGACCAGCCAGACTAAAATGTGGTACAGCAGAGAGGAGATAATGGGAGAAGAGAAATCAGCAGAGGTGATTTTACCAAGTTTCACAAAGGATTTGTTATTCATTCATGTAGCTTCTCATAAAATATCTATTTTGTACCTTCTATATGTTAGACACTCTT
Organism: Homo sapiens; assembly: GCF_000001405.40. Taxonomy (NCBI): domain Eukaryota; kingdom Metazoa; phylum Chordata; class Mammalia; order Primates; family Hominidae; genus Homo; species Homo sapiens. The sequence continues at coordinate 54,632,828 of NC_000017.11, forward strand.
CCAGGTAATGAGGATAGAACAGTGAACAAAATATCAAGTTTCCTTCCCAAAATTTACATTCTAGTTGATGGAGATAGTCAGTCAACAAGCAGACAAGATTTACTTCAGCTTGTAATAAATCCTAAAGAAACAGATAAGACACTGAAATGGAAGTGATGAGACTGGGGCAGAGGAGGCAGTCAGTGATGTCGTCTTAGAATAAGTAAAATTACAACTGAAGCCTACAAGATTAAAGTAAATTTCCCTTTGAAAAGTTGAGGAAGGGTATTCAGGGCAGGGGACATAAACCCTGAAACAAAAAAGAGCTTATCGTATCTGAGGAGCAGACTGGTATGAGGAATGTCTCAATGCAGCTGGATGGGGAAATGATGCAGAATGGTGCAAGGTGAGGTGGGTGAGAAAGCTGGGTCCAGGTGGTGTAAGCATGGTAGGACATGGTCAAAACTCTAGGTTTTACTTTGAGTGTAATAAAAGGCACTTAACCATTTTCAGTGGGAATATGATGTGTTCCAATGTATGATTTTTAAATATCGCCATGGTTTCTTGGGGTGTGAATGAGAACTAGATTATATGAAAAGTAAACGTGGAAGTACAGAGATCACTGAAGATGTTACAGAAACCCAGACAAGAGAGAATGGTAGCATGGGCTAAGGTTGGAGCTGTGGAATTGGAAGTTTGAGATCTTTGTTAGGTAAGCAAATTAAAATGTCACATAGGCAGATGACTATAGATATCTGGATTTCAGGTCAGATTAGACATATATTTGTGAGTCCTTAGCAATAAATTGCATTTTGAGCCATGGGACTGGATGGGATCACCTAGAAAGAGAGCATACAATGAAAACCAGAGTACAGATGTCTGGAAAACATCAACATTTAAAAACCCCGTGAATGAAGGGGAGATAGCCAAGCATTCAAGGAGAACGAAGTATGCCAAGGCAGTTGAACGAAAACCAGGGGATGTCATGAAAGTCAAAATACAACAATGTTTTAAGAAGAAAACAATTAAAACCTTTATCCAATGTTTCTGAATGGCCAATACATTGCTATCAGAGGAATGGACATTGAATATTAGATTTTCCAAGCTATTCCAAGAAAAGAACAATGTCAGTGGAGCCATATGTATGATTAACATACAGATGTTCATGCTCCTTCTAATTGGGTAGGCAAAAGAGTGAGTAGAGGTTTAAAAAAAGAAGAAGAAAAAGGGAGACAGTGAGTGTAGACAACTCTTTCCACAATATTTTTTGGGAAGAGGGTCAAGAAATATGGCATGGTTAGACAGAGTATGTGGGATCAAAGGCATGTTAAGATGTTGGCACTAACTTGTTCATATACTGACTAGATTGATCCCATTAGATGGGGATACATGATGCAGGAAGGAGAGGAATTAACTATAGGACAAAAGTCTTTTAAGAAGATGGAGGGATTAGAGAAATTCAGAGTGCAAATAAAGGAGCTGGACTTTTCTGAGAGAAGAAAGTTTCTGAATTATTTTTAAATTGTTTCTGGCTGCTAGACTGATACACAACTCCAAGGCTGGACCATATGGGTCTGAGCTTACATTTGAGTCATATATCAGTTTTTAGCTGCTATGTCCATTATGGGTAAATGCCTTTCATGATTGGTAAATTGGTAGCTATTTTTAATTTTTATGTGAAGGGAGGTTTCTGTTTATTTTTATTTGCTTATTGTTTCAGGCTGAAGATGGTGGAGGAAAAAATTTGTCATCCATTCCTAACAATGTTTGCAGAGAAGTTATTCACTGGTTTCATAAAACTATTATTTAGTTTTATGTTTTTCTCTTGAAACTCAGTCTTAAGCATCCATATCATGCACCATAGATTATAGATTTTAAAATTCTAAAAATTCTTCGTGTGTTTGTATGTGCGTCTGTGTGTGTCTCCCTCCCCACTTCCTCCCTCCTCCAAGACAGCATAGTTTAAATGCTGTTGGCTTGAAAGCCAGAGTATGTCCCTCCACTCAGTATTTTCTCCAAGGGTATCCTAGGATGATGCTTAATTAGAAAACATAGTGATTTAAACATTTAATTATTTTAACTAGATCCAAAACAGAATGACTGTATTGGTGTAATTTATTTTTGACCACCATTTCCAAGTTTATTTTCCAATTAGTAGAACTGGGTTGAGATATTATCGACTAATTAATGAAATTAACTTATTTTTTCATAATAATATTACATAATCATCAATCTCACTTGAATACGTGTTAGAGATTTTATGTTAGTTTAATGGGAGGTATAGGATGCTTTATGGGATAATACAAAAAGCCCAGAGAACTGAGATAGCTTCTGTGTATGTGCATCCCTTGGCAGATTAAAAAGCCTGAAACTGGCAAGTGGAGCAAGATGGCATAATAGAAACCTAAACCATTTGTCCACCCCGCTGCAGTAACACCAAATTTTAACAACCATCTGCACACAGAAAAGCACCATCACATGAACCAAAAAATCAGGTGAACAATCACAGTACCTGGTTTTAGCTTCATATCACTGAAAGAGGTATTAAAGAGGGTAGGAGAGACAGGCTTGAATCACTGGTGCCACCCCTCCCTGAGGCCAAGCCCTACCTAGTTCATGGATGACATTTCTAGGCACACCCTGGGCCAAAAGGGAACTGCTGGCATGAAGGGAAAGACCCAGTCCTGGCAGGATTCATCAGCTGCTAACTAAAGAGCCCTTGGGCTCTAAATAACAAGCAGCAATACCTAGGTAGTACACTGTGGGCCTTGGGCTCTGAGACATGCTGACTTCATGTGTGACCCAGCAAATTCTCAGCTGTGAAGGCTATAGTGAAAGACTCCTTTTATTTGAGAAAAGCAGAGGGAAAAGTAAAGGAGACTTTGTCTTGCACCTTAGGTACCAGCTCAGCTATAGCGAGGCAGAGCAACAAACAGGCTCTTGGTGTCCCGAGACTAGGTCTAGGCTCTTGAACAGCATTTCCGAACCTGCCCTGGGCCAGAGGGGAGCCCAGTGCCCTAAAAGGTGAGTTCCAGGCCTGGCAGAATTCATGACAAGCTGACTGAAGAGCACTTGGGCTTTAAGTGAACATCAGCTGTTCACTTGTAGTGGCCTGGCAGAGCCCCCATGAGCTGGTGGTGGTGCTGCAGGGAGAGGCTCCTCTGCCTGTGGAAAGAGGTAGGAAGAGCAGGAAGGAGTTTGTCTTGTGGTTTGCGTGCCAGCTTAGCTGCAGCAGAATAGAACATTAGGTAAATTTCCAAGATTTTTTACTCTAACCCTTCGATTCAACACAGCAACTCTTGACTTGCCTGGGGCCTAGGGGAACTCGCCACCTTGAAGGGAAGGACACCAACCTGGCTGGTTTTGCTACCTGCTGATCATAGAGCCCTAGAGCCCTGAGTGAACATGGGTGGTAGCTAGGTAGTGGTTCAAGTCGGGTGGGAGAGACCCAGTGCTGTGTTGGCTTCAGGTCTGACCCAGCACAGTCCCAATAGTAGTGACCACAGGGGTGTTTGCATTACCATATTCCCAGTTCCAAGCAGCTCAGCACAGAGTGAGAGATTCCATTTGTTTGGGAGAAAGTAAGGGAAGAGAACAAGAGTCTCCGCCTGGTAATCCAGAGAATTCTTCTGAATCTTATCCAAGACCACCAAGGCAGTACCTTTATGAGTCTGCAAGAACCACAGCATTATTGGGCTTTGGACCTACATCCCTTTGCATATCTGGAAATCCTTCCCAAGAAGGACAAGCACAAACAAGCCCAAACTTCAAAGACTACAATAAATACCTCATTTATCAATGCCCAGACAAAAACTAACATCTACAAGCATCAAGACAATACAGGAAAATGGCCTCACCAAATGAACTAAATAAGGCACCAGAGATTGATCTTGGAAAAATGAAGATATGTTACCTTTCAGAGAATTCAAAATAGCTGTTTTGATGATATTTAAAGATATTCAAGATAACACAGTGAAGGAATTCAGAATTCTATCAAATAAATTTAATAAAGAGATTGAAAGAATTAAAAAGAATCAAGCAGAAATCTTGAGTTGAAAAATTCAATTGACCTACTGAAGAATGCATCAGAGCCTCTAAATAGCACAATTGATCAAGCAAAAGAAAACATTAGTAAGCTTGAAGACAGGCTATTTGAAAATACACAGTCAGAGGAGACAAAAGAAAAAAAGAATTAAAAATAATGAAGCACACCTACAAGATCTAGAAAATAACCTTAAAGGGGAAAATCTAAGAGTTATTGGCTTTAAAGAGGAGGTGGAGAAAGAGATAAGGGTAGAAAGCTTATTCAAAGAGATAATATCAGAGAACTTCTCAAATGTAGAGAAAGATGTCAATATTCAAGTACAAGAAGGTTATGGAACACCAAGCAGATTTAACCCAAAGAGGACTACCTCAAGGCATTTGATAATCAAACTCCCAAAGGTCAAAGATAAAGAAAGAATCCTAAAAAATAGCAAGAGAAAAAAAAATAACATACAATAAAGGTCGAATACATCTGGCAGCGGACTTTTCAATGGAAACCTTACAGGCCAGGAGAGAGTGGCATGACATATTTAGACTGCTGAAAGGAAAAATCTTACCCAAGAATAACATCTCCAGTGAAAATATCCTTCAAACACAAAGGAGAAATAAAGACTTTCCCAGATAAACAAAAGCTGAGGGATTTCATCAACACAGACCTGCCCTGCCAGAATGCTAATAGGAGTTCTTAAATCAGAAAGAAAAGAATGTTAATGAGCAATAAGAAATTATCTAAAGGTGCAAAATTTACTGGTAATACTAGTAAGCACACAGAAAAACACAAAATATTATAACACTGTAATTGTATTTGTAGTGGGTAAACTTCTCTTAAGTAGAAAGAAGAAATGAAGAAGCAATAAAAAATAATAACTACCACAACTTTTCAAGACATAATATAATAAAACATAAAGACAAACAACAAAAAGTTAAAAAACAGAGGAACAAAGTTATAATGTAGGTTATTATTAGGGTTTTTTTGCATGTTTGTTTATGCAGTGTTTTCATCAGTTTAAAATAATGGGTTATAAGAATATTTGCAAGCCTCATAGTAACCTCAAATTGAAAAACATATAACAAATACATAAAAAATAAAAAGCAGGAAATTAAATCATACTACCAGAGAAAGTCTCCCTCACTTAAAGGAGAATAGGATGAAAGGAAAGAAGGAAGAAAAGACCACAAAATACCAGAAAGCAAATTAAAAATTGGCAAGAGTAAGTCCTTATTTATCTTTAACACTGAATGTGAATGGACTAACTCTCAAATAAAAAGACACAGAGTGGCTGAATAATTTTTTTTTTAAAAAGGACCCATTGGATCTGCTGCCTACAAAAAAAAACACACTTCACCTGTAAAGATACACAGACTGAAAATAAAGAGATGGAAAAACATATTTCATGCAAATGAAAACTAAAAGCAGGAGTAGCTATACTTATATCAGACATAATAAATTTCAAGAGAGAAACCATAAGAAGAGATAAAGAAGGTCATTATATAATGATAAAGGGGTCAGTTTAGCAAGAGGATATAACAATTATAAATATACATGTACTCAATGCTGAAGCACCTAGATATAGAAAGCAAGTATTTGAGATAAAGAGAGAAATATGCCTCAGTACAATAATGGCTACAGACTTCAACACCCCACTTTTCAGCATCAAACAGATCTTCCAGATGGTAAATTATCAAAGAAATATCGGACCTATACTGCACTGTACACCAAATGGACCTAATGGATTTTTACAGAACATTTCATCCAACACCTGCAGAAAACACATTCTCCTCAGCACATGTACCATTCTCAAGGAGAGACCATATGTTAGGTCACAAAACAAGTCTTAAAACATTCCAAAAAAATTTAAATAATATCAAGCATTTTCTCTGACCACAATTGAATGAAACTAGAAATTAGTAACAAGAGAAAGTTTTGAAGCTATATAAACACACAGAAATTAAACAGTGTGCTCCCAAATAACCAGTAGGTCAATAAAAAAATTAAGAAGGAAATTGAAAAATGTCTTGAAACAAATGAAAATGGGAACACAACATACCAAAACCTATGGGATACAGTGAAAGTATTACTAAGAAGGAAATGTATTGTTATAAGCACCTACATCACAAAAGAAGAGAAACTTCAAATAAATAACATAATGATGCATCTTAAAGAACTAGAAAAGCAAGAGCTGGCCAAACCCAAAATTAATAGAAGGAAACAAATAATAAAGATCAGAGCAGAAATAAATGAAATTAAAATGAAGAAAACAATAGAGAAATCAATGAAATGCAAATTTGGTGTTTTGAAAAGATATAAAAAATTGGCAAAGCTATCACCAGACTAAGAAAAAAATGAGAGCAAGATGGCCAAATAGGAATAGCTCCAGTCTGCAGCCCCCAGCGTGATTGACACAGAAGATGGGTGATTTCTGCATTTCCAACTGAGGTACCTGGTTCATCTCAATGAGACTGGTTGGAGAGTGGGTGCAGCCCACAGAGGGTAAGCCAAAGCAGGGCAGGGCATTGCCTCACCCGGGAAGCTCAAGTGGTCAGGGGATTTCCCTTTCCTAGCCAAGGGAAGCCATGACAGACAGTACCTGGAAAAATGGGACACTCCTGCCCAAATACTGCACTTTTCCAATGGCCTTAGCAAACAGCACACCAGGAGATTATATCCTGCACCTGGCTTGGTGGGTCCCACGCCCACGGAGCCTTGCTCACTGCTAGTGCAGCAGTCTGAGATTGACCTGTGAGGGAGCAGCCTGGCAGGGGGCGGGGCATTCGCCATTGCTAAAGCTTGAGTAGGTAAACAAAGCAGCCGGGGAAGCTCGAACTGGGCAGAGCCCACCACAGCTCAGCCAGTCCTGCTGCTTCTGTAGACTCCACCTCTTGGGGCAGGGCATAGCTGAACAAAATGCAGCAGAAACTTCTGCAGACTAAAATATCCCTTTCTGACAGCTCTGAAGAGAGCAGTAGTTTGCCCAGCATGGTGTTTGAGATTGGAGAATGGACAGACTGCCTCCTCAAGTGGGTCCCTGACCCCCATGTAGCCTAAATGGGAGACACCTCCTAATAGGGGCTGACTGACACCTCATACAGGCGAGTGCCCCTCTGGGACGAAGCTTCCAGAGGAAGGATCAGGCAGCAATGTTTGCTGTTCTGCAATATTTGCTGTTCTGCAGCCTCCACTGGTGATACCCAGGCACACAGGGTCTGGAGTAGACCTCCAGTGATCTCCAACAGACCTGCAGCTGAGGGACCTGAGTGTTAGAAGGAAAACTAACAAACAGAAAGGAATAGCATCAACACCAACAAAAAGGACATCTACACCAAAACCCCATCTGTAGGTCACCAACATCAAGGACCAAAGGTAGATAAAACCAAAAAGATGGGGAGAAACCAGAGCAGAAAAGCGGAAAATTCTAAAAACCAGAGCACCTCTTCTCCTCCAAAGGATTGCAACTCCTCGCCAGCAACAGAACAAAGGTGGATGGAGAATGACTTTGATGAGCTGACAGAAGTAGGCTTCAGAAGGTCAGTAATAACAAACTTCTCTGAGCTAAAGGAGGATGTTCGAACCCATTGCAAGGAAGCTAAAAACCTTAAAAAAAGATTAGAGTAGTAGCTAACTAGAATAAACAGTGTAGAGAAAATCTTAAATGACATAATGGAGCTGAAAACCTTGGCACGAGAACTATGTGACGCATGCACAAGCTTCACTAGCTGATTCGATCAAGTGGAAGAAAGGGTATCAGTGATTGAAGATCAAATCAATGAAATAAAATGAGAAGAGAAGTTTAGAGAAAAAAGAGTGAAAAGAAACAAACAAAGCCTCCAAGAAATATGGGATTATGTGAAAAGACCAAATCTATGTCTGATTGGTGTACCTGAAAGTGACGGGGAGAATGGAGCCAAGTTGGAAAACATTCTTCAGGATACTATCCGGGAGAACTTCCCCAACCTAGCAAGGCAGACCAACCTCAAATTCAGGAAATACAGAGAATGCCACAAAGATACACTTCGATAAAGCAACCCCAAGACACATAATTGTCAGATTCACCAAGGTTGAAATGAAGGAAAAAACGTTTAGGACAACCAGAGAGAAAGGTCAGGTTACCCACAAAGGGAAGCCCATCAGAGTAACAGCAGATCCCTTGGCAGAAACTCTACAAGCCAGAAGAGAGTGGGGGCCAATATTCAACATTCTTAAAGAAAAGAATTTTCAACCCAGAATTTCATATCCAGCGAAACTAAGCTTCATAAGTGAAGGAGAAATAAAATCCTTTACAGACAAGCAAATGCTGAGAGATTTTGTCACCACCAGGCCTGCCTTACAAGAGCTCCTGAAGGAAGCACTAAACATGGAAAGGCACAACCAGTACCAGCCACTGCAAAAAAACATGCCACATTGTAAAGACCGTTGATGCTAGGAAGAAACTGCATCAACTAACAGGCAAAATAACCAGCTAACATCATAATGACAGGATCAAATTCACACATAACAATGTTAACCTTAAATTTAAATGGGCTAAATGCCCCAATTAAAAGACAAAAACCAGCAAATTGGATAAAGGGTCAAGACCCATCAGTGTGCTATATTCAGGAGACCCATCTCACGTGCAGAGACACACATAGGCACAAAATAAAGGGATGGAGGAAGATCTACCAAGCAAATGGAAAGCAAAAAAAAGGAGGGGTTGCAATCCTAGTCTCTGATAAAACAGACTTTAAACCAACAAAGATCAAAAGAGACAAAGAAGGCCATTACATAATGGTAAAGGGATCAATTCAACAAGAAGAGCTAACTATCCTAAATATATATGCACCCAATACAGGAGAACCCAAATTCATAAAGCAAGTCCTTAGAGACCTACAAAGAGACTTAGACTCCCACACAATAATAATGGGAGACTTTAACACCCCACTGTCAATATTAGACAGATCAATGAGACAGAAGGTTAACAAGGATATCCAGGACTTGAACTCAGCTCTGCACCAAGCAGACCTAATAGACATCTACAGAACTCTCCACCCCAAATCAACAGAATATACATTCTTCTCAGCACTACATTGCACTTATTCTAAAATTGACCACATAATTGTAAGTAAAGCACTCCTCAGCAAATGTAAAAGAACAGAAAGCACAATAAACTGTCTCTTAGACCACACTGCAATCAAATTAGAATTTGGGATTAAGAAACTCACTCAAAGCCACACAACTACATGGAAACTGAACAACCTGCTCCTGAATGACTACTGGGTAAATAACAAAATGAAGGCAAAAATAAAGATGTTCTTTGAAACCAATGAGAACAAAGACACAATGTACCAGAATCTCTGGAACACATTTAAAGCAGTGTGTAGAGGGAAATTTATAGCACTAAATGCCCACAAGAGAAAGCAGGAAAGATCTAAAATCGACACTGTAACATCGCAATTAAAAGAACTAGAGAAGCAAGAACAAACAAATTCAAAAGCTAGCAGAAGGCAAGAGATAACTAAGATCAGAACAGAACTGAAGGAGACAGAGACACAAAAACCCCTTAAAAAATCAATGAATCCAGGAGCTGGGTTTTTGAAAAGATCAACAAAATTTATAGACCACTAGCAAGACTAATAAAGAAGAAAAGAGAGAAGAATCAAATTGATGCAATAAAAAATGATACAGGGGATATCACCACTGACCCCACAGAAATACAAACTACCATCAGATAATACTATAAACACCTCTACACAAATAAACTAGAAAATCTAGAAGAAATGGATAAATTCCTGGACACATACACCCTCCCAAGACTAAACAAGGAAGACGTTGAATCTCTGAATAGACAAAAAACAGGCTCTGAAATTGAGGCAATAACTAATAGCCTATCAAACAAAAAAAGTTCAGGACCAGATGGATTCATAGCCTAATTCCACCAGAGGTATAAAGAGGAGCTGTTACCATTCTTTCTGAAACTATTCCAGTCAGTAGAAAAAGAGGGAATCCTCCCTAACTCATTTTATGAGGCCGGCATCACCCTGATACAAAAGCCTGGCAGAGACACAAAAAAGAAAGAGAATTTTAGACCAATATGGCTGACGAACATCGATGCAAAAATTCTCAATAAAATACTGGCAAACCAAATCCAGCAGCACATCAAAAAGCTTATCTACCATGATCAAGTCAGCTTCATCCCTGGGATGCAGGGCTGGTTCAACATACCCAAATCAGTAAACATAGTCCATCACATAAACAGAACCAATGAAAAAAACCACATGATTATATTAATAGTTGCAGAAAAGGCCTTTGACAAAATTCAACAGCCCTTCATGCTAAAAACTCTCAACAAACTACGTATTGATGGAATGTACGTCAAAATAATAACAGCTATTTATGACAAACCCACAGCCAATATCATCCTGAATGGGCAAAAACTGGAAAGATTCCCTTTGAAAACTGGCACAAGACAGGGACACCCTCTCTCACCACTCCTATTCAACATAGTGTCGGAAGTTCTGGCCAGGGCAATCAGGCAAGAGAAAGAAATAAAGGGTATTCAATTAGGAAAAGAGGAAGTCAGACTGCCCCTTTTTGGAGATGACATGATTATACGTCTAGAAAACCCCATCATCTCAGCCCAAAAATCTCCTTAAGCTGATAAGCAACTTCAGTAAAGTCTCAGGATATAAAATCAATGTGCAAAAATCATAAGCATTCCTATACACCAATAACAGACAAACAGAGTCAAATTATGAGTGAACTCCCATTCACAATTGCTACAAAGAGAATAAAATACCTAGGAATCCAACTTATGAGGGATGTGAACGACCTCTTCAAGGAGAACTACAAACCACTGCTCAACGAAATAAAAGAGGACACAAACAAATGGAGGAACATTCTATGCTCACGGTTAGGAGGAATCAATATCGTGAAAATGGCCATACTGCCCAAGGTAATTTATAGAGTCAATGCCACCCCATCAAGCTACTAATGACTTTCTTCACAGAATTGGAAAAAAACTACTTTAAAGTTTATCTGGAACCAAAAAAGAGCCCGCATTGCCAAGACACTCCTAAGCAAAAAGAACAAAGCTGGAAGCATCATGCTACCTGACTTCAAACTATACTACAAGGCTACAGTAATCAAAACAGCATGTTACTGGTACCAAAACAGATATATCAACCAATGGAACAGAATGGAGGCCTCAGAAATAACACCACATATCTACAACCATCTGATCTTTGACAAACCTGACAAAAACAAGAAATGGGGAAAGGATTCCCTATTTAATAAATGGTACTGGGGAAACTGGCTAGCCATGTGTAGAAAGCTGAAACTGGATCCCTTCCTTACACCTCATATAAAAATTAATTCAAGATGGATTAAAGACTTAAATATTAGACCTAAAACCATAAAAACCTTAGAAGAAAACCTAGGCAATACCATTCAGGACATAGGCATGGGCAAGGACTTCATGACTAAAACACCAAAATCAATGGCAGCAAAAGCCAAAATTGATAAATGGGATCTAATTAAACTAAAGAGCTTCGGCACAGCAAAAGAATCTACCATCAGAGTGAACAGGCTACCTACAGAATGGGAGAAAATTTTTGCAATCTACTCATCTGACAAAGGGCTAATATCCAGAATCTACAATGAATTCAAACAAATTTACGAGAAAAAAATCAAACAACCCCATCAAAAAGTGGGCAAAGGATATGAACAGACACTTCTCAAAAGAAGACATTTATGCAGCTGAAAGACACATGAAAAAATGCTCATCATCACTGGTCATCAGAGAAATGCAAATCAAAACCACAATAAGATACCGTCTCACACCAGTTAGATTGGCAATCATTAAAAAGTCAGGAAACAACAGATGCTGGTGAGGATGTGAAGAAATAGGAAGGCTTTTACACAGTTGGTGGGAGTGTAAACTAGTTCAACCATTGCAGAAGACAGTGTGGCGATTCCTCAAGGATCTAGAACTAGAAATACCATTGATCCCATTACTGGGTACGTACCCAAAGGATTATAAATCATGCTACTATAAAGACACATGCACATGTATGTTTATTGCGGCACTATTCACAATAGCAAAGACTTGGAACCAACCCAAATGTCCATCAATGATAGACTGGATTAAGAAAATGTGGCACATATATATCATAGAATTCTATGTGGCCATAAAAAATGATGAGTTCATGTCCTTTGCAAGGGCATGTATGAAGCTGGAAAACCATCATTCTGAGCAAACTATCACAAGGACAGAAAACCAAACATTTCATGTTCTCACTCATAGGCGGGAATTGAACAATGAGAACACTTGGACACAGGGTGGGGAACATCACACCCCAGGGCCTGTCATGGGGTGGGGAGCAGAGGGAGGGATATCATTAGGAGAAACAGCTAATGTAAATGACAAGTTAATGGGTGCAGCAAACCAACATGGCACATGTATACCTACATAACAAACCAGCACGTTGTGCACATGTACCCTAGAACTTAAAGTACAATAAAAAAAAAAGAAAAGAAAAAATGAGAGAAGATTCAAATAAATAAAATCAGAGATGTAAAGGAGACATTATAATTGTTACCACAGAAATTCAAAGGATCATTATTGGCCACTAAGAGCAAATATATGCCAATAAATTGGAAAATCCAGAGAAAATGGATTCTAGACATATAATGCCTATCAAGATTGAACCATGAAGAAATTCAAACACTGAACAGACCAATAACAAGTAACTAGATCAAAGCCACAATAATGGACACAGGAAGGGGAACATCACACACCAGGGCCTGTTGTGGGGTGGGGGGAGGGGGGAGGGATAGCATTTGGAGATATACCTAATGTTAAATGACAAGTTACTGGGTGCAGCACACCAACATGGCACATGTATACATATGTAACTAACCTGCACGTTGTGCACATGTACCCTAAAACTTAAAGTATAATAAAAAAAAAATTCTAGTAAAGAAAAGCCCAGGACACAACGGTTTTCACTACTGAATTCTACCAAACGTTTAAAGAAGATCTAATACCAATCCTATTCAAACTGGTCTGAAAAACAACGTAAGAGGGAATACTTCCAAACTTATTCTACAAGGCCAGTATTACCCTGATACCAAAACCGGACAATGACACATAAAAAAAAGAATGAAAACTACATGCCAATATCTCTGATGAATATTGAAGCAAAAACCCTCAACAAAATACTAGCAAGCCAAATTCAACAATACATTTAAAAGATAATTCATCATGACCAATTAGGGTTTATCCCAGGGATGCAAGTATAATTCAGTATATGCAAATCAATCAATGTGATACATCATTCAACAGAAGGACAAAAACCATGTGATAATTTTAATTGATGCTGAAAAAGTATTCAATAAAATTCAAAAATCTTTCATAATAAAAACCCTCAAAAAACTCGGTATATAAGAAACATACCTCAATACAATAAAAGCTACATATGACAGACTCACAGCTGGCATCATAATAAATGGGGGGGAAACTGAAAGCCTTTCTTCTGAGATCTTAAAAGAGACAGGGATGTCCTCGCCACTGTTATTCAACATACTACTAGAAGTTCTAGCATGAGCAATTAGACAAGAGAAAGAAATGTAGGGCATCCAAACTGGAAAGGAAGAAGTCAAATTACTCTTGTTTGCAGATGTTATGATCTTATATTTGGAAAAGCACCAAAAACTATTAAAACAGATAAATAAATCTGGTAAAGTTGCAGGATACAAAATCAACCTACAAAAATTAGTAGTGTTTCTGTATGTCAACAGTGAACAATCTGAAAAATAAATCCAAAAAGTATCCCACTTACAATAGCCACAAATAATATTAAATGCCTAGGAATTAATTTAACCTAAGAAGTGAAAGTTCTCTACAATGAATACTATAAAATACTGATAAAAGAAATTGAAGAGGACATGAAAAAAATGGAAAAATATTCTATGTTCATGGATTGGAAGAATAAATATTGTTAAAATGTCCATACTATCCAAGGCGATCTATAGATTCAATGCAATCTTTATCAAAATACCAACAGCATTCTTCACATAAATAGAAAAAAAATCATAAAATACATATGGGACCACCAATGATCCAGAATACCCAAAGCTGTCCTGAGCAAAAAGAACAAAACTGGAGGAATCACATTACCTGGCTTCAAATTATGCTATAGAGTTATAGTAAACAAAACAGCATGGTATTGGCATACAAAGAGACATATAAAGCCGGACACAGCAGTTCATGCCTGTAATCCGACCACTTTGGGAGGCCAAGGTGGGTGGATCACTTGAGGTCAGGAGTTCAACACCAACCTGGCCAACATGGTGAAACCCCATCTGTACTAAAAATACAAAAATTAGCCAGGCTTAGTGGTGCTTGCCTGTAATCTCATCTACTTGGGAGGCTGAGGCAGGACAATCACTTAAATCCAGGAGGCAGAGGTTGCCGTGAGCCGAGATTGTGCCACTGCACTCCAGCCTGAGCAATAAAGCAAGACTCAATCTAAAAAAAACAAAAACGAAACAAACAAACAAAAAAAACATAAACCAATGGAACAGAATAAGGAACATAGAAACAAATCCACACACTTATAGTGAACTTATTTTCAACCAAGATGCCAAGAACATACATTGGGGGAAAGACAATCTCTTCAATAAATGGTGCTGGGAAAACTGGATATCCATATGCAGAAGGATAAAACTAAACCCCTATTACTCACCACATACAAAATCAAATAAAATGCATGAAATACTTATATCTAAGACCTCAAACTATGAAATAACTGAAAGAAAACATTGAGGAGACTCTCTAGGACATTGGAGTGGGCAAAGATTTCTTGAGTAATATCTGACAAGCACAGGCAACCAAAGCATCAATGGACAAATGGGATCATCTCAAGTTAAAAGGTTTTTACACAGCAAAAGAAACAATGAACAAACTGAAGAGACAACTCACAGAATGGGAGAAAATATTTGCAAACTATCCACCTGGCAAGGAACTAAAAACCAGAATATAAAAGGAGCTCAACAACCTATAAGGAAAATTCTAATAATCTGATTTTAAAATGAACAAAATATATCAATAGACATTTCTCAAAAGAAGACATACAAATGGCAAACAGGCATATGAAAAGGTAATCAACATCATTCATTGATCACCAGAGGAATGCAAATCAAACTACAGTAAGATATCATCTCACCTCAGTTAAAATGGCTTTTATGCTAAAGACAGGCAATAACAAATGCTGACAAGGATTTGGAGAAAAAGGAACACTCCCAATGTTGGGAATATAAATTGGTACAACCACTATGGAGAACAAGTTTGAAGTTCCTCAAAAAACTAAAAATAGAGCTGCCACATGATCCAGCAATCCCACTGCTGGGTATGTACCCAAAAGAAAAGAAATCAGTATGTTAAAGAAAGATTTGCACTCTTATGTTTACTGCAGCACTGTTCACAATAGCCAAGATTTGGAAGCAACCTAAATGTTCATCAACAGATAAATGGATAAAGAAAATGTGGTACATATACACAATTTAGTACTATTCAGCCATAAAAGAGTGAGATCTTGTTATTTGCAACAATATGGATGGAACTAGAGGTTCTCATGTTAAGTGGAATAAGTGAGGCACAGGAAAAAAAACATCATATGTTCTTACCTATTTGTGGGATCTAAAAATCAAAACAATCGAACTCACGGACTTAGAAAGTAAAAGGACAGTTACCAGAGGCTGGGAAAGGTAGTGGGGTCCAGGGGAAGGTGGGGATGGTTAATGGGTATAAAAAATAGAAAGAATAAATAAGACCTATTATTTGATAACACAACAATGTGACTACAGTCAATACTAATTTAATTGTACATTTAAACATAACTAAAAGAGTATAATTGGATTGTTTGTAACACAAAGGATGAACACTTTGATGTCATGGATACCCCATTTTCCATGATGAAATTATTATGCGTTGCATGCCTGTATCAAAATATTTCATGTTCCCCATAAATATATACACCTACTGTGTACCTACAAAAATAAAAAATAAAATTTTATTTAAAACCTGAAACGGAAGACTGTACAAATGGACTCAATTTTTTCTTAGAAGTATTCCTTAAAAGCAAAGGGACATCTGATTACTCTTATAGCATTTATCCAACTTCAATCTTGGAATATAGGAGAAATAGCAATAAATGCAAAATTATTAAACCTGAGTTATAACCTAGCTCTGTCTCCTAAGAGCTTTGAACCATGGACAAATCATCAATTCTCAACTACCTCTAAGCCTCAACAAGTTATTGTGGGAATTAAGTGAGAAAATGTTTGTCAAAGCATTTTAAAATATAACACAATATAAAAAGATAATGTCTGTTGCATTTATCATCATCATCATCATTTTTGTCCTTGAGCTCAAGCCATCAATTATGATCATTAAAAATTGTCTGATATAATACTTATGTATTTATTTATATGAATCCATATAGCAAGCAAGTTGATAGTAAGTTAATACCAGATCTGATTTTACTTTTATTCTCCCCCACATGCACATTTTCATAAATATTGTTGAAATGTTTATTAAATGTTTTATAAGTTTGTTCCCGCATTTTAAACATGCTTCCTAAAAGCTCAGCCCTCATTTTTAAAGTAGCTCACAATTTTTGAGCTCTTACTTGGGGCTAGAAACTGTCCTGGGCATTTTAAATACAAAACCTTATTTAATCCTCTCAAGAACTCCATAAGGGTAAGGTACTGTGGTGATCTTTACTTTGATAATGAGACTTCCCTAAGGTAGACAATTTCCCATTCTGCAAAGACTGTGTTTCTCTTAAAATATTGGAAAGACAGATAAATCAGCTGTGGTCCTCTCCTGGGGAATGTGTTTGTCATGAGAGGGGATTCGTATTGCAATATCTTCAGCATCAGTTACAGTTTACATTGGAAACTTCAACTTACTTGCCTAGCATATTTTGTGACATTTTCACTAACCTCCTAATGGAAAAAAAAAGCTGAGCCATCAACTGTCAATTTTGGATAATTTTAAAGATGACAGGATAATTTTTCATCTACCTCATTCCAAAAGCAGTATGATGTAGCTATACGGTGACACCAACACATGCCTTAGAGAACATGCTCCATCTGAGCAGAGTTTATATCACCCACAAGGACTAAGGCAATGTTAAAAATATAGACTTTCAGTAAATGCTTGCTGAACTGAAATGGTTCCAAATTGTTAAATTAAAAGAGATAATAGCAGAAAAGTCAAAGCAGCAAATGATGAGCAGGTTATCAGAGAAATAAAGAAAGCAGAAGATAAATTGCCCTCCATCCCAGAGCTAGCAAGTGCACTAAACTTACTACTGTGGAATGTGTTTAATGATAGATAATTGAGTTGTTTCATTACTCACCAAGAGAAGAGAAAGATGAAACCGTACTCAGAATAATTTTGAATAAAAAGCCCCTTTGTTTTATCAAACCACATTATGTTCTGTTAAGTGGCAAAGTTGAATGAAAATACCTTCAAGTTGTAAAACACTCATCAAATATAAGACATTAATAAAATAGTTGTATAACATCGGATCTCTCAACTTTATTCAACCATTTCTTCCCTTAGATGATGAGACTGTCTGTAAGTAAGTAGGATGAGTAGGAAAAGCTAAGATTTTAACTCAACCACGAAGTTTACTTTTTTCTCCTTTTGCAGAATAGCACCATATATTTCTTTTTAAATTTTTTTTATTTTTAATTTTTGTGGGTACCTGGTATGTGTATATAAGGTACATTCGATGTTTTGAAAAAGGCATGTAATGTGAAATACTCACAGCATAGAAAATGGGATATCCATTGCCTCAAGCATTTATCCTTTGATTTACAAATAATTCAATTAAACTATTTTAGTTATTTTTAAGTGTACAATTAAGCTGTTACTGATTATAGTCACCCTGTTGTGCCATCAAATACTAGGTCTTATTCTTTCTAACTGTTTTTTGTACCCATTAACCATCCCTACCTCCACATCAGCTCCCTACCACCCTTTTAGCCTCTAGTAACCATCCTTCTACTCTCTATTTCTATGAGTTCAATTGTTTTGATTTTTATATCTTACAAGTAAGTGAGAACATGTGATGTTTGTCTTTCGGTGTATGGCTTATTTCACTTAACGTGATGACCTCCAGTTCCACCCATGTCATTGCAAATGACAGTATCTCATTCTTTTTTACGGCTGAATAGTACTCCATTGTGTATTTATACCACATTTTCTTTATCCAGTCTTCTGTTGATGGATGCTCAGGTTGCTTCCAAGTCTTAGTTATTGTGAATAGTGCTGCAACAACAAACATAGGAGTGCAGATATCTCTTTAATATACGGATTTCCTTTCTTTTGAGTATATACCCAGCAGTGGGATTGCTGGATTATATGGTAGCTCTTTTAGTTTTAGGATTTTTTTGTTTTTGCTTTTGTTTTTTTTAGGAACCTCGAAACTGTCCTCCATAGTGGTTGTACTAATTTACATTCTCATCAACAGTTTACAAGGGTTCTTTTTTCTCCACATCCTTGCCAGTATTTGTTATTGCCTGTCTTTTGGATTAAAAGCCATTTTAACTGGAGTGAGATGATATCTCACTGTAGTTTTGATTTACATTTCTCTAATGAGTAATGATATTGATCACCTTTTTATATGCCTGCTTGCTATTTCTGTGTCTTCTTTTGATAAATGTCTATTCAAATCTAGACCACCAAGTTTAAATGATAGCTCTGCTACTCTGACCCTAAGCAACTTACTTCTCTCTGGAGTAGTTCTCAAATGTGAAGTGGATAAGAATCACCTGAGATACTTAAATGTGTATTTTCAGGTGCCAACAACAGAGATTCTTGGTTAGGGGGAATCTCTGGAATCTGACTTTTTTGGTGGAAATCTAGTTTTTCATAGGCACCCCAAAATATTCTAATGAAGGTGGTCCAGGTCTCCCACTTAAATAAATAGTATTCCAGGAATCTTATTTCCCTTATCTTTCAGAAGCATATAACAATACCCACAGGATCAGGGGAAGTTTTTTAGTGGGGTGGGAGGTAAATGAACTAACATATTTTACCAACAGTTTTGAACATCTACTGTATTGGTCTGCTAGGGAAACCATAACAAAATACCACAGACTATGTGTCTCTACCAACAGAATTTTATTTTCTCACCATTCTGAAGGCTAGAAGTCCAAAATCAATGTGTTACCAGGATTGGTTTCTGGTGAGACCTCTCATCCTCGCTTGTAGATAACCACCTGCTGGCTGTGTCCTCACATGGCTTTTCCTTTCTGCATATGTGGAGAGAGATAGACACCATCTCTAATGTCTCTTCCTCTTCTTGCAGGGGACAATTTCTGTCAAATTAGGACTCCATCCTATGGCCTCCTTTAACCTCCCTAAGGGCCTTATCTCGAATAATGTCACATTGGGTGTTAAGCTTCACCATGTAAATTTTGGGGGGCACAATGCAGTTCATAATACCTGTTATGTGGAAATACATGTTTTAGATAAAATGAGGAATATGGATAAATGAGATTTGGACCTTGCTCTTAAGACATGTACATTCCAATAAGGACATATAAATTGCAATTATCTTCCAATCCACATTACTATAACTTCGACTGCTCTGTTTATGTCACATCATTTCCCACTTATAATATCCAGATAGTTGATCAATGAACTGGGAATATCTTGTCCTTAGGTTGTCTATGATATTTTTCTCATTGAGAATATGAATCAAAACATAGAAGGTGTGGTTTGGAGCTGACTCATAACAACTGTAGAAAACTAGAAGGAAGATCCATAAACTCCAGCTGCTGAGGTTCTCAGAGTTTCACTTTTGAAGCCTCATCATCCAACCTTTCCTTAAATTCCATGACAATCATATTGAAATATAAGTAGGTTTTTCCTTATTGAGCTAAGTACATGCTGAGATAATCATACAATTAGGAAGAATGTGAAAAGTATAAGAATATAGGTATTATGGAGGTTTTGAGAAAAACAATTTTTTCACTAGAATGCTCAGTGAGATATCTGACTTGAGAAATAGAGACTATGAATGATTTTGGTATCTGATGAAGGAACTACAGAATTTTTGGTAAATAAATGAACAGGAGCATTATCTTCCATTGGATTTGGGAAAATTACTTAATTTTTATGTTAAGGAAGGGAATCTGAAATACAGAGAAGCTACATAACACAGTCGGATATGGATTCAAACCAGACCCTTAGTGGCCTGACTCTTAATCACTGTACTCATTTGTCTCCAAGGGTACCACTACTTCTACTCCTACAAAGTCAAATGCTAAACTATGTGCTACATACTGAGGCTATCACAGAACATCTCAGGGGAAGCAAACCAATTAGATCTAAAATAATCAGAGCTTTTAGGGAGGAGTTGAAACCAAGGCTGGGCCTCAAGTGGTATAGGATATTTAGGAAAAAGGAGAAGAATAGTGAAAACAATACACATTTCATGCCAAGGTCAGCTAATATAGGAGTTGAGTTCCTGAGAGTCAGAAACTTTTTAAAATGTACTTAAATTTAATATGGATGCAATAATGTCATCTAATACACAATTCGTATTCAAATTTCCACGAAATGTCCTTTACATCTGTTTTTTTTCTAGTCTAGAATCCAATCAAAATGCAACATTACAATTGTCTGTGTCTCTCCATTTCCCTTTAAACCAGATGAATCTTCTTTAATCTAGAACAATCCTTCATGTTATTGACATTTTTAATAGTCTAGGCTACTTGACTATTACATTGTCCCATATTCTGTATTTTTTTCATTGCTCCTTTATAATTAAATTCAGGTTAAATGTTTTTGGCAAGAATATTGCAAAGATGATGTATAATTTCCTCTGAATCACAATAGATGGCAGGGTTTATTAATTTGTTCTGCTGATGGAGGATAAGTTTGACTATTTGATTAAGCTGGTATCTGCCAGATCGTTTCATTATAAAACTAACTTTTCCCTGTAATTTAATAAGCAATCAGTAGGGGGATATTTTAAGACCATGCAAGTATCTTGTCTCCTAACACCAAGGTATTTGTCCTCTTTCACCAAGTAATTTTGACTTCCATTGATGATCCTTACCTGAATTAATTATCATATAGTTGGTATCAGAATGGTTTTATTCCAACACTATTCTTTCTTCTACATATGTTAGCTGGTATTCTTCTATAAAGCAAAGCATTTCAATCCTCCTCCTCACTTTTCACGTCATTATGGGTTCATGTATTATCATTTTACACACTGTATTTGTTCATTGTTTTACACATCATTTTTCATGCTCAAATTGTCACAAATGTGGCCAGTGGAAGACTCTTCAACTCAGCTCTCATGCCCGCTTGACTCACTCCCAGTAGTTTTTGAACAATTCCTTACTTTCAGGCACCCCCAAATGGCTAGGCTTACTTTGTACCTTCTCTGCCCCAGGCCTAAAATCACCCATATCTCAAAGGAGCCCTATATTGGGTATTTAGGCGCCCACTTTTCTTAATGAAGCCATTTAAAGCTTTTGTAGTCCAATTTTGAGGCGCAATTTGCTGGTCAGCCACTTCATTGTCTTCACATAATTTCAATATGATATTGATTTGAAACTCAAACCCTGATTGAACTATGATTGAGGAGTGGTTGATGTTCTCAAATTGTCCTAGTGTGTGCTGCAAAAGGTTAGCAACCAAAATGTAAGGTGTAAAAGGTAAATTTATTACCTGAAAAGATATTGAGTAGTTTATCTCTCTACCTATATGCTTCTGAAATTTATATCACAATATGCATTACACAAATATAGTGTTCTAAGCCTGTTTTGTTTTTTTCTCCCCAAATACTTCTACTATATCCTCAGTCAAATTGCGATCAGATTATCCTATTAGCTTGGCACACTGTTTTAAACCAGGGATCAGCAAAGTTTTTCTTAAAAAGCCAGACAATAAATATATTAAGTTGTGTCAGTCATTTGATCTCTGTTGCACCATTCAAATCTTCAGACATAGGACAAAATTAGCCATCGGCAATACATGAACGGGCATGACTATGTGTCCAATAAAACTTTATCTGCAAAAACAGAAGTTAGATTATAGTTTGTGAACCTTTGTCATAAACAAAAGTAACAACAACAAATGTGACAACTATTACTTCTATATTAGTACTACTTCTATAATAAAATTTGGTGGTAGTCCTAGAATCCAAGATATTCACTTAATATTTTGCCATTATTCCTTCCAGTCTTTATACTCCATGCCCTTTTTTTTTTTTCTTACATCATGGTAATTGTTCTTCATACATGTGGTTTTTTTATCCAGCATTTTTCATTTAATTTTGTAATCAAAACATTTCTCACCTGTAGTAGATACTGCTGTGTTTTTTCCCTTCCCCATATCACCTCCACCCTCTCTAAGCTCAGCTGCAGACACACTACACAATCCTATACACATTAACAGCTTTCCACCTCGATATTTGCACCTCTCTGCCTTTCTATCAAACACTTTCCAGGTTCATGGGAGTGTGCTTTTCAGGGACACCCTAAAGCACAATAGTTTCAATCCTTCTGAGGGCAAGCCCCAACAAATGAGGGGCTAGAAATGGGAGGTAAATGATCCAACTTCCCTGTTTTTCAATGCCATTTTTACAATTTACCAATTATATTCGTATTACATTTTCTCCAGTTTGTCGATATTCTCATTTTGTTTATTAATTTTTACACATACAAGTTTTAAATAATCATCTTTATTAATTGATTTTTACTGCTTTACATCATGGCTTTAGGTTGATTAAAATCCTCTCTCAGAAAGCAATTTTACATGTATTCTTCATTTTAACTTTAGAACCAGTCAAGCCTTCAAAAAGCCCAAAATTATAGAAATTTTGATGAGAAGTGAATTTAAACAAATGCATTTGTTGATAGTTATACCTTAGTCATATTCAGACTTTCCATGTATTAAGTTAGGTTGACTTTTCATAGTTCATTCTTTTTTTAATGACACTCAGAATGTTTATAAATTTTCTTGATGTAAACATCAGGTATTTGGTATTAAGATTATTTCTGGATTTTTCTCCTTTATTGCAATTGTGAATTAAGGATTTTTTTCATCCATTACATTCTGTAAATTTATCTTGTATCTAGCTGAATGTTCATATTCATTGTGATATTATGTATAAGTACATTTATGGAATTGTATTCTGGAGAGATGCTATCAACTATATACAAGGACAATATAGAAACCAGTTCGTTGAAAGTCATTGTTGCAGTGATATAAATATTTTCAGAAAGCCATTCATGCCCATCTACAAGCACATAATATTTTATGGCCTGATTTTTTTGTGTTTTAATTCCTGGCTTGACTCAATGTTTTTAGTCTCTTCTAATTATAATATGCTAGTTTCCTGTATTTTAGGTATTCTCATAACCACCCTAAATAACTTCTGAAATAAGAAGGGCATACGTCTTTTAATATGATACTAACTCTAATCATTTCAGGTTGATTCTTTTATATTCTAAATACACAAAAGAAATAGAATTCAGCTTGCATCTTTTCAATAAAAATCAAATTGTAAAATATATTGCATTTACAAAATATATTGTAGAAGAAAAATTTATTCTTCCTAAGTGGAACTTTGTACTCTCTGACCAGCATCTTTCCATTTCCCCCTATCCTTGCCCCCAGAACCTGGTAACCACCATCCTACTCTCTACTTCTACAAGTTTGACTTTTTCACATTCCACATAAAATTGAGATCATGTGGTTTTTGCCTCTCTATGCCTGGCTTATTCCACTTAGCAAAGTGTCCTATAGGACATTTGCTTCTTTACAAAATAAATTGCCATGTGGTACAGTGGCACTGTTTTCCAGGTTGTTGATATTCCAATTTTGTTCATAATTATTTGATAAATATATGTCTTAAATGTTTATGTAATTACATCAGTTTATTTTTACTGCTTTATTGGCTTTAGATTTCTAAGACACTGTCTTGGAAAGTGAAGATTTGACTCTGGGATCAAATCCCAGCTCTAGAACTTACTCTGTGAACTTGGGCAAGTTACTTAACCTCTTTCTGCCTCAATTCCCTGATCTATAAAATGGGGTCATTGTGAAGATTAAGATGTTATAATCTAATACAATAGGTATACCTTTATTTTATTTCTTATTTTATTATTTTAGACTCCCCTTTTATTTTATAGTTATTCTAATAAGTATTTTTTTAAACAGCACAGATGCTGCCTATCCTTATTTAAAAGAAAAAGCTCTGGGGTGCCGAGGCTACAATCGGTCCCCAGGGAGACCAGAAAGAACCACCGTATTTCATTAAAGCAAAGATGTGCCATTACTTATGTACCATTAAGGAGAAAGAAAAAATACAGATTATAAGTCTGCCACATTATCTCAATTAAAAGATGGATTCCAAGTTCAAAGATGCTAAAATTTAAGGGGGCAGAATTGCATCTTAGAATGAATGAGATGTGGTGAGTTTTATATGTGCATTTGTGGCTGTCATGCACCATGCTAACATTTTACATATGTTATTCTGCTAAGGATAGCATTATCATACCCATTTCACAGTTCAGATGATATTATTATACCCATTTCACAGCTGAGAAAATGGAAGTTCTCTAAGACAAAATTCTCAGGATAGCACTATTATATCCATTTTACAGTTAAGAAAATGTAAGCTATTTTTGCTTCTGCATTTTTCCTTTTTTTAATTTTACTTTAAGATCCAGGATACATGTGCAGAAGGTAAAGGTTTGTTACACAGTTATACGTGTGCCACGATGGTTTCCTGCACCTATTAACCTGTCCTCTAGGTTCCCTCCTGTCACCCCCAACTCCCCAACAGGCCCTGATGTGTGTTGCTCCCCTCCCTGTGTCCATGTGTTCTCATTGTTCACCTCTCACTTATGAATGAGAACATGCAGTGTTTGATTTTCTGTTTCTGGGTTAGTTTGCTGAGGATAATGGCTTTCAGCTTCATCCATGTCCCTGCAAAGTACATTATCTCATTCTTTTTTATGGCTGCATAGTATTCCATGGTGTATATGTACCACATTATCTTTATCCAGCCTATCATTGATGGGCATTTGAGTTGGTTCCATGACTTCCCTATTGTAAATAGTGTTGCAATAAACATAAGTGCACACGTGTCTTTATAGTAGAATGATTTATATTCATTTGGGTATATACCGTGATGGGATTGCTGGGTCAAATGATATTTCTGGTTCTAGATTCTTAAGGAATCGCCATACTGTCTTCCATAATGGTTGAACTAATTAACATTCCCACCAACAGTGTAAAAGCATTCCTATTTCTCCTCAGTCTCACCAGCATCTATTGTTTCTTGACTTTTTAGTAATTGCCATTCTGACTGGTGTGAGATGGTATCTCATTGTGGCTTTGATTTGCATTTCTCTAATGATCAGTGATGTTGGGCTTTTTTTTCATATTTTTGTTGGCTGCATAAATGTCTTCTTTTGAGAAGTGTTTGTTCATATCCTTTGCCCATTTTTTAATGGGGTTGATTTTTTTCTTGTAAATCTGTTTAAGTTTTTTTTAAAGTCTGGATATTAGACCTTTGTCAGACGGGTAGATTGCAAACATTTTCTCCCATTCGGTAGGTTGCCAGTTCACTCTGATGATGGTTAATTTTGCTGTGCAGCAGTTCTTTAGTTTAATTAGATCCCATTTGTTAATTTTGACTTTTGTTGCAATTGCTCTTGACGATTTCATTATGAAGTCTTTGCCCATGCCTATGTTCTGAATGGTATTGCCTAGGTTTTCTTCTAGGGTTGTTATGGTTTTGGGTTTTACATTTAAGTTTTTAATCCATCTTGAGTTAATTTTTGTGTAAGGTATAAGGAAAGGGTCCAGTTTCAGTTTTCTGCATATGGCTTGCCAGTTTTCCCAACACCATTTATTGAATAGGAGACCTTTTCCCCATTGCTTGTTTTTGTCAGGTTTGTTAAAGACCCAATGGTTGTAGATGTGTGGTGTTAGTTCTGAGGTCTCTGTTCTATTCCATTGGTCTATATGTTTGTTTTGGTACCAGTATCATGCTGCAGCCTTGTAGTATAGTTTGAAGTCAGGTAGCATGATGCCTCCAGCTTTGTTCTTTTTGCTTAGGATTGTCTTGGCTATATGGGGTCTTCTTTGATTCCATATGAAATTTAAAGTAGTTTTTTCTAATTCTGTGAAGAATGTCAATGGTACTTTGATGGTAATCGCATCGAATTTATGAATTACTTTGGGCAATATGGCCATTTTCACAATACTGGTTCTTCTTATCCAAGAGGATGGAATGTTTTTCCATTTCTTGGTCTTCTCCTTTATTTCCTTGAGCAGTGGTTTGTAGTTCTCCTTGAAGAGGTCCTTCACATCCCTTGTTAGCTGTATTCCTAGGTATTTTATTTTCTTCATAGCAATTGCGAAAGAGAGTTCATTCATGATTTGGCTCTGTGCTTGTCTATTGTTGGTGTAAAGGAATGCTTGTGATTTTTGCACATTGATTTTCTTTCCTGAGATTTTGCTGAAGTTGCTTATCAGCTTAAGGAGTTTTGGGGCTGACATGATGGGTTTTTCTAAATATAGAATCATGTCATCTGCAAACAGAGACAATTTCACTTCCTCTGTTCCTATTTGAGTACACTTTATTTTTTCTCTTGCCTGATTGTCCTGGCCAGAACGTCCAATACTTTGTTGAAGAAGAGTGGTGAGAGAGCGTATCTTTGTCTCGTGCTGGTTTTCAAAAGGAATGCTTCCAGCTTTTGCCCATTCATTATGATATTGGCTGTGGATTTGTCATAAATATGTTATTATTTTGAGATTATTTTGAAACTATCAATACCTAGTTTATTGAGAGTTTTTAACATGAAGGCATGTTGAATTTTACCAAAGGCCTTTTCTATATCTAAAGAGATGATCATGTGGTTTTTGTCTTTGGTTCTGTTTATGTGATGGATTATGTTTACTGATTTGCATATGTTGAACCAGCCTTGCATCCCAGAGATGAAGCCAACTTGATCATGGTGGATAAGTTTTTTGATGTGCTACTGTATTCAGTTTGCCAGTATTTTAATGAGAATTTTCACATCAATGTTCATCAGGAATATTGGCCTGAAGTTTTCTTTTTTTGTTTTGTCTCTACCAGATTTTGGAATCAGGATGATGCTGGCTTCATAAAATGAGTTAGGGAGGAGTCCCTCCTTTTCAATTGTTTAGAATAGTTTCAGAAGGAATAGTACCAGCTCCTTTTTGTACCTCTGGTAGAATTTCGTTGCGAATCCATCTGGTCCTGGGCTAGTTTTGATTGGTAGGCTATTAATTACTGCCTCAATTTCAGAACTTGTTATTGGTCTATTTAGGGATTTGATTTCTTCTTGGTATATTCTTGGGAGGGCGTATGTGTCCAGGAATTTATCCATTTTTTCTATATTTTTTAGTTTATTTCCATAGAGGCGTTTATAGTATTCTCTGATGGTAGTTTGTATTTCTGTGGGGTCAGTTGTAATACCCCCTTTATCATTTTTTATTGTGTTTACTTGATTCTTCTCTTTTTGTCTTTATTAGTCTAGCTAGCCATCTATCTATTTTGTTAATTTGTTCAAAATAACAGATCCTGGATTCGCTGATTTTTTGAAGGGTTTTTCATGTCTCTATCTTCTTCAGTTCTGCTCTGATCTTACTTATTTTTTGCCTTCTGCTGGCTTTTGGATTAGTTTACTCTTGCTTCTCTGGCTCTTTTAATTGTGATGTTAGAGTGTCGATTTGAAGTCTTTCTAGCTTTATGGTGTGGGCATTTAGTGCTTTAAATTTCTCTTTTAACACTGCTTTAGCTGTGTGCCAGAGATTCTGGTATGCTCTCTCTTTGTTCTCATTGGTTTCAAATAACTTCTTGATTTCTGCCTTAATTTCATTATTTACCAGGAGTCTTTCAGGAGCAGGTTGCTTAATTTCCATGTAATTGTGTGGTTTTGAGTGAGTTTCTTAATCTTGAGTTCTAATTTGGTTTCACTGTGGTCTGAGAGCCTGTTTGTTAGGATTTCAGTTATTTCGCATTTGCTGAGAAGTGTTTTACTTCCAATTATGTGGCCAATTTTAGAATAAGTGCCATGTGGCACTGAAAACAATGTATATACTGTTGATTTGGGGTGGAGAGTTCTGTAGATGTCTATTAGGTCCACTTGATCCAGAGCTGAGTTCAAGTCCTGAATATCCTGTTAATTTTGTCTCATTGATCTCATATTGACAGTGGGGTGTTAAAGTCTCCCACTATCATTCTGTGGGAGTCTAAGTCTCTTTGTACATCTCTAAGAACTTGTTTTATGAATCTGGGTCCTCCTGTATTGGGTGCATATATATTTAAGATAGTTAGCTCTTCTTGTTCAATTGATCCCTTTACCATTATGTAATGCCTTTCTTTGTCTTTTTAAATCTTTGTTGGTTTAAAGTCTGTTTTGTCAGAAACTAGGATTGCAACTTCTGCATTTTTTTACTTTCCATTTGCTTGGTAAATTTTCCTCCATCCCTTTATTTTGAGCCTCTGTGTGTCTTTGCATGTGAAATTGGTCTCCTGAATATAGCACACTGATGGGTCTTGAGTCTTTATCCAATTTGCCAGTATGTGTCTTTTAATTGGGGCCTTTGGCCCATTTACATTTAAGATTAGTATTGTTGCATGTGAATTTGTTTCTGTCATCATGACACTATCTGGTTATTTTGCATATTAGTTGATGCAGTTTCTTCACAGCGTCATTGGTCTTTATATTTTGGTGTGTTTTTATAGTGGCTGGTACCAGATTTTCCTTTCCATATTTACTGCTTCCTTCAGGAGCTCTTGCAAGGCAGACCTGGTAGTGATGAAATCCCTCAGCATTTGCTTGTCTGGAAAGAATTTTATTTCTCCTTTGCTCATGAAGCTTAGTTTGGCTGGATATGAAATTCTGGGTTGTAAATTCTTTTATTTAAGAGTGTTGAATATTGGCCCCCAGTCTCCTCTGGCTTGTAGGGTTTCTGCTGAGAGGTCCACTGTTAGGCAACCTGGCCTTTCTCTCTGGCTGCCCCTCACATTTTTTTCTTCATTTTGACTTTGGAGAGTCTGATGATTACATGTCTTGGGGTTGATCTTCTTGTGGTGTATCTTAGTGGTGTTCTCTGTATTTCCTGAATCTGCATGTTGGCCTGTCTTGCTAGGTTGGGGAAGTTCTCCTGGATAATATCCTGAAGTGTAGTTTCCAGCTTGTTTCCATTCTCCCCATCTCCTTCAGGTACTCCAATCAATAATAGGTTTGCTCTTGTAACATAGTCCCATATTTCTCAGAGGCATTGTTCACTCCTTTTCACTCTTTTTTCTCTATTTTTTTTCTGCATGGCTTATTTCAGCAAGGTGGTCTTCAAACTCTGATATCCTTTCTTCCACTTGGTCAATTCAGCTATTGATACTTGTGTACACTTCCTGAAGTTCTCCTCTGTGTTTCTCAGCTTCATCAGGTCATTTATGTTCCTCTCTAAACTGGTTATTCTAGTTAGCAGCTCTTCTAACCTTTTATCAAGGTTCTTTGATTCTTTTCATTGGATTAGAACATGCTCCTTTAGCTCAATAGAGCTTTTTATTTTCTGAAGCCTACTTCTGTCCATTTCTCCAGCTTATCCTCCATCCAGTTCTGTGCCCTTGCTGGAGAGACATTGCAATTATTTGGAGGAGAAGAGGCACTCTGGTCTTTAGGATTTTCAACGTTTTTTCATTAGTTCTTTCTTATCTTCATGAGTTTGTCTAGTTTCAATTTTGAGGCTACTAACCCTTGGATGGGGTTTTTGTTGGGACTCTTTTGTTGTCGATGATGCTGTTGTTGTTGTTTCTTTCTGTTTATTTTTATTTAAATGGTCAGGTCCCTCTTATGTAGGACTGCTGTGGTTTCCTGGGGGTTCATTTCAGACTCTATTCATCTGGCTTACTCCCATGCCTGGAGATGTCACTCAAGGAAACTGGGAACAGCAAAGATGTATGCCTGCTCCTTCTTGGATGTCTGACCTACAGGGGCACCAACCTGATGCCAGTAGGATCACTCCTGTATAGGGTGTCTGACAACCCCTCTTGGAGGTTCTCACTCAGTTGGGTGGCACTGAGAACAGGACCTATTTAACGAAGTACTTTGTCCCTTGGTGTAGGGGATGTGCTTTGCTTGGGGTAAATCCACTTATCTGGGCTGCCTGGATTCTTCAGAACTAGTAGGAGGAGAGGCTAAATCTGCTGCTCTGCAGAGACTATAGCCACCCCGCCCCCTAGAGGCTCAGGCCCAGGGAGCTCACAGTTTTGTCCCTGAGCCTCTGGCTGGAATTGTAGGAATTCTTGCAGGGAAGCCCCACCCAGTGAGGAAGAATGGGTTAGGGTCAGGCCTGAAGAGGCGTTCTGGCCACAGTCTGCCACAGCCGGTGTGTTGGGCTTTTGGGGGCACCTCTTGGGACCAAGCCGTCCAGCCTCCCTGGCTCCTGCAGGGGAAAAGTGCAGCCTGGAGCTATAGAGATGAATTCTGCCCTTCCCCACCCCAGGGAGCTTAGCGCATTAGGCAGTTATGAGTCCCAGTGCTGGCTGCTGCTTCTCCCTCAAGGAGCTCAAAAGGCTTAGAGAGCAGTCAGCTGCAGCTGTGGTGCTAGTCACCCCTCCTCCCAGGAACTAGGCAGGCTTAAGCAGATTCTAGCTGAGAGGCTGTTGAAAATCTGCACGGCTCCAGGATTGGGACCCTAGGCCCCGGTGGCGTGGGTTCGTGAGTGGGATCTTTGGATCCATGGGTTGCACAGTTCTGTGGAACAAGCATGGTTTCCCTGGCTGGGTAGCATGCTTATTCACCACCTCCCTTGGCTGGGGGTGGGGGCTCCCCTGCCCTGTGTGGCTCTCAGGTGGGCCACGGCACCACACTGCTTTTCCTCCCTCTGTGTGGATCATGCCATCGCCTAGTCAGTTCTGATGAGAGAAACTGGATACCTTAATTGCCAGTTCAGGATTCACACTCTAATTGTGATTCTTTTCGATGGGAGCCTCTGATGGCCACTGCTTCTATTCGCCCATCTTGGC
Source organism: Homo sapiens (assembly GCF_000001405.40). NCBI lineage: Eukaryota > Metazoa > Chordata > Mammalia > Primates > Hominidae > Homo > Homo sapiens. The sequence continues at coordinate 54,663,935 of NC_000017.11, forward strand.
CCCACGCTGAAAATGTAAATTCTGTAAGGTGAATTTAAGTGATTCATTCAAAAATTACAATTCAGATACAAGACATGCTGCTAGATGCTGAAGATACCATGGTGAGGAAGATCAAAATCTTTGTCCTCATATAAGATACATGTTACTGAAGGAGGCCTGTAATTAGAGGAGGAAGATTTAACCTAGACTAAAGGATCTTGTGAGGCATCTCAGAAAAGGTATTGTTTAAGATAACATCCAGTGGATGAATAGCCATTATCTAGTAGAACATAGCAAGAGAATTTCTGCATTGGAAATTGAAAAAAAGTACTTAGTCCAAAGAAGCAAAGAAGAGTGGAGCTATGATTTAAATCCAGGTCTGACAGACTCCAAATCATGAGCATGCTCACTTATCACCTGCAGAGGCAAATCAGGCTGTCTACCTCTGTAACTTCTTGCCAGCCCCCAATGAATATTTTCATATAAATTAAGTCAATTCCCAATTAATGTCAAAAGTACCCTTAAAGGTAAAATATTTGGACAAAAGGTGTTAAATCTAAGTGCTATATCAGTGTTTTTTTGTTTGTTTTTTGTCACCACCACCTCCCACCATCACCTATTCTGAGTCTTTCTTGATTTGCTGCCAAGCCATTCCATGACTCCTGACAGGCAATGTTCAAAGCAATCAGATCAACTTACTGGCCAAGAGATAACCCAGAAAAGGGCCCCTGTTTGGTTTATATGTATTATATCCCCACAGCACTCACCAAAGACTCCTTGATCTGCACACAAAGCTCTAAAGGAAGTAGCAATTTGAGAGGATCCAAAAGCTACTGAGAAAACAGAATAGATAGACTAAGACTGCTCCCTAAGGAGCTATTCTTCCGGAAGATTGGGTCTTCACCTTAGAGAGTAAGAAGGGAGAGGGACACAGGAGTTCTTACAAAACTAAGCCTGTATTTGAAACATCAGTTATGCCTTTGCCATGACACACAAATTGAAAAAATAAACTTATGTTTGCCTAATTATAAGACCAAGAGCATCAAAGACAATACATGTGGACATGTTCACACATGCATCAGCAGTACTTCTTTATTTAGCATGAAAAAGTGAAATGTTGGCATTCATAACTTGATAACATTTTAAATGCCTTTCCCACATATCCTCTATTCCTGTACACCTTTCCTCCTTCTCCATTGAATTTGCTGTTTCCTACACAGGTGCATTACAAAAGATGCCAAGTATAAGCCAACAGATGTTGCCAAAAAAAAAGCAAGAAGCAAAAACAAAAGCTTTCCATTTCTTAAAAACATAAAGCCACACCTTCTTAAGAGGCTAGGGTCATGTACATCAGACTACACATTTATATTTATTTGAATTTGTTTTTATGCCACCTCTAAATGGTGGATAAGTTTGTTGCTTTCATCAACAATGAAGGCAACATTAACATATTTCATCAGATGTAGCAATGGAAGTGGCACCTATGATAGCAGAGAAAGTTCTGTGCATCTGCAGTATGATCAATCTGAGAAAGCAAACACACTGCTTGGTGGAGCCTATGTGTGATGGGTAGGTTGAAGAGAGAGGGGGAAGGGGGCTGAGCAGGCTCTCCTCTGAGCTCAAAGACCTTCAAGAATATAGAGTAAAAAAAAGAGAGAGAGAGAATGTAAACTAATAGGAAGCTGGAATGACTTGTATTATCCATTTAAGACAGAGATAAATTAGACTTGTCCTATGTCCGTCTGATTTTCCGACTTCAATTTAGTATACATGAGATCTTTTATGACCCTGTTTATCATTGTGCATTGTAATGGCTGAAAATTTCATTGAAATGCATTTTTGAAGCATTTTTTCAGTTACTTTGAAATTTCTATAAGGTAAATTAGGCAATATTTTCCATTCTCTCTGACCACCTGTCCTGCCACAGGAATGACCAATGGTCAGCATTCTCTGATTATTTCTATACGGGACAATGAGGTTCCCACCTTTTTTTTTTCCAGTTCTACCCATGTTTCACTTTGCCATACACATGTAATTCATTGCTTAATGCATCTCAATACATTTGTGTGTGTGTGATTTTAGTCCAGGTAAAATTATGCACATTTATTATTATTTATTCCAGAGAGTACAAAATACTAAGATTTTGAGGGGTAGAAAAAGCAAATAAATACCTGTGTAAGAATATAGTAACTAACTGCTATATGTTAAAACCTACCTGGGTTGAAAAAATAAAAAATAATTACAGATGGAATGTAAAAGTAAGTGGACTCCCAGTAGGTGACTCAACCAACACTGCAAGTTCTACTGCCCCAGATGGAAATACGTCTCTCGCCGCACCACCAAATAAGTCACTACAATAGTTCCCACTTACCCACAAGAGATACGTTCCAAGATTTCCATTGGATGCCAGAAACTGTGGATAGTATCAAACCCTATATACACTATGTTTTTTCCTATACATAAATACCTATGATAAAGTTTAACTTATAAATTAGGCATTGTGAATGAGTAACAATAACTATAAAACAATAAATATGTCGATATACTGTGATAAAAGTTATGTGAACATGGTCTCTCTAAAAATAATATTATTGTACTATACTCACCCTTCTGGTGATGATGTGAAACAATAAAATGCCTATATGGTAAGATGAAGTGAGGTGAATGATGTAGTTATTGTGATGTAAGTGGGAAAATTCCAGAAAGAGCAATTCATAAGTTTTAAACGGGACATCATTCAGAGTAGCATGATGAAATCTCACGCCATCCTTCTCCATTCTGCCTGGATTGTCGTTAGTTACTTAGTAGCTGCCATCTCAGTTATCAAGTGGACTGTCTTGGTATTGCAGTACTTATGTTCAGGTAACCCTTATTTTGCTTAATAATGGCCCCAAAGAGCAAGAATAATGATGTAATACCTTCAGGCTGCGATTGACTATGGGTGACTTACATTGTGGAATGTGAGACTATGGTAAAAGGGGGACCACTGTAATTGAATTTGTGCCAACTAGAGTTCATTCTAAGCACCTGTTAAACAAATACATTTGTATTATTTTCATTAGTTCAATATAATATTTTCCTTGGTTGCAAAGGGAAATAATTAGTTTGTTCATGTATAAGCTTAGAGCTAAAGGTTTCTTTTCCTCTCTTCTCCCTTTGGAATAACTAAAGTTGAATGGAAACATAAATGAGGTAGAACTGCTTGCTTTGAACACTTAATGTGAAGAGGTCATGTAATTTTTCTATTCCTGCTTATTCCAGTTCACCAAGATAGGAAATCCCGTGGATGGAAAAAAAAAAAAAGTTGGTTTGACTGCAAGGCATCCTGTGTTTTATATTTTAAGGAGCTGAGTTGGGCAGAATACAGTTTCATTCTACAAGAAGAAAATGACAAGTGACTTTTACTGTGTGTCATCTAAAAAATATAGCTAGATATAGTTCAGTGTGGGGATTTCAAACAGGTTTCATCTCATATGCTAACTTTCATCAGTTATTGCTATCTGCCAGGGACAAGGGACCAGGAGTGGCAGCAGATATGCACATATTTGCCATCCTTTAATAAGAGTAATGAATTGGTAGTTCAGAGGATCTGTGTTCAAGTTCCAATCTGATTATTTTATTGTGTTGTAACTCAACACAATCAAATGCTTTTGAGAGAGACAGAGAATTATGGAAGAAGAACAAAAAGGAGAGAAAGGGGGAATAAATAATGAAGGGAGAAAGAGAAAAGCTGAGGAAAAGAAACCACACTCAGAAAATAATTTGTGAAACAGTGGTAAAGAAGCACTGGATATTGCATCTTACACTTAATAAACATATGCTAGAATAAAAACTTTCGTACACAGATTGTGAGGGCTTTGATGTTGAATGACACAGTTGAGTTGGCAGAGTGGTTTTCTATCATCAGTCTCATCTAGTTCTGATAGGATGACTGTGGAGAAAGAGGTCCTACTGATAGCATGGCAGAGTGGAAAGAGAACCAAGGAGGCAGTCATAGAGGTCTGGATTTTAATTCTGGCTTTCCACTTAGTTTTCTCATTTTTAAATACAATTAATATAATAAAGGGCAATGTGGAATTGACACTCCTTTTATCAGGGCTAGTCTTGTGACTGTCCCTAAGCAACAGAAAGTGGAAGCAGAAGTAATATTTATGTGTCTGGAGCCCTACTCTCTATAATGTCTTGCAGCTTCCACCTTCACTGCCTTGAAAGCCTGAGGCCATTATGAGTGAAGAAGGTCAGTCTACCCTACTGAAGACTGAAAAGCCACAGTAAGAGAAATGGAGTGCCTCAGTCAGCCTCAACTTCCAGATATCTGACTGAGGCTCCCTTGGAAACTCCATCCCCAGTGGAGCCATCAGATGACAGCAGCCACATGAGCCATGCCAGGTGAGACTGGGAGAAGAATCACCCTGATTATCAACCCACAGAATTATGAGAAATAACAAACTGTTATTATTTTATACCACTAAATTTTATAGTATTTTGTTACACCATAATAGATAACTAATACAAGGACAAGGCTCACATTGTAGGATCATAACAAGGACTAAATAATATAATGTATTATGTAAAGAATTCAGTAAAGTATGGATACTATTACCACAATTTAATGGTATTATTCATGCCCTGGTCACAGGGTTTTTAATTGTGAGGTAATGTAGTATAAAAATTAAAAGCAAGGGTAAAAACTTTGAAGTCACTGTACCTGGCTCCACTCCACTCAGAGTGAGACCTCTGGTAAGCTGTTTATCTGTAAAAAAGGGATGGTAATTATACTCACCTGATAAGATTATTGTGTAGAATGGAGATAAGGCATGCATATCAATGAGCATAGTGCCTGGAACATAGTAAGCATTTAATAAAGTGGTACTTAAAGATTTTAGTGGTTTTCCATTTTAAAATATCAATTTTTTAAATTCCTTTTATGGCAGATGTTATTATTGAGTAGAGATTTTATGAGCCTTGAGGCCAGCCTAGTGCTTCATCCCAGTCAAGGACATAGACAAGACAAAGGGCGCGTGAGGTCTTGCAGTGAAGAAGTTGACAACACATACAGGTGAATTTATGGCATCATATACAGGGTCAGTTACCACCAGATGGCTCAAAAGACAGGCATGGGCAGATGGCATTTTCTAGAGATCAGTCATGACTAGGTGGTTGCAGTTTAAATGAGTAAAAAGCAACAGATAAAGCAATGAGTTTAAACTAAGAGAAGGAGTTGCATCACTCAATGAGTTATGAACAGTCTATCTGAGGTAAAACAAAGGCTGTTGACTCTATGCCTTATTCTCAAGCACAATTCCAGGCATGTGCTGCTAAGAGTTAGTCACCGTTGGGTACTTTCTCAGTCCAGGTTGTCCAAAAAGTAGATGACAAGATGTGAATAAATTTGCAAGGGTGTTATTAGGGAAATACTTGTGTGAGAGAAAATGGGAAAGAATACAGACAATACTGGAGAGCCATCAAACCATGGTGCAAGTCTGGCCTCAAGAAATGGAGAAAGAGGAGGTTCTGTAAAAGTGTTTTAGACAATCATGGCCTCTGGGGAAGTTTTGATAAGGTCTTTCAGGGGGTTCTTGGGCCAAAGGTGTCCATCAGAGAAGTCCCATGTCTCCCAAGGATGCGTCTACCATAGGATCCCTGCCAAGCTCAGTTATTGGCTGGAAGCACCCATGGAAAGTATGGCCTCAGTACATATGTGGCCTCAGTACATATGTGGCAATAGACTTCAGAGCAAGGTACTTGGGGCACAGGTGCTACATCCACCAGGAACTCATTAATATTCTGGCAAAATTACCAGTGTGTTTTAGTTGTAAACATAAGGATGATATACAAGTGATAAAGCTACTCTGTGACCTGTTCTTAGTCTCACTAAAGGCAAGAAGGTTTCAGAGACTTGAAGTGGTTGGTCTCTGTTCTGAGATACTGGTTTTACTACTTTTACAAAAAGGCATGGCAAAAAGCAACATGTCTCTTTGAATAATTGACAGACAAAGATCTGCCCAGCATTGGCTGAGTCGAGTGTTAAAAAGGTAACAGTAAAACTGAAATAGATCCTCTGACATCTCTGCTAACAAGAATAATTGCTTCTCCACAGAGAGACCTGAAAAGAGGCTGAATAGATGTCTGAAATCAAAGAATCTTTATCATCATTCATATTTCAAAGAATGCTATTTCATTATGATATGTATGAAGATTTAGATCTCCAAAAGCAATCAAAGAGTTACCAAGTTCCCTGAATGAAACTATGTAATATTTTAATATTTACAACACAAACCCACTTGCAATTTCAACCAAGCAAGTATATTCACCTCTCTTTCTCTCTTTAATTTTAAATATTTCCCTTTCAGTTCAAGTGAAATGTTTTGCAATAGCCAGATAAAAGCTCTTGAAAACACACATGACAATTTCTAGAGTATGCTATCCTGATATTTCTAAGTTCTATATTTTATTCCTGTAAGTATTTATCAAGAACTTACCTGTTCATGCCCTTCCTTTATTTACAAGGGGAAATAAAGAAGACCAAACCAGAGTCCATATCCTCAGGAAATTTCCAATACCAATGAGCCTCCTTGAAGTCAGAAAAAAAAAATCTGTTAATCTCTAGAACTGTCATATGCTATTGTGCAGGTTGTCTGCTGTCCAAAAGTCTCCAGCCAAGGAAATGAATGGAGGTCTGAAATCACCCATCCTTTGCTCATCAAGCTATGCAACCTAACATGAAACTATGTCTTCCCAGAAAAAAGGGTTCACTTTTCTAAATAGCACAAAGCTTGCTGGGTGTGGTGGCTCACGTCTGTAATCCCAGCACTTTGGGAGGCCAAGGCAGGTGGATCATGAGGTCAGGAGTTCGAGAGCAGCCTGACCAACATGGTGAAACCCTGTCTCTACTAAAAATATAAAAATCAGCCAGGCTTGATGGTGCAAGCCTGTAATCCCAGCTACTCAGGAAGCTGAGGCAGGAGAATCTCTTGAACCCGGGAGGCAGAGGTTGCAGTGAGCTGAGATCGCGCCACTGCACCCCATCCTGGGTGACAGAGCAAGACTCAGTCTCAAAAATAAATAAATAAAATAAATAAAAATAAATAGTACAAATGTGCCACATGACTAATAGTACCCTGAAAATAGTTTTGAATCCTAAGTGTACTCAGTCTGTAGCACCTAGTTGAAACTGAAGTTGAATGAAACAATTATGCATCAAAAAATGAAAACTATGTTCCATTCTTCACATGCAAAGTACAGAAAATAGTTTGTCTTAGAGATCAGAATATGGATAGATTGCCATAGGCTATATCATCCTTGGAAGACTGTGTAGCAGAATCAATTCTCAAATATACACATGGATGATTCACAATAAAGATTATTGAAAAGGTCAGAGCAAACAATCTTGTGGGCTTTGAATGGCAATTGGATGATTTCTGGGACTCAGCAAAATTACTGTTGTAGTGTATTTTGTTCATGCTGGTATTCAAGAAGGTCTGTATTGCTCTAATACTCATTGACTGCTGGCCAGAAAGGCAAACCCTAGATTAGGAAGATGAAGCTTACTGGGAACAAACACTGGTTGAAAATCAATCTACCAAAGGGATAAACCACTGACTAATAATCACATCTAATAAAATAGCAAAGAAAAACATGTTTGCCAGAACTCCAGAAGCAGGCTGACTGGCTAAGTGGAACTGCTCTCCAAAAGAGAATCAGGTACAGCTGGAGACTGAATGCAGTAGGTTCCATAGGGGGACAGATATAAGACAGCAAAGTTTGCAGAGTGACAGTGGTTGATATGGCAAAGGCAATATCCTCATGCTGGGAAATCCTAACCAAGGACTCAGAAATGGAACCAAATACAATGTAAGTGGTTGGTCATCATCTTATCATGTTCACTGTTGTCTGTACAATCCAGAAGAAAGTAAACTTGAGGGACCTTGTAGGATATGGATAAAGACTTTGGCTTTTCTTGCAGATGAGATTGGAAGCCATCAGAGGAGTGCTATAAACTGGACTCGAAATATTAAAAAGTCCTCTGGCTGGTCCATTAACATTTGACTAATAGGGCAAGAAGAGGTATGTTATTTAAAGGGTGCTTCAATAATCCAGATGAGAGCTGTCAGTGGCTCGGACCAGGGTAGTGACAACAGAGGTGGTCAGAAGTACCACATGTGAACATGGTATATTAGGCATAATGCCAATATAAATGAATTTTTTTCAATGAATTTATATGTAATTGTAGTTCTGAAACTACTCATCTGTATTCTCTTGCCATCATCTCCATTTTCCCACTCCTGATAACTGAAGAGGGTTATCATCCTTGCCTGAAAACATCTTACTTGAACCCTTAAAAATAATAGCGGGTTTTTAATGTTTACGAATAGAGACAATGTAAACCAACCTTTAAAAAAAATAGATGAGGAGTATTTTTGAAGACTAAAGTGAAACAAACAAATGGAAAGAAACTAACACTGCTCTGCATTATACTGTCCAAAGCACTTTTGAGGGATACTTTTGGATTATATAATTTTTAAGAAGATTTATTGATTGTCAAGTTGGTTTTTATTTTGTTGCATAAAATCATTCTATTCAAAATTATTTTCCAAATATAATTTTCTTATATATCCATGTAAAAGCAAATAAAACTGTACTGTATTATTATAAAATGATACATTAATTATTGATATAAACAAAAAAGCAGAAATAAGAGTAATTATTTTTACATAGATCAATTTATTAATTTACTTAAATCAGTTTCTTAGTCATATCTATCACTAATAATGTGTTAAAGGTATTTTTCTTAAAGTCTTTTTTGATACACCCTTATTATTTTTAATTTCTAAAATAAAATTACATGCTCACCTTCAGTGTTCCATTTTATATTTGATGTATTTAAAATTATTTACACCTTCCATTGACTCTTCTCTGTAGACCATAATATTTTTAATGGAGAAAATCTCTCTCGACAAAAGTTGAGGTATCTATTAAGCACACAGCAAGTTCTAGTAAATGGATATAATTATCTTTCTCATTTTTTCATCCTGCATAAATATTTCAGAACAAATATTTGTATGGGTACTGCACTTTTGCTTTAATTGATACTTTTCTTCAATGAATAATTATCAAATGTTTCTGATTATTTCTGATTATGTTTATCCTCTAATTGTGATTATTCTGTATACTTTGTCAACTTTAGATATTGTAACTTTATAGACCTTTGCAATTTCCTGTCATCCTAGCAGAGAAGCTAAGTTTTTCCAATTAACTAAAAAGTGTCACCAAAGTATTCTTCCCAGTGTCATCATATTCCAAAGTGTAATTATCAAATTTCTCAATGACATTTCTTACACCAGTGCTTCTCAAATTTTGATGTGAACACAAACGCCCCAGAAATCCTATGAAATGAAGATTGGGATTAAGTAGGTCTGAGGTGGAAGAGATTCTGCATTTCTACCAAGTTCCCAGGTGATGCTAATGTTACCCAGTGTTACTGGGGGGTCCTTGCTCTCAAAGCTGCCAAGATGGTGGCTGGCCACTTCCAAAATGGCAGCGGGCCACTCCTAAGATGGTGGCAAGCCTCGTGTTCTCTGACCTGGGGTTCTTGGCCTCACAGATTCCAAGGAATGGAATCTTGGGCCATGTGGTGAGTGTTATCGCTCTATTAGAAGTTGTAGGTCATGGAAGAGAACCGTGGAACCCAGTGACTAGTGTTCAGCTCGATTAGGACAAACCTAGGCACTTAGCCATGCAGGAACAATGGCAAGCCTTTAGCCCAATCGGGAGTGGAAATGGGCACCTCCCTGGATCAGGAGCACCCTGGACACCCTGCTGGATCTGGAGGGATGGAAGTCAGTGGCGGGTCTGTGACGGCGGCAAACAGCAGTGGTGGACGGCGAGCGAAAGCTCAGCTCCAGCCATAACAAACACGGACCAGAAGACTGCAGTTGCAAGATTTAATAGAGTGAAACAGAGTGAAAACAGAGCTCCCATACAAAGGGAGGGGACCCAAAGGGGGTTGCTGTTTGCCAGCTGGAATGCCTGGGTTTATATCCCAATCCTTGTCCCCCCCACTGTGCTCTCAGGCAATAGATGATTGACTATTTCTTTTCCTCCTGTTTTAGCCTAATTAGCATTTTAGTGAGCTCTCTGATTGGTTGGGTGTGAGCTAAGTTGCAAGCCCTGTGTTTAAGCTGGATGCGATCACCTTCCCAGCTAGGCTTAGGGATTCTTAGTCCGCCTGGGAAATCCAGCTAGTCCTGTCTGTCACGAGGACCACACTTTAAATAGCAAAGTTACAATGTTACAATGTCGGCTTTTGCTCTTGTGTTTATACAGTTACTCTTTTCCTTTTCGAAAGAACAATTTTAGCGACTTCTCTTTTGCTTGCTAAGTACTTCCAAAGCTGCAGATTTTTTTTGAATTGATGTGTTAAATATTTTGATTAAAGATTTTCAACTGATTTTGAATAAAATGCAACCAAAACTTAAGACTTACTTTAAAAATTTTTACTCCCATTACCATCACAAAGCATTTAGTTTGTTTTAAGGAGTAGCTCATCGCAAATTCAAATATTTCAAAACTCTGATGCTGGCTAAAAGAGGTAAGCATGTATTGCCAATGAGCCAAAATGCCAGGACAGTTTTTAAAAAGTAATACTATCTTCTCAAAAAAAGTTGCAGTTTTTACTTTAAGTAAATTTATATGGCAACATTTAGTATTTTTATATCTACAGCTTCCATTTTTACTGGTAGATAGCATAGATTTAGATGTAATTATAAATTATATATGACCTATATCAAATTCCAAGTACATTTCTGCTCCCTGGCCTATTAATTTAATAAGAACGTTATTTTCACCAATACACTGTACTCTACTAAAATCTGTGCTCATATTTTTTCCAAAAACAAATATTTTCTATTAATTGTTAATATATTTAATTAAAATTATAATAATAGCATTCACAATACTGTCAAATGTTGTAACTTTGACAGAAGGACTGTGATTCCATTCATTGTGACTTCAAAGAATCAACTATTACTAAATTTATCTTAATTCATTTTTAACTTGAAGCATTTGCTGATATTGAGAAAAAAAGTGGCATCATTTCAATCTTTGCAAAGTATTTCTGCTGATGAAGTAATCATATTAATAGTTATTTCTTTACTTTTAGTATGTTCACAGGGAAAGTTGGAATCAATAATGAAATAATGTAATGCAGTCAGCTGATCTAGATGAAAAGTCATGTTTCACAGAATGAGATGTAAGTGCACTTTCTGCAGCTGTATGTGCTAACATTATTGTGACCAGGACAGGATAGTTTTCTTAAAAGTAACCATTAACATTTGAAGTAGATCCTGATGCTTTCTTAGCATATTTATGACTCTGGTTTATCATAATAATCCCTTGTATTAGTCTGTTTATACACTGCTACAATGAACTGCCAACTGGATAATCTACAAAGGAAAGAGGTTTAATTCACTCACAGTTCAGCATGAGGTTTAGTTGACTCACAGCTCAGCATGGCTGGATAGGCCTCAGGAAACTTACAATCATGGCTGAAAGGGAAGGGGAAGCAAGGCACCTTCTTCACAAGTTGGCAGGAAGGAGAATGAATACAGGAGGAGCTACCAAACACTTATAAAACCATCAGAACTAGTGAGAACTCATTCACTATCACAAGAGCAGCATGGGGAGACTGCCCTCATGATTCAATTACCTCCACTTGGGCCATCTCTTGACATGTGGGAATTATGGGGATTGTGGGGATTACAATTCAAGAGATTTTGGGTGGAGCACAGCCAAACCATATCATCCCCTTAATGGATAATAATTGTCAACAAATATCTTATTGGAGTTTCACATTCACTAAGTGTTTAAGAAATAAAAATTTATATTTAATTTCTTATTAAATATACATTATTCTTTTTGCTTTAACTCATTGCTGCCAAGAATTCATTGAAAACATTTTTTAAAAGCATAAATAGTAAAAAATAAATTGCTGTAGCGTTACCATTAAATAGATGACAAAAATCATTGTAGCAACAGCATTCCAACTACTCTCTATTTCCCTACATATTGCACATGTATCTAACCTATAAGTTTGCATGTTTCCCACTGTCTGCAACCGTGATCTGGTTCTTTATTTATCTAGCATCCCAAGGCAGGACCACGGCAATTCACCAAGTGGCCAGCAGAGATAGCAACAAAACAACACCTCTCCCAACAACACCTAAAAGTAGGTGTTAGTTATCTCTAGCTTCTCCAAAAAGAGTCTACTTTATTTCACCAACAGGAACCCTTAATGCTGTCAATGAAAGGAAGGATTTAGGGTGTTAGTTAACATGCATTTTCAAAGGGCCAGAATAGAGAAATGTGGCATCACTAGTCCATTTTTTACATTAACTACATGTTAAAGTGAAACCTCTGTTCACTGCACATGCAACTCACAGTTGGCATGGCAGAAGAGGGAAATAGAAATGAAATCAACCAAATGCACACTGCTTATTTTAATGCAGCTGTCAATATAACACTATGCTTAAAAATGAAAAATCTAAGAAAAACACTAAAGCAAACTGGGTATTGTGATTATAGCCATAAACCAGAACTGCCTCAGGCAAAACAAGAGGTAGAGTATTTCTAATTATACTGTGAAGTACAATCCTTGCTGTAAGAAAAACAATCTCTCAACTTATTAGGGCAGTTAGGAAAACGTTTCTCTTGTGCATAAAGGATGTAGATGGAAGGCAGTTATCTTTGCTTATAGGACAAATTTGGCCGGCAGACATATTTTGTTGGCTCACACAGAGTTGTTTTTGACTTGAATTACTTGCAAAAAATTAAATTGGAAGATTTCACATAGAATTGTGGCTTCTCTTGAAAAAAAATGCAAGATCTGACAACTCTAAGCTTGAATTTCCACATACTGAAAATCAGCGATAGTGTCACAAAACTACATTATTTTATAAACTCAAAGGGCACCACTTAGCTTGTATCCTAAGTAAAATTAATACAATGAAATTGTACCTATGTTATATAAATATGCCAACCCCCTGGAATTGAGCAACTCCTAGTGCCCTGAGGTCTATGAAGGATACCTTTAGAAGAAATAAGTAGTCTTTGGTTTGCCACAATTCCTACCCCACTTAATTAATTCACTTCACTGCTTGGTCAAGTAAGCAATTGAATTTTTTACTTTTGGTTTAGACTACACTCTTCCTAAGAATTGTTTGTTTTTTAAAGGTAAAGATTCCTCTCTGTCTGATTTTATAGTTAGTCACTAGACAACCCAGTGTATCTTAAACTCCCACTTCTGGAGAATATTCAAAGGGAATTGCCTTACACCATCCTGCATTGTTGTGTAGGTTTTGAGTGATAAAGCCACTCATACCCTATTACTCTTTGCCAGAGGCTGGTCTCAAACTCCTGACCTCATGATAACGCCTGCCTCAGCCTCCCAAAGAGCTCAGATTATAAGTGTGAGCCACTGGGCCCAGCATATGCTAAAGTTTTGACACCATAAGCATTATACCAGTCATTCCCATTGCCAGTTTAAATGTACACCCTTGTTTAAAAGGCTGGAATGCATCTTAGTGAATAAGGTATATTAAATAATGTCAATACACAGCTTGTTAAAGCTGACAATGGATCCTCAGAAGGTGTCAAACAGGAGCAGAACACAGCCTTTATCCTGCCCCAGGTTGCTTAAAGCTGAAGTGTGGTAAATTGGGCATGTCTGAAATGGAACTGTCAAGCTTAGAAGGTCTAATATTGAATCTTTCCATACAGATCTCAAACAGACTAACATATCTGGGCACTTGAACTTTTCTTGGGTTACAAAGTACCTGAAAAATAATACTTATGAGAGTTACTAAAAATGCCCTGTGAGACAAAGGAGCAAGTAAAATTATTACATGACAAATTATGTCCTTCTACAAATATCCATAGATTCTAGGCAATTTCCTTTCACAGTTTAATTCCAAGGATGCAAATAAGGCAAATAAGTTTCCCTTTGAAGATTACCTTCCTTCCCTGATGCTTCATGATGGCTGTCTTTTTTATATTCTTGAGAAAAAGTGTTACTCTGCTGTCACCCAGGCTGAAGTGCAGTGGCATAATCATAGCTCACTGCAGCCTTGACCTCTTGAGCTTAAGTGATCCTCCCACCTCAGTCTCCTGAGTAGCTAGGAATACAGGCACACGCCACCATGCCTAGCTAAATTTTTATTTTTATTTTGTAGACATAGTGTCTCAGTAGGTTGCCCAGGCTGGACTCAAACTCCTGGCTTCCTGCAATTCTCCCACCTCAGCCTCCTCAAAGTGCTGGGATTATAGGCATGAGCCACTGTGCCTGGCCATTATGGCTGTCTTGAGCACTGAGTTGAAAAGGCATCTGAGGCCACTTCTAGGCTAAAGCTAGAGTATCACAGTCCAGGCTGGCCAGGGAGGTCTGGGTAAATGCTGTCAGCACAGAGTCCAGGTGCTGGCTGTGGACTGAACTTCTGGATATGGCACTGACCTACAGTATCAGTCTCTGTTTGAGGTCATGTTCAGTGTAGTTAATAAGTTAAAATTCTGTGGATTTACAGGGAGAGGTTTATTACTGAACTAAATTCATCTTCCTGTCTGATATTACAGCATAGAAAAAATAACTCTAATGAAATCAGGATAGAGGAGTCAAGATTGTACATTAAAAGGAACTAACAGTGTATTCTGAGTAAGGGAGGTATAAAAACAATAAAATAAAGCATCAAGTCAAAGAAGACAGCAGGTAATGAATTTGAAGCAAATGATTGATCCCAGTGGTTGAGGAAATAGCAAGAGAGTTCAGGGGCCAGAATCTGGAGAAAGTCTATGAGACAAGAATATACAGAGGAAGGGAGCTCTTTTTCTATGCCTAAAGTTGAAGCTGTGAATGGAGAGAAAGCTATTCAAGGTGAAAGGCCAAGTTTGACTCTCCAAATATTGGTAATAAAAGTTAACCGAAATGGATTTCACTGACAATTGCAGAGAAGTGTCTGGTACCCAGTGTGCCAAATATTATGTAAAAAGGAGGCCAGGCGCGATGGCTCATGCCTGTAATCCCAGCACTTTGGGAGGCCAAGGCGGGTGGATCACTTGAGCTCAGGGGTTTGAGACTAGCCTGGCCAACATGGCGAAACCCCGTCTCCACTAAAAGTACAAAAATTAGCGGGGCATGGTGGTGGGCACCTGCAGTCCCAGCTACTCGGGAGGCTGAGGCAGGATAATCGCTTGAACCCGGGAGGCAAAGGTTGCAGTGAGCCAAGATCGCGCCACTGCACTCCAGTCTGGGTGACAGAGCGAGACTCTGTCTCAAAGGAAAAAAAAAAGGAAAAATAAGTGTAGGTATGCAACATACAACAAAATAAGAACTTATAAGATTTACAGGACATTAAATAAAATAGGTTAACTACACATAAATATGCACTGCCATATATTTTCTTCTTTATCCAACCTTTAATATGTCTACAACAGGAGTTCTTAAAGGTAAATGAGTTGAAAACAATGTACTGAATAATGCCCGCCTATCCCCTCCCCTCACCCCCTGGAAATAGATTCTGTCTTAGAGCCTGGAGAGGGAGTGCAGCACTGCCAATATCTTTATCACTCAGTGAAACTCATTTTGGACTTGACCTCTAGATAATAAATATGTGTCATTTATAAGTCACCACATTTGTAGTAATGTGTTACAGCAACAATAGCAAGCAAATACACTATGCAGACTAATAACATTGTTATTGGTTAAATGGAATGTTTATTTTCAATAAGAGATAAAGAATCTGACATAATTTCCTGTACTTGCATAGCAGGAAGTGGAAACAGATTCAAATTTATTTTGTCTTAAGTTTCCTGGAGATTGGGAGATAGGGGTATATATTTTTGAATGAACTCATATGGCTAAACACAGAGAAACGTCCTGAGTGTACTCTTTAAATATTCAGCATCACCATTGTTCAAACCTTCAAGATTCCAGGGCCTCATACTAAAATCGTAGGAATTGGATGAGAAAAATGTCCTAGGAGGGAATTTAAATGAATGAGAATACTCGCAGAAGATGACACAGGCGAAGAGTAGAGTTGAAAGCTGAGCCCCATTGCACAGGAGGGTGCTCAGAATGAGAGAAAGCACTTGCTAGCAACTTCCAAAGCAGAAATATTTGCCATAAAGGAAAGGTATGTGAGAATCATTATGCCTATTTTTTCCAACCTGGAGACCATTTTTGTTCTTCTAGATTTTACAACCCTCTTAGCTCACCTTGTGTACTCAGAAAAATAGTCTCACTTCATGCTGAGCAAGTAGGTTGGATATCAGTTCTATTTCTCAGGTGAATGGTAAGATTTTTAGTTCAATGAGAAAGTACAGTGACTGGTGAATTCGAACCCCCTAAACAACTAAGCAAGCAATGAATTGCACCTCCAAAATGATCGATTGAGCCCTGAATCAAAGAAAAGGTGTGTGTCTTTATGTGTGTCATAAAAGAGGTTGGGTAAGGAGATAACTGAGTTGGGAAAGACTGGATTTCTTTTAATGGGCTCCGTATGTTTTTCTTGACAGAGCTCATCTTGATTGAAGAGGCTGCATGTCTCTGGAAAGCACCAACTCATTCTGCGTCGAGTAATAATTTTGTGCCTGTAGTCAAGCTAACACCCCGCCCACCCACCCACTGCAACGCCTCACACACACACGCTGAGATAGAAAAACATGTGCATCCCTGCTTCATTATTCAACCTCAGTCATATCTATGGCTTTCTCTTCGAATACTCTGTGGACTAATCACTGACCTGCCGGCAGACAGCAGTTGATTTGTTAACACAATTCAAAGCCCAGATCTCTGGAGATTAGAGATTGCCGGGAATAATACTAGTGCAGTTATTATTTAGCACCAAAATTTCCACGATTTCATAACTGCTATTTCAGAACTGCCACCCCACCTCTGTTTCATTATATAACCCTAGAACAGTGAATAGACAGTGCTATGGGATGAGGGAAAAGGAAGACTAAAACAATGTTTCACAAATGCCAGTAATTCCCTGGCCACTCTCATGATTTGTACCAACGTCATGCACCATTGGTACAATTATTTATATAGTGTTATCCCTTAAATTGACTCACTGTTTTTACTTGGTCTCTTCCTAACCAGATAATAACCGTAACAGCGTAGATTTAAGGGATAACATTTTCAATGCTCATTAAAATATATCCATAACTGATGCAATAAAAAACTTGTCCACATACAACCTAAAAGCATCTTACGTGCCTCATAAGTCACATTTTGGGAAATACTCAACTGAAATCAATTTCAGCTGAGGGCTTCTAGAATTTCAGACTCAGTCCAAAATACGCAAGCTTAAGATGGATGAAAAGGAAGGAGTGGAAAATTATCATTACAGACTCACTCCTCATCTAAATAAACCATTGTTTCACTCCATTTTTCCACATCCTTATTACTAGTAGATACCATTCAAGTACCAGCAGCTGTTAGAAGAAACTAAAAGGGAAAGAAACAGGCATAAAAAAGAAAGGAAAACATGAATCTGACAACTGAAATCGAATCTGCTTGGTTTTCCACTATTCCTGTATTTTGTAGGTTGAAAGGCTAATATCAAAACATTGTGATTTTAAAAACATCATAATTATAGGATCTTGAATCATGTTGTCATCGCTCCATGCTTTTGCCTTTGTCTCTCTTTTAATCTCCTTAATGCACCATAATTATGTCTTCTGTGTGGGTCAATTATATTTGAACTAGAAAACAAATTACCATCATTACCTCTGATTATTCTTCTCTTTTCTTTGATCTTGTTTTGTGCAGCAACCAGAAATTTTGTGTTCATTCAGCCCTTCTCTTCCCCAGTTGCCTTGTTGGCAGAGCTGAAATACAGAAGAAAAGAATCCCTCTGCCATTTCCAGTGTTATCTTTTCCCTTCATCCCACTCTTCAAACATTTCTGGTGCCTGCACATTACCAAAATATGTTCAAATGATCTTATTACCAAAGTAGCTCTTGGCTAACATGGCCTTTAAGTCACAGTGCCCCTTTAATCTTTTTCTTCCCCTCCCTAATTCTATTTACAAAATCCAAATTAGTACACAAAGGCTCAAACTGCATTAATACCTTAAAAAGCTACTGCATCCTAGTGTCAATAACCCTGAGATTAATAGTCCCCAAGTCTTATGTGACACAGAAAATTAACAAGGCTATTTTGACCAATGATCCATGAATTATGATGGTACTCTCCACTGTGATTACAAATGTTAATGTAATTAGCATTTATTTTAGTTGAAAATAAAAAGAAGGTAAGAATGGGGATGACAGAAATTACACTCAAGAAATAGAGGCCGGGCACCGTGGCTCACGCCTGTAATACCAGCACTTTGGGAGGCCGAGACAGGCAGATCACGAGGTCAGGAGATCGAGACCATCCTGGCTAATGCGGTGAAACCACGTCTCTACTAAAAATACAAAAAAATTAGCCGGGTGTGGTGGCGGGCACCTGTAGTCCCAGCTACTCAGGAGGCTGAGGCAGGAGAATGGCTGAACCTGGGAGGCAGAGCTTGCAGTGAGCCGAGATGGCACCACTGCACTCCAGCCTGGGGGACAGACCAAGACTCCAACTCAAAAAAAGAAAAAAAGAAAAAGAAATAGAAATATTCAGGTTTCCTTAATCAAGTCTTCTGAACAGGCGTCGAGTAAAACTAAGAGGGAAGGTGACGTGTTTGATTTCTCTTTACCAAGAAGGAGCATAAACAAGGGATGGGGGAGATTCAGTGACTCATTCTTTTGAGAAGTCTTACCAGTTATGGGGCATCAAGCATCATGATGATATATCTTGCCCCATATTGACAAGCTGATTTCCCAGAAATCCCCATAACAAATTGGAAACACATCCTTAATACCAAGGCATTGATATTTGATACTTGGATTTGTTGGGCAGCAAAATGGAAGTGGGAAACAGGGTTTCATAGGAGCAACGTCCTCTAACTCATGCTGGCTGGAGCCCTGTATTTAAATCAAAACCTTCACTCCTGCCACATCTTACTGCCCCTTCTGCATGTTATGAGGTGCTTTCCTTCTGCTGTTTATTCCCCTTCATTTCTGGTAGCCCAGAATCTGCACTGGAGAATGGGGGAAAAATCTAAGAGATACAGTCCACTGTGGCATCTACTCAGCAAATAATACAATAAGTACTTATTACTTGCAACTCAACAAATAAAACCCTGGTGTCTTGCAGGTGTCAGGGTACGAGACTCCTCTGTCTTTGTTCAATATAACTATTAGGTTTGGGGCAGGGGATAGGAGGACTGTGATGCTGGAATAAAACAGAAATACTTTACATTTTAGATGAAAAATAATCCCTCTTTAATGATTGAGTCATGAGAGAGGGAACACACTAGAATTCAGCTCACACTAGAATTCTCATACTGCCTTGTTCCAGCTGAGTGACTTTGAGATCACACAAACTCTATGCATATGTTGGTCCCTACTCTAGCTACATCACAGGGCTTCTGTGAGGATGCTCCTAAGTAATGCATAGAAAATGGTTAACATTAAGATATTGTGTATAATAAAATATTGTGCACTGAGGGTGAATAAATATTCTGTTTAAATAACATGATCTACCTATTCCGCCTCACTTTAGGTGGAAGGAGGAGGACAGCTCTACTGTGTATTACATGCATGTGACACTCAGCTAGGAGGTTTTCTCATTTAAACCTTATAACATCTAAATGAGCATAAAATTAATATCCTGATTTTGAAGCTAAAGAAAATGAAGTTCCAAAAAGATTGGTAATCTGTACATATTTAATGTACAATTTGTTGATTCATTCAACAAATATTAGATGCTATTGTTCTAGGACACAGATTGGCTATAAACTACACCTCACAGGCAAAATCCTATCAAACATCTGTTTTTGCAAATAAAGTGGAGCAAATAAAGTTTTATTGGAACACAGTCACAACCATACTATGGTTGTTTCACACTACATTGACAAAGTTGAATAACTACAACAGAAATCATACAGTCTGCAAAGCAAATAAAATATGTACTCTCTGGGTCTTTACAGAAAAAAAAAAAAAAGCTAATCACTCTTCTACGAGCTTGGGATACAGCAGTAACGAATATAGGAGGAAAATTCCCTGCTCTTGTGGGACTTACATTTTAGTGGAGGCAACAGTCAATGTAATGCACTTAATTAAAAAGTTAATCATTTTCTAAAAGTTCTGGAGGCCAGAAGTCTGAAATCAAAGGGTCAGCAGGACCACACTCACTATCAAGGCTCTAAGGAAACCTCCTTCCTTGCCTCTTCCAGCCTCCAGTGGCTCCAGGCATTTCTTGCATAACTCTAATGTTTACTGTGTTTCTTCTCCTCTGTCTCTCATAAGGACATTTGTCATTGGATTCATGGCTCGCCTGGATAATCCAGGATGATCTCATATCAAAATCCTTTGTTACGTCTGCGAAGTCTCTTTTTCCAAATAAAGTCACTTTCACAGGTTCCAGATAGAAATAGTTGGGATGGGCACCATTCAATCCTCTGGGAAAGCAGAAGCCTGGAAGTTTTGCTTTATGTTTTTATCTTATTTATTTATTTATATATTTATTTAGACAGAGTCTCCTCATTCTCTCACCCAGGCTGGAGTGCAGTGGTATGATTAGGGCTTACTGTAGCCTCGACCTCCAGGGCTCAAGTGATCTTCCCACCTCAGTCTCCTGAGTACCTGAGACAACAGGCATGTGCCACCACGCCCAGCTAATTTTTTTTATTTTTTGTAGTGACGGGTTCTTGCTATGTTGTCTAGGCATGTCTCAAACTCCGGGGTTCAAGAGATCCTCTCGCCTCATCCTCTCAAAGTGCTGGAATTACAGGCATGAGCCACCATGCTCAGCTTAAGTTTTGTTTTAGACATGCTAAATATGAGACTTCTCTTAGCTAACTAAGTGGAGATGTTGAGTAGACAACATATGGACCTGGAATTCAATCACATGATGGTAGAAACCAAGAGTCCCAACCAGTTTTTTTCTTTACCCATGCTTGCTCAATTATCATGGGGTCTCCCATTCACAGAAACAACTAGTAAAATGGCCCTTGATATGAGGTAATATGACCTGCCTATGCCATTCCGAATGTTGATGTCCTTGAATATAACAAAAACAGCCCCCTCTTTTCTCCTTTAAAAGATGGTGTGGATTTGACGGAGCAAGACAAGATTCTTAGGGGTAGGAGGAAAGTGGCACTGTTTATTTCCCTTTGGTGATTACATCAAGCTTAGCAAAGCCCAGAAGACACTATAAATGCAATGGTTTGATTGTTCCTGGTTCCCACCTTGTGAAACACCACAAACATTTATAAGCTGGGGTTAAGGGTCTAACCAATAGTTTGGAAGAGCAACTTTCTCTAACCCACAGAGAATAAATGGCTTTGCTAGCAGCATTTTCTAACCCATGGAGATAACTAGCTGACAAGAAATCTGAGCATTAGGTCACTTGATACTGAGTCAACATAGAAATTCTGCCAAATCAAAAACTTCAAAGCTCAATATATTAATGAGCTTCTGGAGCCTCTGAAGACCTCTTACTGGCCAGAGAAAAGATCTATCGAAGTGTCTTCTCTTTAATTTAAAGTGAAAATTGATGCTATCTGGGTGTCAGGTATAATCATCTTAATTTATTGTGGAATATGTAAGGGACTGCTGACCGTATGAATGATCCAATTATAGGTTTAAATGACTCTGGGGTTCCTTGTTTTCCCCCAGTCTTATTCATGAAGTATTTTCACTTTCAGACAATCAAGAGTTGTTTATATAGGTTTGGGACTTATTGATGTAGCTAAAAAAAAAACGCAGAGGTGGAATTACAACTGTTTACTTAAAAACAGTGAATTTGATATGCCAAAAATCTAATTTAGGTATTAGCAATTGAGTCAAAGCTACTTTTAATAAGTAACAAGAAAATGAATCACTTGGGACAGAATAACTCCAGAGATGGATGATCAAATGTGGCTCCTTCCTCCAAAAGGTTTCTGGCTCCATTTTCCAGAATCTGCAGGGATAGAAAATATCCTCATCCAATGGTGTGTTCAGTGACATACATGAGTTTGTAACCTCCCTAAGTTCCTATCAGATAGGAAACATTAGGAAATCATTTAAGAGCCTGGTTTATTTTCTCAATCTGGGCAACAAAGGTGGATTGAATCTGCTCTGCCACCTTATTCTTCCAGAACAGATGTGAATACAATTCAGAGGACTCAGAAAGGTTGGGCATAAGAGAAAGAGGGCAAAGTAACATGTCCAGCCCCAAGACTATGACTCCGTGTTCTAAGGGAGATACTACTGTGCAACTGTTGAAAGAATAGGCAAGTGCATTAGAAGAGCATTTGTGAACGAGTATGCATTCTGCAATTTGCCTCTTCTGTGACTTTAGACAAATTATTCAAACTTTCTAAGCCTCATGTCTTCAAGGGATAAAAAATAGTGCATCTCTCATAAGGTCTTTGTGAGGGCTAAATGTAAAGAATATATCACCCAGCACAAAGTAAGTGATTTTAATTGCAGCTACAATAATTATTATCTGAATAATAAAAGCAGGGCTGTAGTTAGGTACTGGCAATTCCAAACTCTTCTGTGTGAGCCAAATATCTGTTAATTCTCAGACCCAGTCACCCCAAACAAGGGACTTTGATGAAAGGCCAAATCTTCTGAGAGTGTGATCTGAAGTTTGTTCTCCTATTAGTGAAAGTGGGAAAGTTGCTTTTCTTCATTTTTATGATTTGGCTGAGATCTAAAGGCCGTGGGGCACCTGGCACAGAGAACTCAAAGTTATTATTGAAAACTGAAAATTTTGATGAATCTAATAGCCAAAGGCAGATCAAGTCCACATGGCATGAAAGTAGGGCAATGAGAAAAGCAGGGTTGTGATAATAGTCAAGTCTCAGACCTGTGGTGAGAAATAACAGAATGAATCAGCGTGCAGGAGAAACAAACCAAGCCAGCAGAAATATTGATTTAGATCCTTTTTAGAAAGAAAATGTCTAGCAGTGACCATTCATTTTGAAGTCGTTTCTGCTACCAGAAGCCAAAAGCCAAATATATCTGATTAGAATCCCACCTAGACTGGCAGTATTGCCAGATCCTACCCACTGGTAATCTCTTACTCCAGCGTCTACTATGAAAGAATCTTAGACTTTAGGAAAGAAAAAAAAATGCTCCCACTTCTATAACCTTAGAATGTCTTGGCCAACTCAGCCCCTTAGTCTGAGGTGGAGCCCACCTTTCTGTACCTGAAGGGACTTTCACTGCCTTACTGGAGTAACACTGGCAGTCTTTAAAGTCTATTAAGAGGAGATGGAAGTGAAGACTGTGTGTGTGTGTGTGTATGTGTGTGTGTACACAAGCACATGTGTGTTGGTTGGTGAAGAAGACACAAAGCCATCTCAAATCCTGAGAATGAGCCTGACTGACATGACCTCCAACAGCAAACAGGCAATAATAGGCAACCACACATTCATTCCTTTAACAAAAGTGCTCATTCAAGTGGAATATGAATTAAATTACTCCATATTAATTGAATGCCTACTCTTGTCAAGTTGGGAGGGAGGGGCAGGGGAAATTAGGAGGTTATTATAATAACACAAGTAAATGACAATATCATTTTAGGTAAAATTGGTAGTAGAGAAGGTCATGACAAGTAATTGAAACCAGGATACATTTTGAAGATACTGCTGAAAAGATTAACAGATTGAATGTGGAGTACAAGAGAGAAAGGAAACTCATGATGACTCTATGTTTCTTGGCCCAGGCAACTAGTAGGATGAAACTTCCAATCATTGAGATAGGATGACTGTGGGAGGAGCAGATTTGGGAGCTTAGGAATTAAGAGTTATGTTTTGGCCATATTCAGCCTGAGATAACAACTTTACATCTAAGGGGGATGTGTTGAGTAGGCAGTTGGATATATGAGAAGGGTTTGGGAAGAAAAGTCGTGAGTTGTAGATATAAATTTAGGAGTTGTCAGAGTTAAGATGGCTTTTAAAACCCTGAAACTGGGGAAGATAACCTAGGGAGTAAGTGTAGAACCAAAAAAGATATCTGAAGTCTGGGCTTTAAGAGATGAGGAAGAATAAACAGAAAAAAAATAGAGTGATAAGTGAAATGGAAGAAAAACTAAGAGAGGCAGCAAAGTGAAGAAAGAGCTTCAAGAAGAGAAGAGTCAGCTCTTCTAATATTGATAGACCTAATGTGATGAGGAATTATAATGAACTTCTGGATTTGGTATCATGGAGATCATCAAGGACTGTGGTAAGATTCTTTCAATGCAAGAGAAAACAAAACACCAGTTAGTGTGGGTTCAAAAAAGACTGTGAGTAGAGGAATTGGAAATAGCTAATGTAGACAACTTTTTTTGAGGAATTTTTCTATAAAGAAGAGGAAACCCTAACAAAGGGATCAAACCACTGGCTACTTGCCCTAGAAAGTAAAAATGACTCAGGATTCCCGATAGGCTCCAGAACTAAATTTAAGTTGACAACACTTTAGAGATCTTACGCTCAACCGCACTGAGATGATGGAAAAGGATAGAGATAAAAGTAAGGCACAATACCAGTCCTCAGAAAGATTTTAGTCAGATAGAAAATATATTTATGATATCAAGATCAGAAAAAAAAATTGCATTTTGTCCTTGAAATGGCCATGTTACTTAAGTATAGCAGACTGTGGGCATATTTAACATTGGGGGATTTTTGAATACTTAGAAGTCACTCTGAGGGTTAAAGATGTGTGGTCATTTGCAGTTTTGCTAAAGAGAAAACTGGAATGTGTGTGCTGTTGGGCTGGTACAAAAAAGAATCATCCATGTACTCAGCCCACTTCCCAGCACCTACGTCTTACTCAGCTTTGTGGTTGTCAACTGTTATGTTCATGATAATATATATCAAGTCCTAGGTCAGTCATTTAAGATTTTCTTTCATGCTTTACAGAAAAGAAAACATACCATTATGTTCCCTGTTTGAGTAACACACTACTGAACGAAATATTTGCTCTTATCTTTTCAGAATTTTGGCTGAAGAATAAAACAGGTAAAAACAATAAAACACACCCCTAGATTCTTTTTCTCTCTCTGTGGCTATCTCTCTGGGCACCATCATGAATGACGCAGTAATTATTCTGGACTAGGAAATTAATGATGAACTAACTGATTCAGGGAAGACAAGTAGTAATAGATGCCATTCTAACTCAGGAGGCAACAAACCTACTTTACAAATACAGGAAAACCTAGTTAAAACACACCTAGTTAAAACATGATCATACAAGTTGCTGTTTTTCTCAGAATCAGAGACATGTTGTTAATGGCAAGACAACAGATTTTCGTGATACATATTTGTTGGGTTATGGAGAGAAAGTTAAATCCAAACACAGACTTACAAGATATGACTCATCAAAACAATAGAAGGATCCAAACACACAGCAAAGCATAAAACACACAAAATAAGAATATAATAAAGAGAGTCAAGAAAATTACAAAGATAAATTCGGTATTGGCAAGAATAATTAAAGACCATGCAATACTTTGATCTTTGGTAATTGTAAAAAAAATTTTCAGCAGATACTTACTGGAAGTAAACATTTTTAAAAGAATTGCAAGATAAATCCATGCTACACTAGAGGATAGAAGTTCCAATTCAATTACTGAAATCCCCCCCACCCCAAAACTCGCCACCATCATCACCTTCTGCTTCTGGTCTATGTAAGACTAGAAATTCAAATGGTTATTGAATAGAGTTGGTAGGAGAATTTTCAAACAAGTGAAGAATTTTTTTTCTTTCTCCTCCCACCCACTCAGAAAGAGAGTTGGAAGGGTAGTGCCTCCCCTCTATCATGCTAAGAGAAAGAGAACTTAAAAGATTGGCTTGACACCAGAAAAGAAGTCATGTTAACACTGGTTTAATGTTCTTTGAGCAATAAAAATTTATAGGCCTGCCACATGCTGCTACAGGACCAGAATAAAACTAGGGAGAAAGATACTGGAAGAGTCTGATATGTGTTCCCAGGAGTTTCAGGGCACAGATGAACACACAGACTAGTTACTGTGGAAGTCTGAAGGGGTAAAGCTGGCTGGATTGTCCTTTGTCTAGACTTTAAGGAGGAGGGGATTTTAACTTGGGCAAGCTACTTGTCCACGATTTGGCACCATAAGAATGTATGAAGGTCCCAAGGGCCAAGTAGCCATGTTTGAGTAGTCTTAATAGGCTTACTTCAAAGATGACACCATGCTGAAATATGACAAGCAAGCTGTGAGAAGTTACAGAGGATTCTGCAACAGACAGAAACTGATTGCGGGTGTCAGGAGGTCAGTTGGAGAATGCATCTATACCAGGGAACTATGCATGACAGGTGTCTACACAAGAGCATTTTGGAGGATCCACCAATACACTCCACAGAAAAGCCAAAACTTTATGCTTGACATAAGACAATACGCGTCCAACCACAAGAGGAATACAAACAACTAAATAAAAATACTTTTCTCCTACAATTTAGGACCCTCCTTTTGGCTCAGCCTCAGAAGAATAAGAGGAAGGAGATATGAAAGCTCCAGAGGAAGAATGACGAAACAGTCCTTGCTACTTTTCCTTCGGCAGCCTTGACCTCCCTTTCAAAAGAGAAGGCATTACATTTCATGAGAGGTGCAGATACAAGGCTCAGGGAATGCAGAGAATAGATCACCAATTCTGTTACCTTTTACTGGAGTCCTATTCTCTTCTATGATTTTAATAAAAGTACCAAGGAACAAATGGTGAAGAAACATGGCTTCTGTTCAATATTCCATCCTTATTAGCTTGAATGTAATCTCACTGAAAAGCAGGCATTAACACCCACCAGAGCACTGGTGGAAAGCTTAGTCATTCTAAGCAGATTCTCATAACTCTGGATATTGATTTTACATTACAAAATTATTGATGAATTGCAACAGACATCCAGCTGTATTGACTGTCTTCAAAAGTGTCTGGAGAAATGGAAAGTCAGTAGCAACATTAAACAATGTTTTGGAGGGGCCAACTACATTGTCATACTGCTATGGCAGTGTCTATTATTCTACAAACGCATATCTTTATTTTTCTTTAGATTGTTGGTGCTCATGGGGCTAAGCAAGGAGAATAGTTAACTTTTTTGGAACTTTAAAATTCCAACTGTAAAAGACCTATCTGCAATTTTCAGTTAATACTAATGGTGATTGTAAGAGTATATCCAACATCAGATCAGATAGTCATTTATTCCTTAAATGTATGCCATCTATAGACATCCATTCACCAGGAATTTGTTAAGAACTTACATTGTTCAGAACAGAGCCCTCAGAAATAATGCCGCATATGTACAACCCTCTGATCTTTGACAAACCTGACAAAAACAAGAAATGGGGAAAGGATTCCCTATTTAATAAATGGTGCTGGGAAAACTGGCTAGCCATCTGTAGAAAGCTGAAATTGGATCACTTCCTTACACCTTATACAAAAATTAATTCAAGATGGATTAAAGACTTAAATGTTAGACCTAAAACCATAAAAACCCTAGAAGAAAACCTAGGCATTACCATTCAGGACATAGGCATGGGCAAGGACTTCATATCTAAAACACCAAAAGCAATGCAACAAAAGGCAAAATAGACAAATGGGATCTAATTAAACTAAAGAGCTTCTGCACAGCAAAAGAAACTACCATCAGAGTGAACAGGCAACCTACAGAATGGGAATTTTTGCAATCTACTCATCTGACAAAGGGCTAATATCCAGAATCTACAATGAATTCCAACAAATTTACAAGAAAAAAACAAACAACCCCATCAAAAAGCGGGCGAAGTATATGAACAGACAATTCTCAAAAGAATTGCAGCCAAAAGACACATGAAAAAATGCTCATGATCACTGGCCATCAGAGAAATGCAAATCAAAACCACAATGAGATACCATCTCACACCAGTTAGAATGGCAATCATTAAAAAGTCAGGAAACAACAGGTGCTGGAGAGGATGTGGAGAAATAAGAACACTTTTACACTGTTGGTGGGACTGTAAACTAGTTCAACCATTGTGGAAGTCAGCGTGGTGATTCCTCAGGGATCTAGAACTAGAAATACCATTTGACCCAGCCATCCCATTACTGGGTATATACCCAAAGGATTATAAATCATGCTGCTATAAAGACACATGCACACGTATGTTTATTGCGACACTATTCACAATAGCAAAGACTTGGAACCAACCCAAATGTCCAGCAATGATAGACTGGATTAAGAAAATTTGGCACATATACACCATGGAATACTATGCAGCCATAAAAAATGATGAATTCATGTATTTTGTAGGGACATGGATGAAGCTGGAAACCATCATTCTCAGCAAACTATCACAAGGACAGAAAACCAAACACCACATGTTCTCACTCATAGGTGGGAATTGAACAATGAGAACACATGGACACAGGAAGGGGAACATCACACACCGGGGCCTGTTGTGGGGTGGGGGGAGGGGGCAGGGATAGCATTTGGAGATATACCTAATGTTAAATGATGAGTTGCTGAGTGCAGCACACCAACATGGCACATGTATACATATATAACTAACCTGCACGTTGTGCACATGTACCCTAAAATTTAAGTATAATAAAAAATAAAAAATAAAAATAAATAAAATAAAATAAAAAATAAAAAAAGAACTTACATTGTTCAGCAATTCTGCCAACAATCAGGGACTCTGTGAAGAATAAGCTCTATATGACTTCAGAGAATTCCTAGCCTTATTGGAAAGCCAAAGTAAACTGTAAGTTTGATTCAGTGTATTAAGTGCTATATAAAAATATACAAAAAACACTCAGTATTTATTCATCTCTTATGCATCTGTGAGGCATTGACATCAAGTTGTCCACCAAAGAATCATGTTGTGCTGTTGTAAGGAAGAGTTATTTTTGGGAAGAAGCTACCCATATAGATGCTACATTTCCCAGTCACACTCAGACATAAGTAAGACCATGTGACCTGTCCAACAGAATATGGGCAGAAATCATGTATGCCCCTTCCAGGCCTGGACCATTAAAATCTATCATTATATTCTCCATTAACCCTTATACATATGAATACACACCACTACCATCACCTTATATAAATGTGTGTGTATATGCATATAATATATGCACACAAACCAGTGGAAACTTGAAAGTTACATATTGAAAACGGCAAATATTCCATAACTCTGGTCCCTGAATTATTGTATAAAGCAGAGCCTACCCTCCCTCATCACTGGTTACATTATGGAATGAGAAATAAATTTCTATATCATAAAACAACCAAGATTTGGGGGTTTATTACTTACAGTTGCTCCTGTTACCATTACTAATATACCCAAAGCATTAGTTACAAATGCTTGATGTGATTAACCTTTTAAGTCAACAACAACCCTATGAAGAGAATACTGTAACTATCTACATTTTACCAGTGAGGGAACTGAGGCCCAAGAGAGGCAATGCCATTTGCTCAAGGTCACAGAACTAGTAAATAGTCAAGGCACTTTATTACTGAGGAATGGTAAAGAATGAAGTCATTACAGACCCTGACCTTGAAGAGGTTTCAATCTCAAGGCACAGAAAATATGGATGTACAAAGTCCTAAATATAAAAATAAAAAGCCTAAACAAGAAACAAAATCTCATCTGTGTATTTCCAGATCGCCCCCAAGTGCTTAAAAAATTTGATGATAAGCCAATGATAAAAAGTTAGAGTAATTATAAAATATCATGGCTTGGAAAAAATTAATTCAGAAACAATTAAATGATTTAAAAAGTTTTGAATTAACAGAATATACATTTTAAAACAATGTAATTTTAATGTTTTGTAAGAGCTCAGATAATATTAGGTGTTTTATAATCTGTTCTAAATTCAATATTATTTCAATAAAAGTATTTTAAACTAATTGAACCAAATATTGAATATCAAAATTTTTGCTTAATTACATAACCATTTGTTTATAGATCCATATTTACCTTATTCAAAAAAAGAGGAGGAATCTGAGGCAGCTTACAGAAAAGTAAGCGATGAAACCATACAAAATTTTAAAATAAGTCAGAAAATTGGTGTGAAAAAGCAATGAAGGCAAAAAAATAAGTCAAGGACAGGATTGACGCAAAAAATTATAATGTCTTGTACACTTTCATGAAATGAGGTATACTTAGATTTCATTTCCTGGGGCAAAAATGAAAATATAATTAATTACTAGATTCACAATATTACTAAGAGGAAGTCCAGCCTTTCTTAGCTTCAGACATGAAGGAAATTTATTTTGAATCCTCACGTAGAAGAAACTATGTAATATAACAAACCGAGGCCTCAATACAAGGCCTATAAGACATACATTTACAAAGTCCATATGGCTGTTTTCTATATAACATCCCTCAGTTCTAACTTTGATGCCATTTCAAAACCCCGATCAGCTTATTTAAGACAGTTACAAAAGGAGCCGAAATAAAGCAGTCCTGGGACACAGACTTCTAGTGGCCTAAGTCTGAAGTTCAGTTATTTCATTCCATCTGCTTATTGGTAGATGATATTGCCTGCTTGGAACATGGCCAGATTAGCCTGACAGCCTTGACAGAAGCCTGTAGTTATTGACTAATTACTATGGACTGGAGAGAGGGATAATAGGAGGAGGAATAGAGATTCCAATCCCTGAGAAAAGAAATTAGGACCCATGGTGACCAGACAAAAATGAATAAAGCAAAACTGCTGACAAGAGAATTTATGTAAAGGTAAGCATATAATAATAACAAACAACAAAAACAAATCACCATCATCTTATATTCCCCCTTTCTATAGAAAGAATGAATAAGCCACTGAAGGATCATGGCATATATTTTCAATTAGTTGTTATTGAAGAAGAGGATTTGCTGTCCAACTCCACTCCTTTCCTTGCAATTTGCAGCAAGGGGTAGGGATATAATGATGAATCCAAGTGCTGTTAATTTAAGTCATTTTATGATCTTAGCTCATTTGTATACCTGATTGCATTTTATGTCAAGGATCAGGAATGAAGTCTCATAGCCACAGGAAATATGGTAGAAACTCCAAAGGGGAGCTACGTGGGATGAGCGGTGTAGGTCAGGCAAGCAGCTATTAGAGAATGTGCAGGCATACCTAATTAGAAGTGTATTTAATGACTCACCTTAAAATATATTGTCCCTCAGACCCATTGCTCTAAACCTTGCTTCTTTTGAGGCTTTAGTGCTAAGAAAGAATGCTAATAAGGAATCCAGATTGTGACGAGATAATGGTTTTACTATAATGGAATTGGCTTTAATTCTTAAGGGAAAGTAGAGTTTTGAGGTACCATGGAGCTGGAATAGTGCTGTAAGAACCCAGGGGACTCCATGTAAAACTGCAGCAATAGCAAAATAAATAGAAGACTACCTAGGGCTCATCTCTCTCAGGAAAGAAGGTTGGGATCATCCAGTGAGAAAAGAACCTTATCGACTAGAAGTGATGGCTAAAGGCATCAACGAATCAATGAACAAGGAGGAAAGCCAGACCTACCAGCTGTTCATTCATTAATTTGTTCAGTATATTTATTGAATATCTACTTTGTGCCAGGAACTATTCTGGTTATCCTTACAGAAATGAGGGTTATGTATTAAATTTCCTTTTCTCATACACTATCAGAATATCTGAATCTGAGGTACACTCTGACCTTCTTGTGTCATTTTTAATAGTCTCCTTTTCTATAAAGGGATTTTAATTTCAATTGTTTTGGTTAGCTTAATTTTTGCACTAGTGACAGTTTGCCATCTTATCCTGAAAGACGCAATATTAAGATGGAATTATGACACAATCAGGAGATAATACGAGCAATGAGATTGGACAACAGTTTTATTTTACTTTTTTTTTATTATTATTATACTTTAAGTTTTAGTGTACATGTGCACAATGTGCAGGTTAGTTACATATGTATACATGTGCCATGCTGGTGTGCTGCACCCATTAACTCGTCATTTAGGATTAGGTATATCTCCCATTGCTATCCCTCCCCCCTCCCCCCACCCCACAACAGTCCCCAGAGTGTGATGTTCCCCTTCCTGTGTCCATGTGTTCTCATTGTTCAATTCCCATCTATGAGTGAGAACATGCGGTGTTTGGTTTTTTGTCCTTGCGATAGTTTACTGAGAATGATGATTTCCAATTTCATCCATGCCCCTACAAAGGACATGAACTCATCATTTTTTATGGCTGCATAGTATTCCATGGTGTATATGTGTCATATTTTCTTAATCCAGTCTATCATTGTTGGACATTTGGGTTGGTTCCAAGTCTTTGCTATTGTGAATAGTGCCGCAGTAAACATACGTGTGCATGTGTCTTTATAGCAGCATGATTTGTAGTCCTTTGGGTATATACCCAGTAATGGGATGGCTGGGTCAAATGGTATTTCTAGTTCTAGAGCCCTGAGGAATCGCCACACTGACTTCCACAATGGTTGAGCTAGTTTACAGTCCCACCAACAGTGTAAAAGTGTTCCTATTTCTCCACATCCTCTCCAGCACCTGTTGTTTCCTGACTTTTTAATGATTGCCATTCTAACTGGTGTGAGATGGTATCTCATTGTGGTTTTGATTTGCATTTCTCTGATGGCCAGTGATGGTGAGCATTTTTTCATGTGTTTTTTGGCTGCATAAATGTCTTCTTTTGAGAAGTGTCTGTTCATGTCCTTCAACCACTTTTTGATGAGGTTGTTTGTTTTTTTCTTGTAAATTTGTTGGAGTTCATTGTAGATTCTGGATATTAGCCCTTTGTCAGATGAGTAGGTTGCAAAAATTTTCTCCCATTTTGTAGGTTGCCTGTTCACTCTGATGGTAGTTTCTTTTGCTGTGCAGAAGCTCTTTAGTTTAATTAGATCCCATTTGTCAATTTTGGCTTTTGTTGCCATCGCTTTTGGTGTTTTAGACATGAAGTCCTTGCCCATGCCTATGTCCTGAATGGTAATGCCTAGGTTTTCTTCTAGGGTTTTTATGGTTTTAGGTCTAACATTTAAGTTTTTAATCCATCTTGAATTAATTTTTGTATAAGATTTAAGGAAGGGATCCAGTTTCAGCTTTCTACAGATGGCTAGCCAGTTTTCCCAGCACCGTTTATTAAATAGGGAATCCTTTCTCCATTGCTTGTTTTTCTCAGGTTTGTCAAAGATCAGATAGTTGTAGATATGTGGCGTTATTTCTGAGGGCTCTTTTCTGTTCCATTGATCTATATCTCTATTTTGGTACCAGTACCATGCTGTTTTGGTTACTGTAGCCTTGTAGTATAGTTTGAAGTCAGGTAGCGTGATGCCTCCAGCTTTGTTCTTTTGGCTTAGGATTGACTTGGTGATGATGCGGGCTCTTTTTTGGTTCCATATGAACTTTAAAGTAGTTTTTTCCAATTCTGTGAAGAAAGTCATTGGTAGCTTGATGGGTATGGCATTGAATCTATAAATTACCTTGGGTAGTATGGCCATTTTCACTATATTGATTCTTCCTACCCATGAGCATGGAATGTTCTTCCATTTGTTTGTATCCTCTTTTATTTCATTGAGCAGTGGTTTGTAGTTCTCCTTGAAGAGGTCCTTCATGTCCCCTGTAAGTTGGATTCCTAAGTATTGTATTCTCTTTGAAGCAATTGTGAATGGGAGTTCACTGATGATTTGGCTCTCTGTTTGTCTGTTATTGGTGTATAAGAATACCTGTGATTTTTGTACATTGATTTTGTATCCTGAGACTTTGCTGAAGTTGCTTATCATCTTAAGGAGATTTTGGGCTGAGACAATGGGGTTTTCTATATATACAATCATGACCACCGATCCCACAGAAATACAAACTACCATCAGAGAATACTACAAACGCCTCTATGCAAATAAACTAGAAAATCTAGAAGAAATGGATAAATTCCTCGACACATACACTCTCCCAAGACTAAACCAGGAAGAAGTTGAATCTCTTAATAGACCAATAACAGGAGCTGAAATTGTGGCAATAGTCAATAGCTTACCAACCAAAAAGAGTCCAGGACCAGATGGATTCACAGCCAAATTCTACCAGAGGTACAAGGAGGAACTGGTACCATTCCTTCTGAAACTATTCCAATCAATAGAAAAAGAAGGAATCCTCCCTAACTCATTTTATGAGGCCAGCATCATCCTGATACCAAAGCCGGGCAGAGACACAACCAAAAAAGAGAATTTTAGACCAATATCCTTGATGAACATTGATGCAAAAATCCTCAATAAAATACTGGCAAACCGAATCCAGCAGCACATCAAAAAGCTTATCCACCATGATCAAGTGGGCTTCATCCCTGGGATGCAAGGCTGGTTCAATATACGCAAATCAATAAATGTAATCCAGCATGTAAACAGAACCAAAGACAAAAACCACATGATTATCTCAATAGATGCAGAAAAGGCCTTTGACAAAATTCAACAACCCTTCATGCTAAAATCTCTCAATCAATTAGGTATTGATGGGACGTATCTCAAAATAATAAGAGCTATCTATGACAAACCCACAGCCAATATCATACTGAATGGGCAAAAACTGGAAGCATTCCCTCTGAAAACTGGCACAAGACAGGGATGCCCTCTCTCACCACTCCTATTCAACATAGTGTTGGAAGTTCTGGCCAGGGCAATTAGGCAGGAGAAGGAAATAAAGGGTATTCAATTAGGAAAAGAGGAAGTCAAATTCTCCCTGTTTGCAGACGACAACAGTCTTTTTTAAGGAGGGTCAGGAAATTACCTCTGCATGCGCTAACTAGATGTGACTTCAAGTTGCCATCCTATTGAGGAAGGAAAGAGCATGTTGCCATTATGCACAAGAAAGTTGTAGTGCTAGTAAAGAGCGTCATTGGAGGTCTGTAATCACAAAGAAGGGAACTGTGTGACCTGGAAGCTAGGGGTGAAAGGCATGGACAAGAAGCCTCAAAAAAATCTTGCTGAGAAATGAATACTCAGAAAGTACCCTGTGGCGAGCCAAATCTTATGCTTCAAGCTAAATCATATTGGTGCCTTTTTCAAAATTGGTTGGACTAGGGAGAGTTTCCCAGTTTAGGGACCACCAATGAAAAACTGATCCATATTCAGTGATGGTTAATCAACCCAACTTGCCTGGAAACTAAAGATGTGAAGTAGAAAGCAAAACAGACACACCTGAAAGGACATCAAGTGCATTACTGGAATGACTAAGCACTAGAACGGAGAAGCTTCCATATTCTCGCTTTGTGCAAATAAAGTAGCACAACTCTCACAAAATGAAAGGGGCTCAACTAATACAGTAGCATTTGGCAGACAGGTGTCCCAAAGCCTTAGAAAATATACTATGTGGTATAATATAGTAAGCTCAGGACTTGATGTCAGGAACATGAGTTGGAGAAGTAGTCAACTTGCATACTACGTTTGTGATATTTTCCAAATATATACTCTGAACATTTTATTTATTAGGAAAACATAATTTACACTTCTTATGATGCTCAAAAGCATGTGGATTTTGATATAATACTGAAGATTCTTAAGACAGAAAATTATACATGCCAAGCACAAGCAAGAATAAATGTTACAATGTTATGTTAAATGGAAGAGCATACAAAGTAATATATTCAGGATGATTGTCACTGGGGGAATATAGAAACATATGGAAAACTGAAAGAGAATACTCAAAAATGGAAGTTATGATAGAGTCATGGGATTTTATGCATTTTTTATTTTTAGAAAGAAATCAATATTGTTTTATATTGTTATACCAAAACTTAGACTAAAATAATGTGTATAGAAATATTGGCCCTCACACAGAAAGAATGAAATGGTTAAATGGAAAAACCCCTCTGGTGCTGTGGACATGTGAGTTTTTGTTTTGTTTGTTTGTTTGTTTGTTTTTTGAGACAGAGTCTCACTCTGTTGCATAGGCCGGAGTGCAGCGGTGCAACCTGGGCTCACTGCAAACTCCGCCTCCTGGGTTCAAGTGATTCTCCTGCCTCAGCCTCCCGAGTAGCTGGGATTACAGGCGCACATCACCACACCCAGCTAATTTTTGTATTTTTAGTAGAGACGGGGTATCACCATGTTCGCCAGGATGGTCTCGATCTCCTGACCTTGTGATCCACCCATCTCAGCCTCCCAAAGTGCTGGGATTACAGGCGTGAGCCATCGCGCCAGGCCGAGATTTTTAATAGTATAAAACAGTAAGATAGGAGAAAGTCAACAGTTTTCAGAAGGAAGGTGTTTTCAAGATGGACCCAACCTGAAACACTTTACTTTCATCCATACCTGTTGCTTCAGTTCAAGTCAGAGAGAACACAAAACAGAAACACCTTGGACAATGTTGAGCACCAGTTCTGTCAGGCATTATCTTTAGACACAAAGATATAAACAACAGAGAATAAGCAGACTTGCTGCTTGCCCACACAGAGATTCTACAGGGTTTTTTTTTTTTTTTTTTTTTGGTACTATGTATATGCTATGGTTTGAATGAGCAGCATCCTCTTCAAAACTCCTGTGTTGCCAATGCGGTAAGAGGTGGGGCCTTTAAGAGGCGATTAGGCCCTGAGAGCTCCTTTCTCATGAATGGGATTAAAGTTCCTATACGTGAGGATTCATGCAGCATTAGGTAGCTTGCCCTTCTGCCTTCTGCCATGTGAAGAGCCTTCACCAGACAACCAAACCTGCCAGTGCCCAGATCTTAGATTTCCCAGCTTCCAGAACTGTGAGGAAATAAGTTCTGTTCTTTACAAGCTACCCAGTCTCAAATATTTGTGCTATAGCAGCAAAAAATTGAAAAAGACAGTGTATGAAAGAAGAGAGAAACCCCCTACCTTCTTTATAGATAGAAATACACATGGCCAAATCCATGGAGACAATCAGTGATGACACTCTAAACTCTGAACTTGCAGCAATAGCAGAGAGAATAGACACTGAAAATTATCTAGCTTTAATACTAATTCTAGGGATAAAAAGCTGTAAAAAAAAAAGGTTGTATAGAATATAAATAGCACATAATGCAGAAAGGATCAATGGAAAATGTAGAATAAAAATAATAATTTTCTAAATGTCGTAACAGAACCAAGAATGAAATGCCACCCTTCGCTCTGTTCTACTTTTAATTTAACCAATTCCTCCAAAATTGTTGATGGTTAATTAAATATGAGGCTTCTAATACTCAAGGGCTTTTCTTTCAAGAAACTAACATCTCATGGAACCCTGATGTCCTCAGCCAGTTGGAACCAAGAACAACCTCATTTTGATGAAAATGCAGTGAATTCATTGGCATCAGGGAAACTTCAGAAGTACAAGGATTCCAATACGTACATCAGCAAATATGAAAAGCCTAGCAATACAAGAAGAGTAAAGAATATGCCTTCAACTATTTAGCTGGAGCTCAATATTTCTTAATAGGTAAAACATTCTAAGATCAAGAGAATGAAGGATAGAATGAAAAATGCTGGATGTTAAGGCATGTACAAGGAAACAAAAAGCATAAAACACTATGGAATAAATTTAACAAAAGTGCAAAACATATTCTGAAAGCTACAAAACATTGTTTTAAGAACATAAAAAAGAACTAAAACATGGAAAAGTATTTCATGTTTCTGGATTGGAAGTATTAATATTGTAGAGATGACAATAACCCTCAAACAGATCTACAGATTCAGCACAATCCTTATCAAAATCCCAGCAGCCTTTTTTTGTATCAATGGACAAGCCAACACTAATCCAGTTTCATTGCAAGGGACCCCAATTACATAAAACATCCTTAAAAAAATGAACAAAGTAGGAAGATTCATATTTCACAGTTTCAAAACTTACTACAAAAATACAACAATTAAGACAGTGTAGTATTAACACACAAATTGACATATAGATCAATAAAATGAAATTGAACGTTGAGAAAAGAAATTCCCATACATTTGAGGTCAATTGATTTTTGACAAGAGTGCCAAGACAATTCAATGGAGAAAGAATAGTCTTTTCAACACATTGTGCCAGGACAACCTGATGTCCCCATGCACAAGAATTAAGTTGAATTTCTTCCTTACACCATAAAAATTAATTCCAAATGGATCAAAGACCTAAATGTAAGAGCTAAAAATATAAAA
Organism: Homo sapiens; assembly: GCF_000001405.40. Lineage (NCBI taxonomy): Eukaryota > Metazoa > Chordata > Mammalia > Primates > Hominidae > Homo > Homo sapiens. The sequence goes on from NC_000017.11 coordinate 54,702,064, forward strand.
CTTTTTGAAGGAAATAGGAACAGACTTTGACCTTGAGTTATGCTTAGCCTTCTTAGATGGAAAACCAAAAGCACAATTATTTTTAAAAAGCATAAATAAATTGGACTTCATCAAAATTAAAAACTCTTGTGCTTTGAAGGCCATCATCAAGAAAGTAAAGGGACAACCGAACCATGGAATGAGAGTATTTGCAAATAATATATCTGATGAAGGATTAGTATCAAGAATATACAGGGAATGCTTGCAACTCAAAAATAAAAAGACAAATAACCTCAACGAAAATTGGGCAAAATATATGAATGAATATTTTGTCAAAGAAAATATGCAAATAGCCAATAAGCACATGGGAAGATGCTCATCATCATTAGCAGTTAGGAAAATACAAATCATAACCACAATGAGAGTCTACTTCACACCCATTAGGATGACTATAATAAAAAAGATAGTAACAAGCATTTGCATGGATGTGGAGAAGTTGGAACCTTTATGCTGTTGTAATACAAAATGGTGCAACCACTATGGAATACAGTTTGGCAGTTCCTCAAAAAGTTAAACAGTTACCATGTGACTCGGCAATTCCACTTCTAGGTATATGCTCAAGATAAATGAAAACTAATATTCACACAAGAACTTGCATACCAGTGTTTATAACAGCATTATTCTTAATAGCTAAAAAGAGAAAACACTCAAATGTCCATCAACTGATAAGTGAACAAATAAAAACTGGTGTTACCAAGCCTTCTGGTCTGTCTCTGGAGGCAGGAAATGCCAGGGTGCAACCAGTCAAGCTACTGCCCAACGCTCATCAAGAGAATAGTTATCTTGTAGGGCAGCTCTGGTTCTAGTGTCTGGCAGTGGAATTAAACAGCCACCATGTTGACAAAAGGACAAAGACCAAGGCCACCAAGAAGCACTCTCCAAACGTAATATTCAGTGTGTTTGCCACATTGGACTAGGCACAGATTCAGGAGTTCAAAGAGGCCTTTGACATTATTGATCAGAATAGAGATTCTTTCAACAAGGAAGATGTGCATGATATGCTTGCTTCTCTCTTCATCAGAATCCAACTGATGTATACCAAGATGCTGTAAGGAGTGAGGTTCTGGGCTTATAAATTTCACCACTGCCCTACTGTTTGGTGAGAAGTTAAATAGCACATATCCTGAAGATGTCATCAGAAATGCTTTAGCCTGCTTTGATAAAGAAGCAACAGGAACCATTCAGGAAGACTATTTGAGAGAACTGCTGACAACAATGGGAAGTGAATGAGCTGTACAGAGAAGGTGCTATTGACAAAAAAGGAAATTTTAATTACATTGAGTTCACATGTAGCCTTAAATATGGGGTGAAAGACAAAGATGATTGAAACATCAGCTAAAACCACGAAATTATTGTATCTTATGCTATTTCCTGGATACTTTGCCCCATCATCATAGACCCTGCTGCATGTGCTTAGTTTTATAGCTTTGCCTTTTTAAATATACTTATTTCAGATCTTTTTGCCACTTAGCACTTGTATAATCAGACTGTAAATGGAGATGAAGTTGTACATTGTATTGAAAAAAAGATTACTAATAAAAATCAACATATACAAAAGCTCAAGAGAATATATCTGTATTTCTGGTTTTACTGGATTGTTGTTACATTTTTATATAATAAAAATGCAATTTTAAAATGCGTGAAATATTAAATATAAAAATGAGTATATTCATATAATGGAATATTGTTTTGCAATAAAAAGGAGTGATATACTGATACATTTTCCATATTAAACCTTGAAAACATTATGCTAAGTGACAAAAGATCACATAATGAATGAATGTTTTTATATTAAATGTCTAGAAAAGAATAATTTATAGACACAGAAAATATGCTTATGATTGCCTAGGTCTCAAGAAAGAAGTGAATGGGGAGTAACAGATATGGAGCTTTCTTCTCGGAATGATGAAAATGTTCTATAAAGTATTGTGTTGATGGTCACACAACTCTGTGAACACACTTAAATAGGTTAATTGTATGATATGTGAATTATATCTCAATAAAGCAGTTAAAATACACATAAAGCGAACCTGACAAAGCAATTGTCATGATAGAACCCTTTAATACTCTTGTAGTATGGATAAAAAATAAAGAACACAGAAACTCTGACTTATATCATTAATACAGTTACGTAATTTAATAGATACATAGCAATCTCTTTACCCTACAAATGTGGAACACAGTCTTCCAAATTTCCCCAGAACATGTAGTAAAATTAGTACATACAAGAACAAGATAAGGAAACCTCAAAACATTTTGAAACAAAAAAAATCAAATGAGTATATGCATAATGCAATAAATTTGAAATAAAAAGAAAATATTCAAACAAAAAATGAATTATCTTAAAATAGGAAAGACTTCTTAGAGTAATAACTGGTTAAAAAAAGAAATTTAAGCTGATTTTACAAAATGAATACAAAAACAATACCAAACGGAATAGTTTATGTCAAATCATATAAGATATGGACTATAATTAATGTTACCATTAAGAAAGAAATAAAAATAAATTAAGCATTGAGCTCAGTAATTTATAAAAACTAACATCAAATTATACTAGAAACACAAGAAAAAAGAACTAATAAAGAGAATGCAAACACCCAAATGTAGGAATATAGAAAGGAACACACCATTATGCAGGCCTATATTTCAAACAGTTTAATAGTGTCTATAATTCTATGCTTATATATTCTTACAATTGCCATTAAATGCACCGTTTTCCAAAAAAAAATGAAGACCATTGACACTATATCATAAAGATGAAAAAACTAGTCAATGTAGAAGGAATTGAGAAATATATTCAAATCAATTATTGTGTCTAAGATTGTTATAAGTGAATCTTTGCAAATCTTTAATTAGCAGAAAATCCAAATATTAAACTACTGCAGTGCAAATAAAAAAGATGTAACACTTCTCATTTCATTATACAAAGCTAGCATAATCTTGATAGCAAATTTAAGATAGCACAAACAGAACTAAAATATAGACCAATTATTATCTAAAAACTCACATAGGAAAACCCTAAATAATAGCAAATTGAATCCATAAGCATAATTAAAACTGTAATATATTATGACAACGTTGGCTTTATTACATAATGCAAAAGTAGTTTAGTAGAAAAACCTGCTATTGTAATTCATTAAATCGATAGATCCAAATAGAGAAATCATGTGACTATCCTGATACTAAAGACATTTGATAAAATCCAACATCCATTCCTAATAATCCTTACGCTTAATCATGTAAAGAACTCAAACTGATAATAAGTGTCCTTTTTAAGATTCTAAAGTATTTCTCTTCATAGCAACGAGATATTACTACACATGATTATTACTATTATTTGAAACTTATTAAAATAGAAAAATGGTATATATATGAAAAACATAAAAATGAGCAAGAACTAGGTTAAAGCAAAAGTATTATTGTTTTTAACATGATGTGGAAATTTTAAAATTTATGAAATTTATTAAAACAATCAAATTTTTAAAGGTGTTCTTAAGGTTGTCAGATGCAAAATAAAGACACCCAATCTAATAGTCTTTTTATAAATGAGAAATAACCAATTGAAACAAAATCTTATTTACAATAGCAGCAAAAAACCCACAACATGCCTAGGAATTAACTAAAGACTAGAGCCATGTAGATTCAATATAATTAAACCTATTGATCTTTCTTGGGAGATACCCATGAAGTTTTAAATATTTGGAAACACAAATGAGGCTTGTGAATGAGAAAGCTTAAAATATTGGAAGATGTCAGTTTTCCTCCCTCGTTATCATCAATGATTCTGAAATAGCATCGCAATATTAATCAAAATTCCAAAAATATTTGGAGAGAGAATTTAAAATAATTTTAAAGTTTACTGGGAAGAATAAACATACACATTAAAATTCAAATCTTCACATCGTAAGTTTCTAATATCCATCCCCATGTGGCTCTTTGCTCCTTTTTGGCATATGGAAAGATGATATTTCCCCCATCCTTTGCAGTTAGGCTGACTAGTTCTGGCCAATCAAGTGTCAGTATAGGTAACTTGTCTCACTTCTGGACATAAGAAAGGAACTGCCATTATAAGAACTTCCAGCTCTCTCCCTGACACAGGAATTGTTGTGTAGAATTTGTGCTGAGATGGCAAAGCCACAAATTCAAACCAGCCTAGGTTGCTGAGTGATTGAGTAGAGGACAAGTATCCTGAAGAGCCATTTGAACCCACAACAGACTCTAAGTGGAAAAACAAACAAACAACAACAACACTTTGTGGCATTAAGCCATTGAGATATGGAGGATGTTAATGCAGCATAATTTAGCCTGTGCTAACTAATGAACTTCTGGGTAAGAAAAACAGGATCTTTGCTTTTGTTGCAATTGCTTTTGGCATCTTCATCATGAAATCTTTGCCTGTGCGTATGTCCTGAATGGTATTGCCTCAGTCATCTTCCACAGTTTTTATAGTTTTTCATTTTACATTTAAGAGTTTACTCCATTTTGAGTTAATTTTTGTATATGGTATAAGGAAGGGGTCCAGTTTCAATTTTCTGCATATGGCTAGCCAGTTAACCCAGCACCATTTATTGAACCAGTTATCCCAGCACCACTTATTGAATAGGGAATCCTTTCCCCCTTGCTTGTTTTTGTCAGGTTTGTCGAATATCAGATAGTTGTAGGTGTGCGATCTTATTTCCGGGTTCTCTATTCTATTCCACTGGTCTACGTGTCTGCTTCTGTACCAGTACCATGCTGTTTTGGTTACTGTAGAAATGTAGTATAGTTTGAAGTTGGGTAGTGTGATGCCTCCAGCTTTGTTCTTTTTGCTTAGGATTGCATTGGCTGTTCAGGCTGTTTTTCATTCCACATGAATTTTAAAATAGTTTTTCCTTCTAGTTCTGTGAAGGTCAATGATAGTTTAACAGGCATACCATTGAATCTATAAATTGCTTTGGGCACTATGGCCATTTTGCAATATTGATTCTTCCTATCCTTGAGCATAGAATGTTTTTTCATTTGTTTGTCATCTCTGATTTCTTTGAGAAGTGGTTTGTAGCTCTCCTTGTAGAGATCTTTCACCTCCCTGGTTAGCTGTATTCCCAGGTATGTTATTCTTTTTGTGGCAACTGTGAATGAGAATTAATTCCTGATTTGGTTCTCAGCTTGATTCTTGTTGGTGTATAGGAATGCTGCTGATTTTTGCACATGGATTTTGTATCCTGAGACTTTGAATCAATGTTAGACCAGATAAAAAAAAATGTCATACATATACACCATGGAATACTATGCAGTCCTAAGAAAGAATTAGATCATATCCTTTGCAGGGACATGGATGGAGCTAGAGGCCATTATACTTAGCAAACTAACACAGGAACAGAAAACCAAATACTGCACGTTCTCACTTATAAGTGGGAGCTGAATGATGAGAACACATGGACACATAGAGGGGAACAACACACCCTAGGGCCTATTGTGGGGTGGGAGGAGGCAGAGGATCAGGAAAAATAACTAATGGGTACTAGGCTTAATACCTGGATAATGAAATAATCTGTACAAAAACCCCCCACAACAAAAGTTTACCTATGTAACTAATGTACACATGTACCCCTGAACTTAAAATAAAAGTTAAAAAAAAAAAAACAGAATCACTGTAAACAAATACAAAAGGCACCCCAGGCTGACAAAGGACCATAAAAATGAGCAAAGGGCATCATAATTGCAGTTTACAAAAAAAAACCATAACTGGTCGATAAATATATGGAAAAAAGATTAAAAATGCAATGCCATTTCACATTTCTTTTCATTGGATGAAATTAATAAGACTGGTGAAATTAAGTTTTGGAAATTATGTGAAAAAATAAAAAAAAATTGCTTATGCATTAATACAATCAATTCAGAGTAATTTTACCACATCCAATAATGATGAAAATCAATATAACATACAACCCAGGAGCAATTACACTTTAAGCTGCCTAAAGATTGTCTTACACATGTTCAAGGAGATATGTACATGTATGTTTATGGCAATACTATTGGTATTACTGGAAAGGAAAAAGAGAAGAATTACTAAGAAGGAATCTAAAAAAAAGTGGTTTATTACTTAAATGGACCTATATGTGTATATGCCATTATGACTAATATCAATAATCTAATGTCGAGTGAAAGAAAAGTTACAAAAGAACACATGCAGTTTACACATTATGAAGATGGCATTGACCAAAAATAATAGAAAATGCTTACACATGTTGTTCTATATCTCTATGAACTATTGCTATGCAATAATAAAAATGAACTATTAAAATCTCAGCACCGTAAACGAATCTCAAAAATATTATCATAAATGGGCCGGGTGCGGTGGCTCACGCCTGTAATCCCAGCATTTTGGGAGGCCAAAGCGGACGGATCACGAGGTCAGGAGATCGAGACCATCCTGGCTAACATGGTGAAACCCCGTCTCTACTAAAAATACAAAAATTAGCCGGGCGTGGTGGCAGGCGCCTGTAGTCCCAACTACTCAGGAGGCTGAGGCAGAAGAATGGCGTGAACCCGGGAGACGGAGCTTGCAGTGAGCCGAGATCCTGCCACTGCACTCCAGCCTGGGCGACAGAGCAAGACTCTGTCTCAAAAACACAACAAAACAAACAAACAAAATTATCATAAATAACAGAAGCCATTCAACAGAAGAATGCTTACTGTATGAGTCCATGAATATGAAGTTTGGACAGATAAGAGTCATATGATCCTAGAAATCAAAGCATTTGCTACCTTTGTAGGGCAGGAGTTAACTGAAGGAAGACACAAGGGTCTTTTCAGGTAAAGAAAATATTTCCTTTCTTAACTAGAATGATGTTTTCACAATTTATATACTTATAAAAACTCATGAAATTGTACATTTTAAAAAGTTGAGTAAATAGGAATAGCTGTTAATTATTTGAATAATGATAATTAATAGAAAAACTAAAAATAATGTACATATCAAACATTAGAGGTGAACGGGGGAACTGGAAAGTAGTGAATATAAATTAAGTCACCTTTTTTATTGAGAATCCATAATATTGCCTAATATTGATAAGCTTGTAAACATATATATTATCTATATATATAGGTTATATATAGTCTCCCTTTTTATCTTATATGTTATATATCTTAATATATATCTATATATTATATATATTATCTCCTTTTATTTTATATATATATATATATAAAATCTCCCTTTTTAGTAATACCAATAGTGTTGCCATGAACATACATGTACATATCTCCTTGAACGTGTGTAAGAGAATCTTTACACAGCTTAAAGTGGAATTGCCCCTGGGTTGTAGGTTATATTAATTTTCATCATAGCATTATAACATATATTACATATGTAATAGCCATGATGATAATCAAGAAAAGAAGTATAAGTATTTATAAGTAACACCATTTAAAAATGTATTCTTCTGAACTGTGAAAAGGGAAAAGGCTGAAGACTTATATTGTATGCTTTGATTTGTTACCATGTACATCTATTATTTTGAGAATTTTTATGTGGTAGAATAATCATTTTTAGAAAATAACAGTTAATAAATATGTTTAAGTCAAAAATTGCAATTTACAAAGCAGTGTTATGATATTATACCATTTTTATTAATTATGTTCGTATGTGTGTATATTTATCTATACTTACAAAGACAGAATTCAAATATATACCCAAATGTTACCATGGTTATCTCTAGGTATTAGAATTAGAGGCACCATTCATTTTTGTTTCTATTTTATGCTCTTTTCATTTTTCTACTAGATTTTATTTAAACAATTTTATTCCAGGGAATCTTATGCCATTGATTTCAACATGCTAATAGTCAGAAGCATCATCAAATAGCAATATTTACTGAGCCCTTACTGTGTACCAAGCTGTAAGCTGGGCTTTGAGTTGGACTAGACAAGCTCTCTGCTCTGAAGGAGCTTAGTCTAGTGTCAGATACAGATACACGTGAATATGATATAATTTTTCCCTAGGGCTGTAACAGAGTCAGGGATGTATGAGGTGGTATTTTAATTTACCTTTTGTAAATTTACCAGTAGAAATTTACTAGATGGATAATGTGAGAAAGTAATCAAATTTGGGTGCTGCTTCCAGAAGTCACAAGATATGCAAAAAGCAGGTAGCTGACTACTTAGTTTGATACACTGTGGGAAAAATTCAAATATCAAGAGAATGATCTTTCATTCTTTTGAAGCACAAAAGTCCTCTGACAATCCTATATGCAGGCTAAGTCATTTGCATAATCTCTATTGGAAAATTCTTACTTCACCAGGGATAGCATATGCACAAATTACAAAAAAAGACTTTAAATTTCATATGGAACTAAAAAAGAGCTCATATAGCCAAGACAATCCTAAGCAAAGAGAACAAAGCTGGAGGCATCATGCTACCTGACTTAAAACTATACTACAAGGCTGCAGTAACCAAAACAACATGGTACTGGTACCAAAACAGATATATTGACCAATGGAACAGAACACAGACCTAAGAAATAACTCCACACATCTAAAATCATCTGATCTTTGACAAACCTGACAAAAATAAGCAATGGAGAAAGGATTCCCTATTTAATAAATGGTGTTGGGAAAACTGCTAGTCATAGTAGAAAACTGAAACTGGACCACTTCCTTACTTCTTATATAAAAAGTAACTCAAGATGGATTAAAGACTTAAACATAAGACCTAAAACCATAAAAACCCTAGAAGAAAACCTAGGCAATATTATCATTCGGGACATAGGCATGGGCAAAGACTTCATGACTAAAACGCCAAAAGCAATGGCAACAAAATTGGCAAAAGGGATCTAATTAGACCACAGAGCTCCTGCAAAGCAAAAGAAACTATCAACAGAGTGAACAGGCTACCTATAGAATGGGAGAAAATTGTTGCAATCTATCCATCTGACAAAGGGCTAATATCCAGAATCTACAAAGAACTTAAACAAATTTACAAGAAAAAAACAAACAACCCCATCAAAAAGTGGGTGAAGTATATGAACAGACACTTCTCAAAAGAAGATATTTATGTGGCCAACAAACATACGGAAAAAAGCTCATCATCCCTGCTCATTAGAGAAATGCAAATCAAAACCACAATGAGATACCATCTCATGCCAGTTAGAATGGCGATCATTAAAAAGTCAGGAAACAACAGATGCTGGAGAAGATGTGGAGAAATAGGAACACTTTTACACTGTTGGAGGGAGTGTAAATTAGGTCAACCATTGTGGAAGACAGTGTGGCAATTCCTCATGGATCTAGAACCAGAAATACCATTTGACCCAGCAATCCCATTACTGAGTATATACCCTAAGGGTTATAAATTATTCTACTATAAAGATACATGCAAATGTATGTTTATTGCAGCACTACTCACAATAGCAAAGACTTGGAACCAACCCAAATGCCCATCAATGATAGACTGGATAAAGGAAATGTGGCACATATACACCATGGAGTATTATGCAGCCATAAAAAAGGATGAGTTCATGTCCTTTGCAGGGACATGGATGAAGCTGGAAACCATCATTCTAAGCAAACTAACACAGGAACAGAAAAGCAAACACTGCATGTTCTCACTCATTAGTGGGAGTTGAACAATGAGAACACATGGACACAAGGAGGGGAACATCACATACTGGGGCCTGTCAGGAGGTGGGGGGCTAGGGGAGGGATAGCATTAAGAGAAATACCTAATGTAGATGATGGGTTGATGGGTGCAGCAAACCACCATGGCACATGTATACCTATGTAACAAGCCTGCACATTCTGTGCCTGTATCCCAGAACTTTAAGTATAATAATAATTAAAAAAACAAATTTCCTTATATGCCACGAGACTGATACATGCTCATATAGATAACTTTTCATGTTTACCAAAATAACTTTCAGTTAAGCCCTAGTCCCCTAATGTGTATTGTTTGTGTATTACTTTCCTATGGCTTCTGTAACAAATTACCACAAACCTGGTGGCTTAGTGCAAAAGATACTTATTTTCTCATAATTCTAGGGACCAGAAGTCTGAAATCAGTATCACTTGATTTCAACCCAAATCAAGGTGTTGGCAGGGCCATTCTCCCTCTAAAGAATAAGCTGTTTCTTACCTCTTCCACCTTCTGGTGGCTGCTGCTGGGGAATTATTATCAAGATTAATTAATAAGTTGATTTTATGTAGTTTATTATTCAATCTAGAAAACAAGAAATAAGGACATTGTTCCTTGTTTTTGCTTCCCCTATATACCTACTTTTATTTTATTTTTCAAAAACAGCGTCTCACTCTGTTGCCCAGGCTGCAGTGTGGTGGCACAATCTTGGCTTGCTGCAACCCCCACCTCCCAGGTTCCAGCGAGATTCTTATATCTCAGCCTCCCAAGTATCTTGGACTACAAGCATGCACCCCAATGCCCAGCCAATTTTTTTTATTTTTGGTAGGGATGGAGTTTCACCATGTTGGCCAGGCTCACTGCAACCTCCACCTCCTCGGTTCAAGCAATTCTCCTGCCTCAGCCTCCCGAGTACCTGGGACTACAGGTGTGTCCACAGTTGGTTCCTTCCAGCGGGTTCTTGGTCTCACTGACTTCAAGAATGAAGCCACAGGCCTTTGCAGTGAGTGTTACAGCTCTTAAAAGGGGCACGGACCCAAAGAGTAAGCAGCTGCAAGATTTATTGTGAAAACCAAAAGAACAAAGCTTCCACAGCCTGGCAGGCTACCGAAGCAGTCGCTGCTCCTGGCTTGGGGGTGGCCAACTTTTATTCTCTTATTTGTCCCCGCCCACATCCTGCTGATTGGTCCATTTTACAGAGTGCTGATTGGTCCATTTTACAGAGCTCTGATTGGTCCATTTTACAGAGTGCTGATTGGTCCATTTTACAGAGAGCTGATTGGTCCACTGTACAAACCTCTAGCTAGCCACAGAAAGCAGATTGGTGCATTTTTACAGAGCACTGATTGGTCCATTTTCTAAATCTCTAGCTAGCCACAGAGCACTGATTGGTGTGTTTTGCAATCCTAGCTACAGAGTGCTGATTGGTGCATTTTACAGTCCTCTTGTAAGACAGAAAAGTTCTCCAAGTCTCCACCCGACCCAAAGGTCCAGCTGGCTTCACCTCTCACAGGTGCACGGCACCACACTGGCTTAATTTGGCCTCTCAAAGTGCTGGGATTATAGGTGTGAGCCACTATGCCAGGCTATACCTACTTTATATAACTGCTCATCTCTTTTAGGTGAAATGTGTGGCTGGAAACAATTTTGTGATCTTGCTGCATATGTAGTTCTTCTTTTTCATTTTTAATTATCTGTTCTTTTTTTTTCCAAGGTTGCCTGTAAACATCACTTAACTATTACAATTATTATTATTATTATTATTATTATTATTTTGAGATGGAGTCTCACTCTGTCACCAGGCTGGAGTGCAGTGGCGTGATCTCAGCTCACTGCAACCTCTGCCTTCCAGCTTCAAGCAATTCTCCTGCCTCAGCCTCCCAAGTAGCTGGGACTACAGGTGTGTGCCACCACGTCCAGCTAATTTTTGTATTTTTAGTAAAGACAGGGTTTCACCATGTTGGCCAGGATTGTCTCAATCTCTTGACCTCATGATCTGCCCACCTCGGCCTCCCAAAGTGCTAGGATTAGAGGCGTTAGCCACCGCAGCTGGCCTACAATTATTTTTATAGATTACTTTTACCTGTTGGTTACTTTAAAGGACTCTTCATTCTACAGCTTTTCTCTTCTCTTTACTTATTTTTTAGAGACTTTAAAATTAACTTTTATAGCAAAGCAAATATTTCCATGAATTATAAAATGGATAGAAATAGTATCATCAAGTGCCTCTGTTCTATAAATTATGATCAAAGGAATCTATTTGAAGCAAATTATATTTTAATTGTCTCTAGTTATGTTTTTATATGCGACTGATTAAACATTTTTATTTGTAATACTAAATTTTTTCAAATCCAAATGTTATTTTTAAACTTTATTATTACTTCTGTCTTTTCATTGGCATTGGCATATTATATTGTAACTATTTCATTTGATTTTACCATGAATACATAGTTTTTTAATTACATTCTAAAACTGATTATGTTGATATAGGAGCATACAGTTAAATTTGCTACATATGACCATTTTATTATATATCTCATGGTGTTGTTTGAGATTTGTAGTTTTGTGTATTACTTAGCACTGTAGTCAGAATGTTTCTGTCTACCCAAAATTCATATAATGAAATCTAATTCCCAATGCAATAATACTAAGAGGTAGGACCTATAGGGGCCAATTAGATAATTAGGGTAGATCCCTCATGATGGGATTAGTGCCAGTATAAAAGTGGCTGAAGGAAACTTGCTTTGCCATCTGAGGACACATAAAAGGCACTATCTATGAAGAACATGTTCTTGCCAGACACAGAATCTACCAGTTCTTTGATCTCGGGCCTCCCATTCCTCAGAACTGTGAGCAATAAACTTCTTTTTTTTTTTTTTTTGATAAATTACCCAGTCTAAGGTACTTTGTTATAGCAACTCAGACTATGACATTGTGTTAGGTTGTTTTTGCATTGCTATAAAGGAATAATTGAGACTGGTATTTATAAAGAAAAGAGATTTAATTGGCTTACAGTTCTGCAGGCTGTATAAGCATGGCACCAACATCTGCTTGGCTTCTGGCAAGGGCCTCCGGTAGCATACAACCATAGTGAAAAGCAAAGCAGGAGCAGGCATGTCACATGGTGAGGGCAGGAACAAGAGAAAGAGAGGGGAGGTGCTACGTATTTTTAAACAATCAGATCTCACATGAACTCAGAGGGAGAACTCACTTATCACCAACGGATGGCACTAAGCCACTCATGAGCTATTCATCCCCATTATCCAAACACCTTCCACCAGGCCCCACCTCCAATAGTAAAGATTACATTTCAATATGAGATTTTGAGGGGACAAATATCCAAACATATCAAACACTTAGTAACACAAATATAAAATAGAAACTACTGCCTGTTGAAGGAAGGCATTTGTTTTTCATTGCTTTTTAGTTCCAACTAAAACTCTTTTTTTGCTTTTTCTTCTTTTTTTTTTTGTTTTGTTTTGTTTTGTTTTTGAGACGGAGCCTCACTCTGTCACCCAGGGTAGAGTGCATGTGGCACACTGCAACCTCCACCTCCCAGGTTCAAGCAATTCTCCTGCCTCAGCCTCCCGAGTAGCTGAGACTACAGCCACACATCGCCACACTGCCTTAATTTTTTGTATTTTTGTAGAGACGGGGTTTCACCGTGTTGCCTGGGCTGGTTTGGAACTCCTGAGCTGAGGCAATCCATCCAACTTGGCCTCCCAAAGTGCTGGGATTACAGGTGTGAGCCACCATGCCTGGCCCAGTTCCAACTAAAATTCTAACGTGGACTTTAAGAAGCCTAACAAATACTATTGATCACAGTATGTTACATAATAGATCTTAACTTGATTTTCATTTCAAAAAGAAAAGCCATAGAACTACTTATTTAGAGCTACAAGCGTTAGCCTAATTCCTGCATTTTAAATAAGACCTACAGGATGATTTTCATACAAATCAGTTGCTACTGCTCAATTATCTTCATTTATGTGTATCCTACCCCTTTCTACCTCCAATGTTAAGGATGTACCATTTAGAAAAAACTGCTTCATTCTTTTTTTTGAATACCTCGAACATACCTCATTTATTGTATTGTTCAAGAGATAATAGGTCTTATAAAATGACTAGCAAGCTCATATTTTGCTAAATTACCCAGATCCAATTATATTTTATACTTTTTTAATAGTGTTAAACTTTTTAAATAATATTAAACTTATATTATCTTAATAGGCCAAAACAATAACAAGTTTTTAAAATAGTGATTTACCGCATATTATGGAAAATAATGGGAGCTGCTTAAATTTAGCTCATGTCATATGCTAGAATCTAGTAATCATCTTATTATAGTTACAAATCAAAGTTTACCCATTTATTTTACTTATATTGCTTAACATGAAGAACACACACAAATTATAAAAAATAACTTAAATGACTAAATAAACATTGGTAATGTAAACATTTTATCTTGTTAATTTATTGTCTATGAATATTAAAGAAAGCATGTTGATTTTTTGTTGCATCTATATTTTTTCACTTCTAAACTTTCAGTTGCATCCAGTTTTGATTATTTAAGATCTTAAAAAATCTTGTCCTTAGTTCCCTTTTTATGTGTACATACAAGAGAAGATTATGCCATTGTAATTCAGTTAGGCTTTCCCAATCTGCTGAAGTAAATTTTTCTCATTATCTATTGCTAACTAGCTGTGATCTGCCCGTGAAAGGAATTGTTCAGCATATTCAGCATACGTGGATCAGCAAACCAATTTATAAGTTCTATTGAGTAATATTTTTTGCTTAAGCCTAATAGAACATCAGTCAAGGACCCAAACGAATGGAGATAGATTTTGGTGGACTTTGCTGTCCCTTTCTTTCCTTGTTTCTTTTTCTCTCTAAAAATTATCTTTTACATATTAAAACTGAAGGTTGTTCAAAGTTAGTTTCCAGTTTCTTCATTCTTTTATTTTTCTGGTTGAATCTTCAAATTTACATTTTCTTCAGTTTTGAAAAGCCATAGTTCACAGTGATCCAATTGTAGTGGTGTTAGATTCATTTATAAACATGCCCAACCTCATTCGGAATAAAAACAATTTAAACTTTGGGCTCAGAGAGAAAACTGCAAGATTAACTCTTTATAACTATTTTCAGCATTTGATTGAAATTTTTGATTTTTGTCACATTTTTGGAATAAGGACAGTGTAGCCCAACCTTGTTCTATTATTTCTTTTCCTATGGCTATTTATTCATACTAATTATAGATGTTCCATGATTATATTTACTTTAAAATATGAAGTATCTGAAGAACTCTTACAATTTCTTTTTTTTTTCTTCTGGTAGCTCTTACAAGATCCATGTGGTTATTCAAGACACAAACAAGTATGTCCCTACAATAATTCATCTTGTCGGCTTATTTTAAGTACTTTAAAATTTGAACGTTCATGAGATAAAAAATATGAATTTCATTTTTGCATCAG
Source organism: Homo sapiens (assembly GCF_000001405.40). NCBI lineage: Eukaryota > Metazoa > Chordata > Mammalia > Primates > Hominidae > Homo > Homo sapiens. The sequence goes on from NC_000017.11 coordinate 54,717,184, forward strand.
GGTCTCACTCTGTCACCCAGGCTAGAGGGCAATGGTGTAATCATGGCTTAGTGCAGCCTCAACTTCCTGGGTGCAAGTGATCCTCCCACCTCAGCCTCCCAAGTGGCTGGGACTGCAAGCATGTGCCAACATGCCCAGCTGATTATTTTCTGTATTTTTTATAGAGACGGGGTCTTACTATATTGCCCAGGCCGGTCTGAAACTTCTGGACTCAAGCAATACTGCCTCGGCCTCCCAAAGTGCTGGGATTGCAGGCATGAGCCACCATGTTCAGCCCATTATTTTTTAAAGGAAAAAAAACTTTATTGAGCTTTATTTATTTATATATAATTCATATATCATAAAGTTCAAAATTTTAAATTGTACAATCCAGTACTTTATAGTATATGCACAATGTTGTATATCATTCACCACCGTTCAATTCTAGAACATTCCCTCCCCTCCCAGTCCTGGCAAACACTAGTCTGCTTTCTGACTTTTTGGATTTGCATATCCTGGACATTTCATATCATTGGAACCATACAATATGTGGCCTTTTGTTTCTTTCCCTCATGATAATGTTTCAAAGTTCATCTGTGCAGTAGAGTATATCAGAATTCTATTCCTTTTGATAGCCAGATAATATTCTATTATATGGATATACAGTACTGCATTTTATTTATTCATCAGGTAGTTGGAATCCATTGTTTTTGAATCATTGTCAATCTTCAATGATAAAAAGTCTGAAATTATAATTTGGTACAGAGCAGTTTTTGATATATACTTTAGACATTAAAAAATGTGTGTATGTGTATGTGTGTATGTTTTAATTTTTATATGTTTTAATCTTGCATTTCAAAACTCTAAAAAATTATTAGTTCTAAAACACTGTGATTATCCAAAGGTTTTGAATGAGAGATTATGTATAATATCCTAAAATTAAGAAGGAAGAGGATTTGGTCATCTGTAAAGGAAAATTTTTAACATATCCTTTTTTCCTAGGTAAACATTCACTAGACCCTTTTTTTTCCCTCTCCTTGTATCTCTAAATAAAAGGCATCTCACTGACAAGAATTTTAATTCTTTATCTTTCTTCCCTCATCTGATTGGTCAGGATGCCCAGTGTGTTCTACCTTATTAATAGCTCCCATTTGTTCTTTCCTTTCTGTTCTCACCACCAGAAACTGAGTTCAACTTTATTCCATATGATAACAGAGCGACTTACTTTACGTGTATCAGAGAACTTATCAATCTTTGTACTTGTCTCCTTCCAGCCACAAGCCAGTAAGCTCTTGGAAAGCAGGAAGTGTCATTTTGCTCTTGGCTTTCCTCCATAGTGGCTGGCAAAGAGTTTGTACTCAACTGTTGGCTGAAAAAAATGATGATGAACAAGTGGTATGAATAATATTAGCACTTAATTTTTTTCCTCTTCTTTAGTATAGTGTTTCTCAATGTTTCTTAGCAGAAAACCTCAAGATTTTCAAAAGAGGATGTTATTATTTTTGAGTTACAAAAAATTTCAGAAACTATACTGTTAAAAATTATGTTAAATTCATTTTAAATATAAACTAATATGCATAATAGACACTAAAATGTTTTCAAAAAATATGGAAATCAATAAATGTAATCCATCACATAAACAGAACCAATGACAAAAACCACAATTTTCTCAATAGATGCAGAAAAAATCTTCAATAGAATTCAACATCCTTTCATGTTAAAAACTCTCAAAAAACTAGGCATTGATGGAACATATCTCAAAATAATAAGAGCTATTTATGACAAACCCACAACCAATATCATACTGAATGGGCAAAAGCTGGAAGCATTCCCTTTGAAAACCATCACAAGACAAGGATGTCCTCTCTCACCATTCCTATTCAACATAGTATTGTAAGTTCTGGCCAGGGCAATCAGGCAAGAAAAAGAAATAAACGGTATTCAAACAGGAAGAGAGGAAGTCAAATTGTCTCTGCAGACGACATGATCCTATATTTGGAAAACACCATCGTCTCAGCCTAAAAGCTCCTTAACCTGATAAGTAAATTCAACAATGTCTCAGTATACAAAATCAATGTGCAAAAATCACAAGCATTCCTTTACACCAACAATAGACAAGCAGAGAGCCAAATCATGAATAAACTTCCATTCACAATTGCTACAAAGAGAATAAAATACCTAGGAATACAGCTAACAAGGAACGTGAAGGACCTCTTCAAGGAGAACTACAAACCACCACTCAAAGAAATAAGAGAGGAAACAAACAAATGGAAAAACATTCCATCCTCATGAACAGAAAAAAACAATATCATGAAAATGGCCATGGTGCCCAAAAGAATTTATAGATTCAATATTATTCCCAAACTACCACGGACATTCTTCACAGAATTAGAAAAAAATACTTTAAAATTCATATGGAACCAAAAAAAGAGCCCGAATAGCCAAGACAATTCTAAGCAAAAAGAATAAAGCTGGAGGCATCATGCTACCTTACTTCAAACTATACTACAAGGCTACAGTAACCAAGACAACATGGTACTGGTACAAAAACAGACACATAGACCAATGGAGCAGAATAGAGATTTTAGAAATAAGACCATACATCTACAACCATCTGATCTTTGACAAACCTGACCAAAACAAGCAATGGGGAAAGGACTCCCTATTTAATAAATAGTGCTGGGAAAACTAGCTAGCCATATGCAGAAAATTGAAACTGGACCCCTTCCTTACAGCTTATACAAAAATTAACTCAAGATGGATTAAAGACTTAAATTTAAAACCCAAAACTATAAAAACCCTAGAAGAAAATCTAGGCAATACCATTCAGGACATAGGAACAGGAAAAGATTTAATGACAGAAACATCAAAAGCAATTGCAACAAAAGCAGAAATTGACAAATGGGACCTAATTAAAGTAAACAGCTTCTGCACAGCAAATGAAACTATCTCCAGAGTCAACAGAACCTACAGAATGGGAGAAAGTTTTTGCAACCTATCCATCTGACAAAGTTCTAGTATCCAGAATTTTCAGGGAACTTGAACAAATTTACAAGAAATAAACAAACAGCCTCATCAAAAAGTAGGCAAAGGACATGAACAGACACTTTTCAAAAGAAGACATTTATGCAGCCAACAAACATGAAAAAAGCTCAACATTACTGATCATTAGAGAAATGCAAATCGAAACAACAATGACATACCATCTCATGCCAGTCAGAAAGACGATTTTTAAAAAGTCAAGAAACAACAGATGCTCTTGAGGCTGTGAGGCTGTGGAGAAAAGGAATGCTTTTACACTGTTGGTGGAAATATAAGTTACTTCAACCATTGTGGAAGACAGTTTGGCAATTCCTCAAGGATCTGGAACAGAAATACTATTTCACCCAGCAATCCCATTACTGGATATATATTACTGGGTATATACCCAAAGGAATATAAATCATTTTATTATAAAGATGCATGCATGTGTATGTCTATTGCAGCACTATTCACAAGCAAAGACATGGAATCAACCCAAATGCCCATCAGTGATAGACTGGAAAAAGAAAATGTGGTACATATACACCATGGAATTCTATGCAGCCATAAAAAGTAACGTCATCATGTCCTTTGCAGGCACATGGATGAAACTGGAAGCCATCATCTTCAGCAAACTAACACAGGAACAGAAAACCAAATACTGCATGTTCTAATTCATAAGTGGGAGCTGAACAATGAGAACACATGGACACGGAGGAGAGCAACTCACACCAGGGCCTATCAGGGGGTGGGGGAAGGGAGAGCATCAGGATAAATAGCTAATGCATGTGGGGCTTAATACCTAGATGATGGGTTGATCAGTGCAGCAAACCACTGCACACATTTACCTATGTAACAAAAGCTGCACGTCCTGCACATGCATCCTAGAACTTAAAATAAAATTTTTTAAAAGTTATACTCTATTATAATCCTCTGTATTATGTTTATATTTATGCTTGTTCTTATAGTTTATATATTTAATTTTCTGAGAACAAATTGATTTTACAAGGTAATGAGATCACCAAAAGTGTGAGCACAGTCCACAGCTATAAATAGGTCCCAGCTAATAGCAAAGAGGTAAACAATCCACATGCAAATAGTCAAGAATCCATTCTATGTATTTCTTTAACCTTCTCCTTTTCTCTATACAGAGTCAGAACTTCTTGTTCTAACACAAGGACTTCATAAAAAGACATATCCAAATAAAAATAATTAAATAAAATGTTGTTCTCTGTGTAAAGCTGCTGTCGTCTGTTTGGAGAGAGGTAAGATTTCTGTTAGAACAGGTCTGAATGAAGAACATGAGCTACTGAGATTCTAGGAAAAATGAGTGGACCATACGAAGAAATGTCTAAAACTACAGAGTAAAGAGTAAACTACTCTTATAAAGGTATTTCTCTCTTTCTCTCTCTCCATCTTTCTTTCTCTCATTTACTCTTTCCCACGTGCACGTGTGTATGCACACACACACACACACACACACACATTCACACAGGAAAAACAATAACCCAGCTTCCTATTACTAAAGACAAAGGTATAAACTAATGCACATGGAGGATCTGTTACTGTGGCAACAGCAACCCCATGTGCTTTGTTTGAACTCAACAAACAATAAAAAATCCTTGAAATTTCGCCTTCATCATCTTCATTGAAAACATTTTCTGAGCTCTGATGAATCATGAAAAGCACCATTTGATTGCTATTGGGTTACAGAGTATGGAGAAACCAATTTGTTTTTGTTCTTTCAAGGTTATGATTCAAATAGGAATGTCAAGACCAGCTGAAGAATAATGATGGGGCTGATTTATGCCGATACATCAATCACAAATTCTCAAGAAGAAGAAAATGATGGTACATAGTTTAATGCATTATAGACATAGGTATTGGCTACAGATTTAGACAGATTTATAGATATACACACAAATGCAAATATAAGTGTGTGTGTGTATATATACATACATATATAGAGACATATATCTATATGGATACAGAGATTTCTGTTGATTTATAGAAGACATTTGAAACAATTGATCTTCACACAGCCCTCAAACAAACAAAAAATACATGAACATAGTATCCCAATAGTCCAGAATTTTAGAGATAGTAGAGGTATTTCAAAAATATTCTAGTCTCATCTTTCCCAAAGTAATAAATGTAATATTATAATATATTATTTTAGATTATATATGTGCCCTTTATTTTAATCAGTGTTTGTTTTTATCAATATATTATATTTATGGAAAATTTATATCATTGCTACCTGTTTTATAAAGTTTGTTTTTAAACAAATCGAAGTTTAAAATGGATTGATCTGTACTATCTGTGCAAATTTTGTATAACTCTAACACTGTATCATAAATAAAGACTATTAATTTAAAATGATTTGGTTGAAAGGAAAACATTAATTAAAGTATAGATGATCCACAGTTATGACAAACATTATAAGGCAAAACACAAATTACTGCAGGTTGGAAAACACTGATCTTGCCCAAGGTGGTCATTTTGCAAACAAGTAGACCATGACTGAGAGAGTCGCACAGTTCTAAGGCCAAGTGTGGTGGCTCATGCCTGTAATTCCAGCACTTTGGGAGGCCAAGGCAGGCAGATCACATGAGGCCAGGAGTTCGGGACCAGCCTGGCCAACATGGCAAAACCCTGTCTCTACTAAAAATATCAAAATGAGCCAGGTGTGGTGGTGCATGTCTGTAGTCCCAGCTACTCGGGTGGCTGAGGCACAAGAATCACTTAAACCCAGGAGACTGAGGTTGTAGTGAGCCAAGATCATGCCACTGCACTCCAGCCTGGGCCACAGAGGGAGACTCGGTCAAAAAAAAAAAAAAAGAGTCACACACTGTTCTAGATTCATGTTCAGCCTCCAGACCTGCTGTTTCTGGTGTAGAGCTTTCTCTACCTATCATGTTGCCTTCTTTTCTCATTGAGTCAGTTCTTTGCAACTGCATCTTCTAGGGTGAATCTGTATTCTGTTCCTTATTGTTGCACAGCATGCAGGGTTAGCTGCTTTATTTCTCCGAGAAACCTCACAGCTATTGTAATATATCGGAGAGGATCAAATCCGGAGAAAGAAACTACACCAGTAATTGTAACAGGGAACACTTAATTTAAAAATTGTTAAGGAGTAAAGAGTGGTTAACTACTAAAAGGCGTAAAGAGGATACAAAGGCATAGTAGCCACTGAAGTAGCAATTATAGAAAACAGCCACCTTTCCTAGGGATGAAGGAGAACAAACAAGGAAGGAATTTAGCAACTTTCATTGGAGCCCTTTCCACAGTCGGATTCAGACCTCTGGGGAAAGGTGTGGCTGCACAAGAACACATAGTCCATTAGTAGAAAATTAGCTTGTTGGAGGGCACCAGCTGTCATTGGACCACAGGAGCAGCCTGCTGCTGAGTGGAGGAAAAACTTACTGAACAGTATGGACTGCAGCTAAACCATGAGGAAGGCTGAGGTGAGCATAACTCCCACCAACACACACACACATGACAATATGCTGGCTTCCACAGCATGATGGAAGAAGGAAAAGAAGTCCTTCTTCCTGATCTGGCCTTGAAGAATTACTCCAGCACCCTTTATTATTAAAGATTAACATTGTGCCAGCTGGGAAGAAGAAATGTTCATAGGGTCCAGTTCTAGTATCACAAAGCACAGTGAAGAAGGGTAAATTTCAGGCTAAAAGGCAAAAATTAATAGTAGTATAACTAATTTAAAGATGTGGTCCATTAGTGCACACTGTTATTCAAAAACAAAATAGACTATAAGAAAATTATTCCTGTGCAATAAGAATAGAGCCTAAGGCTTTTAAGTCTGAATGAGGGACTATAAATTTTTCAAAATGAGAATTTGTTTCTAAAATTTTCCATTTAAAATATCCATTCCTTGCCAAAGTTTACTTAAAGCGTTCTTTAAACTCATTATTTAAAATTATTTAATTACAAATAATAAATATCTTGTGGCAAAATATACTACATATGATATCAAAAGAAAATACAAACTATTTGCAATATGTATGAATGACAAAGATAATTATCATTAATTTATAAAGAGTTCCTTCAGACTGATTAGAAAGGCAAATAAATCAATATAAAGTGGGCAAAGTATTTGAAGAGGCAATCATAGAAAATGAAATGCAAAAGGTCAACATATATATGAAAATATACTCAAACAAAATAGTTGATAAAATACAAAATAAATCATCACATTACTTAAAATGTGAAATTTTTCCCTCTGATTGAAACATTTTAATAACATCCCATGATACCAAGGATGTAAGAAAATAAACCTAATCACACATTGTTGAGCATTGTAACTTTCAACAATTTCTGAATAGCCTTCTGGTAGTATTAATTAAAATTTATAATGCAATTATCTTTGGACCAAGCAATCTACTTCTTGGAAGTTTTTTATAAAATATATATCTATATATGACTAAATATATATATATATGGATATATATGAATGATTCAGAAAGCAATATACTTTATTAGCAAAAAAAAACTGGAATAATCTGAATGTCTATCAGTACAAGAAGGAATGATTAAATTATGGTAATTCTCAATACGAAACAAAATACAGTAATTTAAAACTCAGTTATATTTTTGAATGTTGATTTGAAAGTGTATTCATAAAATAAGGTGAAATGAAAAAAAGTTTCCAAATAACACATATTTTGATCCTGTTTTTATAATGCAATTACATATGGATATAGCTGGTATAATCTTGTTTAGGCAGATAAAAATGTATAGTGTAGAATGAGGAACATTGCCTTTTAAACAGTGGTTACATTAGTGTGCAGAAGTAAAGCTTTCAAGAAGACAATTTTAATAGAAATAGTCCCATAATGTTCAAATTATTAGAACAGGCATAAATTACTTTTAAAATTTAAATAGTTAATATATAAATATATATGCTTTCTTTATTGCTGTCCTGTGAACCTGTAATCTCCTTTTTCCTATGGCTAAGGGAGAAAAAGAGCCATTTTAGTGGGTAGATTTATAATTTTAAAAATTAGACTTGGTGATGTGTGAGATCCCTTCTTTTTCAGTATTACGTAAGGTATGTGGGAGATGTGTTGTCAGATGGAAGGAGGGAGTGTGGCTGCCTTATGGAGGAAGACAAGTGGGCTGTGTAAAGATTTTGAGGATGAATACAGATGAGCAAAGCTGAAGGACAGTTTTCTAAGCAGAAGTGAAGTGGGCAGTGAATTCTATATTCATGTTCTTCATTCACAAGAAATAGTATCATCAGGAAAGAAAAAAATGCAAACAACCTTCACCCTTCAAAGTATAGCAGAGGGATTAAAGGATGCCATCTGCCTCATGCACTGTCACAGGAAATTAATTTCTTAAGGTGCTAGCAAGTTCAGATTGCTACTTCAACCTATCTAGTTGAAAATCAGAGGAAATCTTAGAAATAACTAGTCAAGGTAACTGTACACAGTACAAGATAAAGCCTGACTCAGTTATAAATAGCAATGACAGAGTTAGCTTAAAGAGGAGAGGATCCTTCTGGATAACCTTACATGCAATACAAACACAAATGTAAGACTTGAAACTATGAAACTACTATGAGAAAACATAGGGGAAATGCTTCATGGCATTAATCTGGACAAAATTTATTTTACATAAGACTGCAAGAGCATAGGCAACAAAAGCAAAAACAGACAAATGTGATTGCATCAAAGAAGCTTCTGTACAGCAAAGGAAATAATCAACAGAATGAAGAGACAAACTACAAACTGGGAGAAAATATTTGCAAACTATACCTCTGATAGGTATTAATATGGAAGACAACAAGCCTTGGCTAAGATGTAGAGAAAAAGGAACATTTACACCCTGTTGGTAGGAATGCAAATTAGTACAGTCACTATAAAAATAGTATGGAGGTTTGTCAAAAAATTAAAAAAAGAACTACCATACTATCCCACAATCCCACTGGTGGGTATATGTATCCAAAGGAAAAGACACAGTATATCAAAGAGATATCTGCACTCCCATATTTACTACAGCACTATTCACAATAGCCAAGATATTGAATGAAGTTAAGTGTCCATCAATGGATGAATGAATGAACAAAGAAAAGGTGGTACATATAAAAAATGGAATACTATTCAGCAATAAAAAAGAATGAAGTCTTGTCATTTGTTACAACATCAACAATCCTGGAGGACATTCACTTAAGTGGAGTAAGTCAGAAACAGAAAGATAAATGCCAATGATCTCACTCACATGTGGAATCAAAAAAATCTAATTTCATAGAATAGAGAATAGTGGTTATCAGAGGTTGGGGAGGGTAGTGGGTAGCACTTGTTGGGTGGAAGGATAGAGAGAGGTTAGTCAATGGGTATAAAGCTGCAATTAGATAGATGGAATAAGTTCTGGTGCTTTATTGTGCAGTAGTACGACTATAACTAGAAATAATATATTGTATACATATTCCAAATAGCTAGAAGAGAGGGTTCTGAATGTTCTTGCCACAAAGAAATATTAGATGTTTGAGGTAATAGATTTGTTACATATCCTGATTTGATTATTACATAAGGTATACACACATTGAAATATCACATTGTACACCATAATTTCATACAATTATATGTCAATTAAAAATAAAACTAAAAATTCATGATCAGCTGGTTATAGCAATGTATAAGATGCAGCATTCCTTTGGAAATAGCAGGTGAAGAGGGGAGGCACTTAGGGGTATACATCAATTATGTACCTTGTAGTACCAGATACTTAATTGACTAAATCTCATTGAATACTCAGGACAACATTAGAAGAAGTATTATCACTCTTCTATTTTATAGATGAGAAGGTTACAGAGAGAATTGTCTCATCTGTTTTGCAATGCTAATAGGCAAAGCCAAAACCGAAACCCAATTCAGCTATCCAACCTCTATGATCTTTGTATCACACAATGTCTCCCACACTGACTTATTGTCACAGATGGATATTAGTAAACCATACATTTCAAATGCAATATACTGATTGCATGCTAGCTATGTGTCTAGAAGAGCCATATCTGTAATAAAGAATGTGAAAGAAATATGTATAGTGGAGGTTGCCTTCAGGAAGTAGTGTTGCCATTTGATTCCTTTCTCTTCCTCCTTTTCAGGATTGCTTTACCTGTAAGTTCTATACTTTCTTGTGTTTTTATGATGGTAAATATTGTCCTTTTCTTTCTTTGTTTATTTATTTATTTTTTTTTTTTGAGACAGAGTCTTGCTCTGTCACCCAGGCTGAGATGCAATGGCACAATCTTGCCTCACTACAAATTCTACCTCCTGGTTCATGTGATTCTCATGCCCCAGCCTCCTGAGTAGCTAGGATTACAGGTGTATGCCACCATGCCTGCTAATTTTTGTTTTTTTGGGGAGAGACCAAGTTTTCCCCTGTTCTTGAAACCCTGACCTCAGGTGATCTGCCTGCCTTGGCCTCCCAAAATGCTAGGATTACAGGTGTGAGCCACCATACCCAGTGATCCTTTTCTTTGTGAGTTTAGGATTCCTTCCAGCATCTCTTGTAGGGCTGGCCAAGTGGTAACAAATTCCCCCAGCATTTCTTTGTCTGGGATTTCTTCTCCATTAATAAAGCTTAATCTTGCTGGGTATAGAATTCTTGGTAGACAGGGTTGGTTTTGGTTTTCTTTTTTAGCACTTTAAATATGCCATCCCATTCTCTTCTGTCCTGTAAAGATTCTCCTGAGAAATCTACTGTTAGTCTGATGGGGTTTCCATTATAGGTGACTAGCTGCTTTTCTCTTGCTAATTTTATAATTCTTTCCTTCACTTTTACTTTAAACAGTCTGATTATGATATGCCATGGTAAAGACTTTTTTGCAATTCATCTGCCTGGGGATCTTTGGGCTTCCTGCATTTGAATGTCCAAATATCTTGCTAGAATTGGTAATTTCTTATCAATTATTTTGTTAAATGGATTTTCTAAACTTTTTAATTTTTCTTCCCTCTTAGGAATACCAATAATTTATGTTTGTTCACTTTACGTAGTCCCACACATCTCAAAGGCTTTGTTTGTGCATCTCACCACACTGCCACAGCTGCTGACACATGCAAGTTAGCATGGATCACTCTGTCATCAACCCAATAAAGCACTTTGGCTGGCACCACCCATCATAGTGCTGTGGCCAGCAGACTGGGAATATCTTGGCCCCTCCAGTGCAGTAGATTCCTAACCTTGAGAAGCCACAGAACAAAGATGGGGGGCTGGTATTAGCTCCCAGAGTTAGAACATGCAGACCAGGAGTGCTGAGCTGAGGCTTGGCCCCGTATAATCCTCTAGAATCAAACCCAGTTAACTGATCCTAACTTATACCACAATCATACCTCCAGGAGCATCAAAGGAGATAAAGACCAAAAAAAAAAAAAAATCCAAAAGACAGCAATCTCAAAGATTGAAGGAATATCAATCCACACCGATGGGAAGGAAAAAAAGTGCAATAACTGGCAACTCAAGAAGCCAGAATGTCCTCTTACATAAAAACAGTCACACTAATTCCCCAGCAACAGTTCTTAATCAGATTGCAATAGCTAAGACGACAGAAATAGAATTGAGAGTATGTATAGGAATAAACATTCAGTAGAAAATCAAACCCCTATTGAAGAAATCTAAGAATACTAAAATAATGCAAGAGATAAAAGACAAAATTTCCATTTTAAGAAACAACCAAACTGATCTAATTGAGCTGAAAAACTCACATCAAGAATTTCATAATACAATCACAAATATTCACAGCAGAATGGACAAAGCAGAGGAAAGAACTCACTTCAAGAATTTCATAATGCAATCACAAATATTTACAGCAGAATGGATGAGGCCAAGGAAGGAAACTCAGAGCTTAAAGACCAGTATTCCAAAATTAGTCAGACAAAAATTTTAAAAAACAATAAGAATGAACAAAATATTTGAGAAATACAGGATCATGTAAAGAGACCAAATTTACAATTCATTGGCATCCCTGAAAGAGATGGAGAGAAAGCAATCAACTTGGAAAACATATTTGCAGATATTGTGCATGAAAATGTCCCCAATCTGGCTACAGAAGCCAGCATTTAAATTCAAGAAATGCAGAGAACCCCTGTGAGATACTGTACAAGATGACCATCCCCTAGACATATAGTCATCAGATTCTCCAAGGTCGAAGTGAAAGAAAAAATGTTAAAGGCAGCTAGAGAGACAGGGCAAGTCACCAACAAAGGGAACCTCAATAAACTAATAGCAGACCTTTCAGTAGAAATTCTACAAGCCAGAGTACACGGTGTGTGCTTACTCAAAATTCTTAAAGAAATTCCAAACAAGAATTACATATTCAACCAAACTAAACTTCATAAGACAAGGAGAAATAAGATCCTTTTCAGCCAAGCAAATGCTGAGAGAATTCATTACCATCAAACTTGCCTTACAAAGGACCCTAAAGGAAGTACTAAATATGGAAACGAAATAGTATTACAAGCCACCACAAAAACATACTTAAGTACACAGACCAGTGACACTATAAAGCAACCATGCAAACAAGTCTGTATAATAACCAGCTAACATTATGATGACAGGACCAAATCTACACATATCAATACTAACCTTTAATGTAAATGAGATAAATGCCCATTAAAAGGCACAGAGTAGCAAGTTGGATAAAGCATCAAGACCCAAGTGTATGCTGTCTTCAAGAGATGCATCTCACAAGCAATGACATCCATAGTCTCAAAATAAAGGGAGGTAGAAAAATCTACCAAGGAAATGGAAAACAGAAGATAAAGTAGAGGTTGCTACTCTAATTTCAGACAAAATAGACTATAAACCAATAATGATCAAAAAAGACAAAGAAGGGCATTACATAATGGCAAAGGGTTCAATTCAACAAGGAGACCTAACTCTCCTAAATATATATGCATCCAACACAGGAGCACCCAGATTCATAAAGCAAGTTCCCAGAGACCTGCAAAGAGACTTAGATTCTCAAACAATAATAGTGGGAGACTTCAACACCCCACTGACAGTATTAGACAGATCGTCAAGGTAGAAAACTAACATAGATCTCTGGGACCTAAACTTGACATTTGATCAAATGGTCCTAACTGATATCTACAGAATTCTCCACCAGAATACAACAGAATATACATACTTCTCATCTGCACATGGCACATACTTTAAAATCAACCACATCATTGCCCATAAAGCAATCCTCTGCAAATTAAAAAAAAATGCCAAAATCATACCAAACACACTCACTGGCCACAGTGTAATAAAAAGATAAATCAATATTATGAAAATCACTCAAAACCATATAATTGCATGGAAATTAAACAACCTGAACCTGAACGACTTTGGTAAAGCATGAAATTAAGGCAGAAATCAAGAAATTCTTTGAAATTAATGAGAACAAAGATCACATACCAGAATTTCTAGGAAGCAGCTAAAGCAGTGTCAATAGGATTATAGCACTAAATGCCTACGTCGGAAAGTTAGAAAGATCACAGATTAACAATCTAACATCGCACCTAGAGGAACTAGAGAAACAAGAGCAAACCAACTCCCAGGCTAGCAGAAGACAAAAAATAACCAAATTCAGAAGTGAACAGAAAGAAAATGAGATTCAAAAACCCATAGAAAAGATCAACAAATCCAGGAGTTGGTTCTTTGAAAACTAAATTAGATTAATTGGCTGCTAGCTAGAATAACAAAAATATAGAATATCCAAATACACACAATCATAAATGGCAAAGGGGATATTCCCACTGACCCCACAGAAATACAGGTAACCCTCAGTGATTTCTATAAAAAACTATGCGCACAAACTAGAAAACATACAAGAAATGGGATAAATTCTTAGACACATACAACCTCCCAAGATTGAAAAAGGAAGAAATTGAATCCTTGAACAGACCAGTAATGAGACCCATAATTAAATTAGTAATAAAAAGCTACCAACCAGAAAAAAGCCCAGGACCAGATGAGTTCACAGCCTAATTCTATTCTATCAGATGTATAAAGAAGAACTGGTACCATTTCTACTAAAATTATTCCAAAAAATTCACAGCCTAATTCTACCAGATGTATAAAGAAGAACTGGTACCATTCCTACTGAAATTATTCCAAAAAATTAAGGAGGAGGGATTCCTCCGTAGCTCATTCAAAGAGGTCAGCATCATCCTGATACCAAAAACTGGCAGAGACACACACACAAAATGAAAATTTTAGGCCAATATCCCCGAAGAATATAGATGATGAAAAAGTCCTCAACAAAATACTAGTAAACCAAATTCAGCAGCATGTCAAAAAGCACGTCAAAAACATGAACAAGCAGGCAGTATCCCTGGGAGGCAACGTTGGTTCAACATACACAATTCAATAAGTGTGATTCATCACATAAACATAACTAAAAACCACATGATCATCACAATAGATGCAGAAAAGGCTTTCAATAAAATTCCACATCCCTTCATGTTAAAACCCTCAACAAACTAGGCAACAAACATATTCCCAAATAATAAGAGCCATCTATGCAAACTTATAGCCAACATTATAATGAATGGGTAAAATCTGGAAGCATTCCTCTTAAAAACTGAAACAAAACAAAGATGCTCACTCTCACCACTCCTTTTTAACATGGTACTGGAAGTCTCAGCTAGAACAATCAGGCAAGAGAAAAAAATAAAAATGCATCCAACTAGGAAGAGAAAAAGTCAAACTATCTCTGCAGATGATATTACTCTATACCTAGGAAACCCCATAGTCTCTGCTCAAAAGCATCTAGATCCGATAAACAACTTCAGCAAAGTTTCAGGATACAAAATCAATGCACAAAAAAAAATTAGTAGCATTTCTATACACCAACAACATCCAAGCTGAGAGCCAATCAAGTACACAACCCCATTCACAATAGCCACAAAAAGAATGAAATACCCAGAAATACAGCCAGCCATGGAGATGAAAGATCCTACAATGAGAACTACAAAATATCACTCAAAGAAATTTGAGATGATACAAACAAATGGAAAAACATTTCATGCTCATGGATAGAAAAAATAAATATCATTAAAATGGCCATACTGCCCAAAGCAATTTATAAATTCAATGCTGTTTATCTATTAATGTACCATTGACATTCTTCACAGAACTAGATGAAACTATTTTAAATTTCATATGGAGCCAAAAAAGAGGCTGAATAGCCAAGGCAATCCTAACCAAAAAGAACAAAGCTGAAGGCATCAAATTACCCAACTTCAAACTATACTACAATGCTACAGTAACCAAAACAGCATGGTACTGCTACAAAAACAGACACATAGACCATTGGAACAAAATAGAGAGCCAAGAAATAAAGCCACACACTTGCAATCATCTGTTCCTTGACAAAGTTGACAAAAGCAAGCAGTGGGGAAAGGACTCTGTATTCCATATATGATGCTGGGATAACTGGCTAGCCATATTCAGAAGATTTACACTAGGCCCCTTCCTTACTCCATACATAAAAATTAACTTCAGACTTAAATGTAAAACCAAAAACTGAAAACACTGGAAGATAACCTAGGAAATACCATTCTGGACATAGGCCCTGGAAAGGACTTCTTGAATAAGACACCAAAAGCAATTGCAACAAAAATAAAAGTTTACAAATGGGACCTAATTAAACTAAAGAGCTTCTGCACAGCAAAAGAAACTATCAACAGAGTAAACAGACAACCTACAGATGGGGGAATATATTTGCAAACTATGCATCTAGCAAAGATCTACTATGCAGAATCTATATGGAACTCAAACAAAATAATAAGCAAAAAACAACCCCATTAAAAAGTAGGCAAAGGTCATGAATACTTTTCAAAAAAAGATATATAAGCAGTCACCATACAAGCCTATGAAAAAATACTCAACATCAGCCAGGTGCGGTGGCTCACTCCTGTAATCCCAGCACTTTGGGAGGCCGAGGCAGGCAGATCATGAGGTCAGGAAATCAAGACTATCCTGGCTAACACAGTGAAACTCTGTCTCTACTAAAAATACAAAAAATTAGCTGGGGGTGGTGGCAGGCACCTGTAGGCCCAGCTACTTGGGAGGCTGACGTGGGAGAATGGCATGAACCCGGGAGGCAGAGCTTGCAATGAGCCGAGATTGTGCCACTGCACTCCAGCCTGGGCGACAGTGCAAGACTCTGTCTAAAAAAATTAATAAATAAAAAATACTCAACATCATTAATAATCAGGGAAATGCATATGAAAATCACAATGAAATACTATCTCACACCACTCAGAATGGCTATTATTAAAAGACAAAAAATAACAGATGTTGGTGAGGTTGCATAGGAAAGCACTTCTACACTGCTTGTGGGAATGTAAATTAGTTCAGCCATTGTGGAAAGCATTGTGGCAATTTCTCAAAGAACTTGGAACAGAATTACCATTTTATCTGGCAAACCCATTATTGAGTATATAGCCAAAGGAATATAAATTATTCTACCATACTGACACATGCACATGTATGTTCATTGCAGCACTATTCACAATAGCAAAGATATGGAATCAACCTAAATGCCCATCAATGGTAGACTGGATAAAGAAAATGTGGCACATTTACACAATGGAATATTATGCAGGCATAAAAAAGAACAAGATTATGTCCTTTGTAGAAGCATGGATGGAACTGGAGGCCATTATCCTAAGTGAACTAATGCAGAAACAGAAAACCAAATACTGCATGTTCTCACTTATAAGTGGGAGCTAAACACTGAGTACACATGAACTCAGAGAAAGGAACAATAGACACTGAGGTCTACTTGAGGGTGGAAGGTAACAGGAGGGAGAGAATCAAAAAACTACCTATCAGATTGTATGCTTATTACCTGGATGATGAAATAATCTGTCCACCAAACCCTCGTGACACACAATTTACCTACATGAAAAACCTGTACATGTATCCCTGAGCTTAAAAGTTTAAATAAATATAAATAAATAAATAAGTAAAATCAGACAAAGATGGGGTTCAAAACCCATGTCTGGTACTTAATAGCTGTGTAGATCTTGAGCAATTAGTTCAATTATTAAAAATTTGTTTGTGTACTCTGTAGTGTTAGAGGGAGTGTTTCTGAGACTGTGTAGGTCACATTGAGATGCTTTAGAGTAACATATGTGAATTCAGTGTAGCCAAAGTTTACAGAACCTAGGCCAACTCAACTCCACTGCGCCCCAACTTTTAAACAACTCTATAATTATTAGGTGTGTCTAAGATTTTGAGAAATAATGAAAAGATTCACTGGCATATAGGAGAGATTCTTGAACACTAGCTTTCTCAAAGCAGTCTTGAGATAAAGAATAAATCTTTGTGTCTACTAAGTGGAAGAAAATGTGTCCTTTTGGCATCTAGAATTCTAATACAGAATATTAGATCTATATTATCTTTTATGAAGATCTAGAACCCTGAAGAGAAAGATGGTGTCTAGAGATGCAGGCCGATGAAATGCCATAACAATATGGGCTGATGAGAGTAAGAAGCACTGTTTTCAACTTTTTTCTGTTATAAACGACTCTCAGATGTTGAAATTTGTGCATTTTCAAAGCAGGGGTTCCTATAGACCTAAACTTACCTCACCATGTCTTATTGATACAGGACCTAGAAAAAAATTATTTAGGCAGATAGTGAGGACAAGAGTCCTCAGCAAGGTTTCCCTTTTAACAAAAAGCAGCCCCTAAATCACTTCTTTTCTAACATAAAGCAGCCTGAAAAATCGAGCTGCAGACAAAGATAAGCAAGCTGGAAGCTTGCACAGGTGAGTGCCAATAGAAAAGGGCTACCAAGAAGCCAGGTATGTTCAACATGGAGGCTTCATCTTCCATTTTCTTTGTCACCACGTGTATAGGAAAGAACCAGGCAACATGGCACTGGCCAGGTAGAGAACCCATATGCATAATAAAAGATTAGGGTGAGGCAGCCAGCTTCTTGCACACTATGCAAATGACACACCTGGTCTGACCAATCTTCCGTGCCCTATGTAAATTAAACACTGCCTCCTCAAGCTAGTCTATAAAACCCCGTGTATTTCACCACAGAACTGGCAACTAATTTTTCTCCAGGACCCCTCTCTGCACAGAGAGCTCTTCTCTTTCTTTTGACTATTAAACTTCCATTCTTAACACTCTTAACCTCACTCTGGTGTGTCCGCGTCCTAGTTTTCCCTAGCCATGGGACAACGAACCTCAGGTATTACCCCAGAGGAACAATGCCACATCACTATCTCAGACTTTTCTGTCCTTTGAGAGATGGAAGTTTATCATCTCAGAAATAGAGAAGCACTTTAACACGATGACCAGAGAATCTAGCTTAGGATGAATATTTCAGCTCAGCTAATCAACGGGCATTATTATTTTATCATTGACAGCCCAAGGATATTATGTGAAAATAATATGGCTTTCCCATATCCACAGTTATTCAAGGAATGTCCTTCTCAAAATACTGATGAGAAGAGAGGGTAGGGGGCAAAATAGAGGAGACCAGAGAGAGAAGGAAGGATAAGAGGAAAGGAGAGAAATCTATTTTACTGAAGGAAAGTCACAGACTTCTGAATAGATAGGACTACAGGGAAAAGCAAGGAGACAGACGAAAAGATTTGCCTTTCTGATTTCTCCCTCTATATGACTACCTATTGGTTAGTTGATTGATTTATAAATCTGACAAATGTTGTTGTGAATTTTCTGTGTACATGAGTACTGAAATGTGTAACACTTCTCATGTTAATTTTACTGAAGTAGCATTATGTAAGCGGTATGTGTGCCAGAATATTAATTTTAATAATTAGTTGACACTGATCCACCCCTAGTATATTTAACAGCACCTGGAGGGTTTCTTTAGCTTGAGATAATATAAAGATGACAAAAAGGAATTGTTAAAAATGGCTGAACTATCAGTCTGTAATGGGGATATGTTGTAAATATATAGTGTGGAGGGCACAGTGAATTCTGCTATATCCTCTACTCCTCCCTACACTAGAACGCTGGTAATTCTTAATCAATGTAGTGTCTAATGGGCTAGCTCTAGTCTAATTTCCCTTGGTCCTAGAGAGGCTCTTATGGGTTGCACAGTGCTTTGACTCATTGTTTGCACTTCTCGTTTCAGGGGATCGTCTTAATTCTGGATTTATATGTTCAGTCAAAATATAGCCTTTAAGGACTGAGGCTGAATCAAGTGATTTCTAAGGTCAGTTTTCTTTTCTTCCAATATGATCTGAAAAATGTTGGCTAGGGCTTTATTATGTCATTAATCTATGTTTCTATACCCTGGGCACTGAAAGTGGGACATTTTTCCAGGATAACTTCCTTCTGAAGGATTAGAGTTTTCTGTGCAATTAAGTCACAGTGCTGGGAGATAGAAACAGAATGGTTTGTTTAAGGGTTTTTTTTTTCCTTTTTCTCTTTTCTTATTTATTTATGTATTAACTTACTTACTTATTGATTGAATTTTTGGGTGTTTTATGAGAAAAATCACTTCCTGACAAGAAAATGAAACTAAATGTGGACTTTCTGTTTTATAGTATATTGACACTTCCTGTGTAGCCTCATAAAACTCCCCCCCAGGCAACATTCTAAGGAAGGAACTGTTAAATCACTTCATAACCAGTATCATGTGGAATACACATAATCTTCTGCTAGACCTTAAAAACACAAGAAATCCAAAACAATTTTGTCTGCCTTCAAGAAGTTAACAATCTATTCATCCATTCCATGAATTCATTAAAAAATCCTTTCAAGGAATTACCATGTGCTAAGCTAAATCTAACTGGGGACACAAGCCACACAAATAAAAACTTTCTCTACCAGAAATGAAAAATATAGTATTGCAATACTAACATTGGTATTTTCATTACTAAATATTACTATAACATAGCACAAGTTTGTGTTAAGTTAATGGTACAGATTGCATAACAACCATGGGAGTTCAGAAGCAAGAAAAGTTACAAGAAACTAGGTGTGTCAGAGAGAAGGATTCTTTCTAAAAACAGTATTTTGCCTGGCATATAAAGAAGAGCTTAATTTGTCATCATTATTTTTGTGGCATCTGCCTTTCCCAAACCAAATCTTTAAGTAAGAGTCTCTCACCTGGGCAAATCATTGCACTATACATTTCTCTATCTTTACCTCATCGGGAGGTAAAGAAAAATCTCCAACACCCTTTCTGCCAAAGACAGGCAGCCAGAAAAGGGAGCACTTGACAGTCTGCTTATTCTATTTTCTCTGGTATTAGGCTGGAATCTATGATACTATTATTCTAAAAAGAAAGTAATCAACATGAAAAAGAGTTTAATTTTTTCTACCCATGCCTCCACTAAAGGATCACTTGGATTTTATATTTCTAAATAGTTATGAGAAAAGAAAAGAAATAAATATGTTGGGTTGGCCGACATAACCATCAAAAAGCCAGATTCATATATTCAGGTTGGGGACAACCACTTGTCCTGATCACAGGAATTCTATTCGTAGAATTTCAGAACCAGAAGAGATATTTTGAATATAAGAGATAAACAATCCACTCTGCATTGAAGCAGGAATAGGGCCCAGAAGCTGGTCCACTCAGCTTCCAACTCATTGCTTTTCAGTAAAAATCATGACATCTCAATGGAAACATAGCATTCACTTTTAAACCGTTGATCTAGGCCAACCCACTAACCAAGAATTTACCAGAAAGGTTAAATGGTCCACTACCAGTGGTGAGACTGCTAATTGGTGGTGCCTACTAGGCAATATCTCAGCCCAGTGCTTCAGTTATTACTCTCAGTTCATCATCAAAATAAACATTACCTCCAAATTACCCTCAGGACTGACTACATATTTTGCAACAAATGTTAAAAATGTTTAAAAGGTGACAGAAGAGCATTAAATAAATCATGAGGCTCTTGTAGGCTTGGGGATTCTGTGTGACTGCAGAGATTGCATATCCTTGACGCCAATCTATTTTGATCCTAAAGACGGAGACAGAAAATGGGTAACTAGTTAAATTTTCAATTCCAAGTGAAAGTCATTTACAGCTTCAGTAACTTTTTCCATGTTTTCCATCTAAGAAACTCAGGTAGATCATTCAGGCAGCAAGTCTCTGGAGAGGAGTCTGCTGGTTTTCTGTAGTAAATTTTACAACACAGTCCTTGAGACTTGAATTTTTACCCTCCAGGAAAAAAATAAATAAATAAAGGCAACTGCCCATCAGTGACCCATATTCTGCCTCCTTTGCTCCTATTAAACTTTTCTGTTCTAGATACTATTCTTGATTCTTTTATGTGAATTGAAGTCCTAAAGTTGGAAGGTGGGGTAAAATATTATAGCAGCCAGGGGAGGTTAGCCTGATTTTCAGGCGAAACAGATGGGCAATCAAGGGATTTGAGAGTTCAGTCTCTCTTACTGCATTTTTTGAAGTTTTTCTCAAAGTGCAGTGAGTAAACTAGACCTTGGAGAATTCATTTGATGTAGGTCAACAAAGTTCTGCCCTTTTGCCAGCTTTTTGGACCCATCTACCCTCACCAGGCCTCAGAGTTGGCAATCCAGCAGAAAAATCTCCAACACCCTTTCTGCCAAAGACATGCAGCCAGAAAAGGGAGCACTTGACAGTCTGCTTATTCTATTTTCTCTGGTATTAGGCTGGAATCTATGATGCTATTATTCTAAAAAGAAAGTAATCAACATGAAAAGAGTTTAATTTTTTCTACCCATGCCTCCACTGAAGGATCACTTGGATTTTATATTTCTAAATAGTTATGAGAAAAGAAAAGAAATAAATATGTTGGGTTGGCCGACATAACCATCAAAAGGCCAGATTCATATACTCAGGAAGCAGCATTCCCAACAGTTAACTCATGGTCCTCTGAGGGTGTTTAAATTTTTCCTGACCCCATTAGCCTGAAAAACAGAAGGTCTACGTTCCCTTAAAGGCAACTAACTATGCATTCTCTCACCTTAATAAAAAGGTGTAGTGGGGACTACAATCCAAATCAGTGAATAATCAAAAATGTTTCTATTATACTTTGAGATGCACTACTTTTTTATTAGGGGCAGACTTTCCTAATTGTATAGAAAGAAGTAAATATGCATAAGATAGACAAAGTACACACACTGACTAATGAGAGAAGCTACATATCCCAAAGTTTTCCGAGAAGAAAGATGTTTTCAATTTGGGATATAAAAAGGTAGCTAATCCATATATTTTTAAAAGACTCTATAAAAATGCTCTTTATGTGCTCAGAATTAAATTACTGCATCTAAATATACTAATAATTAAAATCAAGAGATCTCTTCCTGGACATTTGTGCATGCCCTCATATCCATATTTTTGTTAGAGAATAGATAGCTTTCACTATATTTTCAAAAAAAGAACCCAGGCCTATCACAGGGTTGATCTTTTTAAAATCCAAAGCACTTCACACCCATTGCTTCAATCTGAGCAACACTTTTAAATATTCTTTAGCTAAGAGGCCTTGAAATAGACTTCCTTGATTTTCTATCTAATGATAAGATATTTATTTGTGAAGACATAGGAAATGTCAAAAATGTACAACTATCCTGAAAACTAACACAATAAAGCTGATAATCTACTCACACCTTGACTCATCAAATGAAACCCTCCTGGACAAAAAGCAAGAAAACACATTGTCCTCTACACCCGACTGCCCCCCCAATCTCAGAGACCTAGAGTTGGTACCCGCCAGAAACTGAACATCTGCCTCTCCTAATCAGCTACCAATATTTGAAAAAGATATCTTTTCATATCCAAATTGGGACTGACATGCTTTCATGGAAATGGAGGAAAAAAGACAATGAGGATTTGAGGGGTCTAAAGGCAGTGGCCTGCCAGATTAAATCACATTCCCACAGTAAAACAACAAAGGCAAAAAGTGATCGGGAGAACTCTCATGATTTTATAGTTTGAAACTCAAGTACAAAGCCTTTTGTTTTTATCTAGATTCATTATTATTGTTGTTGATATATTTTTTATGTTCTTCATACTTTATTGTGAACAGCTGCTGGGGAATAAGATGAGATCCCAACTCAGTATAGCAAGACCAAACCAGATAAATCCCTGATAGAAACTTGAAGTGGAACTGGAAGGTGTGCACATCAAACTGTCCTGGACCTGTAAACCCGAGAAGAGAATTTAAAAGAACTGTGAGCAGGAATAAAGAAAATCCACACATCCTGACAGAGAGAGTATCAGGACAGAAACTACCCCATTCACAAATGTGTTTCTGATTCTTTCAAAATATTACCATAAGGAGTTAAAAGGGTCCAATTAACAATGGACCTGGATGGAAGAGAAAATATTTGCAATGACTGCAACTTCTACAGCCACTTACCTGAAAAGATCTACTACTGTTTTACTGTATGATACCACAAATATGTTTCTCTCTCAAAATTATCAAAGTGGGAAGCCACTTGTCTCCTTGATTTTTCCTAATTTATATTAATTTAAGGATAAATTTATCCACATTTGGTACTGTTCTCACCCCATGGTGCATTTCAATTTCTAATTTCATTGAAGTTTAAAAAACATTTAATGACTAAGATACAAATACTTATAGAATTTATATTCATCTCTTTGATCTTTACAGGTGATTTAACAAAAGCCAATTCTAATTCTTTGGGAGTCACATATATCAGCCCTTCTTTTGCTTGTCCTGATTCTGTCTTATTCAGAATATTTCCATTGAATCCACTGAAGAATCCCTTTCAGAGAGTCAAACTTGCTAATCCCAGTAGTTATAAGATATGAAATATGACGCCATGTTTCCATGTTCAGTCTCTGTGTCTCTGCCGTCATCATTCCCACCATCACAACCTCAGCCCTATCCTCCCTATCAGCTCCTTCATAACCTCTCATCTCCACCACCCCCTGTCCTACCTCCATAATTGATCAGTATGCTCTAGCTTTCTCCTTTTCCCAGGACTACTGGAGCTTGTAAATAAGACACTATCTCAGAAATTAGGATCTGCAGGCCCTTCTCTCCCAAGTTTCCTCCTCCATTCTGAATTTCTTTTGCTACCATTAACTTTATTAACATAGGCCCCCTCACCCTGAAACTTTAGAAGCTCATTGTAGAACAGATGTTCTTCCTGAACCCTACCTATGTGGTACCCCTTTCTCTAGATTAATCTCTGCTATCAATTCAGATAAGGAACCTCTGCCTGGACATCTGACTTCCATCCCTTTCATGCCTCTCCTCAAAGATCTGTCAGAGGACTTTCCAATTCCCTTCCCAGAACCAAGCTCCATAACCAAGTATATTTCTCAGCCTTTATACTTGAGTGATCCATATTTCTTTTCATGCTTACCAGACTTTTTGTCTAAACCTTATATACTACATCAAAGTCCTTCAGAGTTACAGTTATAAGCTGTGTTCCTTTGTTTCTGGTTTGTGTTTCTTAGATATCATTGCCTCCTTGACTCTTACTAGTTTGAAATACAAATCTAATTTCTAGCAGCAGGTATCCTAGATTTAATCACATAAAGTATAGGAAGATTTAGCTTTTTGTGCTCAATTCTTCAAAAAAAAAAAAATAGCACACATAGTCCAGATTTGAGGAGAAACAATTCAGTGTATTGAGCTTTTAGATTTATTTCAGTGTGCTGGGAATATAAATATCCTTACATGACTTCTATAAAGAAAAAAAAAAAGTACTCCTGGAAGTCTATAAAATTCCCAAAATTTGAGGTAAGATTCATGTGCCCTGTGTTCTTGTTGAAAAAGAAATAACCTGAATTGTGCTCTAAATAAAGAAGATCCATTACTTTCAATGGTTTGTCTTAGGCAAGCTGATTGCCAAGCAGGAAACATGCTGAACTAGGTCATATGACAAAAGGCCAGTTTGAGAGCATGAAAATAATAATTTTCATCTGCTTCACGGTTGCTACCACTTCCCTTTGCTACCAAATCAGAAAATCATCAATGTAAAAGAATACATGAAATAAAAATGCTAGGAGGTGGAGGCAGCTTAACAATGTTCACTTTTTCCTCATAGAGACCCCAAAGCTTTGTGATCTAGGATTGCATACAATTTAAAGAACCCAGAGTCATAAGCTTAGGGAGAGGACAAAGCAGCACTGAAGGCTGTACCAACTATCATATAAAGAAATTCCCTGTTATGCCATAGTGACTTGTTTCCCTGCTCTGTTGACTTCTGTGTCACAATTAGGAAAATGCTTTTGGCATCCAAAGACACATATTCAGAAATAGACTGAAAGACTGCAGCCAGCTTCTTTGACTATAAGCAACAAAAATAAACACCGACCCACTTAAAAAGGAAATGATTATTTGTTGGAAAGATCTTGGGTAGCTCACGTAGTCAGTAGAACAGCTGGAAAACCTGGCCCTAAGAAGGAGTTCTGGGTAGCAGTGCCATACTAAGCCATCTGATCAAAGTGCCCACACTAGAATGAAGAAGCTCTAAATATTTTTCCATGTTTTTATAGCACCACCAATATCATAGGAGAGATTCTAAATTAGCCAAACTTAGATCATGTGCCCACTCCTTGGACAGGAGAATAAAGACTAACTTAATTTACAGTGCCAACAAGATGGCACAGAATCAGAGAAAAGTTGTTACTCAAAAGTTAATTGGAATGCTATTACAAAAAAGCAGGCGGTGGCTGGGAAATAAATGCTGAGTTGTTGAACATGCAACAAATTTCCACTACATGGCTTGATATATTTATGTAAGATATGTATCTTTCTTCCTTGTTATTCTTTCTGCTCAAATGCTCTTTGTAAGGTCACTCAGCCTATTAGGAGATGCCACCCTGCCTATAAAGACAGTTCACAGAATTCTTGCAACTGAGTTGCAATTCAGATCTTGAGAAGGTGTGCTAAAGTAGCCCATGTAACTTGCTCTGTCCTCATGAACCATGACCCTGACTTAAACTCACTAGGTTACTGCTGCCCTTGGTAATAAATTCAGTGCCTGTCAATTTTTACAAATGTTTTAGGTGAAAGAGTTTGAAGAACCATCCTCTCTTTTCTGCCTCACTAGAGATTCCTCCAGGAAAAAATATAGTTCTTTAACCTCTACTACAAATACCTCCTGCTAGCTAGACCTACATCTCTCTAGGCAGTGTCTTGGAACTCAAGACAGCATTTTTAATTGTCTTGAGAGTATAAAGAAAGAAAAAGAGAGAGAAAGGATGAACACGAAACAGTGAAGAATGGCATGCACATATTTTGTCCGTTTGGAGAGCAGTTATTTCACCTGCACTAAGACAATCAACACAAAGTAAAAACACCAGTTGTTTTTGTCCTACACAGTAGGCCATAAGACCAATGTGACTGATTCCTTTAAATGAAATTAACAAATTACTTAAGGTTCTAATGATCAAGCTGAGAATTTGCAATGGGATACAACAGAAAAATAATAGCATTTGGTAAAAAAAAAAAAAAATCAGACCTGAATTTACATCTCTGCTTCTCTATTAACTAGACAAAATAATGAACCCTCCTAAACCTTATCCAGTATCTCTAAATTGATTTCATTTTGTTGTATTCAATGAGAGAATATATATAAAGTGGCTTGTACTTACTCAATAATGATCATTCATTCTACTGTCTTTGGTACAATTAAAAGAAGAACATCCGGAGCACACAAGAAAGTCTACTCATATGCACTTCTTCATCATTAAATGAGCATTTATTGCATGTCAACACAATGCCAGATACTGTTCTGGAGACTGGGTTTGTTATGGCAAACAAGACAAAGCCTTCTCCCTCATGAAGTCTAAATACTGGGGTAAAAGATAGTGATACATAAACAAATAAAACAGAATATAATTAGAGAAAAATATTGATGAGTGAGTGCTCTGAAGAATAAAATGTAGGATGAGAAGTGATTATTTAAATAAGAAAGTTAAATAATATGGCTTCCCTGAAGAGGTAACATTTGAATAACAATATGAAAAATGAAGAAAAAACGCTGACCTTGGACAGATATGGAGAAAAGTTATCCATGTGGAGAGAACAGCAAGGGTAACAACTCTGAGGTAGCAGTGAGCCTAACATGTTTGAAGAACAACAAGAAGGTCTGTGTGAGCAAGGTTTGAAGAAAGTGAGACAGCCTGTTAGAAGAGGAGATCAGGGCCAGGCGCTGTGGCTCACGCCTGTAATCTCAGCACTTTGGGAGGCCGAGGCAGGCAGATCATGAGGTCAGGAGATTGAAACCATCTTGGCTAACACAGTGAAACCCCATCTCTACTAAAAATACAAAAAATTAGCTGGGTGTGGTGGCAAGCGCCTGTAGTCTCAGCTATTTGGGAGGCTGAGGCAGGAAAATGGCCTAAATCCAGGAGGCAGAGGTTGCAGTGAGCCAAGATCATGCCACTGCACTCCAGCCTGGGAGACAGAGCGAGACTCCATCTAAAAAAAAAAAAAAAAAAAAAGAGGAGATCAGAAGCTGGCTCTGGTCAGATCATATAAGGCCTTATAGGTTTTGGTGTGGAATTTAGATTTCATTCTAGTGTAATGGAAACTCATAGAAGTGTCTTCAGGAAATTAGTGATATGATTTGATTTCTAATTTAAAAGAATCACTCTGACTGCTATATGGGGAAGAAATTCTTGAAAACAATTATCATTCCCCACACTAAACACATTTTAATTCTAGTCACACACTTCTGGCTACAGCCAAGGTTACCCATGCATTTTTAAAAAGTATATTTAACATAACATTTCAAGTGTTGTCTATCCGGTTCCAAGTACAAAGAAACTATTTACCTCAGTTGCTCTGTATACACAAGTTCTATCAACAAAATCTAAGGTCATATTTACTTAAAAAAAAAAAACTGCATGGCAAGATGAAGTAGCAGTGGCTGGACTGATTCCTGCCTGCAGTAATTTTAAAATTGGGCAAAATACATGAAATAGGTTTTTCAGACATTTTATGTTGAGTAACACAGGATCATGATCCTTGAGAAAACTGAAGCAAATGTGAGTCCCACACTTGTTCTAGCTTATTATCTGCAAAGTTTCCACACCACTGATTCAAGGAGATAAATCTAAGAATCCACAGTGGCAAGAGTTCCCAGAGCAAACTACCATGGAGGAGAGGGAAACTGCACAAAGAAGTGGCTCTAGAGGTTTGTAGAGAGTTCCCCTTGAAGCTTCAGCTGAGAACTTACCAGCACATGCATATAGGGAAAGTATGCAAGTTCAAGGAAAGAACCATTCAAAAGGACTAGAGGGAACAGTCTCCAGAGTTCACTTGGCACCAGGAATAGTTTGTGTCCTCACCAGGCAGAATGAAAGAACTTTGTAACACATTGGCAACATTGAGTATTCAGAAGGGCATAGTAATGGAGAAAGATTAGGCATAGACTAAAGACTGCTCTGCTCCATATTAAAAAGTTTCAAAGCAAGCTTAGAAAGGATAAAATAGTTTCCATATAACTTAGTTGCATTCCAGAATAAGTAGAAAGTAGAAATCAAAATATGAATTACAAAGTATTTTGAACTAAGTAAAAATAAAATATCAAAATTAGCAGGATGCAGCAAACACAGCATCTAGAGGGAAATTCATGGCACTTAAAACTTACATTAGAAAAGAAGAAGGTCTCCAATCAGAGAACAGCTCAGTTGTGGAGACCCTAGCCCAGCAGTGCTAGAGGAATTAAAGACACACACACAGAAATATAGAGTGTGGAGTGGGAAATGAGGGGTCTGACAGCCTTCAGAGTTGAGAGCCTCAGTTAGAGATTTACCCACATATTTATTGACAGAAATCTAGTGATAAACATTATTTCTGTAGATTATAGATTAACTAAAATATTCCTTACAGGAAACAAAGGGATGGGCCGAAATAAAGGGATGGGCTTTGGCTAGTTATCTGCAGCAGGAACATGTCCTTAAGGCACAGATCACTCATGCTATTGTTTGTAGTTCAGGAAAGCCTTTAAACGGTTTTCTGCCCTGGATGGGCAAGGTGTTCCTTGCCCACATTCCAGTAAACTGACAACCTTCCAGCACGGGCGTCATGGCCATGAAGAACATGTCACAGTTCTGCAGAGATTTTGTTTATGGCGAGTTTGAGGGCCAGTTTATGGCCAGATTTGGGGGCCTGTTCCCAACATGACTTTAAACAACAACAACAAAAAAGACCAAATTGTAACCAAAATGAGTGGAAGAAAGGAATAACATCAGAGTACACATCAATGAAATAGAAAACATAAAAGCAATAGTGAAAATCAATAAAAACACCAAGAGTTGGTCCTTTGAATAGACAAATGAAAGTGATAAATCTCTAGCCAGATCCATCAGTATAAAAAGGAAAGACATAACCTAAAAGAGAGAGGAGACATAACTACAGATCCCACAAATAATAAAATATAATATAAGGGAATATTATAAATACTATACCTACAAATTTGAGATATCCAATAAAATGGAAAGATTCCTTGAAATACATAACTATAATTCACTCTAGAATAATTAGATAATCTGTACAGCTCTAATACCCATTAAAGATATTGGATTTGTATTTTAAAAATATTTCCACAAAACAAATTAGGGCTCAGGTGTTTTCGCTGGTGAATTCTACAAAAGATTTAAAAAGAAAATAATACAATTTTTTTTTAGATACAGGGCCTTGCTCTGTTGCCCAGCCTGGAGTACAGTGGCATGATTATAGCTCATTGCAGCCTTGAACTCAGGTTCAAGGGATCTTCCCACCTCAACCTCCCAAGTAGCAAGGACTAAAGGCATGCACCACCGTGCCTGGCTAATTTTTTAATTTTTTGTAGAGATGGAGTTATGTCGTGTTGCCCAGGCTGGACTCAAACTCCTATGCTTAAGCAATCTTACTGCTTCAGCCTCCCAAAGTACATTTTTTTTAATTTTTATTTTTTAATTTGTGTAGGTGTATAATAGGTGAATGTATTTATGGAGTACATGAAATATTTTGATATAGGCATGCAATGCATAATAATCACATCAGGATAAGTGAGTTGCCCATCACCTCAAACATTTCTCCTTTATTTAAGTTACAAACAATCTAATTGAACTCTCTTAGTTATTTTTAAATGCACAATAAATTATTATTGACTGTAGTCACCCTGTTGTGCTATCAATTATTAGATCATATTCATTCTATCTATCTATATTTTTGAAGCCATTAGCCATCTCCATTTCCACCCCCTACCTGCTCTAGTTCCCAGCCTCTGATAACTATCATTCATTCTCTATCTCCATTAGTTTGTTTTAATTTTTAGCTCCCACAAATAAGCAAGAACATGCAAAGTTTGTCTTTCTGTGCCTGGCTGATTTCACTTAACATAATGACCTCCAGTTTTATCCATGTTGCTGCAAATGACAGGGTTTCTTTCTTTTTTATGGTTGACTAGTACTCCATTGTGTATATGTACCATATTTTTTAATCCATTCTTCTGTCGATGGACACTTAGGTTGCATCCAAATCTTGGCTATTGTGAATAGTGCTGCAATAAACATAGGAGTGCAGATATCTCTTGGATATTCTAGTTTCATTTTTTTTAAATATATACCTAGCAGTGGGATTGCTGGGTTGTATGATAACTCTATTTTTCATCTTTGAGGAACCTCCAAACTGCTCTCTGCAGTGGTTATACTAACCAGCAGTGTATGAGGATTTCCTTTTCTCCACATCCTCACCAGCATTCATTAATATCTGTCTTTTAGATAAAAGACATTTTAACTAGGGTGAGGCGATATCTCATTGTGGTTTTGATTTGTATTTCTCTGATGATCAGTGATGTTGAGCACCTTTTCATATACCTGTTTTCTATTCGTATATCTACTTTTGAGAAATGTCTATTCAAATCTTTTGCCTACTTTTAATCAGATTATTAGATTTTTTTCTTATAGAATTGTTTGAGCACCTTATATATTCTGGTTCTAATCCCTTGTCAGATGGGTAGTTTGGAAATAGTTTCTCCCATTCTGTGGGTTGTCTCTTCATTTTATTGATTGTTTCCTCTGCTGTGCAGAAGCTTCTTATCTTGATGTGATCCCATTTGTCCATTTTTGCTTTGGTTGGCTCTGCTTATGAGGTATTACTCAAGAAATCTTTGCCCAGTTCAACATTCCAGAGAGTTTCCTCAATGTTTTCTTTTAGTAGTTTTAAAGTTTTAGGTCTTAGATTTAAGTATTTAATCCATTTTGATTTGAAATTTGGATATGGTGAGAAATAGGGATCTAGTTTCATTCTTCTGCATAGCGATATCTGATTTTCTCAGCACCATTTAATAAAGAGACTGTCTTTTCTCCCAACGTATGTTCTTGGCTCCTTTGTTGAAAATGAGTTCACTGTAGATGTACAGATTTGTTTCTTTTTTCTCTATTCTGTTCTATTGGTATATGTGTCTGTTTTCTTTCTAGTGTCATGCTGTTTTGGTTACTATAGCTTTGCAGTATAATTTGAAGTCAGATAATGTGATTCATCCAGGTTTGTTCTTTTGGTCAGAATAGCTTTGGCTATTACAGGTCTTTTGTGTTTCTATGTAAATTTTAGGATTTTTTTTTCTATTTCTGTGAAGAATGTCATTGGTATTTTGATAGAGGTTGCACTGAATCTGTAGATTGTTTTGGGTAGTAGGGACATTTTAACATTTCTTTTACTGTTTATTTGCTGTTGGCATATAGAAATGCTACTGATTTTTGCATATTGATTTTGCCCTTCCAGATCTTGTAGGTGTGCTGCACTCTTCTTTATTCTTTTCTCTTTTGTCTCCTCTGACTATGAATTATCAAATAACCTGTCTTCAAGCTTACTCATTCTTTCTTCTGCCTGATCAGTTCTGCTATTAAGAGACTCAGATGCATTCCACAGTATGTCAATTGCATTTTCCAGCTCTAAAATTTCTGTTTGAACCAAAGGCTCTTTACTCAGCTTTTGGTGAATGCTGCCAGACCTGGACTCTCCCTTCACGGCAGTGGCACCCCCTGCCCCAGGGAAGGTCCAGTAATGCCACCTAACAGCCAAGGCCTCAAATCAGAAACCCAAAAAGCCTGTGCTCTAACCCACTGTGGCTGGGGTGATACCTAAGCTGCAAAACAAAGTCACCTTTAATCTTCCCTCTCCTTTTATCATGCAGAAGGAGTCTCTCCCCACAGCCATGACAGCTGAGAATATACTGGGTCATACCTGAAGCCAGCACAACTCTATGTCTCCACCCAAGGACCACAGCAAGTACTGCTTGGCTACCACTGCTGATTATTCAGGGCCCTACGGCTCTTGAGTCAGGAAGTGATAAATCCTGCCAGGAGTGGCTCCTTCCCTTCAAGGCAGCAGGTTCCTTTCTGGCCCAGGGTGTATCTAGAAATGTCATCTAGGAGCTAGGGTCTGGAATGGAAGACTCATGATTCTGCCTGTTATATAATCCTGCTGCGGCTGAGTCGGTATCTGAGTTGCAAAACAAAGTCTGCTTTAATCTCCCCTCTCCTCTCCTCACATGGATGAAAGGAGTCTCTCCCAGAGCTGTGAGCTGTGCAATCTGGGGTGGGGGAAGGTGTGACACAAGCAGTTCCATGGCCACTCCAAGCTGGTGTCTCACTACGTTGCATGCCCCTCAACTCCACTGGCTTCAAGCCCAGCACAGCACCAGGACTAGCCCAGGAATTGTAATCCTTGTGGCCTAGACCGCCTTTCAGTTTTGCTTAGGACACCAGAGCACCTTAGCCTGCTATAGTGGGGCTCACTGGAACTCAGTTTCTGATTGCTGGGATAGGCAATCTTCCAGTGGCTAGGGCTGGTCTAAATGCTCCCTCCATGGGCACTGGCTGAGTTCTCCCTTGTACTGCTTTCTACTGTGACAGGGTAGCACTGAGTTCCAATGCAAAGTCCCACAATCACTGCACTCTCCCATTTCCAAGTGCATAGATTCTCTTTCTATGCCACACAGTTGCTGCTGGGGAAGTGGGGAAGCGTGGCCTTTTGATTCCCCTTGAATCAGGAATTCAAGACAATCTTTCTTACCTTCTTCAGTTCCTTTTTCAGTGGTATGAAGTTAAAACCAGGTACTCTGATCACTCACTTGACTTTTGGTTCCTATGAAGGTTCGTTTTTGCATGGATAGTTGTGCGGTTTGGCATTCCTGCAAGGAGGGCATTCAGTGAAGGCTTCTCTTTGCCCACCTTGCTTCACCTTCTCTTCGCCCATCTTGCTTCACCTTCTCTTCAAAGGACAATTTCTTTTTGAGTTTGGAAAATATATCTTAAAGAACACAAAAAGCACAAAAGAAAAAAATTTTTTAAATTGACTTCACTCAAATTAAAAACTTCTTCTCTTCAAAAGGCATTGCTATAAAAATAAAAATATAACCCACCACCTGAGAAAAAATATTTGCAAAACATTTATCCAATGCTATGGTTTGAATTCTTTCCCTCCAAAATTCATGTTCAAACCATTCTTTTTAGGGATTGGATCTTGCTATGCTGCCCAGGCAGGAGTGCAGTGGCTATTGATACATGCAGCGTCATCACACACTACAGCCTTGAACTACCTCAGCCTTCTAAGTAGCTAAGACTACAGGCACATGCCACAGCACCCAGCTCAAATTTGAAACTTAATCCCCTTTTTGCTCTTCTGCCATGTGAGGACATAGCATTCACCCCTTTTTGCCCTTAACCTTCCATCATGTGAGAATACCTACACAGAGCCATCTATGAGAAACAGGCCACCAGACACCAAACCTGCCAATGCCTTGATCTTATACTTCCCAGCCTCCAGTACTGTGAAGACATACATTTCTGTTCTTAATAAATTACCCAGTCTCACATTTTGTTTTTACAGTGCAAATGGACTAAGACATTAAATAATGAACTTGTATCCAGACTATATAATGAACTCTTGCCACTCAAAAAGGATAAGACAACACCAAAAAAAAATGAGTAAAGATTTGAACACTGTACAAAAAAAAAGACCTAGAAATGATAAATAAGAATTTGACAAGATGCTCAACGTCATTAGTCACCAGGGAAGTGCAATGTCAAACCATAATGAGATAGCACGACTAGAACTGCTACAATTAAAACGCACACCAACTTTTGGTGAGAATATAGAGCACCAAGGAATATCATACACCATTGGTGGGAATGTAAAATGTTTATTAAAAATTTGGCAATTTTTAAAAATCTTAAACACATCTCTAATATATAACAGCCCTATCACTCCAATGAAAATGAAAGCATAAGTCCATGTAAACATTTGTACACGAATGTTCGTAGTAGTTTGATTTGTAATAGGCAAAAACTAGAAAAACTCAAATGTCTATTAACTGTTGAATGAATAAATAAAGCATTCTACTCAGCAATAAAAGTGAATGAACTATTGATACATACATCAACATGGATGAACCTCAGAATAATTATACTGAGAGAAGCTAGGCCAAAATAGAAGAGTATACACTGTATGATTCTACTTACATAAAATTCCAATCTCTAGAAACAAAAAGCTGACAACTTATGCTGTCTGGCCTAGTATACTTTTGTAAATGCTACGTGAATTATTTAAAAGAATATAAATCCCCTAATTGTTGAATATAATTACATTTTTCCATTATATTAAATTTTTAAATTTTGCTAATCTTTAGATTTTTTGTTTCTCTTAATGCATCAATTACTGAGAGACATTTGTTAAAATCTTGTGCTATGTTCATTATTTATTACTTTTCCCCTGAAATTCTGTTGATTTTGGCTTTACATATTTTGAGGTTATTAATTGCAAACAAGTTTATAACTGCTACATCCTCCTAGAGAATTTTCCTCTTTTCATTATTATTTCTAATAATGTTTCCTGACCTAAAGTTTATTTTTTAATATTAATATAGCTACCCCAGCCTTATATCTGTTGGTAATTTCCAGCTACAGCTTTTCCCATTCTTTTACCGTCAACCTCTTTGAATCCTGAAGTTTAAGTGGTTCCCTTATAAACAACTTACATCTACATTTTGTAATAATAATATCTGTTACAGTTAGTAAATTCAGTTCATACATTCATTGTAATTATTTGTACATTTTGACATGTCTGTCATGTTATTTTGTACTTTCTATTTACAGTATTCTGATTTTTTAATTATTTTTCTATTTTTTTCCTTGTCTCCCCCTTTCTAACTTCTATTTTGTTGATCAAGTTCCCTTTATTCTTTTATTTTCTCCACTGGTTAAAAATACAAACATTCTGGGCCGGGCATAGTGGCTCACTCCTGTAATCCCAGCACTTTGGGATGCCAAGGTGGGCAGATTGCTTGATCCCAGGAGCTCAAGACCAGCCTGGGCAACATAGCAAAACCTTGTCTCTACAGAAAATACAAAAATTAGCCAGGAATGGTGGTGTGCACCCCCGTAGTCCAAGCTACTTGTGGGGCTGAGCCTGGGATGTCAAGGCTGCAGTGAGCTGTGTTCACACCACTGCACTCCAGCCTGGGTAACAAAGCAATACCCTGTCTTAAAAAATAAAAAAAATAAAAAAAATTCATCCAGAAGTAACTTAAAATTTTACTTATTTGCTTACTAAAAGTCAAAAGTTAATCACATTTATATACACTTTCTGAACAATACAAAAACTAGGAAATATTTGAAATTTAATCATACACCTCCCCACTTAAACGGGGTTCTTTTTTGTGGTATTTTACTTCCGTTTGTTCATATCACCTCCTACCTCCATTACAGATGATCTATTTATTTTCAGTACAGATTCTTATTTTTACTATTAAAAATTTCAAAGGTACCCATTGGGAATTGAACTACTATGTTTTTTCTTCTTTCTAGAGATTGTAT
The DNA here is from genome assembly GCF_000001405.40 of Homo sapiens. Classification (NCBI taxonomy): domain Eukaryota; kingdom Metazoa; phylum Chordata; class Mammalia; order Primates; family Hominidae; genus Homo; species Homo sapiens. Next base: position 54,752,968 of record NC_000017.11, read on the forward strand.
ACATGTTTCCTGATAAGTAGTTTACCACATATTGCAGTAAACCAAAGCAGACAAATGACCAGTAAAGCTGTTTATTACCTCCTACTCATGCTCAGCTGGACCAGTGGAACACCATCCCAGTAGGAGAGACTTAGGGCAGGAGAAAACTGCAGAGTCCCTACCTAACCCAGAGACCTAGCAAACTGGTTTATACAGAAAGGATTTTCAGCAAACATGCAAATACACCAACATGTTATAAGAGCAAGATATCTTTTAGTCTATTTCTAGCAAACAGCATACATTCATAGGTACCCAGTAAAATAAGAATGAATGCCAACGTAGAAAGTATGTTTGCCTTCACAGCACTGACTAAAAAGCACACAGCATATAATACTTCGATCTTTAAGTGGGTAATCATGGAAGTTCCAAGATCATACCTACTAGGTTAGCCTAAGTATTCATCTATAAAATTTTTTAAAAAACTAAAACTTAAAAGACACTTCTAGAGACAATGGGATTAGCAGAAGACAGTGACACAAGGACTACAAATGTTAAAACGAGGAGTTGTTTTTTGCATGTAGCTTTTATGTAAAGGACATCTCTTTCCATTGATTCCTATGGCCAATACAAGCTGTGGTCATAGGAGATTCTGAAATCTCAAGATGGGCAGCTGGCTTGAATAACACCCTAGATAAATATCAGAAACTACACTGAAGTTGAAGGACTGAAACTCTGACTCATGTAAATAAGAGGTGTGAGTGCACAAAAAAGATTCATGTAAAGCCTGCTGGGACAGAAGGTGTTGATGGTGGATTATTCCACACTGTTACACACCAACATGTATACTGGAGGAAGGGGTCTCCCAGGTGGAATGATTGACACGGCCTGCTCCAGAGGAGTCAAACTCAAAAACACCTAAGAGAGGTGTCTACTTGAGGAGGGGAGGAGTACCAGGGTTACTAAGTGGGGAGGATTACTAAGGTTAATTAATACAAAAAAAAAAAAAAAATACAATAAGGCGTTTCAGGAGAAATAGGTCCAGGAGGGTTAGGTCATTTTGGTTTTGACCTACTGATACTTAGTACGAATGAAGAATTCCAGAACACAGTCAGTCTTTCCAAGACATATTCTTCTGTCATCATCATGAGCAGACTCTGTTGGCTTATTGGGTTGGTGACATCCAGAATGATCCCATTTATTGGCTGGAGGTAGGATCTAGTGCTGCAGATTTTTCTGGAAAGTTGGTATAGATGATTTGCACAACAAAGTCACCACTGGACCACTGCTTAAGTCCAGTCCCCAGCCTTCTTTTTCTGCTCTATAGTCCAAAAACGTTTATCTAAAAGCCAAAACATTGGTAAAGGTGAGCAGCATGTCGCATATGTCACCAGCCACTTCATCTTTATGATACCGTAACATAGTTGTGAAAACTGCTATGTTGAATCCAGGAATCTGCTACAGAGGTTATTCTTCAATATATTTTTTCTGCCAAAAAAATATATTTATTAAAAATAGGCATGTAGTTTAGTTTATTCTCTTCTGTGTCCTCAAAACTCCAGGTAGTACTTGTCTATGAAATTTCTCTGTAAAAAGTAGAACTTTTCATCCATGACAATGTCCTCTAATTATGCAACCACAGCATCAAATTCTGCATCAGAGGCGGAGAAGGACAGATTGAAGCTCTCTTCTTCTAAAGTACCCATGGCCGCCTCTGCTGCCATCACCGCCCCCTAGTGGGCAAGCGGGCGAATTGGGCTCCTGCCCTGTCCAACTCTTACAGAGGGCACGGCGGTCGGCCAGCTGGGAGCAAGCCTCGTGGCCCAGGCTGCCCCCCCGCTCACTGCCTGGCCAGGTGAGCACCTGCATGTCTAGCTTGGCCTCACGCTCCAGCTGTGGTCACGCAGCGCACCAGCTGGGCCTCTTCATCTCACCAGGCTGCTCCGCACGCACCACCAGAGATGATGATGATGATGATGATGATGATGATGATTATTATTATTATTATTATTATTATTATTATTATTATTTTGAGACGAAGTCTCCCTCTGTCGCCCAGGCTGGAGTGCAGTGGCGCAATCTCGGCTCCCCACAACCTCCTCCGAGATTCAAGCGATTCTCCTGCCCCATCTGCCAGAGTAGCTGGGATTAACAGGCTTGCACCACCACACCCAGCTAATTTTTGTATTTTTTAGTAGAGACGGGGTTTCACCGTGTTGACCAAGCTGGTCTTGAACTCCTGACCCCAGGTGATCCACTCGCCTCGGCCTCCCAAAGTACTGGGATTACAGGTGGGAGCCACGGTGCCCGGCCCGCCAGAGATTATTTAAAGGTATTTACATCTTTGCAAATTTCTTTGATGAGTACTTACCTTCAAATATCACTCTTTGTGAGTTCAAGTTTATTTTTCCTGAAGCACATCTTTTAGAAGTTTTTTCAGTGAATGCTAAAAATCCCTTAGCTTTTGTTTTCTGAGAATAACAGCATGTGGTGCTTCACAACACATTACTCTGACGACAACTCTAGGAGCAGGATTATCTTTAGGTTACAGATAAGGACATGTTGCTCAGAAAGGTTATCTTACATCTCCATCAAGTAATGGAGGAAAGCAAGACTCTAAGTAGATCAGTTTGACTCCAATGCTCCAAACCTAATTTCCCAATGCACTGGGAAGGAAAGTCAGGTAGGGATGGGATGGGAGGTGGTGAATTCAACAGTCACGTAGAACTGATCTCTCAGGCATGAGAGTGCTAAACAGCAGCTGTAGTCCCTGGAGACTTAGCTACTTCCTGGGCATTGGTTTAATATTATTTCTTAAAGGAGAAAGAAAGAGAAAGAAACTGGCTATCCATTTTAAACTCATACTTGCTTAGAGTCAGCTGGCTCTCAGGCTAGTCAACAAACCTTGTTATAATACATAGTTCTAGCTTCCATCTGCCTCCTCAGAGCAAATGACATTATCATAGGGTTTTGTTTTGTTTTTATCATTAAACAACCATCAAACATAAGTATTCAACTTGTGTGGGTTTTTTTGTCCCTCCTTTGGTCACCAGGAACTTTTGGCTTGCTCTGCTTAGAGAGCTCTTTCTGATTTTCTCAAGACATTGGTGTTCTGTGCCTCTTGTGTGTCCTGGTGAACTCCATTTACTATACTGTAATTTGAGAAGAATTGAGACAAGAGTTATGAAAAGTGAAAGGAGATCATAGGTTGGAGTTACATGTCGAAGCTCCCTCTTACTCTGTTGGGTTTTACACGCATCCTCAACAACAGTCGATATAGGCCATTTGTAGTGTCAAGTGCCAAGATTTTGCTCACATAAGTTTATCTGTCCAAAATCTTTGCTGCTTCCTGCCTGCCTGGGAAAATGCCATCCATGCTCTCAGAGTGGCCCAATTCTCACCTCCAGGATAGCTTTCCTTCTCCCACTCATGCTGCTCCCTCCCAATATGCACAAATTCAGTTCACAGTGCTATCTACTGTTCCTGTCATCTTTATCTTTTCTTCTTCAGTAGCTTATGAGCTCCTCAAAAGAAGGGAGTATTTCTTTTTAAACTCTTACGGTAATTGACCAAACTAACAGCATGGTGGAGGTGCCAATAAATTTCTGCTGATTCAGTGACTCTGTGTCTAGTAATGATATTGCTTGTTCTACCACCCCATGAGAATATGTGAACATGTAGAATAGAGAAGATAGGATTTTAGAATCACATAGAGCTAGGTTCAAGTTTCAGATCATTGCTCAGTAGCTATACAACCTTGGGTCATTTTCACACATGAGTGAATCTTAGAGTTTTTATCTATAAAATGAACCTTCAAGGATCATTGAGGATTAAATGAATTATGTGTCTAAAAGTGCCTAACGTTGAACTGGTATATAGTAAAGGCTCTAAACATGTCAATATTTCTCATGTCTCCAAGGAAAAAGATTTCTTAGTAAATAGCCTCTAATCATCAAAGGTTCCTAAGGAGCAACATCATAGAAGGCACTCTATGCAAATGTATGCTCTTAATCTCAGCCCCATATTATAGGATAATGTTTCCTAAAATATAAACCAAGGACAGACTACATGGTTTGTTAAAAGACATGGATTGGGTGATCCTGATAAAAAAAAATAACCCAAGAGGCCCAGCGTGGTGGCTCATACCTGTAATCCCAGCACTTTGGGAGGCCAAGGTAGGCGGATCACTTGAGGTCAGGAATTTGAGGCCGGCCGGGCCAATATGGTGAAACCTCATCTCTGCTTAAAAAAAATACAAAAATTAGCTGCAAAAATTAGCTGGGTGTGGTGGCAGGAGCCTGTGATCCCAGATACTCGGGAGGCTGAGGCAGGAGAATCACCTGAAGCCAGGAGGTGAAGGTTGCAGTGAGCTGAGATCATGCCACTACACTCCAGCCTGGGTGACAAGAGCAAGACTGAGTCTCAAAAATAAATAAATAAAAGAAAAGAAATCTGAGAATCATGGCAACAGAATGAACTTGTATCACATCAATGTCATTACAGTCATGATTCCAGTGCTCCTCATGGGCAAGACCGCTTCTCATAGAATTCTCTCTTAACAGTGATTTCTTCCTGTTTATACTGCATGTTACAGAAACTGGCGGTATTTATCTTGCAGCTACATGGATTTATATTTTGTCAAACTATTAACCATTTTGGGAAATAAATCACAAAAAGTTGGAAATAATCTAAATGTGGATCCATAATGGATAAGTGATTTTCTGGTAAAGTCATGTGATAAAATGAATTACTAGTAATTTAATAGTTAATATGAATCACTAGACCCACATGTGTCCACGTGGATCGGTCTCAAAAACACTGTTGAATGAAACAAGGAGTTTCGGAACATTTACGGTTGTCCCTCAGTACATGCAGAGGACTGCTTCCAGGGAGCCTGAGTATACCAAAGTCTGAGCACATTCAAGTCCCATAGGCAGCGCTGTGAAGCCTGTATATACGAAAAATTGGCCTTCCATATAGGCTGGTTTCACAACCTGCTAATATTGTATTTTCAATCTGTGTTTGGAAAACATCTGCATCTAAGTGGAGCCACACGTTTCAAACTCATGTTGTTCAAGGGTCAACTGTACATACATTTTTAAAAATACAAAACAGTATTACATATTGGTCTTAAGATTTTATATATAGTGAAAATAAAAACACATGGACTAGAAAGATTCATGCAAAGTTAACGATAGAATTGGCATTGAGTAAGGGGAATAGGATTAGTGAGGTATAGAGAGATTTCAACTTAAATGAAAAATAAGTAAAAAGAAATTCGCTAATTTCACAATTATTAAATTTCTATAGTGGATACATAGATGTTAGCAATATTATTCTCCATGCATTTTTATTTAATTTTTTTCCAAAATATTCAAATAAATTATTTGAAGTCTGTGTCTCAAAACATTGTGAGAGTAATAAAATAACCATAAAGTAACTAGTGACAGAGATAATAAAGCAACATAAAACAGCAAAAGAAAAAAATATGAGTCAGTTGTGATTTCTGTAATTACATGATTGAATTTTGTGGTTATTTGGGGGAAACAAAGCTCCATTCCCACATGTAAAAGTGTTATAAAACAGCAGCTTGAGGTTTCAAGGGCACCTTGCTTTTGATAGGTGTGTCTTTTAAAGGGTTTTTCGGAATAACCTTTCCAAGACTCATTCTAACTCCTAAAGCATTCAATCAAATTACACACAAGCAGAACCACCTGAACTTCACAATTACCCTGTCCTATAACCTTCAGGATACAATAACCCTCATTGTTAATGTCTAGCACTTCATAAACCAGAGATAGCAAGTTGGAAGAGATCTAACAATGACCCCTATCAAGTGCCATTTATTGGATTGAACATATTAAATACATATTAATACATCATTGTACTTCACTGTAATGCTATGAGATCCTGACCTACCCATTTTACAGATGAGGAAATAGATGCTTATGAGATTAAGACTCATAGCCGAAATGGAGTGGATGCAATTTCTAACATGTGTCTGAGTTCCCTTAGCCACAGTTCAGCCTCACTCCTCCCCTTTCACTTGCTAACAGGGAAAAGGTACAGGATTAGGCAAGAGCAAAATAAATTATTTTGGAGGCAAGAAGGCAGTTACTTGTGTCTTAAGTGGTGGGAGTGAGTTACCAGAAAAGAGAAATCAAATTGCCTTTGCATGGCTAATAATGTAATGTCTATAGTTCTTAAATCACTTATTCAACATGTGTGAAGCAACTGACTGGAATCTAAGCTGAGGGTGCTGACTTGATTGATTTTACCTTGTTAGCCCGAAGTTCCTCAGCCCTACAGGGGCTCACCCTATACTTTACCCCTAGCTGAGCCTCAGGCAAGAGCTCAATGGTGTTCCTAACAGTCCCCGCAATGCACCTGCAGTTTCAGCTCAATTTTTTTTTTTTTTTTTTTTTGAGATGGAGTCTCGCTCTGTCGCCCAGGCTGGAGTGCAGTGGTGAAATCTCAGCTCACTGAAAGCTCCACCTCCCGGGTTCACGCCATTCTCCTGCCTCAGCCTCCTGAGTAGCTGGGACTATAGGGCACCCGGCTAATTTTTTCGTATTTTTAGTAGAGACAGAGTTTCACCGTGTTAGCCAGGATGGTCTCGATCTCCTGACCTCGTGATGTGCCCGTCTCAGCCTCCCAAAGTGCTGGGATTATAGGTGTGAGCCACCGTGCCCGGCCTCAGCTCAGTTTTTTTGACCGTCAGGTAACTAGTGAGAGGCAGAGAAGTGTCTCGAACAATTTTCAACACTCCAAAAACCCATAGTCCTGCATACCTCACTGACTTTCCCATTTACACACTTGCAAACACAAAGGAATCTTAATTAACATCTGCCCATAGAGAGAAACCTGAAAAATAATCTTCAGGGACTAATCATAAACCTCTTTTATCTCATGTTGAGTTCTCTATGAGATACTTAGAATTCATGGAACTTCTGAAACATTTAATAGCAAAGAAACAGCTTGACTTGCTTTTCCCAGTCTCTGCATTTGCCCAAGCATGATTGTCTCAGTTCACAGGAGGCAACAAACCCTTTGGTTTGCACTTAACTGATGTGCATTTCCTAATCAAATCTCAGAGAAATAAAGACAGAGGGGAAATTGAGACACAGAGTTTGAGGCAGTCAGCTCTGAAAGCTGCATTCCCACTAGCCCTATAAGATTTGTTGATAGGGAAGAAGGCATTAAGTGGAACCAGAGGCCCCAAATGATCGCAGTCATGCTTCCTAAATTTGGGGTTCCAAACACCAAAAGAAAGCTTTGCCACTGAGTTTGTCAATTAATTTCTCAAGCCCAAAGGGGATTTAAGAGACGATTAAGCCTTATGGTGCTGATTCGTTTACACTTCATTCAGTAATATGCTGTTTAGAAAGTAAGGTTTTGTGGGGGAAAAAAAAGGCAGAAAAACTTTGAAGTGTCTTTTTAATACTAGTAAAGATTTATTTGTTTCATAATAGTAAAGTGGAGATTATTTTCCCAAAAGTAATTCAAAGCTCATCTCCCTTAACACCTTAAAGCTAAGTTAAAGTCAGAAACATCTGGGTTTGAGCTGACGCTGTGCTCAGCACACCTTTAGTAGGATCGGGAAACTCAGGTTTCTAGAGGACTCCAAATTACAAGGCTTTGAAAAGAGAATATTCAGAATAAAAGCTTAAGGGCAGTGCTGATGAAATTACATTTACTCTCATTTACTCCAGGATTTTTTCCCCACCCTGTTCTTGGTGGGAGCAAGTCTGATGTATCCAGTTGTTAAGGGATGAAGTGTGGAGCATGGAGAAGAAACTTTTTAGTATGTTGCTGCACATTGCTCTTGTAAGAAGTAATGAGACTTAAGAACCTGGAGCTAGCATAATCTCCACCATTCCACCATTTTCCTTTACCCCACTTCTCCCAGTCCCCACTCCATTTCACCCCTCCACATTCCAAATTATTCTCAAGTTTCTGAAGGCTGGGGTGGAACTGTTAACAGAGTGTTATGTCTGCAGAAAAAAAAAATGTCCTAACAGAAGAAACCCTGTATTTTTCCTCACGTCATAAAGCCTATATTTTCCTTTCATAGATTTCTAACCTATGAAGTTTTATGTAGAGTGCACTAGAATGGGCAGCATTTAGAAAGATTACGGCTGCTTCCTGGAAGTTGACTTAGAGGAGGGCAGAGGTGGTATGTCACACGTCCTTTCTCTAAACTTATTTAACCCTCTTTTTATAGACAAAAGTTTTTCTAAGGTAGTCTCAGAAATGCAGTTACATACAATAGAGTGAGATCAAAATATGTATCAGATGGAATGCTGGGTTGATAGCAATAGTCGTGACCATATATAGTATAAGATTCTCCCTGAATCCTCTCATTAAAACAGATGGAGCAACTAAAATAGCAAAACAAAAGTCACACAGGTGACATCCATAACAAAACGATGTAACAACGTTACTGCCATGAGCCGCAAAATATATACAGGTGAAGAAAGACTGCTTAGAGCCAAAAGGTCCTTGTAATATCAGCATTTATTTGGAATGAGGCAAAGGGAAATCACTGGACATCATGCACACCTGAGAACAGGAGAGCCCCAAGTTTGTCCACAGGTACTCACTGCAGAGCACACACAGCAGGCCTAATGGGAAGAGAAGCAAACTCTGGGAGAGAGTTTGCACTCTTCCTCATAGTCATCTGTACCAGGAATCCGCAAAGAGATCTGAAAGCACTGGAAGAAATATGGACCACATGCACTCTCAAAACTAATAAACCAAAGCCCCCTTTGAGGACAAAACCCCATACTCAGGGAAACTGCTGGAAAATGAATTCCAATTGAACCCGGCAGGAACAATAGGTGCACAGGAAAAAAAGGTAACACTGATAAAGATAGGGGAGCACCACAGAAGAGGCAGTTCTCAGAATAGACAATGTTTTTATACTGAGTAGAAAGGAATAAAAGAAGCAAATAAAATACCTAGGAATATACTTTTGCCTCACTAAGGAGGTGAAAGACCTCTACAAGGAAAACTACAAAATACTGCTGAAATAAATCATAGATGACACAAACAAATGGAAATGTATTCCATGCTCAATGGATGCATAGAATCAATATTGTGAAAATGACCATACTGCCAAAAGCAATCTACAGATTCAATGCAATTCCCTTCAAAATACCATCATCATTCTTCATGGATCTAGACAAAATAATTCTAAAATTCATATGGAATCAAAAAAGAGCCCTCATAGCCAAAGCAATAATAAGCTAAAAAAAAGAAAAGAAAAGAAAATCTAGAGGCATCACATACTCAAATTCAAATTATATTAAAAGGCTATAGTTACCAAAGCAGCACGGTACTAGTATAGAAATGAAACAGAATAGAGAATCTGTAAATAAAGCCAAGTACTTACAGCCAACTCATCTTCAACAAAGCATGCAAAAACATAAATTTGGAAAAGAACACTCGATTCAATAAATGGTGCTGGGAAAACTGGCAAGCCACATGTGGAAGAATTAAACTGCATCCTCATCTTCCACCTTATACAAAAATCAACTTAAGATGGATCAAAGACTTAAATCTAAAACCTGAAATCATAAAAATTCTAGAAGATAACATAAGAGAAACTCTTCTAGACATTAGCTTAGGCAAAGACTTCATGACTAAGACCCCAAAAGCAAGTGCAACGAAAACAAAAATAAAATAGAACCTAGTTTAACTAAAAAGCTTCTGCACAGCAAAAGAAATAATCGGCAGAGTAAGCAGACCACCCACAGAGTGGGAGAAAATATTTACAAACTGTGTATCTGACATAGGACAAATATCTAGAATCTACAAGGAATTCAAACAAATCAGCAAGAAAAAAACAATTTTATCAAAAAGTGAGCAAAGGACATGAATAGACAATTCTCAAAAGAAGATATACAAACAGTCAAGAAACATATTTAAAAAATGCTAAACATCATTAATTATCAGGGAAATGCAAATTAAAAACACAATGAGATACCACCCTACTTTTGCATAAATGACCTTAATTAAAAAGTCAAAAAACAATAGATATTGGCATGGATGTGGTGAAAAGAGAACCCTTTTACACTGTAGAAATATAAACTAGTAGAACCACTACTGAAAGCAGTATGGAGATTCCTCAAAGAACCAAAAATAGAACTATCATTTGATCCACCAATCCCACTGGGTATCTACCCAAAGGAAAACAAGTCATCATGTGAAAAAAGACACATGCGTGCACATGTTTATAGCAGCACAATTGGCAATTGCAAAAATTTGGAAACAACCTAACTGCTCATCAGCCAATGAGTGGATAAAGAAAATGTGATACATATACACCATGGAATACTACTCAGCCATAAAAAGAAACGAAATAATGGTTTTTGCACAACTTGGATAGAGCTGGAGGGCATTATTCTAAGTGAAGTAACTCAGGAATGGAAAACCAAATATTGCATGTTCTCACTTGTAAGTGGGAGATAAGCTATGAGGATGCAAAGGCATAAGAATGATAAAATGAACTTTGGGGACTTGGGGGAGAAGGTTGGGAGACAGTGGATGATAAAAAATCTACACACCGTGTGCAGTATACAACCGTCAAGTGATGGGTGCACCAAAATCTCAGAAGTGACCACTAAAGAACTTATCCATGTAACCAAAAGCCACTTGCACCCCAAAAACTATTGAAATAAAAATTAATCATTTTCAAAAGTGGGCAGAAGACATGAACACACTTTCCAAAAGAAAACACAATAGTGGCTAACAAGCATATGAACAAATCAGCATCACCAATCAGCACAAAAATGCAAATTAAAACCACAATGAGATACCATCTTACACCAGTCTCAGTAGCTATTATGAAAACATCTAAAAACAATAGTTATTGGCAAGGATGGGGAGAAAAGGGAATACTTATATGCTGTTGGTAGGAATGTAAATTAATACAACCTTTAGGGAAAACAATATAGAGATTTCTCAAAAAACTAAAAATAGAGCTACCATTCAATCCAGAAATCCCACTACTGAGTATATACCCAGAGGGAAAGAAATCATTATATCAGAAAGATACCTGCACTTGTATGCTTATTGCAGCACCATTCACAATAGCAGAGATAGAGAATCAACCTACGCGTCCATCAACAGAGAAAGGGATAAAGAATATGTGGTACATATATACAATGGAATACTACTCAGTCATAAAAAAGAATGACTTCATGGTTTTTGTAGCAACATGGCTGGAACTGGAGGTCATTATCCTCAGTGAAATAACTCAGAAACAGCAAGTCAAGTATTGCATGTTCTTATAAGTGAGAGCTAAACAATGCATCCACATCAACATACAAAATGGAATAATAGACATTGAAGAGTATGAAAGGAGGGGATGGGAGAGGGATGAAGGTTGAGAGTTGAAAAATGACCTATTGGGTACAATGTTCACTACCTGGATGATGGGTAGACTAAAAGCCCAGACTTGACTATTACACAATATATGCATGTAAGAAACCTGCACTTATACTCCTAAATATATATTAATTGGTTATTTTTTAAGTATAAAGCCCACAGACAAACTGTTATGAACATGCAATAATTTGTGGAATATAATTCCTTTACATCTTTCCTGAGGATTATTTAAGCTGAGGACAGATGGCTGAGTATCATCTAGGCTGAGAGATTTACATTGAGACTTTCCAATTACATTGAGTAGAGCTTTTACAGTTCTCTGGAAGATTTCAAATTGTAAAGGTCATAGTATGACTTCTTAATGTAGTGCTAAAATATTATTGTCAAAACCTCAATCTGACAAGAGTAACTAATTTAATGTTACAGAAAGACAATAATGCAACAGTGTTTGCCTATTTTATAATTGACTCTCAATAAAACATTGCTTTCACTATTCTTAGTTGGACTATTCTCCATTTATTCAAATCAGCCCAATATTGTATTAAAAGGCATACATATGCTTATTTTAAAATATCTTGTAGACATATATTCACATCCTTTAAAAGGAAAATTATGAGACATTTATAATTAAATACCTAATTTTAACATTATAAGCAACACTTTCAATTATAATGTCCACTTAGGTTAATAAACATTTTGCCTTTTGGAAAAGAAAAAGGAAACAGGCTTTGCACTAGCTGTTTCTCTATCTTGGACACCACACTCTCCCCACTGATACCCACATGGCTCATTTCCCCATCTCTTTTAAGTCTTTTCTCCTCAGTAGGAACTTCTATATCACCCTATTTATAACTGAATTCTACTTTTTTGTGTCCACACACTGCTCACTAGAACATAACATGAATTAGTCTATTTTGCTCACTAATTTGTCTCTAGTGCCTAGAAAAAGTGTCTGGCATGTAGAAAGCACTCAACAAATGTATTTGAATTTGAAAAATAGATAATTGGTCAAGGAGGGTTCTGGATGATCTCAAAATATCTTTGTGACTAAGGGTGAAAAGTCATATTGCAAAGTATTGGTTTGTTTTTACTTGAGAAGTCTTAGAATCCTACATGAAACTAGAGACTATTCTCTTATCCTTGTTATATAGATGAGAAAACTTATATTCAAAGATGTTAATATTGCTCATCTAAGGTCATGTAATGGTGGGGGACACTTACTCTGAGCTGAAGTCTTTGGGTACCAAATTCAGTGTTCTTACCACTGTAGCAGTTAATTCTTAGTAATATATTTGGTCAGTGGAGCCCTCAGATGTTATTATGAGCTCTAAAAATTCAACTTCACATAAGTATGAAAATAAAGTAATCTTCAAGAAAAACACAACAAAAACAAAATATTAGGAGACAGCCTAGTATCCTCAACTGGAGGGGGTTTTGCTTCACCATCCCCACCCCCACAGAGGACATTTGGCAATGTCTGGATACATTTTTATTTGTCACAATTGAGAAAGTACTACTGCATCTAATGGGTAAAGGACCATGATGCTACTAAACATTCTACAACACATAGGACATCCCCCACCCCCTACAAAAAAGTATTATTAAGCTCAAGATGTCAATGGAGCTAAAATTGAGAAACCCTAATAACCTAAGACTTGTTTAATCTGTTGAATATCAAGCAAGACTAATGCATCATGATAATCAGTGTAAGAATAGAACAATTCTCATCACATTACCTTGAATCATTTAGTTCATCGCTTTAGTTTTAAACATTATTATTTAACCAATGTACTTTGCTTACATATAAAACCCTTTAATTGGCATTTAATTACCACTCAATTCCTTTTCTTGTAATTAACTCATTAAGCATCTTACTATGTAAAAACAACACTAAGCAAATGAGCTAATTAGTGTCTAATTATCAGTTACTAAAGATTACTACAAATGACTTACAAATAGCTAGTTTCTTTACTACTACGGGGAATTCCTATTGTTAACCTTAAGTAATTGACTGCAATTTGTACAGCATGGTGTAGACATAAACTGCATGACTGTTAGAGCTGAGACAAAAAAATCTTTTATCACTTCCTGAAAAAAGAAGTGCATTAGCAAAAGGATTTTTGGGATTCATGATCCCATGACTTCATCCGTCATGCAGCAGAGCCTGTAATGAGGAGTGGCTTTTTTTTTTTTTTAATTTTATTTTAAGTTCTGGGATACACGTGCAGGTGCAGGTTTGTTACATAGGTAAACATGTGCCATGGTGGTTTGTTGCACCCATCAACCCGTCATCTAGGTTTTAAGCCCCACATCCGTTAGTTATTTGTCCTAATTCTCTCCCTCCCCTTGCCCCCTACCCCCTGACAGGCCACGGTTTGTGATGTTCCCCTCCCTGTGTCCATGTGTTCTCTTGTTCAACCCCCAGTTATGAGTGAGAACATGCAGTGTTTGATTTTCTGTGCTTGTGTTAGTTTGCTGAGGATGATGGTTTCCAGCCTCATCCATGTCCCTGAAAAGGACATGAACTCATTCTTTTGTATGGTTACATAGTATTCTATGGTGTATATGTGCCACATTCCAGTCTATCATCAGTGGCATTTGGGTTGGTTCCAAATCTTTGCTATTGTACATAGTGGTGCAATAAACATACGTGTGCATATGTCTTTATAGTAGATTGATTTATAATATTTGGGGTACATACCCAGTAATGGAATTCCTGGGTCAAATAGTATTTCTGGTTCTAGATCCTTGAAGAAACACCACACTGTCTTCCACAATGGTTGACCTAATTTACACTCCCTCCAACAGTGTAAAAGTGTTCCTATTTTTCCATGACCTCTCCAGCATCTGTTGTTTCCTGACTTTTTAATGATCGCCATTCTAACCGGTGTGAGATGGTATCTCATTGTGGTTTTGATTTGTATTTCTCTAATGACCAGTGATGATGAGCTTTTTTTCATATGTTTGTTGGTCACATAAATGTCTTCTTTTGAGAAGTATCTGTTTATATCCTTCGCCCACTTTTTGATGGGGTTGTTTTTTTCTTATAAATTTGTGTTCCTTGTAGATTCTAGATATGAGACCTTTGTCAGATGGATAGACTGCAAATATTTTCTCCCATTCTGTAGGTTGCCTGTTCACTCTGATGATAGTTTATTTTGCTGTGCAGAAACTCTTTAGTTTAATTAGATCCCATTTGTCAATTTTGGCTTTTGTTGCCATTGGTTTTGGTCTTTTAGTCATGAAGTCTTTGCCTATGCCTATGTCCTGAATGATATTGCCTAGGTATTCTTCTAGGGTTTTTATGGTTTTAGGTTTTACATTTAAGTCTTTAATCCATCTTGAGTTAATTTTTGTGTAAGGTGCAAGGAAGGAGTCCAGTTTCTGTTTTCTGCATATGGCTAGCCAGTTTTCCCAGCACCATTTATTAAATAGGGAATCCTTTCCCCGTTGCTTGTTTTTGTCAGTTTTGTCAACGATCAGATGGTTGTAGATGTGTGATGCTACTTCTGAGGCATCTGTACTGTTCCATTGATATTGGTACCATGCTGTTTTGGTTACTGCAGCCTTGTAGTATAGTTTGAAGTCAGGTAGCATGATGAGGAGTGGCATTTTGGAGTTGGACAAAAGTAGACAGCAGATTCACTAAGCTAAAAAGACATGAGATTCCTGTTGATCTAGTGCCGAAATGCTGGCAGGAAAGCTCTAACTAAACCATAGATCAGGAGTCAGGGTCCAATAACTACATAAGGTAGGTTTTGTTATTGTGCCATTTTTCAGGTAGAGAAACTGGATACAGAATGGTTCTGCCTCTTGCCCAAGGTTACACAGCAAGTAAGGAGGTATTCAAACTAGCAGTCTAGAAACAGAGTTGCTCTCTTGATCACTAGGCAATGATGCCTTCTTTCTACTTACTGGCAAACTCAATACAAATCCTGCCATTGAATAATGAAGTTAATTAGGTTTGTTTTATTTCTGAATCTACTTGAAGTTGTAGTCTCAGAGAGTGGTCAGTTACATACGCACCAACCCTGGCCTCAGACACCATGTCATTGGCCATGCTTTAAATAATGTAGATTCTTTGGAATCAGGCAGGTCTAGGTTTGGGTTTCCACTCTGCAGATTACTCTTTATATGATTTTGGATAAAAAACTTAATCACCCTGAACTTCAATTTTCTCATCTGTAAGATGAAGATAATAATACTTATCCTAAAAGAATCCTTTGATAATTAAATGAAATCCTATAAAGTGTTTGGACTAGGACTTGGCACATAGTAGATGTTTCTTTCCCTTTCTTGCTATATCAAATATCGATCTGAAAAAAATCTGTTGTAATTTTTTTCATTATTGTGCTAAAATTAAGAAGTGAGCTATACCCTATAAATCAAAGCCTACACTAGAGAAGCTTTTTCTTTATAGTTTCATAGTCATGTGGGGTAGTGGTATTTGTAATTGATGGAGTCGCAAAAACAAACAAACAACAACAACAACAACAAAACACGGTAAAGCAAAATAAGGAGAACTTCCATGAATATTAATGGAAGTTGATCTGCTCCTACTTCATATGGGTACCAAGAAAGATCCCAAACTCATTTGCTCTTTCATTTCACCCAACACTTACTGAGTACTTATTGTCTACTAGGGGCTGAATTACTCACTAGAAATACAGAACATTTTAAAACAAAAGGAAATGATTTCTTTTGAAAACAAGTTTTTCTCCAATCCACAGATGTTTACAGAGCACTAGAGATGGAAACACAGGAGAGACTGTGGAGATGCTAGCATGTACAATGCTGTCTGTGTTATAACAGGGGGATGCACATGGGGTACCAAGGAGCACAGATGCACATCACCTCCATAAGATGGGGGCCATCACGGGAGCTTCCCAGTGAAAATGCCCTCTGAACTGGATTTTGAAGGATGAGTAAATGCCTCATGAGACCTAGAAGAAGTATAACACCTTGGCTATGAGCATGTGCCCTGGAATCCCATATGAAACTCTTACTCCGTGTGTAACCACAGGTAGGGAACTTAGCTGCTCTATGCTTCAAGTTCCTCCTTTATAAAACCAGGATACTGAGAGTACCTTACTTCATATTGTTTCTGGGAGAACTGAATGCATTAATACATGTAAAATCCTCAGAATTATATCTGGCTTATAACTAGGTGCCCATTACATTTTAACTATCCTTTTTCATCCTTCAAATTTCAGCCCTAATGAGAAGTTAAATGGCATGTACAAAGGATCAGAGACATGAGAACATAGAACCATTTGGAAAACTTCACATAGATTGATTTGACAGGAGCAGAGCACTCCTTAGGTGTACAGATAGAGCCCAGATAGTGAAGGAGGGGGCCTCGAGTCCTCCTCGAGTTCTCTGAACTTTGTCATGATTACTGTGGGAGATGTAGGATTTAAAACATGGAAATGATCAGATCTAATTTCTATTTTAGCAAGCTCTCTCTGTTAACAATGTAGAAAGCAAGCAGGCTGAAGACAAAAGAAACTGATTGAAAAGAAACAACCAGTGCTACTGCAGTTAGTTTTCCAAGTGAAAAAGCTAAGAATCTTGACCCTGGGCATTGGCAGTGAGAATGGATGGCTTTCTTGCAGGTGGGACGGTAGAGTTGAAGACTTCCTATAAGACTGGCCTTAATTTTCTTACCCAAAGATTGGGGTTGAATAAAGCTGTTTGTGCATTTTCCTCCCTGGGACTTGAATGATACAGCTTTTCTTTCTTTTTCTTCTTTTCCCCCAACATATACTTCTTTTCTTGAATGGTCTCAAAGATGATGCTTTGTGAGTGTTTGTCAACATAGAAAGAATATAGAAGAATCACTGGCCTCAGTAGGCAGGCAGCAGTCTGCTTGTGCACAGGAGTGCTGAATGGAACACCAGTGGTAAAAAGACATTCATGGATTTAAATCCTTAAGTGTGCTGTATTACCAAGACCACACCTCCCATTCATTACAACATCTCCATGCACTCATTTCACAACAAAATGTTAGAGCGAATTTATTTTTAATCTCATCCATTTCACTGAATTAATTCATGCACTTCTGAAATATGCATCTCAAATTACTAACAATTTGGATTAATGCCATTTCCATAAAAGGTGCTAATAATGAGTTGTATCATCCCTCTATTTTAGAGAAAGAACTAATTCATCAAGGCTGACTGAGCTGCTTTAGAACCTCCTAAAAAGTACAGATGAATGTGATTTCAGAATCATTGTATTGCTAATGTACAGGGCTAAATTTGTTGGCAAAAGTCCTCTGGTATTCTTGGTGAATGAATCCAGGTGCAGTTATTAAGGTCAAATATTATGGTGTCATTGTCGAGAGTTTTTTTCCATAAAAACTAAGGGGAGGATTACATGTCTTATAATATAGAGGTCCCTAATGAACCGTGTCCCACTTGCAGCTGTTAAGGCAAGATTCATCTCAGTAAAAATGTGTGGTTATCAAAGTTTTAATTGTAGACTTAAGAAAATCAGAGCCTCATTAGCTATAAAATCATAAAATTATAGGCCTAGGAAAGAAGTTGTATGACTTACTTCTTATTCCCTTGGCTCTAGATGAGACAGTATGTAAAATGGTGCAGTTCCCTATGGCATGTGAAGGCCATCTGTTTGTAACACATCTCCACTGAGGGCCAAGGTTGCTTCAGCTGATCTGGCAGGGAAGACAGCTATGTTCTCTTTCTCTCACCATTCTATTTGGGCACCTGCCAACGATGTACATTTGGTCAAGGAGCACAGCCTTCTAAACAGAAGAGCCATTTATCTTATCAAGGGTATTCAAGGATCTGTGCTACTCTGCAAGTTCCACGTAAGTTTATTTGAGGCCAATGGGGGAATAACATAGGACAGTAAATCTTTTAAGACTGCCTTTCTCTAAAAACCTGTCCCAGAGATTGACAGCACTCACAGTTCAGAATTTGAGTACAATCTGAATCTATATACAAGAAAGATTTTAAAAACCAAACCTAATCATTGAACAAACCCAGCTCTACACGATGACTCTCTCAGGTCATGTAACTAGCTAAAGGCAGACAAGGACTATAACTCAATTATTGCACATTGTCCAAATAACCTGAGTTCCTTGAGTTGTGGAATATATTCATGTTTCTAGTTTCTCTTTTAATATTACAGTGATTTTCATTTTACTCTTCAATATTTTGGGGGATGAGATATCTGGAAAATTTAACTTCTGGCTTGCAGAATTATTGAGATGAGATGTCTGAGACAAAAGTTGACAAGTTGCTGAGTCACTGCTGAATGGTTTTATTGCCTCAGAAAATGAGGCCACGGGCCCCAAAGGTGAAAATTTCTTGTTTAAAGAAATAATCTCAACAATGCAAAGAAAAACCACACTGAATTCCCTGTGCTTTCTGGGTATGTACAATTGGTGCTTGGTATCAGAACTGAGGACAAAAAAGCCTGAACATGCTTGGCCAGGAGAGCATGAGCTTGGAATTTTTTACACTCTTCAGGAGACTAAAAGAGCAACAAGGGAGAAGCAGCAATTAGAGTTTCAAATTCCTGTGCCACTTTCTCTATCCCAACCTTATAAAATAATCAAATGTACCTACCAGTCCTTTCCTAGCTCTGCTTGATATTTAATTTAGTAGGGACTTGTGCTAAGGACTGCATACTTAAAAGGATTTATGAGCAGACTGTTTGGAGGAAACTTTACAGTTTCAGGATCGCAACTCAAACCCACTAAAGAGAGTGTTATTTCCTTGTTGTAAACTCAATTTCTGCAACTAGGAAAATTCCTGTGAAAATTAGAGCTATTTTACCTAAAAGGGCCCTTATGATTCTGTCAGGACCAACCACTTTGAGCACTGGAAATGTAGTTGCAGGTCGGGGGTGGAATGGCAGGTGAAAAGTAGAAGTTCAGCGATTTAGAGTCACTGAAAAAGTCATTTGGAGATTTCTGCTGGTAGGAAGGGGGAAAATTTGTGAAGCTAACCAAGTAGCCAACAAATGCTTTTTCATCTTTCTATCTTAAGTACTTTAAAATGATAAAATAGAAAAAAGCACAGACTGAGAAATGTCTGTCAGGGTTAATAGCTTTCTTTTGAATATGTATTAAAAAAACAGTATCTGGGTTACAGCCAGTTCTGATGAATTTTCAAATGATAGATTTTTAATTGAAAAAATAGTTTTCTATATGTGAAAGAATCAAGAAGGAAAAAAAATGTCTTGCTTTCAGCCCTATAATGCTAACCAGAATTAGGTTAGACCAGGGGTCAGCAAACTATTTTTTTAAAGGTCCATGTAGTAAATATTTTAGGCTTTTCTGCCTCAAACCATCACAACTACTTCACTCTCCTGTTATGCTATGAAAGTAACTGCAGACAATTCATAAGCAAATGGGTGGGGCTGTGCTCCAATAAAACATTATTTATAAGAGCAGTCAGTTTCCTGAAATTGGCCTATTGGCTGGCTGTAGTTTACCAGCCCCAGTCTTGACTTTCATGCCAAAGCTGGCTGCTTAAAATCCTAAGGGGGTCAAATTTCAAACTGAACCTTCATAGAAAAAGAAAGTACATGTGTGAAATGGAGGTATGGGGTTACCATAGATCCCATGTTGATGGATGCTATATAAAATTTTGGAATATTCCTTGACTTTCTCTTGACTTGACATTTTTGACATTCCACATAAAAATCAAAGATTTATGAATTAAGTGTATGCTCCTGGTCTACTCTGATTTAAGGAATCCTAATTTAATTGTCAGAAATAAAAAGTGGATATCATAGAAGAGAGGGGTAGGGGTTGGTTTGTGATGAATCCAACCCACTTCACCTCTCTAAATGAGAAACACAAAGCGTTTTATAAATATGAGGCATGGAAATGGTGATGTAAGACTGGCATTGAGATGAGAAAAGACTAATAGACTCTTAGCTAACTTTTCTCAATCTTATCCCATGGGATGCCATACAAAAACTTGAAATGGGGGAATCACCAGCAATTCAGATAGTTTAACTCTCATATTTTAGAGTTTTCATTTGAGGAATTATGCCTTTAAAATTCATATACCATTTATCACTCTGTTTTATGTGAGAGAAAGGAACTGCCTAATGTCCATATGTGTTGTCATTTGTTAAAGGCTTTCTTTAAATGTGATGATAAATCAGTCTCCAGCTGTGTGTCAGCAACACTGTCACACTGAGAAAAGGAACCTTGGCTCCTTCTCATATTTTAGGCTTCTCTTAAAATGAACAGAATTTTTGTTTGATCTTTATAGAATCAAAGAGAAAAAAGATGTTAGAAAGTCTCCTTTATCACCTAAAATATAACCTTGTGCACACATTGGGCTTCTTTTCAACACTATAACGGAACTTCTCTGGCTGCTGCAAAAGATTCTCTTAGCAAGAACTCTACACTTTATGATTTTTTATGTAGTACGACTAGTAACCCAGTCATAACCTCTGATAATTGATTTATTCTAAAGAACATAAAGATTTTTTCTATAGAGTTATTATTTAATTTTTAATGTATATTTTCAAAATTTCAAGTGAACAGAATATTTTCAAGCAAAAGAATACAGTAAGTTTTCCTCTGTTTGTTAGAGAAGGTCCAATTTGGGTGGGTTCTTAGATTATAGAAAAAGTAGCCCTTCTTTGCCCCGTTTCTGATCTTGTGATCTTTACTTATAGTTTATCCCTGATCTTTCATCTACTGCAGATTTTCTTGTATTTGCACTATGAGGAGATCTCCTTTTGGCCTGTCTGGTCTCTCTTTTAATGAATCATTTAAAAGACCTGTACTTTTTTACTCATGCAAAAGGCAATACTGGTTGTATCTGTGTCAGGAAGACACAAAAATTAGGAAAGGTACTTTTTCTGGCAACAACTATGAGACATCAGGAAAAGAGGTAGGATTCAGAGCTATAAGATCTTGATTCAGACTCAACTTTGTGAACATTTTAGCCAAATCATAACCTTTCTGAGCCTCATCTGAAAAGGGGATCGTATTATCATCTCATTCAGAGTTGTGAAGATGAAAGAAGATAATACATTTTGAGGATTAAAAGGGATAATGCATGTAGAAATGCTTTGTAGATGCTTTATAGATTGCACAGTGCTAATCTGTTATTGTTGGCCTGATAACTTTACTTCTCTATACTGGGAAAGTCATCTCGTGAATGTAACTCTACTCTCCCTTGAGCCAGATTGCCTTGGATAGGATCAGGTATCAGGTAAGTTGTTTGGCTCCCATATCACTGTCTGCAAATTGTGTAAACATGTGCTTTTGTAGCCCACACTGATGTTGGCCTGAAATACTAAGAACAATACCACTCCACTTAGCCATTTAGCTAGTGGCAGTAGAGAGGTCTAGGGGGAAAAGAAGAGAACCAATGAGCTAAAGAATAAAGGGAATATTATGATGATGCTACACCAGAGTCAAATGATTTCTTCAGAAGGAGGAGCTTTTCCCAAGTGATCCCACAATGAGAAATGGTTTAATTCATTTCTACAGATCAAAGAGATCAAACAGAAAATTGGAACAGGGCACAAGGGAACACCATGCTAAAATGGCAACAGGCAATTCTCACAAGGTGTAGAAAAAGATGAGGACTCTGCACTTCAATAGTAAAATTTTTTTTTTTTTTTGAGACAGAGTCTCACTCTGTTGCCCAGGCTGGAGTGTAGTGGTGTGATCATGGCTCACTGCAGCCTCAACCTCCCAGAACCTCCCAGGCTCAAGTGATTCTCCCACCGCAGCCTCCCAAGTACCTGGGACTACAGGTATGTAGCATCACACCTGGATAATATTTTAAATTTTCTTTTATAGAGACAGAATCTCACTATGTTGCCCAGGCTGGTCTTGAAATCCTGGGCTTAAGCAATCTTTCTGACTCTGCCTCCCAAAGTGCAGGATTACATGCATGAACCACTGTGCCTGACTAATAGTAAAACCTTAACAACTGTCGGTGGAGAGACTGAATTTTTTTGTATTCCAATATTCTTCAACAGTAAGAAGTGACTAATACAGCATAAACTTGTGTGGGATAGGAGCTGCCTGAGATCAGGACAAAACCGTCCATGAAGAATTGTGAAATAAAAGGAACCAAATAAGTCCACTGCAAAAACTCTAATGTTCCTTAATGAATAGGCTTAGAATCATACTATAAAAATTAGATAAATACATAAAACCATATTGCATGGAATTCAATTTATTTTGTAGATAGTTACGCTTCTAAGATGTATTGTCCTAATAGTTTTTCTGTCTCTTTCTGTCTCTCTCTATATATATTTTATATATATATAATAAATGTGTCTGTGTGTATGTAACTTTCAAAAAGTATTATAAGAAATTACCTGACATGAGTGAAAAGCAACTGATACATAGTCAAAATCTGTTGTTCAGAATGGGTGAAGAAAACAGCCTCATCACCCCTAACAGAATTGTGTCATCACCAGGGATCTTTTTAATCTAGTTTTGTCACATTGCTTACTGTGAAATGTTCTCCTGACTCTTAGATTCACATATGTGAGCAGAAACTGTTAGGATTTGTAATTTTCAAATCATTTACATTCATGGGGGTAGAGTTGGTGTGATACAGAATCATTCCTTAAATAAACTAAACTCAAAATCCTACAAAAAGTGAGATGAGAAGAGCTCTCAGGAAGAATCACTAACGGAGGGAGAGCAATTTTCCAAGGGAGTTTTGCCTCTTTGATGAGCACATCCTACTTTTAAACCTGATACCAAGCACGTTCAGCCTCCACAGACACTGCTCTTGCTGGAACAGACTGAAATGTCTTAAGCACAGCTTGATTAATATTAAGGAATTAGCAAAGTGCAAAGAAGGCACACAAATGTAAAATCAAAATCATTACATTTAAGAATTGTAAACTTAGGATATCACAATGTGTTCAACAGACATGGTACTAATTACAGAATATAAATTAATTAATCAAAACTAGATTCAAATACTGGCTCTGCTATTATTAGCTATGCAATATTGGAAAAGTGCATTTCCATGAACATCATTCCTTATTTTTCTAAAGAAGGTAGTGGTAGTGGTATTTTTTTCATGTTATATATATAGTTCAGTCTCCCAGGAATAGCTGAATGATCCAGAGGTTTACATTTGACCAGCAATGGCTAATCAGATGCTTTCCCCTAAGAAACTGGAAATTTTAATGGAAAGATAAGACTAAAAGCCTTTGTAGTAGACTGACATTGATACCATTACTCTAAAGAGACCATAGACCCTTGCTTCTAAGGTTCTACAGATTATCTTTTTTCCTTGCATCTCCACAGGCATGTTCAACTCTTCCTTTGATCCTGTGAGATACCTAAGGGTTCTTCCAATAATTGTTGCTGGATTTGTTTGGGTTTCTTTTTTGTTTGTGCTTGTTTTTGTATTTTGTTTTGTTTGTGGTTCTAACTAGCCATAACTTGCTTTTTATTTCATGCAATCAGAATTTTGAATCAAAAAGAAATAAGCATTAGGAAGGAGTATGCTATAAGTAAAAATTTCTGAAATGTGGAATTAATCTAGGTAAAGTAGGAGCAGTGGTTCCCCATGATCTTAAACTGTGAATGATTTGGTTTGGCTGTGTCCCAACCCATATCTCATAATTGTAACTCCGACAGTTCCCATGTGTCATGGGAGAAACCTAGTGGGAGGTAATTGAATCATGGGGGGGAGCCTTTCCCATGCTCTTCTCATGATAGTGAATGAGTCTCACGGGATCTGATGGTTTTAAAAATGGGAGTTTCCCTGCGCTAGCTTTCTTCTCTTATCTTCCGCCATGTGAGACATACTTTTCACCTTCCACCATGATTGTGAGGCCTACCCAGCCACATAGAACTGTAAGCCCATTAAACCTCTTTCATTTGTAAATTGCCCAGTCTCAGGTATGTCTTCATCAGCAGCATGAAAATGAACTAATGCAGTAAGGTATATCAACTGATGCCACAGTAGTTATTTAAAGGATTCTTCAATCCCATAGTCCCTGTGGCTTGGGTGGCATGTGATCCAGGTTGGCCAACTGAATCATCAAATCTTCAAGACTCACTAGAAGTGATTAATTCAGTATACACTCATGACCCAACTTAATTCACTAAGATTCAAGTCTAGAGCTTTCATTTGAATTGTTAGGAAGGAAGAGTCTCTTTCTATTGCTTAATGAGGGACTAGAACATACAACTAGTGCTACTAGCAGCAGTCTTGGGAACTCAAGCAGAGAATTTGCCTAAGAAAGAATCGATACAGAGGAAAGCATAGCCAAGAAATGGGAGAATGCAAATTTGCTTGAGAAATTAGATGTAGCCAGGCCTGCATATTATCTTGTTACAAATACCTGAGGCCCTGAAAATAAATACAGCTTTGTAAAAATAATTTCCTTCTTTGATATCTTGGATACTTCTATAACATTATTAAAGCTTTTAGTTTTGTCTGTATTTAAATTGCTATGGTATTTTCAAGTTGCATCAGCCAGCACTGTATCAGTGGCTAAAAGCTTTTGTGTTTGTTGTTGTTGTTTTGTTTTGTTTTTTGTTTTTCGTTTTTTGTTTTTTTTTTTTGAGACAGGGTCTCACTCTGTTGCCCAGGTTGGAGTACAGTGGTGCAATCACAGCTCACTGCAGCCTCAACCTTCCTAGCTCCTAGCTTCCTAGATTGTGCCTGAAATCCCAGCACTTTGGAAGGCCAAGGTGGGTGGATCAGTTGAACCCAAAAGTTTGACACCAGCCTGAGCAACATGGCAAAACCCTATTTCCACAAAAAAAATTACAAAATTAGCCAGGCCTGGAGTCGTGCCCCTGTAGTTCCAGCTATTCAGGAGGCTGAGATGAGAGAATCGCCTAAGCCTGGGAGGTAGAGGCTACAGTGAACTGTGATTGCACCACTGCACTCCAGCCTGGGTGACAGAGTGAAACTTTGTCTCAAAAAAAAAAAAAAAACAATTTTTAGCCACTGATACAATGTTGACTAATGCAACTTGACAATCTCATAACAATTTTAATATAGATAGAACCATTATATTTGAAGTGACAGTGTGTAGATGGTTTTTAATTATATATTTAAAGAATTTGTGGGTTTTTTTTTTTTTTTTTTGACAGTCTTGCTCTGTCGCCCAGGCTGGAGTGCAGTGGCGTGATCTTGGCTCACTGCAAGCTCCGCCTCCTGGGTTCAGGGTATTCTCCTGCCTCAGCCTCCCAAGTAGCTGGGACTACAGGCACCTGCCACCATGCCCAGCTAATTTTTTGTATTTTTAGTAGAAACGGGGTTTCACCGTGTTAGCCACAATGGTCTCTATCTCCTGACCTCGTGATCCGCCCGCCTTGGCCTCCCAAAGTGCTGGGATTACAGGCATGAGCCACCACGCCCGGCCTTTTTTTTTTTTTTTTAATTTAGCTCAGTTGCCTAAGTGCTTGGCAAAGCTTGATGTGCTTAAGTTGCCTAACTTATATAGATGATTCCATAAAAGAGAGTTCATCTCTTCTGGACTTCCCAAGGTAAGAGGACACACACTAGCCTGTCCTTCTGCTACTGCATCTACTGGGAGTCACTAATTAGACATGTTTTTTCCCATGTTGCAGGACAAAAAAAGCACCCAACTTTGTTGAGGATTGAAGACCCTGGGCTGTCAGGACACCTTTACCATCTTCTTGGCTGTATTAATGAGACTCTGTTACCACTTCACTATCCTCTTGGCTGGAATGCTTTATGTGGTTCCCTGCTATGTCTAAGAAAAACAAGTGGTTGTCTTGAAGCTTACTTATGTTTTATCTACATTAAGCGATTCTAATTCCATGCATAAAACCCACTTATTTAGAAGATAAAGAATCTGTTATAGTTACCACCTCTGAAACTAGAAAATTTGTTTCTGATTCCACTAATACACAGTCTATGTCCTAGATTTTTCAGGTACAGGAGCCAATAAATTCTTTCTGTCTCAAGCCAATTTGAATTGCATTTTCTGTCATTTGAAGCCAAAAGAGTCTTAACTAATACAGTGGCTTGCCTACGACAATAGGCTTATCTAGTTTTATAGCCTTGGGCAAGCCTGAGTATTATCTGTTCTTTCTTTCATCCTCAGATCTTCCTTGCTGATGAGCCTTATGTCTTTCTACTTTTTTACTCATCCCAATCCTCATATGTGCAATGTACCACAATAAGTTGCCTGTTGAAGTCGTCGGTGTTCAACAGATATTTTTGAAGTCAACCTAAAGGAACATTAATACTGACTGGTTTTAAATAGTTTTAAGTATTTCTGTAAAGATCATTTACTTAACAGTGAGAGTCATACTCTGTTTATCTCTATATGCCCTGAACCTAGGAAAATCCTAAGCATATTGGTTGCATAAATTAATAAAGTTAAAATGAATTAGAAAAACTCACTGGGTGGGGGAGTTGAAATGGATAACTGCCAGGACAGGGTCCCTGTAGGCTATATAAAAATGTTGCATGAGAAAATTCTTTTTTATGAGAAAGAACAAAAGGCAAAATCATAATAAGAATGCCTAAAACAAGCAAAAGGTATACCAGAGGCTGTACAAAGGTTTGATGCCCTAGGGAAAGTAGAATTGCTTACACTGCTTTGGTAGTAGAAAGAGAACGGTTATACTCTCATAAGTCATGTGGACACCCTCAATTAATTATCATAATCTGGTAAGGAGAAGGCCCAGTACTGCCATGTCATGGAGACTACCATGTGAATCATGACCCTACATCATAGCAGCCCTAGGACAGCCAGTGGGGTCTTATCCAAGGAAGGACCATGGCCCCTTAGGAGGATGATCCCACCTCTCTTATTTTCTTCTCCTTTCATTCCAGACTCATGTATTCGATTAAAGCAGGGAAGGTGGGGGGCAGTGGGAAAAGACATTTAAGCTAACAATTTTAAAGTCTATGTTAGCAAAATCCCTAGTCCCTACATAGTCCTAAGGAGAAATTTTCCCTAACTGAAATAAAGTTTATTTTGATAGTCTCATCTTTCCAAGCAGTCTAACACAAACAGCCTAGTTTTTTCTACTGGCAAAATGAACATAATACTACCTGCCCTGTATTCCTATAGTTATTGTAATAACTGTTGCCAAAATAAACTCATATATCTGAAAGTACTTTGTAAATTGGAACACATTTTATGGTTACAAGTTTTATTATTCTTCCTTATGCCCATACCTGGTGTCCGGACATTGAGGATTTGGCCCTGAGTAAGTCAAGCACAAATACTGACTAGTTAGAATTAACCACTTGCTGCAAATAACAGCCCCCTAATAACGGTGGCTTGGCACAATATGTCCTTCATCTCATACTCCATCATAGTCAGCAGTTTATTATTCATCTCAGTTTCTTGGATCTCATGGCCTCACCCAAATCTAGATTCAGAGCCCTCTCATTACACCAGCCAATGGGGAAACAGAGGGAAGGCAGAGCACAGGAGGATTTTCTAAGCAGGTGCACATCATGTTTCCTCCCATTCTGTTACACAAAACTCAAATCACATTGCCATGCCTAACTACAAATGGAACTGGAAATGACAAGCTTGCTGGTACCCAAGAGAAAGAGCAGAATATGAATAGTTGTGAGCACTGGATCAGAGACACCTGGCCAAGGCGTTAATGAATTTACACAGTTCTTCATCCTACATTTCATGAAGAGATCTTCCCCAACCTTGTCCCCCACACCATCTGGTTTATAGACCCACTATAAAACCTAATAAAGTACACTGTAATCTTCTTGAGTATAGGAACTTTTTTTTCACTTTATTCCCACAATGTTTAAATATAGTGGGCACACAAAATGTGCTAGTTGAATCTATAAAACTAGTCAGGTACCTGACTCCCAACTCATTTAAAGAATTCAAGTCCAAAATCAGTGGTGGTTTCTTAAGCACTCCCACAGTGCAAAGTTGCTGCCAAGAAATGAATGCCTGACCAGAAAAGTTCTCAAACTCCACTTTCTAACCCAGAGACTTCTGTCACCTAATACAGAGCTTAGCACATAGTAATTGTAAATATTAACTGTGGTGAGCAAACGAGTAAGTGATTAAGTGAATAATTTAATGAATTAACATGAGACTAACCCAAAAGTTTTATAAATCCAGTGAGTTTGCTATTTGGATCATTTGGAAATCAGTAATGTTAGTTTTCTTTTATTCTCTCATTCTTTTCTAGTCTTTTGACTCTGTCCCACATCAGTCTAACTGAAGAGCTGTTGTCTGGTAGGCGAAAGACTGTAGATTTAGTTCTTGATTGAACGTTAACTCTGGGTTCTTGAGCAACTCAGCAGATCCCAAGGCTGCCCCTCTGTCCTCTGAATCATAGCCTTTATTTGTTACTCCCGTAGGACTTAATCACACAATAGCTGTACCAGCTTATTGTCTTGCATTAGTGTTATCTTTCAGATTATCACATAAGTCTTCATCTGGGGAGGACTTTTCTCCCCTAATTCATTGTGAACAACAGCAGTGTATGGCTCACGTGTATTTTCTTTGTTACTTCTCATTGTCTAACAAAGTCACCTTTG
The DNA here is from genome assembly GCF_000001405.40 of Homo sapiens. Lineage (NCBI taxonomy): Eukaryota > Metazoa > Chordata > Mammalia > Primates > Hominidae > Homo > Homo sapiens. Next base: position 54,781,836 of record NC_000017.11, read on the forward strand.
CTAAACAGAAAGGAGTAATTCGATAAATAACCCCGAGATTTGCTGAGAAATTGTTCTACATTCAGCAGACACTTTGGCTCTGGCCATGTGCCAGTGCAACGCTGAGCTGTACACCCAACTCATGGTCCTTGCCATTAGGGAGCATCATCCAGTGGAGTAAGAAAGATATTAAACAAGTACCCATTATGCAATGTCATAAGTGCCATAAATAAGTATAAAGGATTATAAAGCAGAGGTGAAGAAACTTAATAAATTGCCTAGACTTTTAAGATCTCAGCTTTACCACTTAATGGCTATGTTACTTTGACAAGCTATTTTAACCTCTCTGACCCAGAGTTTCCTCATCTATAAAATTAGAATAATAGCAGTATCCAATTTACAGGGCCATAAAGAGGATTACATATGTTAACATATGTAAGATGTTTAGAACTTTTAGAACTGTGCCTGATACCAGTAAATGTGATCTATTATATTCATTGTTATTAGTTATTTTTATTATTTCTTGTGAAGTACAATGATGATATGATAAATAACATGCCTAGATTATGGTATATTTTAAATACATATTTTAAAAATAGTTTTTGAAAGTGAGATGAATCTGGAAGTGTTTTAAAAAGCACTGTATAAGTCCAACTTTTATTATTTACAGAATTATAATTCTGTTGTTCTTTGTAACTCAAATGAATCCAGTATACACCGGATATCAAAACTCAATTTGCACTAACCAAGTACATTACATTCATCTGTCATTGGAATGGACCTGATAAGTATCCGAGTTTCTACTTTCTGAGTTATTGCTGCAGCATGCTAACTCACGAAACCTTCCAGTTGCTGAGAAACCTTGAGTGCTTTCTTTGCTGTTTCTGTGTGTGCAGAGATTCAAAAGCAAGATTCAGAGCTGAGTTGTTTGTGGAACTGGCGGGCTGGTAACACTGTTGAGTATATATATTCATAAGATTTTATGCTTTAGAACTGAATTTTGAGAAAAGAATTTAGTGCAGGTAAGTTTGAATTAAAGATATAAGGGATAATTAGATATAGGGAAGCAGTGGCAGGAGAATTACCTGGCATCTGCTCCCTGCTAGCCAGAGGAACCAGTTTTAAGTCTTATAAAGAGAGAAAATAGCTCTAGAACTCACATGATGAAGTCTGATAAAGGATATGTGAGATTCTGGGAATAAATAGTGCTTCTTCAGGACACGTTATGAAGTGAGGCTGAATTAGAATGAGGTCCATTTTTATCCCCCCAATCCCATTTCCAAATTCATATTCCCTTGCCACAAATTCAATGCACATTGACTTCACGGCCACCATGGATGGCAGCTAACTCCATGGAGCCTGGCTGTAAAAGTGCCGAGCCACAGTCAGGAGCCTTGACAAGAAAGAAGAGGCAAAGAACACACACCAACCTGCTCCTGAGCACATGCGTGCACATGACAAAATCCTGAGCACTCCCAGATATAACTAGGGGAAACTTTGAAAGGGGCTACTGGCCGGACGCAGTGGCTCATGCCTGTAATCCCAGCACTTTGGGAGGCCAAGGTGGGCGGATCACCTGAGATCAGGAGTCCAAGACCAGCCTGGCCAACATGGTGAAACCCCTTCTCTACTAAAACTACAAAAATTAGCCAGGCATGGTGATGGGAGCCTGTAATCTCCGCTACTCGGGAGGCTGAGGCAGGAGAATCGCTTGAACCCAAGAGGTAGAGTTTGCAGTGAGCCGAGATTGCAACAAAGCGCTCCAGCCTGGGCAACAAAGTGAGACTCCATCTCAAAAAAATAAAAAATAAAGAAAATGAAAGGGGCCATGATTCTGTAAAATGAAAATGAGTGATCTACATTGACAGGTGAGAAAACAGAAGCTCAGCAGAAGTAGGCCATTTTCACGATTTGGTAAGTGGCAGGAGTAGGTTTAAAGTTCACTGCTCTGGAATCCACTCCTTTTTCAAAATATCCTACTGCCAAATTACTTCATAGTGTGGCCTATACTAGCTATACTAGCTATGCCATAATAGCTGCCTATAGGGAAAGAAACAACAGAATTACATAAAATGGAATTGTAGACCTTCATATCATCCAAAGCTAGATTACTGCAACATCCACTACTTCTGCTATGTTCTGCAGCATGTATGTAAACACACAGGCACACACATACACATATACACAGAGCAATTCTTTTTTGTAGCAGAGGCAGTGTGTTTTAATCAGCTAATATTTGGTTGAAAAAAAATTAAAGAAAGAATAATTTCCATGTTATCCACCTACTTGGCCAAGAGAAAGGCCAAGGAGTGAGAGCATTCAGACCATGGTGTGGTGGTAAGGTAGTGAAATGGTAGAAGTTACATCTAACATGTGACTCTCTGAATCTGAATCCCTCCATCCCCAAATGGTAGAAATGCTTAATTAAATCCATATTTTTTAAGCACTCCAATCTTTTTTAATGCCATTATTTTTCATCTTTTGCATCTGGGTAAATACTCCTATTTTGGCACAAGAAAGGAAAGGCAGGTTCCAGAAACTGTTCTGCTGCTAGGAGACCTTGGGGCCCAAAAATGAGTTTTTGACAAATTGGAGAGGCTACCTCCTTGCCCTACACCTAGACAGCATGTGGCATTTTGTAAAGTGGCTTCATCCCATCCACCCCCGAGCCCAACCCAGACCACGTTGTTCAGAGCACTTCCAGGAACCATCTGGTGCCCAGAACATTGCTATTTCAACGTGCTTTGGAATCTTCCAGGATGGTTGCTGTGACCAAAGCATGTTTTTAAATAGAAGGCCTTCAGTTATTTGGAGTTGCATCCCCCAGTGATCTGTGCTGCTTTGTTGCTGAGGGTTATTTCTCTGCTGTATTCATCATTGTGCTTTCATGCTGATGATACACACTATGGCCGAAAAGATTCCTTCTAAATATGATCCCAAACAGTCGATTATAAAAGGTTGAATTGTAGTCTTGCAAGATTAAGTATTTTTTTTTAGATTTAATAGGCCAGTGTTTTTTTAAGTATTTCTGTACACTCAGCTTTAATTTGGAATAATATCTTCACTTGACTCAAGAGATTTTCTTTAATTTCATGATTATTAAAGGCTTCAGCTCTCCCATAGTGCCCAAATTAAGCCAGAAAGAATTGAAATTCACCACCATACTGAATTAGTTTTTCCCTTCTCTGGTTTCCACAGCACTCCAAGCTTACCTTTAATTTTCTATTAACTAGCTGTCATAATTGTCTGTTTCTATTGTTCTTTCCCAGTAGCCAATAAGTGCCTCAAAGGCAATGTATGTCAGTCATCTTTTTATCCACAAAGTCTAACCGAGTACTTGGCAGTACCTAATGGGTATCCAATACGTATGTTTTTGGATTAAAAATTTACTGGTCCCTGACAATTATTTTAATCCCCTCAGGCACTGGTCCTAGATCTTCTTACTTTTTCTCATGTTCACCTGCTCTTTACTCTATGAACTACCGAAGTCCTGCCACCCAGCTCTTCCTGAAAGCACAAAAGGATACTTAATTCTAAGAAAGGGGACATAGAAGAATGTTTAGAAAGTTAATGAATATGATATTGAGATTTCCCTACTTCTTTACCCTACATTTTCCCCATGTTTTTTCAAGCTCAAGCTTCCCATTATCTGTACTAATAAAGGGAACCCATAGTATAGGTAATTCAAAATAGATTATCTAAATAAGCCCCCATACTTTTGTGGGAATGTATCATATAGATGCAAGAGCCCTGGCTTGAGAGACATAAGGCTGAAATCACACTGCTTACTTATAAGGCCTTAGATAAGTCATTCAACCTTTCTGAAACTCAATTTCTTCACCCGCAGTGCTTAACTTGCCTAGCCATAGGACTGGTGTCTGGATCTCATAAGCTGTTCGGTATTCTGCAAATTATAAAGCACAATACACATTGAAGACCATGTGAATATGACATCTGGGATGGATTTTCTGATGGCGAAGAGTGACAAATAAGTTAGCATCAGATTAAAACTTGGTATTCTGCCAAGTAAATATTAAAATTAGTTTACTGTCCCCAAGTGATAATGTGGGGAGTCAAACCAGCTAAATACTAAGTGCAGGAATAGCTGGATGGGGTTATGAAGAGCCATGACAGATCCACTACACGGCCAATTCCTCTGCAGGTAATCAGAGTTGACTAACTCATATCAAGGGCACATGATGGCACCTTGCACCGCCGTTACCCATATGGTGGAAAAACGAAGGTTGCTTGTGCCAAATGCAGATCCAATTAAAACTTGGAAAGGTTGCTCCATTATCACATTTGCAGCCATAATTAAATTTGCGAACTGAGAAGAGCTGCCAAGCTTGCCTCTCTGTTTTGGAAGGTGGGACATCTGTTAACATTAGTATGGACATGGGCATGGGGGAAATCACAAGAATTCTGCTTCAAAATGAACATTCAGAATAAACTGTAGTTTATTTTAAGGCTCTGAATACTAAGCCCTCTATATTGTTTAATATGCTTCAGTTTTTTGAAGCTAACTTCTGGGCTTTTTTAAATATACAGATGACTTTTTCCTGACATTTCTCATTTCTAGAGTCAAAGCTTTTGAAGATTAGAATGTATGTGTTACTGCAGTTTCAACAAGGAAGGTGGTTTAAGATTAGAAGCAAGAAGCTTTAAGGAAGACCCTTGATCCTTCCTATGGAGCCACCTGACAACACTGGAATTTTATGTGCCTTGATTCAACCACCTATCAGAGGCAGCAAAGCTAGAGGGCTCTGGAGCATGCGGTTAAATAACATTAATGTATTTGCATAATTTGTTACAAACAATATAAACTTTCTCATTTGCAAATTCTTTTAAACTGGGTAGCAATCTTATGTAGTAGGTAGCTGTATCTCTATTTTGCAGAAAAATAAATGAGATTCTGGAACATTAAGTGACATGCTGATATTCTCACAGCCACATGAGAGAGACCAAGACCAAGAACCCAGGTTTTCTAAATTTTATTCCACATATATGTACTTAATTTGTAAGCCACATCAATTTATGTCAGTAGAGCCATTCACTCACCCATAAAGAGCCAAATGTTTTTGTGCAAACGTTTTTTTCAAGATTATGATTCTGAAAAGTGAACTACAATTCATTTCCTGGCTAACAAGATGAAGGCCTCAATTGAACAATGAACCAAAATTCCCTCAAAATAGCATTGGCACACCCTGCATTGGACTATGAAAAAAAAAAAGAATGCATTCGGTACTGGTTTTAAAATACCAAAATGAGAAAGGAAAAGAGCTGTCTGGAAAGCACTCTACACTGAGAGACCTGAGTTCTGGTCCTTGTGGCATAACCCTGGCCAAATTCATTTTAGCATTATTTCCACAACAGGTAAAGAGATGTGGCTGAACTGAATTCTCTCTAAGATCCCTTTCATGATTCAATAAAGGACATTGAGCTGGAATCACCACCTTACACTTTACTGACAGATTGTCAGATCTGAGTTTGAATGACTTCAAGCACATGCAGGCTTACACACACACACACTTACCAACACTTTCCCTATAGTAATTCAGCCCACACACTCTTAGAAATCACAGCAAGTCTTAAATGACAACAAACCTAGCCAAGGGAGCAAACAAATTAGCTCTGCAATTAATTTCATGACAGCAAAAGAGATCTTGGAGCAGTGATCTATGTAGGAGGATTCTAAGAAGAGAAGGAAGATTACTAGGCATGATCAGTTGGTCTTGAGTGGTCATTCCGCTTTATGTGAAAGGTGGCTCAAAAGTAAGAAGATGGGAAACTGAAAATCAAGAGCATTGTGGAATTGCTTGAAAAGTCAGAATTTTTCAAAGAGGCCTTAGCTTGGTATTAGTTTATAGTCTATGAAGGTTTTCACACACATGGCTTTGATTCTCACTTCAAGTCTGTGAAGTAAAGGAAGGGCGTTATATTCCCTGGTTAATAGGTGAAGAAACAGGCGGAGGTGCATTAAGGGTTATGTCCAAAGTAACACACTCAGGAAGCCTTTTATGGATTTGCACGCACCAGCGCACCTGTTAAAAACCCACAATAGCCTGTAATCCCAGCACTTTGGGAGGCCGAGGCGGGCGGATCACGAGGTCAGGAGATCGAGACCATCCTGGCTAACACGGTGAAACCCGGTCTCTACTAAAAAAATTAGCCGGGCGTGGTAGCGGGCGCCTAGCTACTCAGGAGGCTGAGGCAGGAGAATGGCGTGAACCCGGGAGGCGGAGCTTGCAGTGAGCCGAGATCGCGCCACTGCACTCCAGCCTGGGCGACAGAGCGAGACTCCGTCTCAAAAAAAAAAAAAAAAAAACCCACAATAGGCCAGGCGCAGTGGCTCACGCCTGTACTCCCAGCACTTTGGGAGGCCGAGACGGGTGGATCACGAGGTCAGGAGATCAAGACCATCCTGGCTATCGCGGTGAAACCCCATCTCCACTAAAAATACAAAAAATTAGCCAGGCATGGTGGCGGGCGCCTGTAGTCCCAACTACTCGGGAGGCTGAGGCAGGAGAATGGCTTGAACCCGGGAGGCGGAGCTGGCAATGAGCCGAGACCGCGCGCCACTGCACTCCAGACTGGGCGAAAGAGCGAGACTCCCACAAAGAAAACACACAATAGCAGAAAATATGCCATCAAAAGTTAATAATTCAAACAGCCCTTCCCCAACCCCAAAAAGCAACCAGATGAAACAACTAAAGATTCAAAAACATACATGTCAGTAGAGTTTGTGTTCAGACTTTCTGAGTCTCTTGCAAGTGGCCAAGACAATGTAATGTGGCATTTTGGTCAAAGTTTAGCTTATTACAGGGAATAATTATTCTTTGAAATATATATGACATGACCAAACTATAGATGGTTAAGTGAATCATTTTTCTTTTGGACACATTTATCTTTGAGTTTATAATTATTATTATGACATATGTATTAGTAACATTTACAGCACATTACAGTAAGTTGCAATTTACAAAGATAAATTTCTCCAATGTTATGTGAGCTTAACTTTCTCATTGAAGTCCTGTTATTGAAGTAATCTGCTTTCACATTTTACCTAGTGAACTCTTACTAGCCATTAAAACTCGGCTCATCTCTGGAAGCATTTCTGACCTCCGAATCCGGTTTCCATCACAAATTACATTTGATAATTTTCTCTTTACCCCATTGGACTATAAGCTCTTCGAGGTCAGGGGTCATACCTAATTCATTCTTGTATTCTGGTCTCCTGCCACTTAGAAGTGCTCAATAAATGAGAATGAACAGATGGATGAAAGAAGGAACTGGAGAATACAATCCAGGTAACATACTGGGAAATGTAATTTAACACAATTTACTGCATTATTGTTTGAGCCGTTTGGCCAATATCGTAGAACGTTCAACAGAGTCTATATTTTAACCATGTTTAAATTAAACACAAACTGCCTTCTCAGGAGACAGAGACTCTCAAAATCATGGGCTGGATGGGGTCTCCAAGAACCATCTGGTCCATCCATGCCTGCAGGCAAGTGAGTGTCTAAATAATCGAGGGGCTTTTCTGTTTTATTTAAAGCTTCGCTTTTTTTAAATAGAAAGGAGGCAAAAATCTCCCTTTGTGAAGCTTCTGGTTTCCATCCAGAAGAATCCCATTCCCTTACCCTGACCCTTCAGAAAAGAACAGACTCCGAAAGTCCCTGGAAAACTGCCTCATGCATGAATTTGTCCCTGTTCATATTTTCTTCTCCTTTCTTTCACTAGTGTAATCTCTTCCTCTCTCACACTCACTTTCAACTATAGAACAGAACGTCCATTTCACACTGTTAAAAATCCCTGTCTCATTTTTCAGTGCTAAAACGATACAGTGCCCTGCAGATCTTCAGACACTCATTTTTTTAAAGGCATTGCTGTGAACCAAGTTCATTGGCTGTGGGTTTAATAAACTCTCCCGGGCGCTGGTATCTTTCAGTCTGTCAATTTAAAAATCCTTTCTTCAGCACTATAGATCACTGCAGAGAGAGAAGTGCACTCACAAAAAGGGACAGCAGGAAAATACCAGAATGCAAAGAAATGAATGCCTCAAAGGCTGCCACTGATGAAGATAATTAATAGCCCAGTTGTAAATAAAATAACTTTAAGAATGCAAAATGAGATAACACTATTAGAAAGGGGGGTTGTTTATGTTCTGGCAGGGGTAATAAACACAACACACATTAAGAAATACTGAAGATGTTCATTTAAAAATTCTTAAGTTTCCTACTCAGCACTCCACCCCTCTGCCCAAAAGGCTAAGATATAAACAGCTCTATTGGTGGTTTTGTTCCTTATTTGCTTATTTCATTTTACCCTCAGATAAAACACAGATCAGGTTTAGGTCCAACTTCCCTTAAGGATAGCACATTTTCTTCTCTCTTTTATAAACCTGATCCTATTCTCTATTTACATACTTTGCAACCTGCCCACATACTGCCTTGCGTTGCCTTTTCAATTGTATATGTTTAAATGTCTTGTTTCACTCAATGAGATTATAAACTACTTGAGGGTAGGAATAATGTCTTATATTTATCTTGTCTGATGCACAACAGCTGGCAGAGTGAAAAGCACAACACAGGTGCTTCACATAAACTCTTCGATACGAATGAAATGAGAAACTTGGGAAACTGAGAAAGTTTGATTCTGTCATTCCTTCTGGACTTAAGAGAAATGCTATCGCAGAGCTTTCTCAACTCATGCATTATTGATTTTTACAGGTGCCACCTTTTTCTAAGGAGATATGGGGCACTAACAGCCAACCACAGTGTGTTACTCTAATCAGCAACAATTGCGGTCTTATCCTAATCAGAACCCATTGTGCAGTTAGGATGGGCCCTCTAAATGACAATCATCTCACCATTGTTAAATAGTGAATGCGCCTTAATATCATCACAGCAGAAAACTGCCCCAAAGTGTTCTCTTGAGTAATCTACTGAAAGATTAAGCACCAGCAGGTAATTGGCCTTATCTTTCTTTGGGAAACTTATGAGGGACTTGAAGTTGAATAAATCACCATGAACAATTGTAAGAACAAATCACTCTGGGCAATTTGATATCTTTGTACCTTCACACACATGGGGAAGATCATTTTATAGTAATGATTTCCATATCATACTCAGCGCTGTGATTCTGTTAGAGTGAATTATGTTCCCCTTTCCCCACCCAAAACAGTGTACCTGAATTGACTCAGACCTAAGTTTTCCTAGAGATAAGAAATATTGACATAGGATTAATCACTTTTCCATTTCGTGGAAGATATTAGAACCTGAGACCAACAGTCTCAGTCCTTTTAGCTGAAAGGAAGTATTGGTCCTTTCAGCCAAAAGGAAGGATAAGAGTGTGATCAAAAGATATTTTGGAAAAAGAAAGTAAGGCCCATAACAGACAGGGTTTGACTGGTGTGGTCTGATACATTGTAAAAAATAGTCAGGTTAACTTATTGGAGGACTACATTTTGTACTTATTCAATCTATATGCATTAAGCACCCACTATATGCAAACAGCCTTGCTGAGAAATGCAGACATACAAAGATAAAGATGCATCCCAAGTTCTAAACAACTCTGTAATATAGTAGAAAATATCTTATTATACAGAAGAAATGTTAAGTCACCACACTATGGTTTGAATGTTTGCCCCTTCCAAAAATCATGTTGAAATTTAATTACCATTGTAACCATATTAAGTGAGACATTTAAGAAATGATTAGGCCATGAGGTCTCTTCCGCCATTGGTGGGATTAATCCCAGGGCAAGTTTGGCTGCCTTCTCACTCTCTTGGCCCTACCACCTTCTGTGATATGAGCATTCAGCCTTCTTCCCCTCCAAAAGAGGCAGCATGTAAGGTTCCATCTAGGAAGAAAGGAATGGCCTCACCAGACACCAAGGTGCTAGTGCCTTGAACATAGACTTTCCAGCTTCCAGAACAATGAGCCAATAAATTTCTGTTCTTCCTAAATTATCTAGTCTGTTACAGCAGCACAAAATGAACTAAAACACACCATAAGGCAATACGTGAAAAGGAACACTGGTGTGTTTGACATAAGTCAGTATTTCACACCTGAAATTTCATGGAGATTATGATTCAATAGGTTTGCCAATACCTAAGAATCTGTATGCCTTTACAAAGCTCAAATGATTCTCACAAGTAGTCAAATTTAAGAGAGCTCCAATTACAGAAATTGTAGTTAAGTTGGAGTATGAGACAATTTACGTATAGAATAATCAGTACAGAATTAGGAAAGTCATGTCCGTTGATCTGTTTTTGAGGATCACATAAGATTTCTATAGCTGGAGAAATGAAGGCATGGAGAACATTTCAGGTTAAGGGAAAAACTGGGGCAAAGCACAAAGGCAGGAAGTTACCAAGTCTATCAGGGGAGAGAGGGAAATCAATCAAGAAAGGAATGTTGAGCCAGAAAACAGGGTATTGATGAATAAGCTAATAAATGAGTTTAGACTTTAATCATCTGGGCCTAGCAAAATAACTGATAAATTTTCAACAGAAGAATAGTATAATCAAACTATTACTTTATGAAGAATTATTTAGCAAACAAGAGTTCACAAGATGGATTATATTAGTGAAAACATTGGAAGCTTAGAAACAACAATAGGGGCCATGATAATAACTAAAGCAGAAGTGGCACACTGAACTAGGAAAGTGGCAGTGGAAAAGGGGTACTTTAGCAAAGGAGGCCTTGGAAGGAAAGAACCTGCACAACTAGGGCACTGATCATACATGGAAAGAAAGAAGAAGGGGTAGTTGACTAGCTGTCGCTAAGTCATGGAAGATCAGAGGTGTTATTAAAACAGAAAGAATTCAAAAGTTGAGCTAATTTGACAATGTAGGGGTGTGGTTGGGAAGATGGTAATTTCAATGTTAGATTTTTTTTTTTTTGTATTTGAGGAACATCTGACTGAAAATATCTGGTATAGAGATGGGAGGGTGATCAGGCCCTTTGGTTATTGTTGAGCTTTTTGACTCCATCCCTTTCTGCACAATGCAGGGCATGGATAAGAAAATCTCCATGCTCCATTCTAATACTCCTATTTTTTGAAATTATTCCCTCGAAGGTGGCATTATTCAAATAACTTAATATTACAAAGTCTTAAGTTCTTTAACGGTTAATTACAGAATCCCTTCACCATTTTGGTTTTTGCCTCCTTAGTTATTATTCATTATCATCTTTATTGCAATTTATAATGCTTCTCCAGCACAATACCTATATCATTTTGCATGTATCAATTATGCCTCCTATTTCTGCTGCTGACTCTACTCTCTGCTCCTTTTGAACAGACTCTCGGTCTTCTACATCCCATGCCATGCTTTTCCTAGGTAAGAACATGAGTTTTCATAAGGTACTTCCACTTACAGATTGCCTGAGCAAGAAAAGAAACCTCATATTTACAGGAACCCTAGCGGTTTCCCGTGCAGTGCAGATAATGCACTCCTAGGTCTTGTTTTTTCTGCTAAAATTGCAAAGAGGACAAAACAAATAGCATGATGTGAATCCATTCTTATGACAGTGATTATAATGAGAATGGGAAATGGTACAATTTAAGCATTTGACACCTGAAGCTCTACTTGGTAAAATCTAATCTATTTTTCATTAGAGTTTCCTCTCAGAAGATCCCATGGGACAGGAGAGAAGCCCCTGCTCCGCTCGCAATCAGATTAGTCCATCTGGATTCCTGCCATCTCTCAATGCTAACCTCGAAACAACAGTCACATGCAGACTGATACTCAAGTGACTTTTTTTGTTTGTTTCATCCAGGGAAGAAAATATAGTCCATTGTGGTAAAATATCATGTTAACAATGCTTGCAGAAAAGATACTGCTTTCACAAAAGCTAAAGGGTGGATTTTTTATGGTACTTAACTAAAGAATCCAAAAATTTCCAAATCATGCCCTGACGATTGCTCTCTTGCCAAGTAATATTTCTAAAAGAGCTTAACATCAATAAAATTTTAACAAATGATTAATAAAATCCCTCGTTTTTAGCTGAGCCTTGCCCAATACTCCTAGAAGACAAGTGCCAATAATAATTGAGTAGTGACACACAGCTTAGATCCAAGGCCTTTGTATGATCATATACATTTCACATGCAAGCCTAGATCCAACTTTTTCCACCCCCTGAGACAAAGCAATAACCAATATTCAGGTGGAGAAAGAAAAAGGAAGATGACTAGCCCCATTAGTGGGCTGTCTCAGTTTACTAGTTTCAAGGCCTAAAGAAGTTTACTAGTTTCAATTACCAGATTGAATAATCTGTAAAAAAACACTGTAACAACTAATAAACAAATTCAGTAAAGATTCAGGATACAGAATCAATGTGCATAGTAAAACACAGCTACCCTGCCTGCTGGTGAACCTCATCCAATTAATAACTTGAGTTTGAAGTCATGGATCAGTAAACTATAGCTCACAGGCCAAATGCAGCCCTCTGTCTGTTTTTGTAAAAGTTTTATTTGAACACCACCAGGCCCATTTGCTTACATGTTGAAATGACATATTGCCAGGGGTGGCACCCAAAGTTCTTGGTCTCATGGTCAAGGAAATCAAGGATGTGGACCCACCAAGGGTGAGGTTACAGTAGAAGTTTAATAGGTGAAAGAGAGAGAACAGCTCTCTGTTGCAGAGAGGGGTCCTGAAAAGGGTTGCCATTCCACAGTGAAATGCAAGGGTTTTTATAAATGAGCTAGTGGAGAAGGGGTATCTTATCTACATAGGGCACAAAAAAATGGTTAGGACCAAGTGTGCCATCTGCATAGAGCACAAATCTCTGGCAGCCCCCACTCCAAAGTTTTATTATGCAGGTGGGTCTTTTGCCTGAAATATTCCATGTTGCTTTCCTACTGTGCATGTGCTAAAAAAGGAGAGGAGGAGCTTCCATGGTGAACATGCCTGGCCACAGGTACCCCTTTCTATCTGTGCAGCTGCAGGTATCCCTGCCCCCATGCAAGCTCCCAGCTTCTTTATCAATGTTTGCAGCCCGATCTTCCAGGCTGCTCTTTGTTAGAAAAGAAGTGATTTCTTGGGCTGCTTTTTGTTAGAAGAGAAGTTCTGCCAAGGACTCTTTGCCCTAACAATCTGCCTAGCTAGCCTCCTTTTACCTCCTTTCTCAGTGTTGTCTGTGGCTACTTTTACTCCATGATGGCAGAAGTGAATAGTTGCTACAAAGACTATGTGGTCTGCAAAACCTAAAATATTTATTTTCTGGCCATTTACAGAAAAAGTTTGCTAATTTCTGCTCTAAATGATATTTATAAATCATTTATATGGGAAAGCAAGGAAAAGGCAGAGAAAAAAAGAAGAGAAGCAGGGGACATTGCCTTCCTAGTTAACTATCTCACTTCTGCTTCTGTTACTCCATTGGTTTAGCAATCAAGCCCATCTGGGGTGTGGCTTCCCCTCAGGTTCCCCTATGGAGCCATTGGATATACAGATACACAAGAGTCTTGCTTTCTCTTTCTCTTTCATATAATGTTTTCAATGAGACCACAGATTTTTTTTTCACTTCTGTGATCTATTCTTGGGACATACAGAAAGACATTTATCACATTATTATTTATAATAGACAAAAATTGGAAAAACCTATATATACAACAATAGAGAAAGAGCAGAGCCATATGTTATAGCATTAAATACAGTGTCTTCAAAGAATACAGAATATATTTTATATTAAAAGTTCCAAATAAAAGGTGAGATATAAAATTATCTAATCAGTGTTTTCAAAATTTTAAAAGCAAACACATATATGCAGGCACATATATACGAATAGTTAAATGGATATTGTGTGATGTGATTGATTTCTTTTTTTTTTGAAATTTCCAAATTTTTATATAATAAATAAAGCATGAGTTATGTTTAAAATATTGAGCATTGGCTCAAGAAGCTATTTGAACAACCCAGATTAGAGTGAAGCAAGTGAGGTGTTGAGTTTCCAACCATTTTTACCAAGCTCTTATAAACTTTAATTTTAATGAGAGGCTCCAGAGCTAAGAAAAAGTTGAAAACCACCATTCTTCAGCGTCTTTTCAAAGCTTCTGTGTAATAAATTCCAAAACCTCTTCTTCTAGTCCATGGGTGGTCAGGAATACATTTATTCCTGGCTTCTTGGATTAATGATGAAAGGAGGGTGTTGTGTGAGCCATCTCAGACCCTGGGGCTCCAGTGTTTTAATCTCCAGGGAATAAGGCCATACTGGTATAGAATTCAGAACTCTGGTAACTTAAAATAGTGGAAAGGAATCACAAAAATACCTTCCTTCATAGGCACCACCAGAGAAAAATGGAAGGAAAGAGGGTAGGGCAGCTCATCATTTTCTGACTCTTGAACCTGTTCCCAGGGCAAAGGAATGACCACTGCAGTCATTCTGTCTAGAAAAAAGGACTGTTCCAACAAGTTTCTTGTCATCTTTTTATCCTCTTTTTGGTAATTCCTACTGACATTTTAATTTTTTTTTTACTTTTTTTGCTTTTAATTTCCTTGATAGAAGAAAAAAAATTTAAGAAAGAAAGAAAGAAAGCCCTCTAGTGAGCATTGCTTTGATGGGCAGATTTGCTTCAATGAGCTATCCAGAGTAATCCCCAGCAATGTTACACATAATGAAATGCATCCTCTGTGTTGAAGAGTCAGCAATGCATAAAATTGAGAAGCAATTTGCTTCCACCTCTGCTCTCCATAGGTAACTGTTGCTTCAGGAACATGCCAACTATGCTAAATGCCATTTACTAGCACTGGGCTTACAAGCTGATTTCAGAAAGTGTCACTGTGGCAGCCTGGGAAGGAAGGCCCTCCAGTTTCATACAGGAATGAGATGTTCAGCAGCAGTTTGATGCCAACTAGCTTGACCAGGCTCCCATATCAGTGATGATAAATATTACCTACACATAAACACACACACACACACACACACACACACACACACCCCACTTCCCTTAGAGTCTTTCCTCCTCCCACTCAAGTTTTACCAAGCAGTTATTTTATTCTTACTACAAGTAAGTTGGTACTATATAGCAACATTTCTCAATAATGGTCCTCTCCATATTCTGGGATCCTGACATGCAACGGAAGCTTAATAAATATTTGTTGAAAGAATCCAGATATAGGTTAGCACTATAGTTTTATTCTTACAAATAAACATTCTTTAGTTGATTCTACTGTCTCAGTTCAGGTCCAAAGCTAGAATCACAAACCAGGTTGCCCACAAGAGGAAGAGAGAATCCAAGGCAGACGATATCTCAAGTCCAAACAGGTAAGTAGAATTAGAATATTCCATATAAGAAGAGTAGGCCTGTAGCCATTGGGTGAAAGCTCAGAGGAAGGGCTCTGATTTCTAGGAGGACACTAAGGTTAAAGATTAGTACCTAGCCCTGGTTTACAGTAATTTTTGGCCTCAGGTCAGACTTTTTCTGGTATTGGAGTAGGCTTGAATCTACAAAAGGTAATTAAGTATTAAATAAGTAAAGAGGAGAGGGATACAGAAGATGGTTAAAATGGACAAGTTATTACGCTTGCTCCATTAACATGGAATACATTGATTAGTTGGGAATTGTGAGTATCCTGATAATCAATTTTCCCCTTAATTTTGTGAGCACATATGTGTCCTTTTCATGAACAGCTTCACTTCTCATACTATCCATCCCAAGAAACAAACTTAGATGCCATATGAACTTGTTTTGTCAGAAAATGCCCAGAGCCTAATAGCTATATGGACTTTAAAACTTTAATTAATGTAATCACTTACTTCAACATTTGGTCTTCTTTCCCATGTTATCTTATTTCATTTTCACAAGAACGCATTAAAGTAGGTATTTTATTCCCATTTTTACAGATGAGGAAAGTTAAATTTGAAGTGTGTGCACAGAACGGCAGAACTTGGATCCGAACCCAAATCTCTTGGATGCCAAAACCTACTTTTCGGTTGCTCCTCTAAAATTGTTGGAATCTTGCTAACTGGCCACTTAACCTTTTACACTTTCAATTGAAAAGTTACAATTTGAAATGTGTAGAGGGAAACAAGCAGAGGAGCCATGTGGGAAAGAAGTCAATGTGAACTCAAAAACTTCTACAGCCTCATCAAGCAATGAAAACAAACCATTGAGCTACAACAAATCAAAAGGGTTTTTCTTCCCCACCCCCAGCCCCATTGTCCTCTCTTTACAAACTCAATCAATGAGTTGAAGCTATATTACCCAATAATGAGCCAACCATATTTCAGACAACACAAAAAAATATTATCATAGTCATGATCTCCTGAAATCCCACCACCAAGATAGACATTGATGATAACACTTTGGTGTACAGTACAGCCTCCCCGTCAGTGCCATTTATATATATTAGATATAATTATATGCACTATAACTACATATATAATTGTATGCACTATAAATAATTTAAATATGCACTATAATTAACTAAAATAATAAACTATTTTTATTTTTGGCAGTTATTATAATTTTCTCTAATTTGCAAGGCATTTATCCCAACTTTTTATTTTGAAAATTTTCATATGTATACAAAAGTTTAAAGAATTGGTCACTGAACAAGAATATATCCACCATTGAGATTTAATATTAATTACATATCTGGCTATATTTAATTACTCACATATCCATTTATCTATTTTTCCTGTAGATATCTATCAGTCAATTCTGATACATTTTAAAGTAAATATTACAGATAATAATAGGTCTAATCTCTAAATGTTTTAGCATGTATATCAGTAACTAGCATGCAATAAAAATTTCTTTATTTACATCTGTATAAAATATACGTTTTCTGAATTATCAACTGTTTTCTTAAAGTGGGGTTTTGAAAAGAGAATTACTGGGTCAAAATTCATGAATATTTTAAGGCTGTTCACACATATAACCAAATTGCTTTTCAAAAAAATTTTGACAAGTTATACTTTTAGCAGCAGTGCATGTGAGTATTCATCTAACTGTATCCTTGTGAATTATTAAGTATTAACTTCTTTGTTAATGTGATACCAGGAAAATTGGATATTATTGCTAGACTTAATTTGTTGATTTTTGATAAGTTGTAGCATTTTTCTTTGTTTATCATTTATAATCATTTATCATTTCTTCAGTGAATTGTCTAATTCAGATATGCCTCTTCTTGCATTCAAATTTTAGTGTTTTTATTATCAATTTGTGTAAGCTTTTTGTACATCAAAACTGTTGACAAAAGAGTATAAACAGCTTTGAGGAACTTGATACATATATCCAATTTCTTAAAATGAATATGACACATTGGCATAATAATGAGAAATAAGACAGGTTCATAAAATCTCTATCTCCCAGTAATCAAATCTCCATTTCCCAATAACCAAATGTCATTCAAAAAGAAAACAAAAATAATACATTTTTCACTCCAAGATAAGAAAAAAATAAAGGCCAAGATGATTCTAACTGATTCTGGTCTTCAAAATAATAAAACCTTAAATGTTTTCTATAAATCTAAACTAACAAAATTATTTTCTTGAATTTTGGCTATGCTACTGCCTGAAGATAGGTCATGACATTTCTGAATATGATAATCATGTGAGAGCATTGCTGATTTTCACTACGAGCAGAACAAGATAAGCTTAGTAACCATGACAGTTTTACATTTTGTTTCCTTAAAATACTTGTTGTGTTAGGGATGTGAAGGACCTCTTCAAGGAGAACTACAAACCACTGCTCAAGGAAATAAGAGAGAACACAAACAAATGGAAAAACATTCCATGATCATGGATAGGAAGAATCAGTATCATGAAAATGGCCTTACTGCCCAAAGTAATTTATAGACTCAATGCTATCCCCATCAAGCTACCACTGACTTTTTTCACAGAATTGGAAAAAATCTACTTTAAACTCCATATGGAACCAAAAAAAGAGCCTGCATAGCCGAGAAAATCCTGGGCAACAAGAACAAAGCTGGAGGCATCACGCTACCTGACTTCAAATTATACTACAAGGCTGCAGTAACCAAAACAGCATGGTACTGGTACCAAAACAGATATATAGACCAATGGAACAGAACGGAGGCCTCAGAAAGAACACCACACATCTACCACCATCTGATCTTTGACAAACCTGACACACACAGCAATGGGGAAAAGATTCCCTATTTAATAAATGGTGTTGGGAAAACTGGCTAGCTATATGCAGAAAACTAAAACTGGACTCCTTCCTTACACCTTATACAAAAATCAACTCAAGATGGATCAAAGATTTAAACATAAGACCCAGGACCATAAAAATCCTAGAAGAATACATGGGCAATACCATTCAGGACATAGGCATGGGCAAATACCTCATGTCCAAAACAGCAAAAGCAATGGCAACAAAAGCCAAAATTGACAAACGGGATCTAATTAAACTAAAGAGCTTCTGCACAGCAAAAGAAACCATCATCAGAGTGAATAGGCAACTTATACAATGGGAGAAAATCTTTGCAATCTATCCATCTGACAAAGGGCTAATATCCAGAATCTACAAAGAACTTAAACAAACTTACAAGAAAAAAGCAAACAACCCCATCAAAAAATGGGCAAAAGATATGAACAGACACTTCTCAAAAGAAGACATTTATGCATCCAACAGACATATGAAAAAAAGCTCATCATCACCGATCATTAGAGAAATGCAAATGAAAACCACAATGAGATACCATCTCATGCAGGTTAGAATGGCAATCATTAAAAAGTCAGGAAACAACAGATGCTGGGGAGGTTATGGAAAAATAAGAACACTTTTACACCATTGGTCGAGTATAAATTAGTTCAACCCTTGTGGAAGACAGTGTGGTGATTCCTCAAGGATCTAGAACCAGAAATACCATTTGACCTAGCAGTCCCATTACTGGGCACATACCCAAAGGATTATAAATCGTTCTACTATGAAGATACATGCACACGTATGTTTACTGCAGCACTATTCACAGTAGCAAAGACTTAGAACCAACCCAGATGTCCATCAATGATAGACTGGATTAAGAAAATGTGGCACATATACACCATGGAATACTATGCAGCCATAAAAAAGGATGAGTTCACAGCCTTTGCAGGGACATGGATGAAGCTGGAAACCATCATTCTCAGCAAACTATCACAGGATCAGAAAACCAAACACCACATGTTCTCACTCATAGGTGGGAGTTGAACAATGAGAACACATGGACACAGGGAGGGGAACATCACACACTGGAGCCTGCAGTGGGTGGGGGGCTGGGGGGGGGATAACATTAGGAGAAATACCTAATGTAGGTGACAGGTTGATGGGTGCAGCAAACCACCATGGCACGTGTATACCTATGTAACAAAACTGCATGTTCTGCACATGTAATTCAGAACTTCAAGTATAATAAAAAAAAAAGATACTTGTTGTATTGTATATTTCATGAGCTAATCCATCTGAAGTCTCTGTCACTCTCCTCCCCTCCTCACAAGTGAACTTGTCCTCTCTTTATCTAAATATATCACTCCTGAGTCTTTTGGACATCAGCAGTGATTTACCAGCAGAATTCCAGTAATGATGGAGTAGCTTCTATATTAGATTAGTCCTCTTACAAATGACAATTACAAACTCTAGATCAAATTTTTAAAAACAGCTATTGAAAGGCATAGGCAAGCAACCAAAATCATGCAAAACATGGAAAAGATTTGGCCCCTGAAAGCGTACCATGTTAAGTGAGATTCACGTTTATATGGCTTGCTCCATGATGGTACTCTACAACTGCAGGTGTGAAGTGGTTAAAACTCATGATCAAGGCATAGATTGCTTGTTTTGTTTTGTTTCTGCCCAAGGAATCAGAAAAAGGAGTTTGGAACTGCAAGAGTGAGTGGAAATTGAAGGGAGAAATTGCAGATAAAAAAAATCCACAGGGACCCAACTTGGCATGTGAACTCCCCTTCAAATGCTTGGCTGACCTCTGTATTGCACATGCATGGGAGAGAGGCCAAAGATTCCAAAGGAAAAACAATAGCTGGAAACCCTAAAGAGCTAAATGATGAAAAAAAAGTGCAATTCTAGTACCCCAAATTGGAGAGACTTGGAAAACACCTCAAGCTTTCCATGGAAGCCCAGAAAGATCTCCCACTTTAGGAGTAAAGACAACATTCCAGGACTAACAGATTTTTTCAAGGGCCAAGGGTGAAAAAATAAATAGGCATTGTCTTGCAGATTACAAAATTAAGCCCTCACAGGTTCAAGATGATCAGTCAGTAATTTAACTGCCTGCTAAAACCAAACTCGACATTCTCCAGTGAAAGATAACAGGATCTAAAGCCTCTATAAGGTGTCATTCAGCACACCAGTATCATCAAAATTACCAGATTTGGGGGGCACAGAGAACATAGACCCAGTAGTCAAGAAGAATGTCATTCAACAGAAACATACAGATGCTCCCTGAGTTACAATGGGGTTAGGTTCCAATAAACCCATTGTAGGTTGAAAATATCATAAGTCAGAAATGTGTATATTTAATACACCTAACTTACCCAACATCACAGCTTATGCTAGCCTACCTTAAATGTCCTCAAAACACTTACATTAGCCTACAATTGCCTAAAATCATCTAACACAAAGCCTATTTTATAAGAAAGTGTTGAAAAACCTCAGATAATTTATTGAATGCTGGTCAAAAAGTGAAAAACAAAATGGTTGTATGGATACTTAATGTATGGCTTCCACTGAGCATGTATGGCTTACACACCATCATTAAGTTGAAAAATCATCAGTAGAACTATTGTAAGCCAGAGACCATCTGTATTCAGAACAAACCAGGTGAAACTATTTTTAGATGGGACAACTAAGATAAGAATGTTAAATAGTCTACAGGAAAAGATAGAGATGTAAGTGAAGATAATGAAAATTTTATAAGAGAGTTGAACATTGTAAAATAAATCTAATAACTAAACAATATAATATCAGAAATCAAAACTTCATTTAAAAAACTTGATTGAATGATATTAACAGCAGATTATACCCAACAAAACAAAAGTTCAGTGAACTTGAAGACAGGTCGATGAAAGTAATTTAAAATGCATAATGAGAAAAAAAGACTAGAAAAAAAAAACTAACAAAGCCTCAGTTACATCTGAACAATATCAAGCACTCTAACATTTATGTAATTGGAGAGGAAGAGAATAGGGTGAGAAAAAAATACAAAAATTTTGGTCAACTTTTCTCCAAATTTGATCAAAAGGAGAAACCCCCAAATCCAGGAATATCCATGAATGCTAATCAGAATAAATACAAAGAAAACCACACTTATGTTAATCAGAGGTAAACTTCTGGAAAACAAAGAGTTTTCTTTAATCTTAAAAACAGCCTTTGAGAAAAAAAAACCCATTACATACAGGGAACAATGAAAAGACTGACAGCTGACTTCATATTATTATCACACAATGACAACTTCAAGGTGCTAAGATAATAAAACTGTCAACCTGGAGTTCCGTATTCAGTAAAATTATTCTTCAAAAATGGAGGTAAAGTAAAAATGCTTTCAGAAAAAAAGAAAGCTAAGTGAATTTATTGCCACTAGAAATTTTACCAAAAAATTTGGATCTACCACAAGTTTATATTTTACACATATTTTTCAAAAATATTTTCTGCTTTATGTTTCCTTTTAAGATTTTATATTTAAATATATTTTTACATTTTACATAACAATATCGTTCCCTTCTTTGTCTCAATGTATGAATTAACAGTAATAATAATGGATGACAAGGGATGTGGTTATGAGACAGTTATTACACTAAACTCTTTACCCATTATGACATTTTGTCCTGGCAACAACCCTATACAGTAAAGTTTATTATTATTCCAATTACAAGCTTTATTATTGCAATATAATTTGAGATGAGGAAACATGTGGAAGAACTGTAATTTGAACTCAGTAAATCTAACTCCAGAGCCTGAATTCTTAAGCACTATGCTGTGTTGCCTCTGGAACATTTATTGAGCTATTACTACATGCCAGATACTGTAAAAAGGGTGTTGCATTCATTATTAAATTTAATTCTTAAAATAACCCTAGGGGATAGTTTCAAGTCTTCCTCTTATTTTACAGATTGCAGAATTGTGCATTTGGAAAGATTAATCAACCTGCCCAAATGTAAAAACCACTAAATTTCTAGGGAAAATTAAATCACAGGTTACTGACTCTAGAACCAAGCTCTTAATCAAAGCATTCTATACTACCTACATTTATCCTACAAATTTTATTCCCGTACAAAGATCAGAGAAGAAATCACCAACAGTTTCTTACAATGTGGGCATATTTTATTACATTAAAATCTAATGTGTTTTTTGAGGATATAAATGATGCAGGATGAGAACTTAGCTGTGTACTAAGTTTTTAGATATTTGAAGGTCTGGGTCATCTAGCCTGTTCATTGATTAATCCATCCACCTCTGTGCCAGTAGTGTAGCCTTTTAATTATTGTGGCTTTATGGAAAAGAGTTTTGACAGCTAAGCACCAAAGAAATTATTCAGTTTTCCCTGTACTGTGATCTTTTGATATACTGAGGCAAAACTCCAAATGCAGCCTCAGGAAGGTTACACAAATTTCAGCTCTCATAGTAGTTTCCTTTAGACAGCACCAAAAGTAGGGGAACTTTTGTGGAGTTGAATTGTGCATTTACTGTTTTAACACCCTGCTAACAACCAATCTTCAGCAAAGCGGTGGTTTTTTTACTCCATTCTGATTGCTAGTGCAGGAGAGACATCTTATCATCATCATTTAGTTCCCTGGGAAAACAATAGCAATTGGGCAGCATAGATTTATTAGTGATAGCAAGAGCAAAAGCTGCAGAACACACTGCTCAATTTTTGCCTCATAATTCTTCTAAATTTTCAATCATTATTTCTTTCTCACTTATAAATTTGTTTTTAATAGAAAGATCATGAACAAGCATTTGTCTTTATTCTGTCACCATGAAAGGTCATTTCCCAGGCTGGAATGTAAATAAGGCTACGCAAAACTTACTCTCATATAATGGGATTTTTTTGTCCAGTCTTTTCTATTCCCTTCTTTCAAAATTATGAACATTTTCTAGAACATTGTCAAAGATACCCTTTGCCCTACACTTACAAAAACTATAAATGGTATGGAAAAGTCAAGTTTACTTTCTGAGCTTTCTAATAAACATTTCTGGAAAGGTCATCTGTCCCATAGAAGCCCACAGACACAGCATATGGGGTCCTTGGCATGCTGTGACAGCTTGGATGTCACTTCTGCTGATACAGTCCCCATATTTATGGTCAAAAATGACACCCATGGTTTACCTGCACCCATAGCTATCAGAAACAACTCACTTCCAACCTGCTATTCCCAAATCAAAATGAGACAAAATGTAAGATTCTTGTGCACTGCCACTGTTGACACTATGGAGTGACCATTACAAAATTTAAAGCTATTTCTCTAACCTCTGGTGTAAACATCTACAACATACTTTTGTTGTATTTATTATGTTCACTGTTATTGAGGCAGGAGAATAGGGCCTGGAGGCAGGGAACCTAAGGACTTCCTAGAACTAAATCAAATGAAAATACTGCAGCTATGACAGGAAATATCCTCTTCATTTACATAGGGTGTACATGGAGTAAATGACTTTGTAACTTTACTTCATCCTCTCCATTTACATACGGCGTACACCAAGTAACCAGTGGAAACCTTTAGAGGATATTTAAACCCCAGAAAATTCTGTAGCGAGTCTCTTGAGTCCCTATGCTCGGGCCTGCTCCCACCCTGTGGAGCGTACTTTCGTTTTCAATAAATCTCTGCTTTTGTTGCTTCATTCTTTCCTTGCCTTGTTTGTGCATTTAATCCAATTCTTTGTTTAAGACGCCAAGAACCTGGACACCTTCGACCGGTAACAATATGATCATCTCTCAGCCCCTTCCTCTTTATTGCTGCCCTCATTTCTTCTTCCTCTCCTCTTTCTTCTAGACTTCATGGCTTTTTTCTTCTAGCGGTCATGCCCTAACATCTTTCATCTCTGATTTCGGTTTATTTTTTGCTCCCAAATTCATAATCTTCTTTCACACCATGTATCTCTCATCTTGATTCCTACTGTTAATCTTTATCTTTCTTCTTACTCAAATAGAATCTATTCTTCAAGAATGTACTCAAATGAAGCCATTTCTGACCTCTCCCACTCACATTGGTTGCTATTAAATGTATAGCTTGAACCATACTACTTTTCACTTCGTTTTATTTACTGTATAAAATTATAAAATGTTGGAGCTGAAAGGGATCTCAAAATCAGTTATTCAACACACAAAAAAAGTGTAGAAAAGTAGGGGTAATAATAATAAGCACAAAGAAAGATGATATAAAGAAGTCCTAATATATCAGTAATTACAGATTAAACTTGCAATTGGACCAAACAATTGGACTAAACTTGTCAAAGACAGAAATTGTCAGACTGGATTGTTTTTAAAATCAGAAAATGGCATAGAAAGAAAATTAAAGGACAAAAAGTATGCCAGTAAAATACTTTAAAAATAGTTTGCATAAAGATATTCACATAAGAAGAATGAACTTTAAGAGAAAACCTTTATAAGTGATAGCCACTAATACTGATATGTATTCCCCTTGAAGATATAACAGTTCTAAACTTGTATAATCCTAATAAAAATGCTGAAAAAGATCCTCTTCTTTTACAAAAACTTTAGTCCCACTCTTCTGGGTCCTGTGCTTGACCATGCTATACCTTGGGCTTCCCTCTGTTCTCACAGAATCTGGTTTTGCAAAACCAAATTAATATGTGACCACTTAATCACCCCTAATATGTGACCTCTCTCGACATCTTATCACCCTGGCTTGCCTTTAACAAGAATTCTGTTATCTGCTTAGCAAGAATTACCCTCCTACCCCTGTTGTTTCCTCTGGATAATTTTCCATCCGCTGACCCTGACTCTGCTCCTCGGTTATAAATCCTACATGTTCTTGTTGGACTCAGAGTTGAGTTTAATCTCTCTCCCCCACCACAAGACCCCATTGCTGGGGTTCCTGTATCTATTGCTATGGCCCCCTTGAAGAGTCTTTCTTACCTCCTTTAACAAGTGTAATAAGTAATTTTTTCTTTAACAATGTTCCAAAATATATCAGCAAAAACCAATAAGATTGCAGAAAAAAATTAAAAACCATCATCATAGTGGAAGACTTCAACATACCTCCCACATTACTGATACACTAAACATATAAAAACTAATAAAGATGTTACCAGAAAGGGTTCCAGATCCAGACCGCAAGAGAGGGTTCTTGGATCTTGCACAAGAAAGAATTCAGAGTGAGTCCATAGAGTAAAGTGAAAGCAAGTTTATTTATTAGGAAAGTGAAGGAATTAAAGATTGGCTACTCCATAGACAGAGCAGCCCTGAGGGCTGTTGGTTGTCCACTTTTATGGTTATTTCTTGATGATATGATAAAAAAAAAAAGGGTGGATTATTCATGCCTTTCTTTTTTAGACCGTATAGGCTAACTTCCTGATGTTGCCATGGCATTTGTAAACTGTCCTGGTGCTGGAGGGAGTGTAGCAGTGAGGACAACCAGAGGTCACTCTCCTTGCCATTTTGGTTTTGGTGGGTTTTAGCCGGCTTCTTTACTGCAACCTGTTTTAGCAGCAAGGTTTTAATGATCTATATCTTGCTCTGACTTCTTATCCCATCCTGTGACTTAGAATGCCTAACCATCTGGGAATGCTGTCCAGTAGGTTTCAGCCTTATTTTAGCCAGTTCTTATTCAAGATAGAATTGCTCTGGTTCAAATGCCTCTGACAAAGATACTAAAAATTTGAACAACATAAATAACATAATTGAGTACTTGACGTACATACATCAGTACCTATTAATTAAGGAATACACATTGCTATGGACTGAATGTTTCTGTCCTCCTACAAATTTATGTGTTGAAGCCCTAATCCCCTGTAAAAGAAAAATAAATCTCAGGACCCCAAAGTCACTAAGCCAAGGGAAAAGTCAAGCTAAGAACTACATCAGGCAAATCTGCCTCCCATTTTACTCCTAAATAATATAGGTACAAATATAGAAAAGATACATACCTCCCTCACAATTTTCCCATGAGGAAATTCCTTGTGGACAAAGGGCAGACAGAACTCAAAGTCATCCCTCTGAGGCTCATGTGAGATGAATGCATATCTGGTGGCTTCCTCTTTCCTATTGTTTCACTAAGCCAGACCAAGGCATAAGTGACTATTTCTTCTACCCTTCTCTCACACATAAATTGTGTATTCAGTGAAAGGCTAATCAAAGACTCAAAGAATGCAATCATCTGTCTCTCATCTACCTATAACCTGGAAGCCCCCTTCCCCGCCTTGAGTTGTCCTGACTTTCTGGACTGAACCAATGTACATCTTACACATATTGATTGATGTCTCGTGTCTCCTTAAAATGTATAAAATCAAGCTGTGCCCCCACCACCTTGGGCACATGTCCTCAGAACCTCTTGAGGCTGTGTCATGGGTGCATCCTCAACCTTGGCAAGAAAAACTTTCTGAATTAATTGAGACTTGTCTCAGATACCTTTTGGGTTATACCCTAATGGGATGCTATTTGGAGATAGGGCATTTGGGAGGTATTTAGAGTTAGATTAACTCATGGGAGTAGGACCTTTAAAATGGCAGTAGTGGCCTTATAAGAAGAGAAAAATCGATCTCTCTCTCTCTCTCTCTTTTTTTCTATGTCTCTTTTCCTCTCTCTCTTGCTGTCTCCTCCACCACCTTCCCCCCAATGCTACCTGCACTGAGTAAAGGCCATGTGAGTACACAGCAAGAGGGCTTCCAGGAAGGCTGCCTGCAAGCAAGCTAGGAAGAGAGCTCTTACCAGGAATGGAGTTGGCTAGCGCATTGATCTCCAGAACTACAGTTTCCAGAACTGTAAGAAATAAATTCCTGTCATTTAAGCCATCCAGTCTATAGTATTTAATTATGGCAGCCTGAGAAGACTAAGATACAATTCTTCTTATGTGCACTAGGGACATCTGCATTTGCAAATATTATCCATAGGTACAGTCTCAACAAATTTCAAAGAATTCATATCATACAGATTATGTCTTCCTACCACAATGCAATTAAGTTAGAAATCAATAATAAAAAGAAAAATTTGAGAATCTTCCTATATTTGGAAATTTTAAAACATCTTTTTTTTTTTTTTGAGATGGAATCTCACTCTGTCACCAGGCTGGAATGCAGTGGCACGATCTCGGCTCACTTCAATCTCCGACTCCCTGGTTCAAGCAATTCTCCTGCCTCAGCCTCTCTAGTAGCTGGGATTACAGGCACATGCCACCATGCCCAGCTAATTTTTGTATTTTTAGTAGAGATGGGGTTTCACCATGTTGGCCAGGATGGTCTCGATCTCCTGACCTCGTGATCCACCTGCCTCGGCCTCCCAAAGTGCTGGGATTACAGGCGTGAGCCACCACACCTGCCCCAAAACATCTCTTTTAAATAACTGAAAAGTTGAAAAAAATCATAAAGGGAATGTTAAAATACTTAGAAGAAAATAATTAAAATAATTACATGTAAAAACTTGTGGAATACTGTTAAAGTGATACTTAGAGGGAAATTTTAGATTTAATATAAGCATATACTAGGATAGATAAAAGCTGAAATTAATGAGTGAAACGTAAGAAAAATTTTTTTAAGTTACCAAGTTGAAAGCAGGGTTAATAAAACAGAAAACAAAGAGTCATTAGAGAGCATCATGAAAGAAGACAAATTCAACTCCTTAAAGAGAAAAGCTCAATAATTCTCTGGAGGATTAATCTACAAAAAGAGAGACAAAGAGAAGGAACAAACTAAAATGTGATTTAAACGGAAGAATAGTCCAGGGGCAATGGCTCATGACTACAATCCCAGCACTTTGAGAGGTCGAGGGAGGATCACTTGAGGCCAGGAGTTCGAGACCAGCCTGAGCAATATAGTGAAACCCAATCTCCATGAAAAATTTAAACAATAAAAAAAATAGCTGGGTATGGTGGCACGCCCTGTAGTCCTATATACTTGGGAGGCTGGGGTGGGAGGATTGCTTGAGCCCAGAAGTTTCAGGATGCAGTGAGCTATGATCGTGTCACTGCACTCCAGTCTGAACAACAGGACCCTGTCTCTGAAAACATAAATAAATAACATAAAATAAACTAGGAACAACTACCACTACATTACAGACTTTTTTAATGCTAAGAGAGCACTATAAAAAAAAAACTATGCCAGACACTTTTGAAAACTTAGATGAAATGAAAATATACTAGAAAAAAATAATAACTTACCAAAACAGATTTGAAAAGATATAGAATAGTTGCATAACTTTATGAAGTCACATAAAAATTTCAGGCTCAGGTAATATTGCAGGAAATTTCCACCAAACTTCAAAAATACTTGCAATTTTAAAATTACACAAAATCTTCCAGAAAATAGAAAAATAAGCAACACTTATGGAATATAATTTTTTCAAATGTTCAGTTTCTCAATATGATCATGTGAAATAAGAAATAGTTACACATTGGTCAGTTTGTAATAACTCTGCCTTTGAATTTTTATTTTTAATCTTCATGTTTGCTTATCAAGTTTCTCTCTCTGTTTGTACACAGAAATCTAAGAGCATTATTATTTCATTAGCACCACCAATTTGAAATATATAAATAAGTCCCAATTTTTCAAAATAAACTCAAGGGTTAAAGAGTTAAATTACTATATTTTACCATAGGAAGATAGAAAAAAATCAAAATATTATTTATCAATTCTTTGAAGAAATGATCACTTCCTCTATTTGAAGTAAGCTAAGAAATCATAAAGACAATTGAAAATATGTTTGATCATCTAAAATTAAAAGTATTTTGCATTAAAAATAAAAGATTAAAAGAAAAACTAAAATAGGAAGATGTTTGCAGCAAATTGTTACTATATATTATAAGACAATATCTCAACCCACCATTAGATAAAATGGGCAATGAATAGAGGCACAATGAAAGTTCTAATAAACAAATATATAGAAAATGTTCAACCTTGTTTTTCATAAACATCTAAAGTCAACCTTTAGATAACAATTTATAGCTATTAAATTATTCTGAAGTTTTAAATATTCACACTGAAAAACTGGCAATATTGTGTCAACTTTGCCATACTCCTATGTGCTGATTGGCACTAAGAGATGGAAAAATTTCAATAATTTTTTGAATCTACTAGGAAATGCTTTCTAAAGAAATGAAAGAAAAAAAAAACAATAGCTAAATGCTATATCCATGGGATAATGCACCAACACCTGTAACAGCAAATATTTGAAAACAATTTAAATGTCCATGTAAATGATAGCCCATTAAATTAATGGAATAATGTAAGATACTGCCAAAATATTATTAAGTACCAATTACAAGAGGTAATGATAAATATGACATAACATCATTGGAAGTGTTAATGACATAATGTTAAGTAAAAAACATAGATTCTAAATCTGTCTGATCATTAGGATAATAACTACAAACAATATATGCTACTGGATTCAGAAGGATATCTGAAAACAAGTAAGTCAATTATTGGATTAGGATAGTGGCATAGTAAGTGATTTATATTTCGTTGTTTACATTTTCTTTCATTTTGTTGTAAAATTGCCTTTAAATTTTTTTAAGGAAATTGTTTTAATGAGGGAGAGATAGCGCAAGCTGGCCTTCCAAACCCAGGAACTTTAGCATGGACATTAATCACAGTAAATGGATTTGAAAGATGATCATTAAACTTCCAACAGATTTATTAAATGATAATGTCAGAGCATTTGGCCACACATATGCTTTTGGGTAGCTCATCAGTACAAACAATTTTCCAGAATGCAGTTGCCCTTTTCATTTAATTAAATTCATGTACAAACCAAAGAAATACCAAAAGGCCCAGTGCTATTTCCATAGGAGATTTGATATGGCTAATATAGAGTTCTATAGCTTATAAGGCATAGATATATCTTCCCCAGCAAGAGTCTATTTCACAATTTGCCAGTTTGTGTGATTATTCAAGAATTGCCATTATGTGTGATTTGGTCATAGAGATAATGGATACACACAGACATTAAGGAGGATACTAAACATATCTGTATTGGACTTACCCTAAGAGGATGACTGACTCTTTGCCAATACAAGTCAAATTTCCTGAATATAACTAGAGGCCAGTAATTTATAGGACCCTCCATTTATATTCTATTTTCCTCTCTCCACCGCTAATCTTTTCCATCATCACATGAAAATTCTTTGACCCCTATGTTGGGGTACAGCAAGAAGAGAAAGTGAAGTGTGGAGGTTAAAAAAAAAAAAAAGTATCCTTACAGCATAGAGGATCTTCTGCATGGGAGAATCTTTCCTCAGCTACAGTTTGACTTCCAGGTACTTCCATTATAAAGATGTTGCTTCAAAATTGATTGAGAGTGGAGGAAGCTTTTGGATTTAATGTTGTAGAATAAATAACTACCTGTGAGATAATCACTGTTAAAATGGAGACATTATAAAGAAAATAATAGCTAATATTTATAGCACAAATGATGCTTTATGAAATGCCTTTGCAGGTATTCTTTTGTTTCATTTTTACAGCAACTTTGCATTCCAAAAAATATGATTATTCTCGTTTTACAGATAATAAAAATAGGCTCAAAGAGATGATCAATAGATGAACAAAACTACAGGGACTTACAATAGATGAACCCAACTATGAGTATTTATATGTAAGTACCTTTATGTGGAAAAGATGTATTGTGAGATATAAACTTATCTCCAAATAATTCAAGTATGAAGTCATATAGCCAGGATTCAAGCACAGGTCTTTCGACTCCAAATCCCATGCTCTTTTGCAAATAAGCAGTGATACTCTTCTTAGGGAGAGATGCCTTTTTTCCCGGTCTTTAGCAAATAAACATGTATATGTGTCAGGAAGTGTAGCAGGGTGAATAAATTTTCACTTAAAACCTTAAGCTGACTTTAATAGCTTCTGTGCTTTGTAAAGAAAGCAAGAAAGTGTGGAGAGCCTAGCTTAAATCATACCAACTGAAAAAGAAATCCTTATGCACTCATTAAAGAGAAGAGAGGAAACTGAAATCTTAAAGGCGTCTGCCAGCTCTTCTGTTGGACTAAAGGGTTAGATTACTCTTTATTTTGGAAAAGCCTATGAATGAGTCTTTGAAAATGCAAAAGTAGATCCAAACTGAGTGGAAGAGTGGAAAGATAAGTTATTCTGTTTAATAACGTGAGGGAAATTGGATCTAAAGAGGGGGAAAGGGGACTGTAGTGATGTGGTAGATGGACCCTTAAATCATTTAATATTCAGTTTTAAGTTTATTGTCTGTGAAGTGCTAGCCCTCCATCATCCTGGACCTTCTCGAAGTCTGCACGCACACATACACATGCGGATACACAGACATTCTTGCACACACACATACACACACACAAAAATGCTTTGCATCAAGGATTTGGAGAACAAAGAAAAAAGCTAAGTTTCCTATTTGATTGACTGTGCAGCAGAAAGAAGAGTCACAGGAGTCAAATTGTAGTCGGATTGAAAATTCAATGTGAAAATGAGATGATCAGAACATAGTCCCTAGGAATCTGCCAAAGTGTGTAGGAAAGTATTATACTTAAATCAGACCTTAAATCTCAAAAAATAGGTCGACTTCACAACATCTGGGTAAAAAATATATGTCTGGGTGAAAGTATCCTTTATGTGTAGTTACCTATATTTAGAAAAGATGGACATGAGCCCTCCATCGTTTAGTTTATCCAATTATTTAACAAATATTTATTCAGTGTTATCAATTGCCAGGAATTACAGTTAGACACTAATGTCTGGGAGAGTTAGACATAGCTCCTTTTCTTAAGAACTGCATGGTTCAATGTGTGAGAAAGATTAGAAAATGACAATTGAACTGCACAGTGACTTTGACAGCAAAAACTCTAAAAGAATCATCCTTTTTCTGACAAGAGAACTGAGAAAAAGGACTCCTGCAAGGCAATCAGTATGTGAGAAATTCCTAGTTTGGCTTTTTTAAATTTTTTTTTAACCCTCTCTCTCTCTTTTTCTCTCTGGGACTTGCCCCTAGGTCAGCCCAAGTCACAGAGCCACACTGCGAACTTGATGGTGATGGTTGTGTGGGTATCTGAATCCCTGAGAGAAAACCATCTCTCTGGCCAAAGGAGATGAGGAAAATGATGTTTGTTTTCCAAAGAGTGTAAGGAGAAATCCCTGTGAAATTTCCTCTCTCTTTCCTCTTGTTGCATCATACTGAGGACAGTCCCAGTTGTGTGGAAATACAAGACAGTGCAAGGGGAACCCAGTTTTTCCTGCTATTCTGGAAGGAAAAACTAAGATAGCAGGCTCCCAGGAGCTGAGGAGTTCAAGCAAGGCTGGGACTAGGATGATGCAAGGTAGGCACCTAAGGAGAAAATTTTAAGAGGTGTTTAAAAAAAAATTCAATGATGCTTATTAAGGAACAGTAAGGAAGATTTCATTCAGGACCATTGCGATAGGTGTAGTGACCATCACGATAAAGGGATTTTTGCAGTAAGGGACAGAGATTGGACTCAACTTCAAATATAGCATGGGCCAGCGGGAATTTATATCTAAGGAGCAGAGTGAGGGTCAGTGGATGGAAAATTACTAAGAGGAAGCATCGGGTAAGGGAAATTCTAGCTAAAGCAAACTAACAGAACTTATGCTAAAGACAGGCTTGGGTGATCAGACATTGCCTAGGGCAAGGTGGAGGAAGAGGAACAGGATCAGACATCAAGAGTGATCAGATAATGAGAGTAAAGGTTGATACTAAACTGACTTAGCAGGGTTCTTTGGTAAAACTGGATTTTACAAGGAAGTACACAAATGGGCAGAGGAGAAAGTTCAGGAGCCCGACTAAAGTTTGGACAAGCAAAGAATCTTCATGAGAGGTCACTGGCTTTCAGGGCTGATCAACTGCCAACACTGTACATACATCACCTTGAGAGTGAGTGCTTCCTGAAATTTTGCACTCTAGGAGTCTCATTGTTAAGAAAAAATCTTGAATGCAACCAGAAGAAAAAAATGAAACCTTGGATAAAATAAAACAAAATGATCCAAATGAATATGGATTTCTCATCAGAAACTTTCAAAGCCAGAGGCAGCAAAAGAACATCTTTAAACTGTTGAAAGGAAAAAAGCTGTTTATCTAGAATTCTATATCCTGTGAAAATATCCTTCAAAATAAAGAAAAAATAATTTTCAGAAGAAGGAATGCTTGTGAAGTTTCAGATGAAAAACCAACAAACCTTTTCTAAAATGAATGCAAAAGGAAGTTCTTCAGGTTGAAGAAATATGATACCCTATAGAAACTTGGAACTTTAGGAATGAAGAAAAAGCAGTAACAATGGTAAATATCTGGGGAAATGTAATAGACTCTTTTTCTCCCCTTGAGTTGTTAATTTCTCTTATGAGCACAAATAAATGAAACTAAAATAGAAAAACAACAGAGAAAACAATAATATCAAAAGCTGGTCCTTTGAAAAGATTAATGAAATGTATAATCCTCAAGAAAGACTGATGAAAAACAAAAGGTGAAGATACAATTTACCAATATCAGGAATGAAAGCAGTATATCACTAAAGACAGCACAAATATTAAAATGATAAAAAGGAGCAACTACAAACAATCCCATAAATTCAACAACATAAATGAAATGGCCTGTGATGTTAATACTGAGTGTCAACTTGATTGGATTGAAGGATCCAAAGTATTGATCCTGAGTGTGTCTGTGAGGGTGTTGCCAAAGGAGATTAACATTTGAGTCAGTGGGCTGGGAAAGGCAGACCCATCCTTAATCTGGGTCAGCACAATCTAATCAGCTGCCAGCACAGCTAGAATAAAAAGCAGGCAGAAAAATGTGAAAAGAGAGATTGGCCTAACCTACCAGCCTACATCTTCTCCTGTGCTGGTTGCTTCCTGCCCTCAAACATCAGACTCCAGGTTCTTCAGTTTTGGAACTCAAACTGAACCTCCTTGCTCCTCAGCCTGCAGACAGCCTATTGTGGGACCTTGTGATCGTGTGAGTTAATACTTAATAAACTTCACTTTATATATATAGATATAGATATATTTATATAGATAGATATAAATATAGATATAAATATTTATATATATATATGGTTCTCTAGAGAACCCCAATACAGATTTTGGTACCAGGAGTGGTTTTAGAGGAACAGAATACTAAGGATGGAGTTATTTCATTGGTTTTGGGGTCTCTGGAGTTGGCTGCTTAATATGATTAGACCCAAAATTGCTAACGACTGTACTTCCAATAGTATAGAGAACACTGATAGTCCTTGGTGTCAACTGTTTAGAGAGTTATGCAAAATAAATGCATTCGACACTCCTGATTCATCGCTTATGAGAGGCAAGGAGTTTAATGACTCTGTACATAATACCTTTGACCATATGTGGAGAAACAAGAAACATAATGAAGCTGATTGGTTCGTCCTAAGTTCAGTAGACAAAGTGATAAAAGAAAATGATGAACTCAGGGATTCTATCTCCTGGCTTCAGAAGCAGATACTGGGCCCTCGATATGGTGCCATTCCTTGGGGTGATCAGCCAGCTACCTGGAGGCAGGTTGATTATATTGAACCTCTTCCATCATGGAAAGGGCAGAGGTTTGTGCTTACTGGAATAGATACTTACTCTGCACATGGGTTTGCCTATCCTGCACACAATGTTTCTGCCAAGGCTACCATCAATGGACTCACAGAATGCCTTCTCCACTGTCATGGTATTACACACAGCATTGCCTCTCACCAAGGCACTCACTTTATGGCTAAAGAAGTGTGGCAGTGGGCTCAGGCTCTTGGAATTCACTGGTCTTACCATGTTCCCTATCACCCTGAAACAGGTGGATTCATAGAATGGTGGAATGGCCTTTTGAAGTCAGAATTACAATGTGAACTAGGTGACAATACTTTCCAGGACTGGGGGAAAAGTTCTCCAGAAGGCCATGTATGCTCTGAATCAGTGTCCAGTATATGGTACTGTTTCTCCCAAAGGCAGGATTCATGAGTCCAGGAATCAAGGGGTGGAAGTGGAAGTGGCACCACTCACCATCACCCTTAGTAATCCGCTAGCAAAAGTTTTGCTTCCTGTTCCTACAACATTATGTTCGTTCATTCTCCTGGCCTAGAGGTCTTAGTTCCAGAGGGAGGAATGCTGTCACCAGGAGACAAAATGATTCCATTAAACTGGAAGTTAAGATTGCCACCTGGACACTTTGGGCTTCTCCTACCTTTAAGTCAACATGCTAAAAAGAGAGTTACGGTGTTGGCTGGGGCGATTGACCCAGATTATCAAGATGAAATCAGTCTACTACTCCACAACAGAGGTAAAGAGGAGTATGCATTGGGTGTACAGGAGATCCATTGGGTGTCTCTTAGTATTACCATGTCCTGTGATTAAGGTCAATGGGAAACTACAACAGCCCAATCCAGGCAGAACTACAAATGACCCAGGCCCTTCCAGAATGAAAGTTTGGGTCACTCCACCAGGAAAAAATCCACAACTGCTGAGGCGCTTGCTAAAGGCAAAGGGAATACAGAATGTATAGTAGAAGGTAGTCATCAATACCAGCTA
The DNA here is from genome assembly GCF_000001405.40 of Homo sapiens. Lineage (NCBI taxonomy): Eukaryota > Metazoa > Chordata > Mammalia > Primates > Hominidae > Homo > Homo sapiens. The sequence continues at coordinate 54,817,455 of NC_000017.11, forward strand.
CGAACACATGACTAGCTGCAGAACCAAGGATTGTAATTGTCATGAGTATGTCCTCCTTCTTTTGTTAAAAACATGTTTGTGCATGTATATACTTGTACTAAGAAAATATCTTCATTTTATTTCCTTTCTCCTTTATCATGTGACATAAGATTTATTGACTTCACATCAGCATTTAAGTATTGTTAACTTTATATAATAGTATTTGGGTTGGGGATTGGGGCATTTCCAGTTGTATGAAGGATAGTTGTATTATGTTAGGCATAACTAGGACCTTATAGTCTTTATTGAAGATTACGTATAATCTCAGGAGATGTGTATGGGTTCAAGTTGACAAGGGGTGGACTTGTGGTGGTTAATACTGAGTGTCAACTTGATTGGAGTGAAGAATACAAAGTATTGATTCTGGATGTCTCTGTAAGGTTGTTGCCAAAGGAGATTAACATCAGAGTCAGTGGGCTGGGAAAGGCAGACCCACCCTTAATCTGGGTCAGCACAATCTAATCAGCTGCCAGCACAGCTAGAGTAAAAACTAGGCAGAAAAATGTGAAAAGAGACACAGGCCTAACCTCCCAGCTTACATCTTTTCCCTGTGCTGGATGCTTCCTGCCCTCAAACATCAGACTCCAAGTTCTTCAGTTTTGGAACTCAGACTGGCTCCCCTTGCTCCTCAGCCTGCAGATGGCCTATTGTGGGACCTTGTGATCATGTGAGTTAATACTTAATAAACTCCCCTTTATATATATATATATATATATATATATATATATATATACACACACACACACACACACACACACATATACGTATATATTTATACACATATATATACGTATATATATATACACATATATATATACGTATATATATGAAACTAAAATAGAAAAACAACAGAGAAAACAATGATATCAATAGCTGGCCCTTTTGGAATATATATATATATTCCATTAGTTGTGTCCCTCTAGAGAACTCTGACTAATACATGGTCCAAAGGCCTTTAAAAATACAAACTACCAAAAGTCATTTAAGAAAAAATACATAACTGGAATTGTACTACAGCCACTAAACAAATTAAATTACTAGTTTAAAACCTTATAACAAACTCCAGTCCCAGATTATTTCACTGGCCAATTCTACTAAACATTTCTTAGTAGAATTTTCTTAAAGAAATTTCTTCATGTCCTTAAAGAAAGACATAAAATTTATACAATAATTTCTATAAAATAAAAAAGGAAAGAATACCTCCAAATTATTTCATGTAGCCAGCATTAGCTTACTACCAAACCCAAAGACATTACACAAAAAGAAAATCCAGTGCATTAATGTAAATTTAAAAGCCATAAAAATAGAGTTTAAAATATTAGCAAATAAAATCAAGCAATATATACAATGGATAATACATCATGACAAAATTGGGTTTATCCCAGAAATGCAAAGTTGTTTTAACATTCAAAATTCATTCAATGTAATTCATCATATTAGCAGACTAAAGAAGAAAACCTACATGATCGTTTTAATGGTGCAGAAAAATCAGTTGAGAAAATTCATATCCAGTAATGACACTTTTGAAAAAAAAACCTCTCAGCAATGATGAATGCACAGGAAGTTCTTTATCCTGATAAAAGTCATCTACCAAGAAAATATATAGTACATAACATATATTAATACATATATTAATGATAAAAGACTAAATTTTTTTCCTAAAATCAGAAATAAGGTAAGATAGATGCTCCTATTCAATATTGTGCTGTACAATCTAACCAGTGCCACGAAGTGAGGAGAAGAAAAAGGTATATAAATTGTAAAGAAGAAAGAAAATGCCCTCTGTTCGCAGATACTATGATTGTATATATCAAAAATCCAAGGGAATCTACAAAAGAGCTCCAAGAAATACTAAATGAGTTTAGCGAGGTGCTAGGGTTCAAGGCCAATATACAAAAATTAATAGTATTCCTACATATTAGCAATGAATAATTGAAAGTCAAAATTAGAAACAGTGCCATTTACAATAACACAATAAGCAGATAAATTTAACAAAATGTGTACAGAACCAATATGATGAAAAATATAAAACACTGATAAAAGCAATCAAAGATCTAAACAAATGAAAAGATATACAATATCTATGGATTAGAAAAGTCAATATTGTTAAGATATCGATTTTTTTCAACCTGATATATAGAATCAATGCAATCCCATGGAAATCCCACAGTCCTTTTCTAAGTATTGACAAGTAGATTCTAAAATTGATATGGGAAGGCAAAGGTACTAAAATGACCAAATTATTTCTGAAGAAGAAAAAAGCCGGAAGATTCACATTACCTAATTTCAGGACTTACTATAAAGTGACAGTAATTGGCCAGGCATGGTGGCTCATACCTGTAATCCCAGCACTTTGGGAGACAGAGACAGGAAGATTATTTGAAGCGAGGTCAGGAGTTTGAGTTAGTAATTAAGACAGTGTAGTCCTAGTGAAAGGATAGCCACATAGGTAAATAAAACAGAACAGGCAGTCATAAATAGACCCACTCATATATGGACAATTGATTTGTGGCAAAATTGCAAAAGAAATTTAGTGGAGAAAGGAGAGTCTTTTACTAATGGTGCTGGAACAATTGGATGTTCATATGTGCAAAAAAAAAAATTCATCACAGCCTGTATCTTACCTTTCCTATGAAAAATTAACTCAAAATAGATCTGATGTAAAATGTAAAACTATAAAAATGTTAGAAAAAAACATAGGAGATCTTTGTGCCCTCAGGTTAAACAAGGAGTTCTCAGATATGATACCAAAGGTGTGATTCATAAAAGGAAAATCATGATAAATTGAATTTTATCAAAATTTAAAACCTTTGACCTATTAAAATACAAGCCATAGATGAGGGGAAAATATTTCCAAGTCATCTATCTGACAAGCAACTTGTAAACAGAATCCACAAAAAATTCTTAAAACTTAACAATTAGAAAACAAACCACTCAATTTAAAAGTGGGCATAAGATCTGAACAGACACTTCACCAAAGCATATATGCAGATGGAAAATAAACTATAAAAAGATAATCAACATCATTGAAAATATAAAGAGACACAACTATATATCAAATTGAATAGCTAAAATATAAAAAACTAATAAAATAAAGTGCAGTTAGGATGTGGAGCATCGGTAAATCTCATACATTTACTGGTAGAAATAAAAAGTGATAGGGTCTGTTCCAAGATGGCTGAATAGGAACAGCTCTGGTCTGCAGCTCCTAGTGTGATTGATGCAGAAGACAGGTGATTTCTGCATTTCCAACTGAGGTACTTTTTTCATCTCATTGGGACTGGTTGGACAGTGGGTGCAGCCCACACGGGGTGGCCAAAGCAGGGTGGGGCATCACCTCACCCAGGAATCACAGCAGTCTAGGGATTTCTCTTTCCTAGCCAAAGAAGCCATGACAGACTGTACCTGGAAAAACGGGACACTTCCACCCAAATACTGCACTTTTCCCATGGTCTTAGCAACCAGCAGACCAGGAGATTCTCTCTTGTGCCTGGCTCAGTGGGTCCCATGTCCACAGAGCCATGTTCACTGCTAGCGCAGCAGTCTGAGATCCAACTGCGAGGCTGCAGCCTGGCAGGGGGAGGGGCACCCACCATTGCTGAGACTTGAGTAGGTAAACAAAGCAGCTGGCAAACTCGAACTGGGCAGAGCCCACCACAGCCTAGCAAGGCCTGCTGCCTCTATAGACTCCAACTCTGTGAGCAGGACATAGCTGAACAAAAGGCAGCAGAAACTTCTGCAAACTTAAACGTCCCTGTCTGACAGCTCTGAAGAGAACAGTGGTTCTCCCAGCATGGTGTTTGAACTCTGAGAACGGACAGACTAGCTCCTCAAGTGGGTCCCTGACCCCCGTGTAGCCTAACTGGGAGACACATCCCAGGAGGGGCCAACAGACACCTCATACAGGCATGGGTGCCCCTCTGGGATGAAGCTTCCAGAGGAAGGATCAGGCAGCAATATTTGCTGTTCTGCAATATTTACTGTTCTGCAGCCTCCGCTGGTGATACCCAGGCAAATAGGGTGTGTAGTAGACCTCCAGCAAACTCCAAAAGACCTGCAAATGAGGGACCTGACTGTCAGAAGGAAAACTAACAAACAGAAAAGAATAGCATCAACATCAACAAAAAGGACATCCACACCAAAACCCCATCTGTATGTCACCAACATCAAAGACCAAAGGTAGATAAAACCACAAAGATGGGGAGAAACCAGGGCAGAAAAGCGGAAAATTCTGAAAACCTGAGCACCTATTCTCCTCCAGAAGATCGCAGCTCCTCACCAGCAATGGAACAAAGCTGAAAGGAGAATGACTTTGACAAGCTGACAGAAGTAGGCTTCAGAAGGTCAGTAATAACAAAATTCTCCAAGCTAAAGGAGCATGTTCTAATCCATCACAAGGAAGCTAAAAACCTTGAAAAAGGGTTAGATGAATGGCTAACTAGAATAAACAGCATAGAGAAGATCTTAAATGACTTGATGGAGCTGAAAACCATGGCACAAGAACTTCATGATGCATGCACAAGCTTCAATAGCTGACTCGATCAAGTGGAAGAAAGGATATCAGTGTTGAAGATCAAATTAATGAAATAAAGTGAGAAGGCAAGATTAGAGAAAAAAGAGTGAAAACAAATGAACAAAGCCTCCAAGAAATATGGGACCATGTGAAAAGACCAAATCTACATTTGATTGGTGTACCTGAAAGTGACGGGGAGAATGTAACCAAGTTGGAAAACATTCTTCAGGACATTATACAGGAGAACTTCCCCAACATAGCAAGGCAGACCAACATTCAAATTCAGGAAATGCAGAGAACACCACAAAGATACTCCTCGAGAAGAGCGATCTCAAGACACATAATTGTCAGATTCAACAAGGTTGAAATGAAGGAGAAAATGTTAAGGGCAGCCAGAGAGAAAGGTCGGGTTACCCACAACGGGAAGCCCATCAGATTAACAGAAGATCTCTTGGCAAAAACCCTACAAGCCAGAAGAGAGTGGGGGCCAATATTTAACATTCTTAAAGAAAAGAATTTTCAAACCAGAATTTCATATCCAGCTAAACTAAGCTTCATAAGTGAAGGAGAAATAAAATCCTTTACAGACAAGCAAATGCTGAGAGATTTTGTCACCACCAGACCTGCCTTACAAGAGCACCTGAGGGAAGCACTAAACATGGAAAGGAACAACCGGTACCAGACACTGCAAAATCATGTCAAATTGTAAAGACCATCAATGCTAGGAAGAAACTGCATCAATTAATGGGCAAAATAACCAGCTAACATCATAATGACAGGATCAAATTCAAACATAAAAATTATAGCCTTAAATGTAAATAGGCTAAATGCCCCAATTAAAAGACACAGACTGGCAAATTAGATAAAGAGTCAAGACCCATCAGTGTGCTGTACTCAGGAGACCCATCTCACATGCAAAGACACACATAAGCTCAAAATTAAGAGATGGAGGAAGATCTACCAAGCAAATGGAAAGCAAAAAATAGCAGGGCAGGGGTTGCAATCCTAGTCTCTGATAAAACAGACTTTAAACCAACAAAGATCAAAAGAGACAAAGAAGGCCATTACATAATGGTAAAGGGATCAATTCAACAAGAAGAGCTAACTCTCCTAAATATATATGCATCCAATACAGGAGCACCCAGATTCATAAAGCAAGTCTTTAGAGACCTACAAAGAGACTTAGACTCCCACACAATAATAATGGGAGACTTTAACACCCCACTGTCAATATTAGACAGATCAATGAGACAGAAGGTTAACAAGGATATCCAGGACTTGAACTCAGCTCTGCACCAAGGAGACCCAATAGACATCTACAGAATTCTCCACCCCAAATCAACAGAATATACATTCTTCTCAGCACTACATTGCACTTATTCTAAAATTGACCATACAATTGGAAGTAAAGCACTCCTCAGCAAATGTAAAAGAACAGAAATCACAACAAACTGTCTTTCAGACTACAGTGTAATCAAAGTGTAATCAAATTAAAACTCAGAATTAAGAAACTCACTCAAAACTGCACAACTACATGGAAACTGGACAACCTGCTACTGAATGACTACTGGGTAAATAACGAAATGAAGGCAGAAATAAAGATGTTCTTGAAACCAGTGAGAACAAAGACACAATGTCCCAGAAACTCTGGGACACATTTAAAGCAGTGTGTAGAGGGAAATTTATAGCACTAAATGCCCACAAGAGAAAGCAGGAAAGATCTAAAATTGACACCCTAACATCACAATTAAAAGAACTAGAAAAGCAAGAGCAAACACATTCAAAAGCTAGCAGAAGGCAAGAAATAACTAAGATAAGAGCAGAACTGAAGGAGATAGAGACACAAAAAACCCTTCAAAAAATCAATGAATCCAGGAGCTGGTTTTTTTAGATCAACAAAATTGATAGACCTCTAGCAAGACTAATAAAGATGAGAGAAGAATCAAATTGATGCAATAAAAAATGATAAAGGGGATATAACCACCAATCCCACAGAAATACAAACTACTATCAGAGAATACTATAAACACCTCTATGCAAATAAACTAGAAAATCTAGAAGATATGGATAAATTCCTGGATACATACACCCTCCCAAGATTAAACCAGCAAGAAGTTGAACCTCTGAATAGACCAAAAACAGGCTCTGAAATTGAGGCAATAATTAACAGCCTACCAACCAAAAATGTCCAGGACCAGACAGATTCACAGCTTAATTCTACCAGAGGTACAAAGAGGACCTGGTACCATTCCTTGTGAACCTATTCCAATCAATAGAAAAAGAAGGAATTTTCCCTAACTCATTTAATGAGGCCAGCATCATCCTGATACCAAAGCCTGGCAGAGATACAACAAAAAAAGAGAATTTTATACCAATATCCCTGATGAACATCAATGCAAAAATCCTCAATAAAATACTGGCAAACTGAATCCAGCAGCATATCAAAAAGCTTATCCACCATGATCAAATTGGCTTCATCCCTGGGATGCAAGGCTGATTCAACATACACAAATCAATAAACGTAATCCATCACATAAACAGAACCAACAACAAAAACCACATGATTATCTCAATAGTTGCAGAAAAGGCCTTCGACAAAATTCAACAGCCCTTCATGCTAAAAACTCTCAACAAATTAGGTATTGATGGCATGTATCTCAAAATAATAAGAGCTATTTACGACAAACCCACAGCCAATATCATACTGAATGGGCAAAAACTGGGAGCACTCCCTTTAAAAACCAGTACAAGACAAGGATGCCCTCTCTCACCATTCCTATTCAACATAGTGTTGGAAGTTCTGGCCAGGGCAATCAGGGAAGAGAAAGAAATAAAGGGTATTCAATTAGGAAAAGAGGAAATCAAATTGTCCCTGTTTGCAGATGACATGATTGTATATTTAGAAAACCCCATCGTCTCAGCCCAAAATCTCCTTAAGCTGATAAGCAACTTCAACAAAGTCTCAGGATACAAAATCGATGTGCAAAAACACAAGCATTCCTATACACCAATAATAGACAGAGAGCCAAATCATGAGTGAATTCCCATTCTCAATTGCTTCAAAGAGAATAAAATACCTAGGAATCCAACTTACAAGGGATGTGAAGGACCTCTTCAAGGAGAACTACAAACCACTGCTCAATGAAATAAAAGAGGACACAAACAAATGGAAGAACATTCCATGCTCATGGATAGGAAGAATCAATATCATGAAAATGGCCATACTGCCCAAGGTAATTTATAGATTCAATGTCATCCCCATCAAGCTCCCAATGACTTTCTTCACAGAATTGGAAGAAACTAAAGTTCATACGGAACCAAAAAAGAGCCTGCATAGCCAAGACAATCCTAAGCAAAAAGAACAAAGCTGGAGGCATCACACTACCTGACTTCAAACTATACTACAAGGCTACAGTAACCAAAACAGCATGATACTGGTACCAAAACAGATATATAGATGAATGGAACAGAACAGAGGCCTCAGAAATAACACCAAACATCTACAACCATCTGATCTTTGACAAACCTGACAAAAACAAGAAATGTGGGAAGGATTCCCTATTCAATAAATGGTGCTGGGAAAACTGGCTAGCCATATGTAGAAAGCTGAAAGTGGATCCCTTCCTTAAACCTTGTACAAAAATTAATTCAAGATGGATTAAAGACTTAAATGTTAGACATAAAATCATAAAAACCCTAGAAGAAAACCTTGGCAATACCATTCAGGACATAGGCATGGACAAAGACTTCATGACTAAAACACCAAAAGCAATGTCAACAAAAGCCAAACTAGACAAATGGGATCTAATTAAACTAAAGAGCTTCTGCACAGCAAAAGAAACTACCATCAGAGTGAACAGGAAACCTACAGAATGGGAGAAAATTTTTGCATTCTACCCATCTGACAAAGGACTAATATCCAGAATCTGCAAAGAACTTAAACAAATTTACAAGAAGAAAACAAACAACCCTATCAAAAAGTGGGCAAAAGATATGGATGGACACTTCTCAAATGAAGACATTTATGCAGCCAACAGACACATGAAAAAATGCTCATCATCACTGGTCATCAGATAAATGCAAATCAAAACCACAATGAGATACCATCTCACACCAGTTAGAATGGCGATCATTAAAAAGTCAGGAAACAACAGATGCTGGAGAGGATATGGAGAAATAGGAATGCTTTTACACTGTTGGTGGGAGTGTAAATTAGTTCAAACATTGTGGAAGACAGTCTGGCGATTCCTCAAGGATCTAGAACTAGAAATACCATTTGACCCTGCGATCCCATTACGGGGTATACACCCAAAGGATTATACATCATGCTACTATAAAAACACATGCACACATATGTTTATTGCGGCACTATTCGCAAAAGCAAAGACTTGGAACCAACCCACTTGTCCATCAGTGATAGACTAGATTAAGAAAATGTGGCACATATACACCGTAAGATACTATGCAGCCAAAAAAAAAGGATGAGTTCATGTCCTTTGCACGGACATGTATGAAGCTGGAAACCATCATTCTCAGCAAACTGTCACAAGGACAGAAAACCAAACATTGCATGTTCTCACTCATAGGTGGGAACTGAACAATGAGAACACTTGGACACAGGGCAGAGGACATCACACACCAGGGCCTGTTGGGAGCTGGGGGAGGGATAGCATTAGGAGAAATACCTAACGTAAATGATGAGTTGATGGGTGCAGCAAACCAACATGGCACATGTATACCTATGTAGCAAACCTGCACGTTGTGCACATGTACCCTAGAATTTAATGCATAAGAGAGAAGAAAGAAAGAAAGAAAGAAAGAAAGAAAGAAAGAAAGAAAGAAAGAAAGAAAGAAAGAAAGAAAGAAAGAAAAAGCTGTGCAGCTACTTTGGAAAATAGTGTGGTAGTTTGTTATAATTAACTATATACATACCATACTACCCAGTAATGTCACTCCCTAGGTATTTACCCAAGAAATATAGAAATTTATGCTAACAGAAAAATTTGTATGCTAATATTTATCAGTTTTATTCATAATTACCAAAAACTGGAAACAACTGAGCTGTCCTTCAACTTGTGAATGAATGAATGAATGAATGAATGAATGAATAAACAATTTGTATGCAGCCACCAAATGGAATACTATTCAGCAATGAAAAGGAATGAACTGTTGACTCTCACAACAACATGGATCAATTCCCATTTTGTTAAGCAAAACAATAAAAATTAAAAAGCCATACTCAAAAAACTCCATATTATATGGTTTTATTATATGACATTCTGAATAGCAAAAACTGTTGGCACAGAAAAGAAATCTATGTTTGCCAAAGTTTGGGGCTAGATGAAGAAGTTTTGACAACATGGAAGTAATAAGGAGAATTTTTTTTTGGTAATAGAACTGTGTTATGAGTGTAATAGTGGATGTACAACTCCATGCATAGAATTTACACTACAGAGTGAATTTTACTGCATGTAGCTTTTTTTAAACACCTACATAGTCCTGAACATACAGAAAAATGAAAGATAGACCATTAACACTTTATCCCCAGAAAAAGTTAATAGAAACCATGCCCAAACACCAGGTCCCTAGACCATTATAAGAACATTAACATCTAGCTTTTGTAAAAATTTTCATAATGGCATATGAAATTAAATTAACAGTCAATGTTTCCATACCTAATTTTAACCTTTAACTCAAAATGTATGTGATTTAATCCAATGATAAAGCTCATTGTGCAGACAGAACATTTAATTTTGCCCTCTTAAAATTACTGCACTTCTGAATAAAACATTAGAGGCACTTAATGGAAAGGTGTTAAGTTCATTGACTTTGTTATTATTACCATAATTAAGGCAAAATATACCCAGCTAAAAAGGTTTTGCCAAGATAATGAACATTTCTTAATTGCCTCAGTGTTTGTAGCAAACCAACTTTATGTTAAACTCAAGTTCCCCTTGTCACACCAAGCACTTAATCAGAAAGAAACTTAAAGGGGAATCCTAGAATTTGAGAAATTGGAAGAAACTACAGGGATCATAGAATCAGATCAAGTCCCTCATTTTATAAACTTGAAATACTGTCTTTGTATTTTACATATTTTTATGATATATTATAATGTTTCAACATCCTAATAAAAATCTTTCTGGCAAGAGAGACTGTTCCTCCCAACCCCAAGCCAATTCTTAGCAATACAGAGGACTTGGCTGAAAGCACCACTTTGATGTGCAAACTAACAAATCCAGAGCCATACCTTCTCTATCAGGCCATTGCACATCAGGAAGCAATATTCCTCTACCTTAACCATCCCAGAGCCGGGTATCAGGTGCTTAGAGACCACCCCTAACCCTATATCCCAAAGTCCACCGAAATTGTTCAAACTTGTCAATACAAAATTATTCACCCTGCACTGCTTTGCCTTTCCCATGATACCCCATGACCCAAGCGCTCCCTTTGTTCCGGTCTTTAGCCTCCTGACAGTCTCGGTATCTTTCCCATGTGGCCCTGCATGGTGTGCTGTGCCTCCTGTCTCTAGGACTTGTGAGTATAATAAACTCTGCTTTCTCCTGAGCCTCTCCTGTGTCTCCTCTTGGGGCCACATTTGACTGACCATCTCATAAAAGAATACAAAACTGTCTTACCTTGTAAAATGTGGGATACAGACCTTAAGCTCTTATGCTAATTACAGGTGGTTTCAGACTAGAATATGAAACTTGAAACATCTGCATATGAAATAGGCAGAGAAGAAGAACTGGCCAAAATAATCTTTACATATATATTAATCTACTGACTTTGTTTTTAAAAATGTGTGGATTTTGTTGGAGCATTTTATAATTACTTCTGGTTCTGTAGATTGGTGTAGAACTCAGGGTGGTATTTTCTGCAAACATGCAAAAGAGACAAGAAACCCCACCCAAACCCTACACCCTCATGCTACCATCCCAGGCCTAGTACTGTCTGCACCAATGAGACAAGGTTTTTATGGCACCCCAGGAAATAAAGTCACAGAAGGAGAATGGCAGATGACCTAAGTGCATATGAGAAGGCTCTCTTGATAATAATAATTTTCAACTTTTTCTGATCTCTCTAACGGAGGACAGAAGCAAATGTGTATTCCTAGAGAGGTTAGGGTGTAGCCCAAAGTACACTGCAGAAGTACAGAGTTTCCTGAAAACATTGTTATTTTAAAAATCCATGCAAAACTTGCACTCTGCTTCATAATTTACCAGTGATTGTTTTAATATCCAAATCAAACTTTCCACAAAACAAAAATCACCCATTTCTAGGAAATTCCCCAAATTCGCTAACTATAAGTAATGTTTATCCTTTAGCTCTTTGGATTATTTCCCCCAAGCACACATACTCCAATGTAATAAGCACAGAAAAATTGTGTTATAAACACACACAACACACACACACAACATACAGCACAATAATCTGATGAAACTGGGATTTCTCTGAATTGTGGAAGCAGAGGTAGGTCCACGTTAGCACACATGTTCGCATAGAAGGATCAACATAAGCATTACACTTTATTTTGCAATGTTTCATCTTTTTCTCCTTTAAGAGAGAGTCCTTCTTCGGTGTCTCCTAGACACTGGTAACCCTGGAGAAGTGTGACAACTCTCAATATTCACTCCATAAAATTGTGACTTGCTTTTCCCAGAAGAAGTGGCTATAAGAGCCCAAAAATCTTGGCAAATTAGAAAATGACCCTGAGAATAGACGCATCTTAAAGTCTTATCCGCATATTGCAGGAAATAGAAGGTGAGCATTAAGATAGGTTGATACTTTCCTTTTTAAAAAGAAGGGAAAATAACATTGAAGAACTTATCATGTGCAAAGCACTGCATTAGGGCACTTTATATTCAATACCTCATTTATTCTCCATTACAAACTTATCCCTGTGTGTCTGTGTTGAATATATTTTCCAGATGACCACACTGAACCTGAGCTTTAATCAACACGGCAATTTAGTAGCAGAGGCAGGGTTTGACCTCCACTCCCCCACACCCCCAAACCTTTATGTCTTACAACAAAGCCTATGTATCTATTACACTATGCTCCTCTCTTATTCGGCCACAAAGACCACATTTGCTATCACTGGGCAGGTGAAATAGTAATCTTTTGCCCTGCATCAGATTATTTGCTTTCAGAACAAACTTCCAAATTCAGCTTTGACTAGAAATCGTTCGAAGCTGTCTACTGTGATTATCTTCTTCATATTATTTGGAGAAATCAATTTGTCATTATCTAGTAACATTGAAGAAACACATACTATATGACCAGTAATTCCACTTTTGGGTATGTACTCCAGAGAAATGCAGACAAATATTCACCAAGATCCCTTCTTAAGAATGTTGATAATATTACTGTTTGCCACAGCTCCAAACTGAAGACAGCCCAAAAGTCCATTGACAGTAGGATAGGTAAATAAATCATAGTAATTTGTACAACTCCATTCAGGAACACTGTGCAAGAATAAAAGTTAATTAGACACACAACATGAATTCATCTTTCAATCCAAATGTTAAACAAAAAAAAAAGACATAAAGGAATTCTTACAGCATGCTTTGTCCTACATAAAGTTCAAAAACTTGCAAAACTAAACTAAATCATTCAGGAATGCTTGCATATGTGGTTAAACAATTTTTTAAACCAAGGGATTAATTACCATTAAATTAATTAAAGGAGATATTCTGAAAGGAGAGAAGGTAGTCTAATGGGGCAAGGCCTCACAAAGATGGCTTATTACTTGACTTGGGTTGTGATTATACAAGTATTTACTTCTGTAATTATTATGCACTTTTCTATATGTGTGTTTTATTTCAAATTTGCGAAATGTTTACAAAATTAAACATTTAAAAACTAAAATTCCTGGGAAGTTATTTCATTCTACCGTATAGTAAACTCTAATGTCTCAATTCCTCTGACCTCTCACTTTAATTATTCAGGTGCTGAGAATGTTAACATTGCAGATGAGAATAAGATAAACATGAGGACTACCAAATAAAGCAGTTTCTGAAATTATTTGAACTAGAAAATAAATATGCATGTAAGATTATATGTAGATTAAACCAACAGAATTCACATTTATCAAATGCCACATATGTGCCATGACAGAAACACACTAATGCACACAGGAATTTATGAGCAATATAAGCAATACATCAGCCTTTTCCCTTCTCTACACAGGGAAAAAATCAGTACTAAGGTGATTGTATGTGATGAGTGCCTACACACAAAGACCTCCAAGAGATAAGTTTTCATCTAAATTTTAAAGAACAGGTATGCCTTGCCAAAGAAAGTAAAGGGGCATTCATCATGGAGAAGTATGTGACACAGATCCAGCAGGAGTTAGTGTCAGCCAAGATTGAGTATGGAAGATTGACTTGGCTGGAGTAGAGTAGCTATAGTATAAAGTGATATTTGCAATATAAAGAGTGTCAAGGAGAATCCAGTGAGGTGTGTGTGTGTGTGTGCATATGCGTGTGCATAGAGAACCCTTGAAAAATTAAGAGGCTGGACATGATGGCTCATGCCTGTAACCCAAACATTTTGGGAGGCTGAGGAAGGAGGATCACTTGAGGTTGGGAGTTCAAAACCAGCCTGAGCAACAGAGTGGACCCCATCTCTACTAAAAATTAAAAAAAAAAAAAAAAAAGCTGGGCATAGTGGCGCACACCTGCAGTCCCAGCTACTCGGAGGCTGAAATGGGAGGATCCCTTGAGCCCAGGAGTTTGAGGCTGCAGTTAGCCAGGATGACGCCACTGCACACCAGCCTAGGAGACACAGCAAGATCTTATCTCAAAAAAAAAAAGAAAAGAAAAAAGTAAGAATAAAAGAAAGAAAGAAAAATTAGTAAGAAAAAGACAAACATCTTCAATCTTAAAATACACAAAGACTGGCCGGGCACAGTGGCTCACACCTGTAATCCCAGCACTTTGGGAGGCCCAGGCAGGCAGATCACCTGACGTTGGGAGTTCGAGACCAGCCTGACCAACATAGAGAAACCCCATCTCTACTAAAAATACAAAATTAGCCAGGAGTGGTGGCACATGCCTGTAATCCCACCTACTCTGGAGGCTGAGGCAGGAGAATCACTTGAACCCAGGAGGCGGAGGTTGTGGTGAGCTGAGGTCGCACCATTGCACTCCAGCCTGGGCAACAAGAGCAAAACTCCGTCACAAAAAAAAAAAAAAAATTACACAAAGACTGGAATAGATTTTTCACAGAAAAGGATTTCAAAAAGCCAATAAGCATATAAAAACATGTCCACATTAATTAGCAAAAAAAAATAAAAAATGAAGCTAAACTGAGTTCCCACCATACACTCATCAAATTGACTAAAATGAAAAAAATCAACAACGCCATGTAGTGGCAAGGACATGGAACAAATGGAACTTTCTCACTGCCGAGCAAGGTGTCAGAGCCCCGGCATCAGAAAGTGGTTGACCCACAGGAAGAAATAAGAATTTACTGATGACAGTGTAGAGTTGAAAAGGAAAGTTTTATTAGATAGACACTGCAGAAGAGTGCAGCAGGGTGCCTAAGCAAGAGAGGACTGAGTGCGTCACGATGGATTTTTCCTTAGGGGTATTTATGGACCTTAAACGGGACCTTCAGGGTAATTTGAACTATGTTAGCTACATAAGTCATGATAAATGATTACATTTGTAGACATTTTGGTGCCTTGACATCAGCAAGGGTTGCATATTGAGTTTTGACATGTATGCATTTCAGAGATGTATAGAAATCCCAGTCATTTATAAATCTTGGAGAAAGAAATCTGGTACCAGGTGTTGGCTTCAGATAATAAGGAAGTGTAATTACTTCTAAATTACTCAGATAAGGAGTTTTGCCTCTGGATTGTCTGCTTGGTAGCCACTAGGTGATCTTTGCTTTCCTCACTCACTTTTCTGGTAGTCCTGTAAATTGGAATAACTTTGGAAAATGTTTGGTAATATCTACCAAAGCTAAACATATGTCCTATGACCCTGCAGTCCTGCTCCTGGATATATACTCAACAGAAATTAGTTCCATGCCTATGAAAGACTTGCACAGGAACGTTGACAGCAATTTTATTCAAATAGCCAAAAACTGGAAATGACCCAAATTGTTCATCCACAGTAAAAGGAGCAAATAAATGATAGTATAGTCATACAATGAAATACTGTAGAGCAACAAAAAAGAACAAGTTACTGATTATATAACTATGTAAATGAATCTCACAAATAAAATGTTAAATGAAAGAAGTCAGACTTTACTTAAAGAGTATATATTTACATATTATATACATTCACAAAAGAGGATTTCATTTCCATTTATTTGATGTTTAAAAACAAAAACTTGTCTACAGCCGTAGAAGTCAGAACAGTAGTTAGCTTCTGTGAGAGAAAACCTTCCCAGGCGAAGGCACAATGAATCATTCTGGGCCCCTACACATGTTCTGTATCTCGATCTAAGTGGTAGTTACATAGGTTCACACACGTGCAAAAATGTATTGGGCTGTACACTTAATATTTATAACTTACCTTAGTTATACCTCAAGAAAAATAAATTTAAAGACTGTAGCAACCAAAATAAAAAGTATCAAAAGAAGCAAATGAAAAAGTGCAGGTCTGGCAAAAGAGGGTAAATAAATTATTTCTTTTCCCATAAAGCATTAATGCCTCCCTTTACATTTTTATGTTGGCCATGTAATTATTAAAATCTTATAAAAGAAGATTTTAATCACATATATCCCCACTTATAACTCAACCCTAAAACATGAACTGTTTTTATTTATTCATGTTCTCTTGCATATCCTTTTCCATTGATCTGTATACAACATTACATAAGGAGTCATTCGGGACACAAATTCTATATAGAAGAAATCAGGATTTGCAATCAGAGAATCTAATTTGAATCCTTGCTGGGCTATTTATTAGTTGTGTGATCTCAGCCAAATTACCTAATCTCTCTAAATCACAGTTTGCTCACTTATAAAAGGGAAGAAAAATGTTCTCTACCTCACAGAATTGTTGTGAGAATTAAGTTAGATAATGTGTATTTATAAGCACTGCTCAAATGATTGGTAATTTACATTAATATTGGTGATCCCAGTGTGGATACAATTCTTCATTCTGCTCTTCTCATTTCCTCTATAATTAGCATTTCCACAATAGCACATAATCTACATAGTGGCCTACCTAATTTCCATTCCCTCATTTCACCAACAGGAACTCAATTTTATCTGAGATTGGCACTGTGCCTAGCCTAGTGATAAATCATGATTGATCTACACCAATGATGGCAAATCTGTTTCCTACTTTCCCAGCCTTCCTTGCAGCAGGGCGTGGGGTCGTGTGACTAAATTCTGGCACTGAAACCTAAGGGGAAATGCACTGTGGGAGAAAGGGGTGCTTCTGATAAGGCATTCATTTTACTGGCAAAAGGAACAGACCATGCTGGCCCTCCCTTTCTCCCACTTCTTTCGGTCTTAAACCCAGATGCACCACTTAGAACTGTGAAAGCCATCTTGTGTATACAAGAGAAATGCTTAAGAATTTCAGAGACATCAGCCCTTGACGCACCTGTGGCCACCTACCTCTGGACTTCTTGTTATGTCAGAAAAATAAATTCAAGTTTCTAGAAGCCATTGTTAAGGTTTCTGTTATTGCAGTTGAAAACATTCCAAACTAATATAATGGTTTCAATGCCTTTGGAAAAGTTCATCAACTTCATATAATGAAATTAGTCATTTACTTTTTGCCAGAAATGTACATTGTTTAGTTCCACAAACATTTACAGATGGTCTTCTATGTACCAGTTATCTGGGTTACTGAATAAATATGACACATTCCTTCCCATGAAGGAACTAACAGTGTTTTCAATTTTGCTCTATTAAAAAAAAATTCCAAGCTGAAAATCATGATGCATACAATTTCTTCGGAGTTATTTACATGAGAAAAAATACTCTCACCCCATCCACCCACTGTGCTCCCAATGATTTTCTACTGGTTTCTGGAACACACCAAGCTCATTTCATTTTAGTAAATCTTCATTAGCAGAATATTTTTTCTCCAGATCGGTGTAAACTGGCTGTTTCCTGGCATTGAGATCTCAAACTAAATGCCTCTTCCTCAAAATGGTCTTTCTCTTCAATCACACAAATGCAGTCATCCATCATAGCATCCTTTTTAATTCTCTGCAGAGTAATTATGATGTCATGTTTTTCCTGCTTATTGATTCCTTTTTTTGTTGTTTCCTCCAGTACCTCTACCCCACTGCTAAAATATAAGCAACCTGTAAGAAATGAGTGTGTTTTGACTACATCTGCAACCCCTACAACGGGGGTCAGCAAACCACAAGCTGCAGCTAAATCCAGCCAGCTGCCAGTTTTGTAAATAAAATTTCATTCAAACATGGCTATGTGTACTAGTTACCGTATCGTCTATGGCTGCCTTTGTGCTACAAGAACAGAGTAGAATAGTTACAACAGAGACTAGATGTCCCACAAAGTCTAAAGTAGTTGCTATGTGGTCTTTTACAGAAAAAGTTTCTGGATCCTAGATCTAGAAGAATGCCTCACACAAAATAAGCACTTAATAAATTCCCAAGAAACATTAACATTTTGTCTCAAAGGCTGTTATTTGTAGGTTTTCTCATTCTGTAGGTATATTTGTTTCTAATGATGCTATCAGTCCTGTTTCAGTAGGATTGCTCTTTACTGGAATTGCTTCATTGACAGGAATTCCACACCAAATTTCCAGAAAGAACAACTCATCACCTTGGATCAGAGGATTAAAGGTTTAGCACAATATTCTGCAAATCACAGGGACATCTCAAAGGCTGAATCAAATGTCTTTCTCACATTTAGTTTAGCAGCATAAATCAGATTTCACTTGCATTTTTTTTTTTGTACATCATTTCATTCTTAGGCTATATTCCATCATGGACATACAGCCATATGATTGGTTTTGGTTGGTTGGTTAAACTTTTATTTTAGGTTCAGGAGTCCATGTGCAGGTGTCACAGGATCCTTAGGGTGTTGCTTTTCCAGCCAGAAACCTTTGTGGCTGGTGGCACCTTTGCCCAAATTTTGCTTGGGCCCGCTGGGCTTGTTCCACCCACTTGACCCAGCAGGCCGTGCTCAGCTTGTGCTACTGGCCCAGATGTCATGCCTGCCAAGGGCAAGCCAGGTGTGGAGCAGTGAGGGGTGTGTGAGTGAGCATGGGGTCCAGCCACTGCACACAGCTAGGCATGCCAGCTGCAGTGGGGCAGGCAGTTCCAGGCTCCAGCACAGGCCATGGCTTTGTGTAAGGCAGTGGCTGGACCAGGCATACCAATAGCGGATTCCACTGTGAGCACCAGGGAACACAGTGGCACCCAGAAGATCAGAGTTGCCAGGAACTACAGAGCCCCAAAGAAGGTGTCACAGCCTTGGCTCAGGGAGCCCCTAGGTCTGGCTTCCCTAAAGGGCTGCAGCTCTTCTCTCCTTCCCATTGCCCACAATGTGACAAGCAGGGGGCATGTTCTAGCCCTATTTGTGTTACAGCACTTTCAGTCCCACCATTCAGTGGGTCCTGAGTTCTTGTCCCCTGTCCAGGAAGAATGAGGTAGGCAGACAACTGGAGGGTGAGCAAGGCAGACAGGGGCTTCATGGAGCAACACAACAGTTCTCAGGAGACCTGGAGTGGGTGGCTCCTTTCTGCAGCTGGTAGTACGGACATCTCTGTGAGTCTGGCTGAGTCCTAGGCTTTTATGGACTTTGGAAGAGGGAAAGTGCATGCTGATAGGTCCATAGGTGGCCATGGGCACCGGAAAAAGCACCACAGTTCTCACTTCGGGCCACAGACTCTATGTTTAAGGCCCTTCCTGGCTTGAAGGTCGGGCTTCATCAGAGACCTGCCCCTTTCCACCCAGAAGGTTGTCTTTATCCTGCTACCATCAATCATGTCATCCCTTTTCTGGCGCCCAGGCTGTTTGTGCAGAGGGGTGCCTGCAGGCCCACACCCAGCCACCCTTAGCCCCACCTCAGCTTCCCTCCCATGCTTGTCAGTGCCCAAAATCTGGAGGGGTCCAAGGCAGCAGGGGCTTGGTGGGTCAGCACCACCCTGAGCACTCACACACTTGGCTGGGTTGCAACAGCACCTGGGCTTGTCCTCAACTTTGCTCCCAAATCGGAGCAGGCATGGCGAGAGGCCAGGCAGCAGGAGCAGGCACTTTCTAGCTTGCAGGGGCAGGGAGGCTTCCTGGGTCTCAGGGAGTACAGGGATGCCCGGGTCCACAGCCATGGCTAGGAAGCAGCAGCTGTGCCTGGGAGGGTGGGGCTGCCACCCCGTGAACTCAGGAAGGCAGTGGGGCTTCCCCCTGTTCCCAGCTCCCACTGGCTCCATGGAACATGCTGTTGGCGTCTTCACAGTGGCCACTTCAGATAGGCCGCTGCTACCGTCATGGGTTTATTATATAGGTAAACTCATGTAATGGGGATTTGTTGTACTGGTAATTTCATCACCCAGGTACCAAGACTAGTACCCAATAGTTATTAGATCTTCATTTGTCAACCCAAATTACACTACCGACAAGTGAAATATCTGAATTTTTTATCACAATTAAAATTGTGTTCTAAATAATATCAACATCTTCATTTGATTTTCCAAAAAAAAAATAGGTTGCTCTTTAATTCAGATTCTTTTCATGCATTTTTTTTAATCACTGAAATGAAATAAAACTGCTCTGAGCCCAAGTTAGGGAACCAGCTCCCATATCCATTAGTCACTTTTTTATTTTTGCTTCTTAGGAATATAACTTCTAATAAGTTTTGACATTAAATATTGAAAGCTTAATTCTCAGAGGACTGATTTCAAAAATACATTTCCCATATTTTTGCTTGCTGCTGAGACCTTAGAGTGTGCTACTAGGTGTATCCAGGGCAGTTCCAGGGACAGTTTATCTTTGGCAGGTTGTGGGTGTGGATAGGGCTGGGGGGAAGTTGCTTGCAAAACAAGTTGTATTGTGAGCACACTAATAAGCTCCTCTTCCAGCCACCACAGAACCTCCATGAAAACCTCTAGGATTATGGGTAGGGTTTCAGAGTCTCTCTTTTGGGGATCTATCGCTTATGTCCCAGACCAAATCAATCTGTTCTGTTTTTCTTTTCCCCAAATCTGCCTCTTCGACATCTATTTGATTTATGCCTCAGCCAAGTCCTTTCAGATTAAGGTTTTGTTTAGTGTCCGATCTTCACTCCTAAGCATTGTCTCTGTGTCCACTTTATTTCTATGACCTGTGGCCCTCAGGCTAGACTCATCCTATGGCCACATTCAGCCAGGTTCCCAGATTCTTGTTCTGTGGGATTTCGTTAAGGGAGTTACAACATCCAAATCAATATGTAGAAAGCTGATCTAGTCTCAAAGAATAGAGTTTAATGTATTGCAGAAGCTTATTGTCCCCTGTGGTAGAGGAAGTACAGCTCATTCTGCACTCTCCAGAAATGTGATGAAAACAAACAGAAAAATAACCAATTACTCGCTTCAACCCCTGCTCTTTAATATTTCAAGAATTGTCATATTAAACTTCAGACTCTCAAAGTATAAATAAATCAAGTAGTTGGAAAGACCACTGTCTTCAAATGACTCAAATTTTTTAATTGATGCTGCATTATGCAATACATTTGAAACTATAATCTTTGGTGATGATTCCATTCAGCACTTTCATAATTTCTATTTGGTATGTTCATGTGTTTCTGTGTTTCCTTCATATATTCTGCAGACATTTCAAATAAGTACTTATTTCAAATCTCTAGACCCAAACATTTGGGAATAAGTTATCACTTGGCATAATCTTAGATTACTGTGTTATTTCCCAAAGTAGATTACTACATGGCTCACTAATCCTGTGAGATGCTCTAAGTTTAAGACAGAAATTCTCTTATCAAATACTGTTATATACTTAGGAAATTCTGGATTCTATAACACTCTCTTCATCAGCGCCTGTGAACTGCAGTAGTAAAGAAATCTGTTTGTTTACCCGCCATTTCCCAAAATTATTTAGCTATAAACTTTATTTTAAATATTTATTAACATTCCATAGATCACACTGTGGGAAAGGAGGGTCTATTTCAGCTGAGCAGGTTCAAATGCTTTCATTGTCCAGGTATGTAAATAAATGTGGAAAGCAGTCTGGTATAAGACAAGAGGGAATGATGAGGGACGTGGAACTAGTGGGGGAACTTTGCTCTCCTAAAGGCTTTCAAGTCCAAAGTACTGAAAACAAATGATAGATTGAGAGAGAGAGAGAGAGACCAATAAACAAATCTGTTACTCAACTGAAGCACAACTATGGAGAAGATTCAGCTCTTAAGCCACTAGTTTTCAACTCCTAGCCTCAACCATCCTTCATGTAACAAGTGAGAATGAGAGTCTCAGAAGAAATAACTTATCCAGTCCACCCTAGAATTGTTGTTCTTTTTTTATTTCAAACTGGGTATGATTTGGGGGCTTATGTCATTACCAAGCACCTGTCATTGCATTAGGCACTAATTATGTTATTCGCTCCTATTTTATAGATAAGAAAATTATTTCATCTGCCCAAGGCAGGCAAAACAAAGCTGGAGTCTGATATCAGATCTCTGTCTGCCAAAGCCTATGTTCTTCTCATTATGTTATGCTTCCAATCTGGCATGACAGGGATGTGGCACTTCATGTGACAAGAGTAACACATATGGCAAGTAACAGAATCTTTAACAATTGTGTTGGGCCTGACAGAGTTGAGTAACCATGCATTTTCCAAAAGGAATCAACTCACATTGAGTAACCATACATTTTCCAAAAGGAATCAATGCACAGGTCCTAAAAAAAAAAATAGCAACAATTGTAATCATGGTAGAACTACCATTGTTAAACACCTACAATGGACTAAGCCCATATTATTAATGTTATGTTATTCATATTATCTCCATATTATATATTATGATAATATTATTCATATTATTTCCTGTCAACACAACACCCTTCAAAATAGGTATTAAATACATTTTTGATGAAAAATAAAACTGACTGTGAGAAAGGTTAGGTAAATTTTCAAAGTGACAGAGCTTTAATAGCTGGAATCTGATCACCCTGCTTTTTCTTATGACAAAACTCCCTCTTATGTTGTAAACCTAGGCTTTGGAATAGGAAAGTTATTTTTTTTATTCCTTTAGTAGGACATGTCTATATTCAAAACCACTTCTTTCATTCAAGTAGTCCCTGACAATTTAAATATTGCTTTAACATACATAATCTCATTTGATTCTACTAATGGTTTTTTGGTAAAGAAGGCAGATTTCAAACCCCCCACATTTCAGCTGCAGAATCTGAGACTCAGTGAAGTTGAAATGTGTGTAGAGCAGAGCTTGGACACAAACCCAGGCTTTCTGATTTTCATCATCATTCATGATTCCCAACACGCTGCACAGAGGCATCTTACTTAGTTCACATTTTACATGTGGACAGAGGCCCAGAGAAATTGCAAGTCACAGGTAAAAGAAACAGTTGCAGGTTTACCTATGACTATTACGTTTGAGAAAAAGTCACCCAATTTCCTAGACTCTGACACATCATGTTTAACAATTATTCTTAATCTAATGCAAAATTTTTTATAGCATTTAGCCACCATTGTACTTTCTTTGGCCTCTATTTCAAGGCAGTAAATATCTAAATTGTTACCAACATGCACACTGCAAGAATAGAATAGATTTGTAAACTTTTAAAATCCCCTGATTATTGATACACAGGAAAACTTGGATACTTGGATGAATTTCAAGGGCATTAGGCTGAGTAGGGAAAAAAGCCAATTTCAAAAGGTTACACACGATATGATTTCATTGATGTAACGTGTTCAAATGACAGAATTATAGAACTAGAAAACAGATTAGTGTGTGCCAAGGATTAGGGATGCAAGTGGAGAGTGATGGGGAGGGGAGGTAGTAATAGTTGTGACTACAAAGGGTTAGCATGAAGGTTTTTTGGTTTTTTGTTTGTTTGTTTGTTTTGAGACAGGATCTTGCCCTGTTGCCCAGGCTGGAGTGCAGTGGCACAATCATGGCTTCCTGCAGTCTCACTTCGACCTCCTGGCCTCAGGTCATCCTCCCACCTCAGCCACCTGAGTAGCTGAGACTACAGGCACATGACACCATGCCTGGCTAATTTTTGTATTTTTTCTAGAGACTAAAACTCCTGGGCCCAAACAATCAGCCTGCTTCAGCCTCCCAAAGTGCTGAGATTACAGACATGAGCCACTATACCCAGCCTGCATGAGGAATTTTTGAGGTGACAGAGCAGTCTTGTATCTTGGTTGTGACGGTGGTAACGAAATCTACATGTGACAAATTTGCATAGAGCTACACACACACATACACACACACACGAGTGCACATGAACTGGTAAACACTGAATAAGCTCTATGGGTTGTACTTATGCCAATTTCCTGGTTTTGATATTGTACTATAGTTATGTAAGACCTTACCATTGAGAGAAACTGGGTGAAGCATACACAAAATTTCTCTGTATTACTTTTACAATTTCCTGTGAATCTATAGTTATTTCAAAGATTTTAAAAATGGTTTACTTTTCTGATCTTACCAGAGGACCTTGTTGGGTTGTCAGCATCTTAGATTTTACCAGCCATACCTTGGGCAAATCTGCCTCCTTTCCCAAAAGCCCCCTACCCCACAGGAGAAGTGCATGGGCTCTCAGGGCTGCTGTCAAATGTATCCCATATCCAATCTGATTGCTTTTCTTTTTCAAACACACCCACAAATTAAAATTCAAGCTCCTTATTTAGTATGACATGCTAATAAGACCATATGACATGCATTCAGACCATAACTGGCTCCTTATGGGCTGAATCCTGCTTACTTTTCCAACCTCATTAGATGCTCCTCCTCCCCGTCCCCTCCCACAAAGTGAGTACTCTTAGGCTTGTGGTTCTGGTTATGCTCTCGGTTCTTTCTGGAATGCCCTTCTTCATAGTCTTTCCAGGGGTACTTAGCTGTGAGTCCTCAGCAGCCCTGCAGTAGTACTGCCAGTAGCTGTGGGTATGAATGTCTCCAGAGACTTCTTCCCTTCCTCCACAAATTCAGTATTTTTTGAGACAGTGCAGCTCTGCTTCCAATATGCCATGCAGCTAAGGAGTAGCACATGTCAAGTCAATAGCTCAACTCAGCAACAGTCTCATTGAAGATGCCTCTCAGCCTCTCTCCCCAAATGAATTCTCAAGCATTTACCTTGGCCAAGTACTAAATCCACTCACCATTTTTTTACAGCTATCCTTCTGTGAGTCCAGAAGTAAAGCCTACCCTAAATTATTCCCAGAAGGAAAGCACGTTGGTTTTCTCTCCCACCAATTTAGGTGTTTACTGCCCACTAACGTTTCAAAATCTATACCAGATTAGGGCAGTAATAAAGGGTAGCGCTTTGACTGGGATATGGAAATAATCAGCAAGACTTTGCCTATGCTGGTTACCTCTGGAAGTTTGAGAAAAAACAGCTTAATTTGCATCACACAGCCACAGGTTTTCATGAGCATTTATTTTAGAAGAGAATATAAGATGATATGGATGCAAGTTACCTAATGTATGAGCAAGGAGAGCAAAGAAAGCCCGGTGGCATTCTAGAACCCAGGACTGCTAAGCCAATCCAGTCAAATTGGTTGTTTATCCTGAGAATTTTTTTTACCACCTTTCATTCTTCTTTTAATTCCTACTTTTTCTTCCCTGGTGACTAATGCCAAGGCCAAATAGTAGCACTCCTGAAGGAGATTCAGTTTAAACAAAGTTATTTTGAGGGATTATTGAAGAGACACATCAGCATAAAAGAGTGGAAATATATTTGTAAGGCTGATTCTCATCCCACAGAGTACACATTTTTATCTATCCCCTGAGCTGATTTTTAACTAAGAAGGAGATTCTGATTAACTTTCTCTTTAAAATCTCTCCTCATAACTGCACAAAGCTAGCTGGATAACCAAGCAATGCATATGGATAAGATAAAGAATTGTCAATCCTTTTAAATAATTTAGCAGCATATTAATCTTTGTGAACCTTTGGAGACTGGGTTTAATGTCAGCTTTACTTTGGTTCTATGGAACCACAGAGAATTCGGGACACATTTCTCACCTCAGGTAAAGAACTACAGCAGTGGAACCTCTGAAAAGTTTAAGTCCGGAAGTTAAACTGGAACTCAAATAATGTGAAGTATTTGGAAACTGGCCATACAAGAACATTCTGTGGAAATATGGCCTTGTTCTGACACTCCATTTTTTCACAACATTTTTTCCCACCAGGTAAGTAATAATCCCAGAGCTTTGGCCATGATGCCCAATGGAAAAGGAGAGGATCAGACTATTAAAGCAGAAGGTACAATCCAGTGGATAGAATGGTTCCTTCCCCTCAGCCATCCAGCCCTATTCAGCCAGTCCCAGATAGTCAAGCTGCTCAAAGAGATATCAAAGCAATGTAGATGCCTAGAAGTTATCTGGTCAACTTAATGATCCAAGTTAAAAATGCATTAATACAGTACTTTACACAGATCAAAATACTAGATATTACTGAATCTGCTTAGAAACACAAATACATAGAGCTTTAGTGATTTCCTAATTCAATAAAGTTTTAAATATTTTGAACTCTAAATGCCCTAACTTCATAACTGCACCCCATGTAAAATTCAATCACTACCTAATTGGGAAATGTTACATCCGCTCATTATTGATTACCTAATTAAGCACCTTCATCAAAGAATATTCCTGAAAAAAGGATTTTTAAATCCTTGCAAAACAATTTAATTTAATTAGTGGCTCAGGTATACATCTCTTGGGAATGGGTTCAAAGTACAATAAACCATGCTTTTCATGAGAGCAGCCCTCTACTCGTTGTCTTCATAAAGAATTGGCCACTTCCAGGTTCAACTGGTATAACCTTGTATATTTGTATCTTCAAATTTATCTGATGGAGAATATTAATAAGAATTAAAGATTTTTTTACAAGTAAGAACTGATCTACACCCAGCATGGCTGTAATACCTCCTTTGGGAAATAGGACTGGTCCATCTGATAAGCTAGGAATTCCTAAAACCTTAAATTGAAAGGCGACAACCTATTCAAGGCAGTATAAAAAGAAGTAGAAGGATGCATATGAGCCAAAATCTATTGAAAAGAGCTGAAAGTAAAAGACTACAGAAGCAATTTTTTAAAAGCAAAATCCAAAGTGGCAGCAATAGGAGGAGATTTTAAAGAAGAGGTCAAAAATTTGAAGTCAGAAGGTCAGATCAGATGAAGACTACATCAAGAAGCAGCAAAGAAGATCCAAAGAGCTAACTGAGAACGAACACTCAGATGTCTGCGCGTCCTTTTCCACTTGGACAAGTAGGAAGAACATAACCAGCTGGCATAAGGCATCAGCAGTAGGCCGCAGAAGCCTTTGATCACACAGATGGAAATAGTGTATGGGGTCAATCACCTCGAAATAGGTCATGGACTCTAAATGATTCTTCCAAGCCTTTGTCAAATCACCCCTGTGAAAAATAGATCACACAGGATGGGCTCATGGCATGGTTAATTTAGAACCTAACCAGTATTTTAAACATTTAAAAGGCTATGTTCTAAACCCTCTACTTTAAAATTTATATTCAGGGTAACAATGCAAATCAGTTTCCTTAATTTTCCTATCAAAATGTTAACTCTTCCACTTATCTGTCTCCATCACAAGTATATGAATCTCCCTGAACGAATAGCACAGGATAGTTGTACTTTCACTTAATATTATATTCTATTCATCTAATGTCCAAATTCTCACTGAGACAACTGATATTTAGAGAAATAGGCTAAGAGACTTGATAAATATTCATTTCCCTCAATCCTCTAAGCTCTATCCCCGAATCAAGTCAAATAGCCAGAAAAGCTACGTGCAAGGACTATTATATTAGTTCCCTGTAGAAATGCTTTTACGGGGCACTTTAGTAGTATGTCTTCTTATTGAGAAGACCAAAAATTTGTCATCTCTTGCAAAATTGCTATTGAAAAAATGATCTAGTATGTTATGCAATGTCCTCTATATAAAACATATCATAAACAAAATCAGTGCAAGAAAAGTGTTATGTCCCGTGGTAACAGGTAACCACCCTGTTACCTTTATTAGAAAAATGACAGCATTGAAGTTTTCCACCATGATCTCCCAAAAGCTCAAAACTAACATTTTTCTCACCTTCTCTGTTATTTATTTTGTATTCTTCTACTCTTGTCTTATTGGAAGCCCCCTTGAAGTCATTTGTGGAAAGAGGACGTATGCAGATTAATAGATATTACAATTAAATGTCCAGTATGTGGAAGGATCATTATAAAGTGGAATGATAATTACAGCTTCACAACTGATTTGATTTTTTCATGAATGTATATGACCCATGGTTCGATCCATCTATTAATTTATGGTATTTAGGAAAGTTCACTGTGGCAGAAACAACACTATGCATTTATCATCCTCTATTTCATTTTCCTGTCCTTGGACATCCAAAAAGAGTACACTTCCTGCCCAACCTGCAATTAAATTGGCACTATATCTGTAGGTTCTGGCCAATAAAATTTAGATGCAACAAATGTATGTCACTGTAATCATGACACTTAAAAGCATTCCACATTATCTTCTTGCATTATCTTCTCTGCTTCTGCAACCCTAGAAGCTGTAATAAGAGCAACATCATAAGGTAGAAAGGTAGAGCAGCCTTCATCAGCCTGGGTCCCTGAGCAACTATGTGAAGTAGAGGTCCTCTGCATATCCACGCTGAATTGGCAGCATAATTGTTAAATAAATCTTTATCCTGTAATGAGCCCTGAGATTTCAGAGTTAATTTTGTTACCACACACAGCGACTTCTCTACTGACAAGTCCCTGGGGATTATTTGATTCAAGGAAACCTTTGTAAAACTTCCCACTCTTTACTTGACTTTGCAGGCCCAAATACCTTTCTGATCCATTATCCCAGTGAGCTGGACTGGAAAACACACAAAATTCAATACCTCCTCCTTACATGGTCTTTTTAAAACTGTAGTAAAATATACGTAAGATAGAATTTACCATCTTAACCATTTTTAAGTGTAGAGTTTAGTAGTGGTAAGTGCATTCATATTGCTATGCAACCATATCCACCATTCATCTCTACAACCCTCTTAATCTTGCAAAATGAAAACTTTGCTCATTAAACAATAACTCCCCATTCCCTCCCTCCTCAGCCCCCGGAATGCATCATTTTGCCTTCTGTCTGTATGAATTTGACTACTCTAAGTACCTCATATAAATGGAATCATATAGTATTTATCTTTTGGTAACTGACTTATTTCACTTAGCATATTGTCCATCCAAGTTGTAGCATATGTCAGAATTACCTTCCTTTTTAAGGTATAATAATATTCCATTGTATATACACATATATAAATCACATCTTTTTATCCACTCATCCATTGATGGACACTTGGGTTGTTTCTACTTCTTGACTATTTTGAATAATGCTTCTATGAACATGGTATGCAGTAATCTCCCCTTATTCCTTGGTTTCAGTTAAGTTCAGTTTTTTTTTCCCATGGCTTACTTTTATTTTTTATTATAAAAAACACATACAAGAGTTTTAAGAAATGATGAATATAAGACAAATCAAAACCACGGTGAGTTAGCAAACCCATTTTCTATATACAAATATAGATAAACCGTTATACTAAAATATACTAAATACAGATAAACAAATATACTAAAACTCTGAAAATGGAATATCATCAAATGTGAGACACATCATAGCATGGTCTGTATGTACAAAGCACACAAAGCTCTGCCTATGGTCATCTGTGAATTGCTCATTTACATGTCACTGATAACAAAAACCTGCAAGGGAACTTTTACCCTTCAGTTCTTGTCTTCCTGATGGTTCACTATGGTCCAAAAATATTAAATGGAAAACTACAGAAATAAACAATTCATAAGCTGTGTGTGTGTGTGTGTGTGTGTGTGTGTGTGTGTGTGTGTGTATTTTGAGACAGGATCTCACTCTGCCACCCAGGCTGAAATGCAGTGGCATAATCACGACTCACTGCAACCTTGACCTTCTGGGCTCAGATGTTCCTCCTGCCTCAGCCTCCTGAGTAGCTGTACTACAGGTGTGTGCCACCGTGTCTGGCTTATTTTTTCATTTTTGTAGAGACAGGATCTCCCTATATTGCTCAAGCTGGTCTCAAATTCCAGGGCTCAAGGACTTTCCCACCTCAGCCTCCTAAAGTGTTTACAGGCATATCTCAATCAACACTTGAAAGTTAACCAATTTAAACAGAAAATAGCAAAAATGGGCTTTTGCTGCTGAAATGTGTGATATATTAAATAGCATGATGAATGATACATATGGAACTCTGGGAAATTTAAAGAGTTTAAGATACGTGGATTTGCTACAATACTTTGGAGATATGTCTTGCAAGAGACATACGAATCTGAACAGACTTCTGACTTTTTCCACTGCGGATGGCTTCTGTGGCTTGATCCCTAAATGGTCCCTTCAGTGGAGCCTTATTGAGAGGACTTCTATTTGACTGATGCCAACTGCAAGATGAACAAAATCCTACCTCTGAAACAATGTCATGCCTGCATCCTTCAGGATGATGGTCAGAATACACAAAAGTGCAGTAAGCGGAGACTATAGAGTTTACAGAGCAGGTTGTATAAGTTGTTTTGAGCCTCCTCCATTAGGAAATTTTCTAAGAAAGGCATACCTGTGTATCAGAACTGACCCTAAGATTCGCTTTCTTGAAAACCCAGCAGTGAGGTTGTAGGAAGTAAATAATTGTTACTAAATTCCTCTGGATGCTTCCTTAAGGACTTAATCATTGGGCATGACCAAATCAGCAGAATGGAATAACAAAATGCCAGAAAAAAAAATTTAGTATTATAATTCTTTTTTTTCTTGTACAGAAAGTTTCCAGATTGCAGAGTAAGCACCAAGATGATAACACTTCTATAAGAATAAAAAGTTCTAGGAGGTTATACAGCAACTGAAAGGTCATATAGGCATATGGGTATGCTATATATGTTTACCCATTCCAGATGGCGAGATGACTGAATCTTCTAATTTCCTCCAGGATTGGCTTTTACAAAGTTTTCAGCAACTTCAGAAGGTGTGGGTCTTCAGAGGCACTTCCTTGTATGTACACGTGGGAAACCACAGGAGACGAAGCCAGGTAATGGAGCAGAAGCTGGCAGTAAGGAAGTCTTTCTTTCTGATAGACAGATACATATTCTGAACAAGTCAATCCATAAATGGATATATAGGAATCTCTAGCCAAAACTCAATTGGGCAGACATATATAACCTTCTTTGGTTTTCTGTGGCTGAATTAAAATTCTATTTTCAGTCATAATTCAACCAGGTGATAAAACTTAATTTCAGTTATTTCAGAGTTATTTCTTTACTCAAGTGGTGGCAAGTTCTAGGAAAATTTCATAGTATATGGAACCTTGGCAAGGTGGAGTAGGATAAGATGTATATATGTTGCATCTGATTGCATCAGATCCTAAGACAAAGATTCAAGTGCACGTAGTTTGTTTGGAGGTGATCCCAGGAAATATTGGCAGGGGAATGGAAAGTGATCTATGGAAGGGAAGACCAGGCAACTGTTAGGGGTAATGAGCTTCATCCTGCCGGGGAATTCTGAGAGTTGATGTAGAACACACTCCTTTGAGTTATCCCCTCCTGAATGCATGACAGCTTGGGTATTTGTCATCAGCTCCCATTAATCTACTGGTTGATGGGTGGCTGCTGGGGATGTGAGTGGCACTAATTCTCCAGCACTGCTGGCCTGCCTGGCACAGAAGCAGAACAGGCTGTAGCTCCCAAGGAAAGCCCTCTAGCAGTTGAAAGTCAGGCTGTAATGATGACCTGCACTGCAATGATAATGTATTAACAACTGCTATACTAAGTCTCAATGTCACTATCTCTTCCTTGCTGCCTCCCCTAAGAGTTCCTCACTGTCTTCTGGTCCTTGGTCATCCATCTACTGGCTTACTCTAAGTGGCTTCTCATTCTCCACCAAGTCTCTTAGGATCCAGCTTTCCTTCATCTACTTTGGTACTTTTCACCATGCAACGAAATCATCCAGCTAGCCCCACCTCATGCAGAGCTGCAGGAAATCCATGAGACTTACGGAGCCTCAACTACCTCTGTGCCCATGGAATATAGGATTGCTCTGTTGCTCCAGTACCAGGCTGGGTGGTAGAAACTCCGTGTGCTCTCTAAAGCCCCATCTACCCAGGCTCACTGTCATTTCCTCTCTGAGGTTTTGCCACCTCTCTTGACATTCTATTCTGAAAAGAGCATACAGAATCTTTAGACATGCTGTTATAGTAGGTAGCTAGGCAGACATGAGCAGGGCAGGAGAGTCCCCACCACCACTACCGGGAATGTCAGCTGACTATCAGGTGATGGTCAGGTGGTTGGTAAACTGTCTCTCCAAAGTAATAATTGGTTGCAGCCAGCAGTCTCCCAATAGATAGAAAAACCTGAAACCAGTGATCAGCTTCCCGATAAGATGTCAGGAGCTGGGTGAGTGGGCTCAAGCATGTGCATTAAGAGGGAAAGTGGCAGAGTTTAACTGGTATATAACCTTGCAGGAACACTCGACTGGTAAGGGAAGAACACCTCAAGTGAGCATGTGCACAACTCCAGTAAACACACTGCACATGCGACCCCTCCCAGGCACTCACAGGCCACTGCACATGCAGACAGCCCACCCCAAGGGAAGAATCAAGGGGGAAGGGATGCAACCCCCCATGAAGCATGCCAACGTATAAAACCGCAAGTCAAAGTTCAAACAGTGCACCTGATCTCACCAGTTGCCCAGTTGGTCCTCTTCCAAATATACTTCCTTTCATCCCTGCCCTAAAACTTTTTAATAAACTTTCACTCCTGCGCTAAAATTTGCCTCAGTCTCTCCTGCCTTATGCCCCTCAGTTGAATTCTTTTTTTCTGTGGAGACAAGAATTGTGGTTGCTTCAAATCCTTACGGATTAGTTGCCATTAACATAATTTGGTGCCACGTAGCTCAGATACATTTGGCTGCTAACAACACCTGTTACTTTTTTATTGCCCTCTTTATCCCAAATTAGCCTGAGGAGCTAGGTCAAGGTGGACACACCCCTCGCTCCTGCTTTTTAGGAACCTGTAATATCTAAGCTACATCACATTGTTTCTCCTTAGACTTGTTTCCACCTCCCAATGTGTGGAATCCCACGTAGTCTCCTGACTTGATTCCTGGCTCTGGCTCATGTTGTATTCTTCCAGCTCTATCATTTATTCCCTAAGTATTCTTGAAGGCTAGGTTGTTCTTTTGAAAAAAATTCCAAACTTGGTTTTTTGTTTGTTGGTTTGTTTGGCTTTCTTTTTCATTCCCCTTAACTTAAGGCAGTGAATGCCACAGAGCTAGATTCCAATGAGGAACAGGAAATACCAAAAAAAAAAAAAATTTTTTTTAAAAAGCAACTTTTAGTAATTATTCCAAAATATCATGAAGCCATGACTGTCAACCCTGCTGATTGCTCTTAGCTTATCGAGAATTTTATTCATTTGTTAAGAAGTGAGCTTCTGCAGACGTCTTCAATTTGGGGAAAATAAATTTCTTTATCTGACTGATTTCGAGAGCTGTAAAAGTATTTACTTAAGTAAATATTGCTATAATTTCACAAGTTCTTTTTTCCCATCCATGAAGTTACCAATGCATTATTTCTGTCACTAAAAATGAGAAGAATTAACCTTGCTACACTCTCTGGATTTACTGATTGAGGCCTTAGTGTCTGTCCCTTATGTTTCTGGATTTGCAAATGAGACAGGGCTGAGCGTTATCTCACAACTCATGCAAATTAGATGCCAGGAAGGCTATTGAAAAGGGAAGATGGTATCATCTGTCTTGCAAGGGCATTGCTCAGAATGACAGCCCCAAATTTAACCTCCTCTTTTCCTTCAAATAAATTGATATCTCAACTCAGCCTCCCTAACAAGTCATCTGCTTCATTGAAATGAAATTCCAGCCACACTGAGGAGAGCCACTAGACAGAATATGTCACTTGCTGCCTTTGTTTTCTTAGGCTAGAAAGGTCCATAACCTGAAGGATGGATTGCATTGAAGAATGTTTAAGGAAAACTTTTGACGTGACTGAGGAAAGGGTGAGGGGTGGCAAGGAAGGACGCTTCCCTGATTTTTAGATGCTCCACATTGATGGGCTTTAGTCAATGGCATACCTGCTGGGTCCTGCCATCATTCCTGCATTTCCTATGATACCTACAAAAGAATTTATACTTTGATGCTGTCAAACTTATTCACCACCTAATACATTATGACAGTCCAGGCTTAAGATAAATTCAAATTCAATCCATGGCACAAAAATATAAGCACCTAAGCAATAATAGGCATCATTTGTTTCGGATTACTCAGGTAAACCAATCGTTGGGGTCAAACTCCTCAATCAAGAGGTGCACATATGTTTATGACAGGAATACAAGTGGAAAGCGTGCCTAAGAAACTAATCATTTATTCAACAAATATTTATTTATGTTCCAGGGACTATTCTAGTGCTTGAGATACAGTTGCAAGCCAAACGACAAGGTCACCATGCTTGAGAGTTTATATGTTACTGGGGAGACAGACAGAATATACCAGAAAATCAAATACTGTAAGAAACTAGCTGATTTCAGATTGACTTAAGTAGCATGATGGAAACTAAACAGGGTGAGGTGATAGGAGCAATCAGTGGAGTAGTTTCACTTTGAATAGGGTGGGCAGGGAAGAACTCTCTGAAGAGGTGATGTCTGAGATGAGACATGAACAATAAGAAGGAGACAGATGTAAAACAAAGTGCGTTCAACAGTAAAAACCTGAAGGTATGAAAGATCTTGGGGATGGTCCACGACTTTAGAGCCCTGTGTGGCTGGAGACTAGTGACCAAGTCCAAGGGACAGACTGGGCCAGGACCATTGGAATTGGTGGGAAGACTTTGAAGTGTTTTCAAGTAAAAAACATGCCATCTAAGTTTTTATATCAAACTGGGTGACAGCAGAGAAAGAGTGAGGCAGAGACACTGGTTAGCTGGCAACAGTGTAACCCAGGTAGGTGAGTAATGGAAGGGAAGACAGACTAGGGTGTTTGGCAAAAACTTAACCACATCTGTTTTGAATCCAAAAAAATATAGTTAATTAGTTAATTCTTCGTTTTATTTATTTATTTATTTATTTATTGAGACAGGGTCTCACTCTGGCAACCAGGCTGGAGTGCCGTGGAGCCACTGTGGCTCACTGCAGCCTCAACCTCCGGGGCTCAGGTGATTCTCCCACCTCAGCCTCCGGAGTAGCTGGGACTATAGGAGTGCACGCCACCATGCCTGGCTAATTTTTCTGTTTTTCATTTTTTTGTAGAGGTAGTATTTCACTATGTTGGTCTCAAACTCCTGGGCTCAAGCATTCTGCCCACCTCAGCCTCCCAAAGTGCTGGGATTACAGGCGTAAGCCACTGCACCCGGCCAGTTAATTCTTTATTCTATAACTAATGGATGCTGAAAGAAAGAGAGAGTAAACTACTTTCTCCTCACTTCAGAAAATTTTGGAGAGAATCTATTAGGGAGAAAAAAGAAAAGAAGTAAAAGTGGAGGGCAGATCCATCGATGGTGTCATTGGCAACATAAAGAAAAGCATGTGTAAGTTTTAGGAATCAACATCACCTTCAACATTTCATGATTCCATCCACTTTTTCCAAGAAGGGAGATCAAAGGTTACCATGCAAGTGCTAAAAAGCAAATTCAGATAAAAAGAATTTGGCAGTAAAACTGTCTTTACAGGAGATGAAAAAAAAAACTCTCAGAAGAGAAAGCCTACCACTAAGGACAGGGAGAAAAACATAGTCATATTTAGTTTTATTGGGACCCACCCTCGGCTTGATTAATTGGATAATCAAAATTTCTATTTAGTTTCAATTGCTTATCAGATCAAAGTAAAGCCATTCATGAATAGCACACCATCTGTATAAGCAAAATTTCCACAGCATCTTCTCTCAGTGCAGGAGTCTTTAAGTTTATTAATAATATCATTACAGTGCAGATTCTTTGTTTTAAGTTTATTAATAATATCATTACAATGACTAGTGATTACCTTGTGACAGTTTTAAGATACCTTATATGTATTGTTTTACTTAATCTTCACAAAAACCTATGGAGTAGATCCTGTTACCCTCATTTTACAGATGAGGAAACTAAGACAAAAGGTGTCAAACAAATTGCCCAAAATCACATGGCTAGCAAGTGGCAGAGCCAGAATTAGAAGCCACATTGACCATCAAGCTTTGACTCAAAACCACTGACGTTCTTGACATTCACCACAGGTGAATCAAGAAATTCTGTAGAAACTCACCTTGAAGTACATACACACACACACACACACACACACAGAGAGAGAGAGACAGACAGACAGACAGAGACAGAGAAAGAAAGAGAGAGAAAAGGAGAAAGAAATTTATTTTTAAAAACTGGATCACACAATTATGGAGGCTAGTAAGTCCAAAATCTGCAGAGTGGACCAGCAAACTAGAGAGACCCGGGAAGAACTGATGCCGCAGTTCAAATCCAAAGGCTGTCAGATTGGAGGCCCAGGAAGGACCAGTGTTGCAGTTAAAGTCCAAAGACCATCCACGGGCAGAATCTCTTCTTACTTGAGAGAGGCCAGTCTTTTATTCTATTCATACCTTCAACTGATTGGATGACACCTACCCACAGGATGGTAGGCAATCCGTTTTACTCAAAGTCCACCAAGTTACACGTAAATATCATCAAAAAACACCCTCATAAAAACATCCAGAATAATGTTCAGCCATATATCTGGGGACCATGGGTCAGCAGGTTGACATATAAAATTAATGATCACACTTACTTTTGCAAAAGAAGGAAACTATCTGTGGCCTCTCAACCTCTCAACTTTTTCATGTTGATTCTTCCCTGGGAATGTCCCTCTCTTCTTTGGGATGCGGTACAACACAGACTAATGATTAAATGCATGAGTTTTGGTTTCAACCTGGTTTTTGAGTCTGAGCTCTGCTACTATTTTTGTAACCTCAGGAAGGTCACATTCACCCTCTACCCAAAGGTTCCTCATTTGTAGAATAGGACTGAAATATCTCCAACCCCTAGGGTTGCAACAAAGTAATAGAAGTAGAGCTCTTGGCTCACTGGCACATGAAAGGTCTACACAATGTTCAGTAATAGCAGAAGTCCTCCAGCCTTGCCCAGGTCATGGTGAAGGCAAAATTTTCATTATGTAGAACAGAAAAAAAAAAAAACCATAAAAAATCAAAATTATAAAATAGTCCTTAAATTCCCAAAGCCAGACTCATACTAGGATATTTTTCTACCTCTTCAGACTCACCATGATGATTCTTTTCTTTGCATTGCTTTGCAAATAATTGCATCTGCACAGTTTAACACGTATTTCTATTCTTTAAATCAGTGTATTCCTTAGAACTACAGGATATTAATAGGTGTCACCCAGGCAAATAAAGGTGTCCTTGTCACATGAGATTAGGGATTTACAAAGGCTACTTTATCACGAGATTTCTCAGAGTGTTTATGTGCATATGTACATTGAAATATCTGAAAGGAAGATATAATATGCAAAGTTTCACATTTAATTGACTACAAACCCTTCTGAAGTGGCACTTCCACAAGGAGTGTTATGCAGAACACTCTGGCAAACAGTGCTGTAATTGTTACAAATGTGTTAGACTTGCCTTCCAAGTTAAACGATAAAGTCCCCAAGAGTAGAGAAATAATCGCCTCTTTCATATTCCCATAGCACCTGCACAGTGTGAAAATAGAGCAGCTCAGTAAATATGTGTCAATTGATAAAATTATTAAAATTATTTTAATTCCTTAATCAGCAAATATTTTCTATGTTTGGAGTGCCTGCTATGTTTCAGATATTACCCTAGGTACTAGGAAAACCAAAATTAATTAAATATAGCCTTTTCCCTCAAGAAACACACAGTTCAATAAAGAGTAAGTATGTAAATAATTGCAATATTGTTCATTGACAATATGTTTACATATTGTATATATGGATATACATATATGTATGTATATATGGATATATATATACATGTTAGTAAGGTCTTGGGGTGACACAAAAAAGGATATAATATGTTCATAGCCAGGGCACAAAGTGGAGAGGGAGGGTTGGAGAAGCCTTCGTTTAGAAGGTGGCTATCTGAATCTGTTTTTATGCTGTTAAAACAAGATATCATAGCCTGGGTAATTTATAAAAAAATAGACACTTATTTCTGATGGTTCTGGAAGCTGAGGGTCCAAGATTAAGGCATTGGCATGACTGGGGTCTGGTGAGGGCTACTCTTTGCTTCTAAGATGGCACCTTGTGGCATCCTCCAGAAGGGAGGAATGCTGTGTCCTCACATGGCAGAAGGGATGGAAAGGCAAGAGTACTCCCTTCAACCTCAGACCCTTTTGTAAGGGTGCTAATCCCATTCATGAAGGTAGAGCTCTCATGTCTTAATCACCTCCCAAAGGCCACACCTCTTTATACTGTTGGATTGAGGTTAGATTTCAAGATGAATTTTGGTGGGGACATCGTCATTCAAATCATAGCAGTAACCATTGAACTAAAGCTTGAGCATTGAGAAGGAATTGTCCAGGCAGGCAAAAGGGTACAAGGACATTCTAAGAAGTCCAAAACCACAGACATAAAAATAACATGGCTGAATCATGAGAATTCTGTGTGCCTTGTGCATACAATGCATATGGTGCTGCAAAGGGAAATGGAGATGGGGAGATAGAACACCTGGTATTTGGAATACCATGTTAGAAAGTTTTAACTGTTCTTGAGGTGATGAGAAGCCAATGGCAGATTTGGGGTCGGTCTTTCAAAGTGTCAAAGAAGTTATTATTAAAAAGGAAAAAGTGGAACCTAGGAACTACATGCTTCCTGCACTATTGCCAATTCAAGGACACTGGTGACAATAGCTCAACATGATCTCTGTGTTTCTTCCTAATCTGATTTCCTAATTGAGACAAATTCCTATAATCTTAGTTTGATTATACAAAATATCAGTATGATTGTCATTTCCCCATTCTAGGTATCCTCTTTTGGAATAATAGTGTCCTATGGTATAAGAAATTGTTCATTAATATTTTGACTATTTAAAAAAGATTAAGTGAAAGCCTTTGGAAACTTGTGAATGATAATATTATTACAAACAGATCTCATTTGGAAACCCCATGATATCTGAAGAAGAGAATTATGTCAGCAGCATCCTTGAAGATATTTCAGTTTTATTGTTTTTTAAAATTATTCCTTAATAGACCATCCCGGCTAAAAACGGTGAAACCCCGTCTCTACTAAAAATACAAAAAATTAGCCGGGCGTAGTGGCGGGCGCCTGTAGTCCCAGCTACTTGGGAGGCTGAGGCAGGAGAATGGCGTGAACCCGGGAGGCGGAGCTTGCAGTGAGCCGAGATCCCGCCACTGCACTCCAGCCTGGGCGACAGAGCGAGACTCTGTCTCAAAAAAAAAAAAAAAAATTATTCCTTAATTTGAGAGTATATAAAGAAGATACTTTGGAAGCATGCTCTGCAATATAAGAAAGGGATTATGATTCTAGCTTGCAACACCAGCAATTAATGAAATTGTTCTTTGCGGAGAGCTCAATGTATGCTTTTAAATATGTTAAAAATTATACGTGATTCTTCAAGTATTCTTTTAGAACAAACCTCAGAGTTAAGCCATTCACTTGATATTGTAACTTGAGATAAGTCTCTGGGACTTGAGATGATGCCTCTACTTCTTCCCTCCCTCCTCCAAGCCCCATCAATTATTAGTCCTCCCAACATTGCATCACTTGGTCACCACAAGTGCAATGAGTGACTGAAAGCTGCTGGATGCATTTCACAGAGAACGTTTAATTCCCTGAACAATAGAATAGAAAGTAAAGAAAGTCATCCTATGCCAGATTCAAAAAGACCAACTATTCATCACGTTTTATGATGCCCATGACAGCAGCTGCCTTTCACCGCTGCAGTGCAGGATGAGGGGAAATATGCTCCTGAGAATGACAGGAGGAGATGAGAGAGGTATTTACTCTAGGAAAGCCTTCTAAATGAAATAACCAAACCAAACAGGAAAACAATAAAACTCAAAATGACCTGGTTGTTCCCAGGAAAGGCAAGCAAATAAAGGACAAAGCCTCCAGTGAATCCCAAGGGCTCTGGTTTGAGAACATAATGAGGGACAAGCCTGTAGGCAAGTAG
The DNA here is from genome assembly GCF_000001405.40 of Homo sapiens. Taxonomy (NCBI): domain Eukaryota; kingdom Metazoa; phylum Chordata; class Mammalia; order Primates; family Hominidae; genus Homo; species Homo sapiens. The sequence goes on from NC_000017.11 coordinate 54,857,339, forward strand.
AGAAGGTTGCTGCTACCCTTGAAAGAGTCCAAGACATGCCTGGTGTCACCCTGGGCCTCAGAGGGAGGTAGTGCTTGGTGGGCCACAGGAATCCAAGGCTAACCTCAGCTCCATGAATTAAAGCATTCATATTTATCAACCCAAGGTAATCAGGTTCAGAGCTTCTAGCACTGCTTAACCATTTTAAGACTTAGGTTTAAAAAGCAATATGTCATTTAAGCGACACACCTTCTTGTGCTAGAGGTCTTGTAGAGGCTTCACTGAGACTCCAAGACCTAAATTCTAGTTTGATACCATCATCAAATCTCACCCTGTGCACAGTATAGGTGTTGCTGAGATAACATGACATATGCATTTCTGAATAACCTCAAGTTTTACAAAACGTTACTTAACAACAACAAGGCTTATGTGGAGTATGGAGTTAGGGCAACCCACTTAATGCCTATGGAAATTTGTAACTGGGGAACTATTGATAACAATAATTGGAATCTTGGGAGATACTTGGACAATCCAAATAGGCAGCTCAGAGGGGCTGGAGAATGCCCCAGGTAATACTAAACTGCCCTCCATCCCATGAGTAGAAATCCATCTAGTAGGTGTGAGACAATGCTGGTAGAACTAGAATCATGCACACAGGAGGAAGTGCAACCTGCCAAAGGCTAGGGAAGTCCCACGCTGGGGAGAAACACCTGGGTACAGATGCTTGTGTTTTTTCTCCTTTTCTTTTCTTTTCTTTCTTTTTGAGAAGGACTCTTGCTCTGTCACCCAGGCTGGAGTGCAATGGCGTGATCTCGGCTCACTGCAACCTCCGCCTCCGGAGTTCAAGCCAATCTCCTGCCTCAGCCTCCTGAGTAGCTGGGATTACAGGCGCCCGCCAACACACCCGGCTAATTTTTTGTATTTTTAGTAGAGACAGGGTTTCACCGTGTTAGCCAGGACGGTCTCAATCTCCTGACCTCATGATCCGCCCCCCTCGGCCTCCAATTGTGTTTCATTTTCTTCATATAGGGTGATAAAACCTTCTGCTCGTGTTTCAGGCAGCGGAGGGTTTTCTTCTTTCCTACTGAAGGTTATAGTTCTTTCACCATTCTGGTATTCATGTTACAGAGAATTGTGTTGCAGAGAAGAACTCCCCAACTTTGTGTTCCTGATCTCTCCTCTAATCCAGTTACATCCCTGAGTGGAGCACAGTGTGGAGATCTGGGTATATCACTGAACCACAAGACACAAACAGTGATCCTAAAATGCACTGACATTTCCCTTTTCGAATAGCTAGTAGCAGGGTGATAGCCCAACTTCTGGGGAACCAGCCTGAAGGTGGATGTGGGCAGATGTGGATGTAGCTCCACGGAGGGGTTTTATAACTTCAGAATGTCTCCTGCAAAGCAAGTACAGGCTGTCCAAGTACAGTGAACTTTTCTACACCTTTGGCTTTACTGAGAATGAGGGTGGCACAGTGGGTCGTAAGGTAAGATAAGGATATAGTGTCATGGAAGCCTGGAGAAAAAAGTGTGAAAAGAAACACTACCAACACTACCCAGGCGCGGTGGCTCACGCCTGTAATCCCAGCACTTTGGGAGGCCAAGGTGGGCAGACCACCTGAGGTCGGGAGTTCGAGACCAGCCTGACCAACATGGAGAAACCCTGTCTCTACTAAAAATACAAAATTAGCCAGGCGTGGTGGCACGTGCCTGTAATCCCAGCTACTTGAGAGGCTGAGGCAGGAGAATCGCTTAAACCTGGGGGGCAGAGGTTGTGGTGAGCCAAGATCAGGCCATTGCACACCATTCTGGGCAACAAGAGCAAAACTCCGTCTCAAAAAAAAAAGAAACACCAACTGTCTTTAATGTTGTTGAAAGGTCAAGTAACAGGAAATCCCTGGATCTGGCAACATGAAAAACATTGTTTTACTAATCAAAAGCAGCCACTGTGGAAGGATGGAGACAGCCTGAGTGGAATGAACTGGGAGGAGAATGTTGTGAGGACATGCAGAGACTTTAGACCGGGGATCTGTAAAGGGCCAGATAGTAAACATTTTAGACTTTGCAAGCCTTGCAGTCTCTCTCACAACTACCCAGCTCTGCTGTGTGAAAGCAGCCAACGTCTACAACTGGCCTTTGAACCATGGAGAGGTTAGGAGTACTGATCCCCTGGGCAGTCAAAAATCTGCCTATAACTTGTGACTCCCCCAAAACTTAACTACTAAAAGCCTACTATTGACTGGAAACATTACCAGTAATATAGTCAATTAACATGCATTTCATATGTTATATGTATTATATACTGTATTCTTACAATAAAGTGAGCTAGAGAAAAGAAAATGTTTATTAAGAAAATCATAAGGAAAGGAAAATATATTTTCAATTCATTAAAGTGTAAGTGGATCATCCTAAAGGTCATCATACTCACTGTCTTCACATTGAGTAGGCTGAAGAGGAGGAGGGGGTTAGTCTTGCTGTCTCTCTCAGGCATTGCAGAGGTGGAGGAGGTTAAAGGGGAAGCAGGAGAGATTTATTGTAAAAAATCCACATATACGTGGGCCCGTTCAGTTAGTCCAAACTCATGTTGTTCAAGGGCCAACTGTATATATTTAATATAAGAAAAAGGGGATATCTGCGTTCCAATAACACTTTATTTATGGACAATAAAATTTGAATTTCATATAATTTTCACGTAACAAAATATTTTTTAAAATTTCTCCCCAGCAAATGTAAAAACCATTCTTAATCCTTGGGTTGTACAAAAATAGGTAGTAAGCCAAGTTCGGATTGTGGGCCATAGTATGCCAACCCCTGCAATAGAACCCTCTCTGGAAAAGGTTTTCTGTGCATGGTAGTGAATAGACAGCATGAAATCTGTAGATCAGGGCAGGGCGCGGTGGCTCATGCCTGTAATCCAGCACTTTGGGAGGCCGAGGCAGGTGGATCACCTGAGGTCAGGAGTTCGAGACCAGCCTGACCAACATGGAGAAACCCCATCTCTACTAAAAATACAAAATTAGCCGGGCATGGCGGCGAGCACCTATAATCCCAGCTACTCGGGAGGCTGAAGCAGGAGAATCGCTTGAACCCAGGAGGCGGAGGTTGCGGTGAGCCATGATCGCGCCATTGCACTCCAGCCTGGGCAACAAGAGTGAAACTCTGTCTCAAAACAAACAAAAAAACAAAAAACAAAAAACGAAATCTGTAGATCAAAAGGGAATGCAAGTTCCTTAAGGAAGAAATATTTTCTGTCTTATTTTCTAGTTTAGATAATTCTCTAACACAGGTCTTAGCATATAATAAGTCCTTAATAAATACGTGCTAAGTAAATGAATTAATTTTAATGTAGATCTGACTGCTAAATCAGTCCACTATGTTCCACTCGATTCCACTGCCACACAGGCCCACAGACAGGCCGAAGTAGAGCCTACATGAGTTCTCAGCAGCTAATATAATAATAACCCGTCTGTGTGCCATGAGTCCGTCACTGCTTCCGGAACAGGAGACAGATAGCTATCTGCAAAACTGGGTGTCTGCTTACTTGGCCTTGCTCTGAATCCCCAGTGCAGACATCTGGCTGTGCACTCAGACCTGAACCCTGCAAACTCACCTGAGATTATGTGCCCTATTCTTTGAAAACAGCCCTGATTGAGTAAAATTCCCCAGCTCAATTCTAATGTCAATTTTCTTTTCGTGAAGAATTCTTTTCCTTAACAAAATGTTAAGGCCCAGCCAAGAAGAAAATACACACACATGCACACACACACACACACGCATACACACACACACCCCTATATATAATATGCATATACATACATAATACATACACATATATGTACACATACACACACACTTTTTTTGTTTTGTTTTGCTCTGTCATTTCCCCTGCTCCCTTTAGAAGCCTGCTATCTTCTCACAAACAGCTTCTGAGCTGCCTTAACTGATAAGCCTATGAATGGGTAAGCTCTTTCAGACTTCTCCAGGATCTCTGGCAGCTATGCTGGCTGAGGGAACAGATAACCCTGGGTTTGAGGAATGACAGAAGGTTTCTTGATCCACTAGCTGACTTACTAAGCACTCTTCTACATAGAGATCCAGGGTCTGTGTTTTCAAAGATCTCATGAGAAACAGAGCCCGGGAAAGGCATTGTCAGCATAGAATTTCCTCCACAAAATGATTCAAGGAACAAATGCTCATGCAACTTTTTTCCTCCTCTGAACTCACATCACGGACAGTGTAAGCTGCTTGGAACTGAATCACACACTGAGCTGTGGAATTAAAGCCCTCCGCCCATCTTCTCAGTCTTATCATTCCTGGCACAGACTGTTTCATCTCCCACAGCCTACATTTGAGTTACACTGAATTTTCTGCCATTTTGGAACAACCCATTTTCCTTCATTTCATTCATTTGCTAATTTTTCAGCCTATTGCCTACCCCTCTCCTGACCTCTTCTCTCCAACCTTCATCTCTTTCTCTCAGAGTCCTACTCATCCTCAAGGCTTTACCAGCATTTTCTTTCCTCCAAGAAGAGTTCGTATATACCCATGGAAGCACTTACATTTCCAGGTCCTACTATTCATTTGACTTTGTTTCCTCCTCCACTGCAATATCTGCTGGATGTAGTGGGTTTCAACGGAGAGAGTATGTGCTCTAGATTTAGACAGACCTGGTTCAAATCTTATCTCTGCCACTTACTCACAAAGGGTTCTTGGTGAAGTCAGTTAACCTCTTTGATCTGTTTACTAATAGATAAAATACCTAAATGTTTCCAAGTTTGCTTGAGCAGCAAATGAGATAATGAGTGAAAAGCACCTGGCACAGGTGATTTTTTTAAAAAATGACAGTTAGTATTTGCCTCCTTCACCCCACTCCATTCTGTAAAGATGACTTTATCTTCACAACCTCCATATTTGCTCCTACCCAAGCATTTTCCATAAGAGATCTGGTCTATTTTTTCAAGAGGAAAGTGATTAGCCCAAGCTCCTACAACAAACTGCTCAAGTTAAACAAAAACAGAATCAGAAAGTTATAGAGTAGAAAGAATTCTAAGAAGGAATCTGGTAGAATTAGGAATTTTCAAACAACTCAATATCTGCCATCTGATAATCACAGGTGTCTTTCTGCATATGGACCCAACCTAATGGAATCATTGACCAATATCTGGTGTTAACATTCCAAGCCCACAAAACAGCTTTGGCAAAAGGTCCTACTCTCTAATCCATCTCCCTTCAATGGGCTGACTTTGCCATAATCATGACAACACTCTCTTGGTTTCTAAGTAAAAAGGAATTCTTGGAAGAAATAATTAAAAAGGTATTCACCTCAAGTGACGTCCTTATGTTTTTACATTACCAAGTCTTTGATATTCCTGATCTCATCTTTAATTCTCTCATGGCTTTAAACATCTCATTTCAAGATCGTGATATGGGAATAAGCACAGATTCTTCCTTTTTACAAATGGGAAATTGAAAGTCATAATGGTGAAAACAGTGTGTTGCCACTGATTCCTTCACAATGGCCTAGAAAATATAGAAGTCCCTTACTGGCTGGCCAGTTGAGTTCCTGGTCAAATGGCAGGCTCAAGTTTGGCCTGTGGCCATCTCACTCACAGAGCAGGTCTGGCCTCCATTAGATTGATCTAGAATAACACTAGAAATGAAGTGCTTAGAGTGGGATATTTTCAATTTGCAGTGAAAGAGAAATAAGGGCAGGCAGAGCAAGGCAGGAGTTGACAGCCCCACATGTTAAAAAAATGCTCTCAACAAAGGAGATTTGCCCAAGAATATCACATTGAAAAATCGAATTTCCTCAGGCAAAGCAAACTGTATGCCAGTAAAGGTCAGTTATTCCTCCTAGATCACAGTTATTGCAACCAACTATTTGTTTTAAAGTGAGTTTCGTATTGTTTGTGTTTACAGATCCTAGTCTGTCTTATGTAGGGAGACTACTAAAGAAAAAGAAATAAGCAGAAATATCATTTTTCTATTCCATGCCTGGGAATATTAAATGGTACTTGGCTATTTAAATATGCTGTTTGGACTGAATTCAAAGTGCATTATCCCATATACCAGTTGATGTTGAAACACTTAACCAAATGCTTAATGCCTAGAAAAACTGTGTTGGACCTTAACAGCAGTGGTTTAAAAATAGGTAATGTCAGAATTTTTTCACTAGCTCTTGAGTTAACTCTTGGTCATCCAGCATGTGAATCAAGACTAAAATTGTCCCTGAGTTGTAGAGGAATCACCGAATGGTGGGGGAGAAATGCCGCTTAGGTTGTTTTTCTGAAGAGTTTAGATCTTTTAATAAAGTAACAAAAGGCTAAGGGACAACCCACAAGTTGGGATGACCGAGATAACTAAAGAGCACTCCTTGGTGGAACCCCTAAAATGACAAATAACCCTCATCTCCAGGAGTGCTATGGTTGCTGGGCTAGGAATATCCAGGGAACTGGTATATTCTAGGAATAATCCTTTCCAGTTAGAAGCCAACAAACCAATGGGCTTCTACAGGACACAAACCGAGGTTGGATGCTGTCAGACTCTTGGTAATAAGCCAGGTTAATAACTATAGTATCATACATTCACCATGTCAGATTCTAAAATAGCAGCTTTACATACCTCTTACCATTTAACCCTCATAACACTTCTGCAAGGTAGGAATTATTTCCTATATTTTACAGAGATGGAGGCTCAGAAGGGTAAATAAACTGACCTGAAGTGACATGCTTGTTAAGTGGCAAAGGTGGTTGAGATTTGAAATGCCTTTGTAAAGTGGTTAAGCCCAAGTACGCATCACCATATAGCCCTGACCCACAGGAGGTCAGAGACAGTGGAGTTAAAGACACTGGGAGGGGTCAAGGAGGTCAAAATCAAGAGTGAAATCCACCCAATTATCATTTGGCCTTTCATGCAACAGCAGGAAGTTAAAAGGTGGAATCTGACCATTTGCATTGATTTTTCCATGCTTCCTCATGCTCCTTTCCCTGGATCCACATTCCCTGGTTTACAGTACATGTTTTTGCCTCCCCTGGCTGGTCCAGTGACCCTTCTAAATCCCCTCATCTGGAATGTTAATCTCCACCCTGCAAGTTCTCTTGGTCTCAGTGTATCTGGCAGTTCATATAAGACATATCCACTCCACCAACCCTAGTTGGAAACTTTAGCCTACAGAGTAGCCTCCAATTTCTCTGACTTCCTTTGACCTGCTGCCCCTTAGCTTCATCCCTCCAGCCACCGGTACAAGGTTAAGACACATGCAGGAGGTCACAGCATTCCTAAACACTGTAAAACTGTAGGTTAGGCAAAAATTTTAATTCTAATGAGACATTCTAATGACAAGGAACTCACAAACCCCTCAGCTCTTTTTCTTTGGTTCTGAAAGAGGCCATGACTCAGCCTGGTCAAATACCCATCCAGATTCTATCTGTTAAGTGACAGCTAAAAAGAGCAAGGACCCTTTTCAGATATTCAGACTTAAGTGGAAATTTACACTGCTGGCCTCCAGCCCATTGCTGATAAAACGTTTTCTCTCAGCCAGAAAATTCTGGCAACTCCTCCTTCTCAGGTTCTATTTGTAGATTCAGCGGATGCACCAATACCTTTCCTCTTCGCAGGGCCAACCTGTCAGTTACCTAACTCCCTCTGGTTTTCCTTGGATTCCACACTTTGCCTAGCAAGTGCTTAATTGCTGCTTTAATGCCAGTTTAATTCTCTCTCCATTATTCCCTGAACTCCGACAGCCCCATTGCGTTTCTCCCCTTTAATGTTTAATGCGATGATGACTATTGCTGATCAGGACTAAATTTTACCCTAGGATGCCCAGGGAATAAATGTTTTTATTAAGAGTACAAGAGAGGGAAAGCCATTCTGAAAAATAGAAAAGATTCCCGTGATGTTCCTCTGGAGACTCATTGAGCAGAGAGCAGAGCTGACTTGTGGTTATTATTTGATCAGCTTGAGCTAATCTGTGTTGATGCCTCCTGCCAAGTCCTACCATTTGCGTGTGATTTCCCATCTACTAATACATAATGTATAGATCCGGATATAGGCAAATCAATTATCCTGCTCCTAAGAAGCAAAGACAAACTAATGGAAACATTAGCCTAAGACTTCAGGAAAATTGCAGAATTGAATACCTAGGTGTGTGTGTTTTATAAGTGTATGTGTTTGTGGGGAGTGAGCCGTCAAAGAGGAGGGAGGCAAGGAAAGGGGTTCAGAAAACAAAGAGGGGAAATGAGAGGCAAAATCACATCACCTGAGGCCACAATGATCTGCCTGTTTTGTATGGAAGACATCTGATCATAACAACAAAAATTATTGTAAAACAACACCCAGATGATTCCAGGAATCTTGGCTTTCTTCTGTTAAATTATCAGATGCAACAAGATATGTATTTAGCTCTATTGAGCCAAACTAAGGATCAGCATGAACATACACTGGAGAAATGATGAGTAACAGGGTGTCCTAGGGAAGATTGTCTCTGCCATGCTTGAATTCTTCAGTTCACAAGAAATTCGAAAATTGATGGCACAGACACAATGTCTTAATATCCATGGGGGGTTAGAGGATGTTAAATTGAAATGGGTTGGGGGTACTCTTGAAAGCTGGCTGAAGGGTAATTGCATGCGTGTAAAGCTAGTTTAAATCCATCACTCTCCAAAGATTGATTTTTAAAACTTTAAAAACACATATTGTGCCCTTGCAGTTATTTGCACATAAAAATGTTACTGGATGGGTTACTTTTCAGAAAATACAGACTTTCTAGGTGAACTTAATCCATAATTTTCTGATTTAAGACACTTGTGAGAAGCAAGTTTGCATATTATTAAGAATTCCTAGGACTGAATTCATATGGTGAGCTAGCATACAGTAGGTACTTAAGAAATGTTTAAATGGAAAAATAGATGAGTGAATGAATGAAAGGTATAATATGCATTCAGCTACAGCATTCTATATGCATGTGAGTGTAGGCAGATAATACTTTAAAATATTTTAAAATTATAAGAACATTTTTACAAACATATTTTAAATGTTTATGACCATTTTCCAGTATTTGGTAGTGAATTTACCTGTCTCTGAATAAAGCAGAAACCAGATGAGAGCCCTATATTTGCGAGTGGAATACAGAAATGACTTTGTGAACTTTTCTTTTGGGAAGTCGTAACCCTTCCAGCTGATATGAGACTCAACTATAACACATCATTAAGAAAATGCAAGTGAAGCAGACATCAACAGATGCAATAGGATCTGTGATACATAGAATGGAATTTGGACAGGTAGGGAAAATTCTAGATGGTTCAAAGGATATAGAAAAACATATTTGCTCTAAAACAAATACTGCATTTTGATGGTGGCCTGTAGTGCTCAACATCTTAAATTTTTGTAAGACAGAATACTGCAATGATGTGAATGCAAACATGGAAATACATTTTTTTGCTTCCACTACAAACAGCTCCGATGTATTGAATTCCCTGTGCTATGCACTTTGTGTGACTCATTAAACACTCAAAACAACCTGAAGCTGAGTGTCACCATCTCCGTATTATAAATGAGAAAATTGATGCACAAAAGGTAAACGAGTTGTCCAAGGTAGCATAGCCATTGTGTGACAGAGTTGGGATTTGAACCCAAGTCTGATGTCAAACTCAGCTTTTGATCTCCATGAATACTGCCCTTTGTTTCTAGAAGAACACATGAATACAGAAAGTTAATGTTTTGTTAGTTTGCACTAATCCAGACATCATTTTAGTAACACACCTTCAGATCTCCAGTGTCTGTGTGAAGGTCCTGTAAGGGATACTGGGGATATGAAGGCAAATAAAGCATAGTTCCTGTCCTCAAGAAACTCATAATCCAAAACAAGAAATAGATATTGGCACCATGAAATGTAGCACAGAGGCCCAGTGGCTGTCCTGGTGATACAACTGAATGAGGAAGTAACTGCCTATGTAGAGAAGAAATCCAAATGAATTTTTTTCACTAAAGAACCATGAATATTCTTAACTGACATAATCAATATTAAGTACTAAGGCAAACACAAACTTGCCCAATGAGGTAAATTTCTAATTCTGTTGTTATGATTTGTTTCTGTGAAGAATCTTATACAATTATCAACTGTTATATGAAATATATTATGTCACATCAAAAATTAAACAGTAAGAAAAGACTTCTTTAAAAACTGAGGCAAAAAAGCAAGAATGCATTTAACAACACAATGATAATTATTGCCAACAATGAAATTCCACTATTTTACTTAACTAAATCAACACTTCAGGAAATAAACACAGCATTCTTTATTATAGAGTTGACTCAGTCTTTACATAAAAAAGAAAGTGATTTTCAATATGTCATTAAACTGTAGACTAATGTATTTACAGATAAGTAATTAAAAAGCAAAAATAGGTCAAAGAACACTGAATAACTTATTGCAACAGAAAATATGTTCATGATAGTGACCAGGCAAAAGAACTCTATGTATACCTTAGTACCTAATAGTGACTCACATGCATAAAAAGAAAAATATCGGCCAGGCATGGTGAGTCACACCTGTAATCCCAGCACTTTGGGAGTCCAAGGTGGGTGAATAGCTTGAGTCCAGGAGTTCAAGACCAGCTTGGGCAACATGAAGAAACCCTGTCTCTACAATATACAAAAATTAGCTGCATGTGGTGGCGTACCCCTGTGGTCCCAGCTACTTGGGAGGCTGAGCTGGGCAGATGGCTTGAACCTGGGAGGCTGAGGCTGCAGTGAGCTGAGACTGCACCACTGCACTCCAGCCTGGGCTACAAAGTGAGAGCCCACATCAAAAGAAAAAGAAAAATATCTACAAGTAGCTCTACCAACACAGAGAAATTCTTATTAGGAAAAGTGCACTGTGAACTAAAATAATTCAGTTGGATTTATTATATCTATAAGAGAGATTTACCTTAAAGACATCTGCAGAGATGTAAATTTCAGCAAAGTTTTGCAGCTATAGAGAACTTTTCTCCAGATTTTATAAAGAATTATTTTCCTTATTAAAGAGTATGTATGAAGGCTAGTCGAAGAATTATTGGATAGGTACAAAAAGCATAAAGTATCAAAAAAATTGATAAAAGAAAACTTTTGTTTAATAAAAATTGAAAATTTCTTTTGAACAACACTGTTAAGAAAGTAAAAATAAAAGCCATAAACAAGGGGAAAATATTTGTAATATACATATCAGAAAATGGACTACTATCCAGAATATATAAAGAACCCTCACAACTTAATAATTAGAAATGACTCAATTAAAAATGGAAAAGATTTAGACACTTCATCAAAGAATATAAATGAATGGCAAATATGTATATGGAAACATGCTCTATATCTTGTGATTTGTTGAGCATCTACTCATACCTAATAACTTCATTACTTGTTAGGAAAGTGCAAATTAAAACCACAATGAGACATTACTACACACCTGTTAGAAGGGCTGTGTTAAAAAGACTAACTATGCTACATGCTGGTGAGGATGTAAAGCAACTGTATCTCTCACACACTGCTAATAAGAATGTAAAATTATATAACCACTTTGGAAAACAGCTGGCAACTTCTTAAAAAGTTAAATATGTACTCAGTACATAACCCAACTATTCCACTTCTAGGTAGTTACCTAAGGGAAATGAAAGCATATGTCTATACCAAAACTTCTTCATGGATGTTCATAGGAGCTTTATTGGTATTAGCCAAAACTGGTGGGAAAATGTTCATTAACTTATAAATGAATAAAGAAAGTGTGGTATAGCTATACAATAGAACATTACTTAAAAGCAAAAAGGAACAAATTATTGATGCAGGCACCAAGGATGAAGCTCAAAAGCTGTATGCTAAGTGAAAGATGCCAGATTTTAAAAGTATATGCTGTTCATTTCATTTATGTGACATTTTAGAAAAGACGAAACTACAGTTAAAGAAATGAACAAATAGTTGCCAAAGGCTCAAGAGTTGAAGGAGGTGGAGAAGATTAACTACAAGGGACATGAATGAAATTTTGTGGGTGATGGAAATATTGTATATCTTGATTGTGGAGGCAGTTATGCAACTGTATATTTTTGTCAAAATTCATAAAACTGTTTACCAAAAAAGGATAAATCTTACAGTATACAAATTACTATTATTATTACATTTTTTTTTTGAGATGGAGTCTTGCTCTGTCACCCAGTCTGGAGCACAGTGGCGCGATCTTGACTCAATGCAAACTGCCTCCGGGTTCAAGTGAGTCTCGTGCCTCAGCCCCCCGAGTAGCTGGGACTATAGGCGTGCACCATCATGCTAATTTTTGTTTTTGTTTTTTTTTTTTTTTTTAGTAGAGACGGGGTTTTGCGATGATGGCCAGGCTGGCCTATAACTCATGAGCTCAGGTGATCCGCCTGCCTTGACCTCCCAAAGTGCTGGGATTACAGGCATAAGCCACTGTGCCCAGCCTCTTACTGTATACAAATTAAATATCAATCAGCTTTACTTTAATAAAACAAAAGACATGTTATATTTATGTGACTTATCTTTAAAGTTTAATAATAGAAAAGTATTTTATACAACCTGGATTCCAGATAGAACTGTCGTATGTAGTAAATCAAATATTATCATTTATTCAATAGTAAAAACAAAATTGCTACCTAAACTTATGAGTAAATGGTTTTATATTTTTAAAAATAATTAATGATGAGCTGCTAAATCTCAAAAATTTCTCCCCTGTAAAAGAATGTATGCTAAGCTGAACGGAGGTTTTCCCATTTTACACTTTGGAGTTGATCATTCTCAGCTAATCTTTTGTCACCTTTAGAAAGCCCCAAGTTAAATACCTCTCTTAGGAACTCTAAAACATAGCAATGTGAACCAAGTGGATTCCACCAGTCACATTTCTGCTTTTTCAGAGTGAACAAAATACAGCAATTAGTAGGAGCACCCTTTATATAATTCTAATTTTAAGGATTATTTTAACCTACATGCATGACATGTTACCTCTGGTCTATAGAACACTCTCTAATGTGCAGTATTGAAAGAAGAGGCATGCTTTCAAGGGCAAACCTGCTGAATAACTGCAGCAAATGCACACTCATGAAGACTGACACCCCCGAGCTGATTCCAGCTCACTGTGTGCAATCTGAAACTAAGCAATTGGATCTGACTGAGAAAGAATATAACTTCTCATTATTGTTTCTGAGCTTTCTGAAACAGAGTATCTGGCCTGGCACATGATAGATATACTTACTTCTCTCTGTTTATTTTCATCTCATTGTATGGAATATTTCCCATAGAGGACTCACAAGGGGGATTGTAGGAAGTTGCTTTAGGCACTAGCAGAATGGCCTAATCATTTAATTTTTTGCAGTTATGGAAGGAATCATGAAAGGATTCATGTTAAGGGAAGAACTGCAGCTGCCCCCTAGAGCAGCTGATGCTTAGCATGGCACTAGAGTGACACATCCATAAGTCTTAATAAAGCACCATGCATTAATCTATTAGTAGGAACTCAAGGAAATACTCCAGTGGCCAAACCAGAGTGAGGCTGTGGTAAAGACTAACAAGATGGAAGAGGAAGAAGTATTACAAAGAAACTTAGTAATAATGTTTTCTCTCCTACTCACAAAGAATTCTCTATCTTCAAAATTGAGAAGAATGCTTTACTGTAAAGGAATTATTGTTGCAAGAGTCATCTGGGTATGGTGGGAATTGAAGGACAGGAAGCTGCCCAAGCAAGTCACATGTGTATTGAGGTTACTAGTCCCCACTGATATACAGGGAATCAGTAGGAACTGCAACTGCCAGCTCCTGGAATTTCAGCAACAGAAAAAATAACGGAGTTGCAAATACAGAAAAAATTTACTTAATTTTGTAAAACATAAAAGTATTATGCAAGTCAAAGTTTGAGGGGAGACAAATACAGCTGCTTGACCAGGTTCTTTGAGGTCTAGAGTCAAATCTGTTTGCAAGCAATGGGGTAAGGTCAAGTGGGTTGTAGTTAATAACGGTACTGCAGTGGGAATGCTGAACTTAGCATCAAAAAATTTACATTTGGGCCAGGCGTGGTGGCTCACGCCTGTAATCCCAGCACTTTGGGAGGCCAAGGTGGGCAGACCACAAGGTCAGGAGATCGAGACCATCCTGGCTAACACGGTGAAACCCCGTCTCTACTAAAAATACAAAAAAAAAATTTAGCCAGGCGTGGTGTCGGGCACCTGTAGTCCCAGCTACTTGGGAGGCTGAGGCAGGAGAATGGCGTGAACCCAGGAGGCGGAACTTGCAGTGAGCTGAGATCACGCCACTGCACTCCAGCCTGGGTGACAGAGTGAGACTCTGTCTCAAAAAATAAATCAAAAAAAATTTACATTTGATTGTTATTATACCACTTGCTAGCTGGGTGACCTTTGGCAAGTTGCTGAACTTCTCTGGAATGAAGTAAAACAAGGAATATGAGTGTCTGGCACTAGCAAACACCAAGTAGAACTTCACTTGATTTGTGCATCTATTGTGGAGATGTCAATGCATGCAGTTCAGTTTCATGTGATGAACATTTATTTTTTCATTTACTATCATAAGCAGTTCATTGAGATAGAGCTCATCAGTCAAGATGTCAATACTTTTCCTGAGTAGGACCACTCAGCGGGGGTCACTCTTTCAGTTGATCCACTTAAATAGTTAACATACACTCCCTTCGCTTGTGTGTACTTACTGGTAAATTACTTTGTAAGCATTCTTGTATCTGTTCATGTGTGCATGCCCTGTCTACTCAATTAGGATTATTGACTTATTGAGCCAGAAGGCATTTTAGAGAACTAGGCCAAACTCTTCATTGTACAAGTGGGAATATTGAGGTCCAGGGAAGTGAAATGACATGCCTCAAGTCATATGTTGGTTAGTGACTGAGTCAGTATTAGGATCCAGTTCTCTTGACTTCCTACTCAATGCTTTCTTCTCCCATATTCTCACCCCAAACTATTCTAAAAATAAGCATTTGAGGACAAGAACCACTTTTGCTGCTATTGTTGTTTATTCCTAAAATTCAGTACACATTTGTGCAACCTAATGACCAAGGACATTGAAAACTTTCAACATTTATAAATTGTTCTATTCAGAAATAGCAGAAATATTTTCTAGTGATCAATTTGTTTGATAAATCCCATTCTCTCCTCATGAAGTTATTAATATTATCACAGATACAGGTATCTTTATGCTTTATAAAACATTTTCACATCTATTGTCATACTTGATTAGTTTAGAAACCTTGCGGAAAAATCAGAGTGGGCAGTCTTATTCCCATTTTACAGTTAAAGAAATGAAAGTCTAGAGAGGCTAAATAATTTTCCCAGCTACACACAGCTACTAATTGATGGAACTGGCATTCGGACGAACTCGGGTTTTCTGGTTTAATAATCCAATATACTTCCACGGTTCTATGCTGCATCACATTTATAGGTACACTTTTAATAAACTATTAACTTTGATTATCTGTACTGTATTGGTCAGATTCTTTAGTGTACAAATGACTAAAACCCAATTCAAACAAGTTTAAATTAAAAAAAAAAAAAAAAAAAAAAGTCAAGGGCCAGGGAGGATTGGAAGAACGCAGAACTCACTGGCTTAAGATCACTAAACCATAGGGAAGGCAAAGATAGAACAGCCTGATGAACGGTCCTAATTCTAATCTTTGCAGCTTTATCACCACAACAAAGAGGACTTTTCCTTCCCAGTTCTGTTTGGAAATCATAAGGAAAAATTGTGATAGAGATCAGGAGTCAACTTGTATCCTATGTTTACCTTTGTTAAACCACCTTAAGGAGGTATGATTGACAGATTAAAAAGCTGTATATATTTAATGTGTACAACTCAGTGAGTTTGGGGATAAGTATACACCGTGAAATTATCACCACCAACAAGGCCATAGACATCCATCACCTCCCAAAGTTTCCTGCCATTCCCTTTATTATTATTTTATGTGTGTGTGTGCACGTGGTAAAAACACTTACATAAGCTCTACCTTAGCAAATTTTAAGTCTACAATACAGTATCATTAGCTATAGGTACTATGCTATACAGATTTCTAAAACTTATTTATCTTGCCAACAGGCAGGTGATGGTCAAAGGGTACAAAGCTTCAGTTATTTCTTAAAGTCTTAGACCAGTCATTTCAACCAGAGTCTAGTATCAGAAAATCGAGAGATGGAAACTAGGCAGTAAAGAAATCAATACTTGTTTACTATTCTCATGTTCAGACAGCAATGGAACAACTGGCTATAAAACAAACAAACTGAAGAAATAAAATATCTGGTATGTTGCATTTGCTGATTTCTTTTTTTTTTTTTTTTGAGACAGAATCTCGCTCTGTCACCCAGGCTGGAGTGCAGTGGCACCATCTCGGCTCGCTGCAAGCTCCGCCTCCCAGGTTCACACCATTCTCCAGCCTCAGCCTCCCCAGTAGCTGGGACTACAGGTACCCGCCACCATGCCTGGCTAATTTTTTGTATTTTTAGTAGAGACGGGGTTTCACCATGTTAGCCAGGATGATCTCAATCTCCTGACCTCGTGATCCGCCCGCTTTGGCCTCCCAAAGTGCTGGGATTACAGGTGTGAGCCACTGTGCCCTGCCTTGATTTCTTTCTCTTTAGTTTTTCCTTTTCTTTCTTTCTTTCTTTTTTTTTTTTTTTTAAATGATACAGGGTCTCATTCTGTGCCCCAGTTTAGAGTGCTGGGGTGCAATCTCGGCTCACTGCCCCCTTGAACTCCTGGGCTCAAGTAATCCTCCCATCTCAGCCTCCCAGCGTTTGCTGATTTCTAATAAATAAAATTTGCATTTACTAGTACTCCCACCATAGCTGCTTTCAAGGTACCAACGTGACATCAATCAGCTCATAAGATTCCTAAAAACATAGCAATTAGATCTTGTGGACCAGCAGGAATCAGTCTCAGCACACCATGGCATGTAGCACTGATTAACCATACTCTGACCTAAACAGATCAATAAATTCATAGAAGCCACCAGTTCACTGGCAGATGTACCTTTCCACATCTGGAAAGGGGAAACAATTCAATTCAGCAAGCATTTATTTAGTGCCTACTAAATGACAAGTGTTGGGGTTGTCAATATGACAATAAAAAGATACTTTCCCATCCTCTAATTCACTGTTTCACAATTGTTTTTAGATCTCATACTAAGTTTAAGTGAGAAAACTAGACCAAAAAAAAACAAAAATAAAATTGAGTTATGATAAATGCTGTGAAAGAAACAAAAAGGACTCAAATAGAGAATGAGAGGTGACCATTTAAAGTAAGTATATTTCCCAAACTTGAAATGTGCTACCGATTTGTTATTAATTTAATTGTTTCAAAATTTTAATTTACAATCCTTTTATTTTTAATTATTTATTTATTTTTATTCTTGAGACAGGATCTCACTCTGTCACCCAGGCTGGAGTGTGGTGATGTAATCACTGCAGTCTTGACTTCCTAGGCTCAGGTGGTCCTCCCACCTCTGCCTCCCAAGTAGCTGTGACTACAGGTATGCACCATAACACCCAGCTAATTTTTGGATTTTTCGTAGAGATGGGGTTTCACCATGTTGCCAGAGCTGGTCTCAAACTCTCTGGGCTCAGCCGGGCATGGTGGCTCATGCCTGTAATACCAGCACTTTGGGAGGCTGAGGTGGGTGGACCACCTGAGGTGAGGAGTTTGAGCCCAGTCTGACGAATATGGTGAAATGCCATCTCTACTAAAAACACAAAAATTAACCAGTGTGGTGGTATGCACCTGTAGTACTAGCTACTCAGGAGGCTGAGACAGGAGAATTGCTTGAATCTGGGAGGTGAAGGCTGCAGCGAGCCAAGACTGCACCACTGCACTCCAGCCTGGGCAATAGAGCAAGACTCCATCTTGATGAAAAAAAAAAAAAAACAACACACACACAAACAAACTCCTTGGGCTCAAGTGATCTGTTTGCCTCAGCCTCTCAAAGTGTTGGGATTACAGGCATTAGCCACTATGCCCACCCTGAAATCCATCTATAAATTACTTTTATTATTATAATTATTCATTATTATTTTTACTTCTTTTAAGTAAAAGCACAGCTCTTCTGCTGCCCTGTCAATTTTACACAATTACGTCTCTCATCTCTTTAAAGGACTTGTTTCTAATGCCCAAATATGAGAACCATTAATCCAGAGAAGCAATGAACTGGATCCAATCAAACTTAACTCTCAAAAGAAGGAAACCGAGCTGAGGAATGCAAGAGAGGTAAAGGGAGGACTCTTGGCCCATTATTCTCTATGGAAATCTCTTCTTCCACAAAAGCTCACCAGTAGTTGAGTTTAAGTGTGCTCAATGTTGTCTTTGCCTCATTCATGTATTAAGTATTTAGGAGCCCTTCCTCAATCATTTGGTGTTTATTTATTGAGCATTTGCTCTGTGTCAGGCATTTTTCTCAGTTGCTGAGGCTACAGTGGTGAGTCAAACAGATAAAACCCATGGTCTCATGGAGCTTACTTAAAATGAACAACTAAAGAAGAAAAATAAGATGGTGATAAGTGCTGTGCAGAATATTATAATAGAGTGATCTGATAAAGACAGTGATATGGTTTGGCTATGTACCCACCCAATTCTCATCTTGAATTCCCATGGTGTGGTAGGAGGGGCCCAGTGGGAGGTAATTAAATCATGGGGGCAGGTTTTTCCTGTGCTGTTCTTGGGATAGTAAGTCTCACGAGATCTGATGGTGAGATCTTATTATAAGGGGGAGTTTTCCTCCACAAGCTCTCTTTGCCTGTCACCATCCACATAAAATGTGACTTACTCCTCCTTGCCTTCGCCATGCCTGTGAGGCCTCCCCAGCCACATAAAACTGTTAAGTGCAATTAAACCTCTTTCTTTTGTAAATTGCCCAGTCTTGAGTATGTCTTTATCAGCAGTGTGAAAATGGACTAATACAGTAAATTGGTACCAGTAGAGTGGAGTGCTGCTGAAAAGCTACCCAAAAATGTGGAAGTGACTTTGGAACTGGGTAACATGCAGAGGTTGAAACAGTTTAGAGGGCTCAGAAGAAGAAAGGAAAATGTGAGAAAGTTTGGAACTTCCTAGAGACTTGTTAAATGGCTTTGATCAAAAGCCTGATAGTGATATGGACAAATAGGTCCACGCTGAGGTGGTTTCAGGTGGAGATGAGAAACTTGTTGGGTACTGGAGCAAAGGTGACTCTTGTTATGTTTTAGCAAAGAGACTGGCAGCATTTTGCTCCTGCCCTAGAGATTTGTGGAACTTTGAACTGGAGAGAGATGGTTTAGGGTATCTAGCGAAAAAAATTTCTGAGCAGCAAAGCATTCAAGAGGTGACTTGGGTGCTATTAAAGGCATTCAGTTTTATAAAGGAAGCAGAACATAAAAGTTTGGGAAATTTACAGCCTGACAATGTGATAGAAAAGGAAAACCCATTTTCTGAGGAGAAATTGAAGCCAGCTGCAGAAATTTGCATACGTAACAAGGAGCCGAATGTTAATCTCCAACACAATGGGGAAAATGTCTCTAGGGCATGTCAGAGGGCTTCACAGCAGCCCCTCCCATCACAGGCTCCGAGGCCTAGAAGAAAATGGTTTCCTGGGCCAGGGCCAGGGTCTCCTTGCTGTGTGCAGTCCATGGACTTGGTGCACCACATCCCAGCCACTCGAGCCATGACTAAAAGGGGCCAAGGTACAGCTCGGGCTGTTGCTTCAGAGGGTGGAAGCCCCAAGCCTTGGCAGCTTCCATGTGGTGTTGAGCCTGAGTGTGAACAGAAGTCACAAACAGGTTTGGGAACTTCCACCTAGATTTCAGAAGATGTATGGCAACGCCTGGAGGCCCAGGCAAAAGTTTTCTGCAGGGGCAGGGCTCTCATGGAGAACCTCTGCTAGGGCAGTATGGAAGAGAAATGTGGGGTTGGAACCCCCACACAGCGTCCCTACTGGGGTACTGCCTAGCGGAGCTGTGAGAAGAGGGCCACCATCCTCCAGACCCCAGAATGGTAGATCCACTGACAGCTTGCACCCTGCACCTGGAAAAGCCGCAGACACCCACTGCCAGCTCATGACAGCAGCCAGGAGAGAGGCTGTATCCTGCAAAGCCACAGGAGTGGAGCTGCCCAAGACCATGGGAACCCACCTCTTGCATCAGTGGGACCTGAATGCAAGACCTGTAGTCAAAGAAGATCATTTGAAACTTTAAGATTTGACTGCCCCGCTGGATTTCAGACTTGCATGGGGCCTGTAGTCCCTTCCTTTTGGCCAATGTCTCCCATTTGGAATGGCTGTATTTACCCAATGCCTGTACCCTCCTTGTGTCTAGGAAGTAACTAACTTGATTTTGATTTTATAGGCTCATAGGTGGAAGGGACTTGTGGGACTTGTCTTGTCTCTGATGAGACTTCGGACTGTGGACTTTTGAGTTAATGCAGAAATGAGTTAAGACTTTAGGGGAATGCTGGGAAGGCATGATTGGTTTTGAAGTGTGAGGACATGAGATTTGGGAGGGCCAGGAGCAGAATGATATGGTTTGGCTGTGTCCCCACCCAAATCTCATCTTGAATTCCCATATGTTGTGGGAGGGACCCAGTGGGAGGTAACTGAATCATGGGGGCAGATCTTTCCGATGCTGTTCTCGTGACAGTAAGTCTCACAAGATCTGATGGTTATTATGAGGGGGAGTTTTCCTGCATAAGCTCTCTCTTTGTCTGCCACCATCCACATAAGGTGTGACTTGCTCCTCCTTGCCTTCCACCATGATTGTGAGGCTTTTCCCACCACGTGGAACTGTAAGTCCAATTAAACCTCTTTCTTTTGTAAGTTGCCCAGTCTCAGGTATGTCTTTATCAGCACCAAAAATGGACTAATACAGTTTGGGGAGTTCTTTAGATTGGGTGGTGAGGGAGGGCCTCTCTGTGTCAGTGACTTAAATTAAGATTTCAATAGCAAGAAAGAAACATCAGTCCCAAAGTCAAGATTGGAAAAAGAGTTTTCCAGAAAGACTGAATGTTAATATAAAAGTTCTAATTTAGCCTGCTAGTGGCATGCATCTGTACTCCTAGCTACACAGGAGGCTGAGGCAGGAGGATTGCTTGAACCCAGGAGTTTGAAGTTACAGTGAGCTATGGTCACATTACTGCACTCCAGCCTGAGCAACAGAGTGATATCCTGTCTCTAAAAAAATAAAAAGTTAAAATTAAAAGAAGAGCTCTAATTTTGAGAAAAGGGGGCCCAGAGTGGATAGAGCATAGAAAAAGAGAAGAAAGTTAATAGGAGCTCAGATCAAGGGTAGGCAGGGCCAGATTATATGGAGTAATGGTTTATAAAGTTTGTTCCCACATCACCTGGGAACTTGTCAGAAATGTAAATTCTCTACCTACACTCCATGTTTACCAAATCAGAAACTCTGGGGTGGGGCCCAGCACTCTGGGTTTTAATAGACCTTCTGGTGACTATGGTGCGTGTGCAAGCTTAAGAACCACTAATATACAATTTTATAGATCAAGACAGATAATTTGAATTTTAGTCTAAACTGCAGAGTCAAAGCCATTGATAGGTTTAAGTCATGGGGAGAGGATGTATGACATCACTGGATTTGTTTTCAAAAGTTTACTCTGCTTTGGACAAAGTGGAATGTAGAGAAGCAAGACTTGGAGCAGGGCAATGAGTTAAAAGGTTTTTCAGCCTAGAAATTAGGGTATCTGAGATTAGGGTGCCAGGGATGGAGACAAAGAGAAATGGATAGATTTAGGATACATCATGGGAATCCCCAAGACTCAGTGAGTGGCAGGCAAAAGAAAGTGAGGGATCAAGGATAAGGCCCAGGTTTGGGTCCCAGGAAACAAGGTACACTGTGATGTCATTAGGGGAAGTGAAGAAGATTAGAAAAGGAGGATATTTGGGGGTGAAATCAGGAGTTCTCTTTCAGTCATGTTGTGTTTGACATGGCTAATAGATTTATACGGCTGTGTCAGGCAGTTTGATGGAAAAGTCAGGAGTTCTAAGAAAATGTACCAACAAAAGTATGTTTTTGGATTCACCTGTACATAGACTGTGTATCTTATCTAAACCCATGGGAAGAAATGGGATCACCTGAGAAAAGGATGTGAATAAAGAAGAAAAGAGCACCCAGAACAGAGCCCTTGGGCACCTAATATTTACTGATCTGACTGAGGGGCAGAACCGTTGAAGAAAGTGCAATGTGTGAGATTAGGAGGACACTAAAGAAACTAAGCGCTTGGGGTCATGGAGTCAAGTGGAAAGAATCTTTCAAAAAGGAAGCATCAGCTTTGTTGAATGCTGCAGAGGAATCAACAACACAAGACAAAGCAATGGGCCCTCCTGGATCATTGCTGATCATGATGAGAGAAGTTTCCATGCAGTGAAAGAAACCACTTAGAACGTGTACAGGAGAGAATGTGAGGTAAGGAAGTAGAGAAAGCAAAAAATAAACAACTTGGAAACGATGACAGATAAATCGGAAGAAATTGGAAGCCCATTTGGGGTTAAGGCACTTTCCAGTCACTGTATAAGAGAGACGGTAAAGACTCAGAGAGCTTTCTCATACAAGAGAGAAGGCAGGAAAGGAGCAAATAATATCCCCAAATCCAACCAATCACAATGGTAATAAATATATAGGACAGAGTAGCATTCAATGAGCATCTACAATGGGTAGGCAACTATGGAGATTTACAAAGAGTAATCAAAATGGAAAAAATGAATGCACATTTAGGTAATTAAAAGCCAGTGTGTGTTAACTCTACAGCTTAGGTAC
This sequence comes from Homo sapiens, assembly GCF_000001405.40. NCBI lineage: Eukaryota > Metazoa > Chordata > Mammalia > Primates > Hominidae > Homo > Homo sapiens. The sequence goes on from NC_000017.11 coordinate 54,880,095, forward strand.
AAAGTGCTTTGCAATCAAAAAGAAGAAAGGGATCTACTCTTGTTTGAACTTCAGTCTTCAAGAAAACGGATAGAGAAAAACTAGCTTCTAATGTAGAGGGGCTAGTATACTAGAGACTAATTAAGGGAACAGTGAATCAGTAAAACTGGAAATATCACATTTCATTCCAATTACATTCCAGAGAATAATACCTAATATTATAAATTTCTGACTTTTAAAATAATGTTATATGTTTTATTCTCCATAAATAGAAAATAGAAGAAGGTTTGGAGACCTACATAGAGAGACAGAGACTGAGAAAATATGAGATTAAAGTCTACAAGGAATAATATACTTATTAAGCAGTTATTAATCTATTACGTGTCAATGTTTGTTGTGATACTTTCATACCCATTGTCTCATCAAACCCTTGGTCAGCCTCGACTGGACACTTTCATTTTATTGGGAAACATTTATTCCTTGCATGGTCATTGTAGAGAAAATTACATTTAGTTTCTTCTAAGGATGTCTCTCAATAAATTTATCTCCTCCCCAAACAAATGAATAATAAATTATTTTCCTTCTCTCTATATTAATTAATTGGGCAACTATTAGTTGCAAGAATCTTAATTGGAAGAAAAAAAGAGGTTTTTTGTTTTTTTCATTCAAAGGATTTCCAAACAATGAGAGAGAGACTACAGAAGGTCATCTTGTATCATGGTTTCCAAATCTGGCTGTACAACTAAATCCTGGGGAAAGCTTCTTGAAAACACAGATTCCCAGACTTTACTCCCAGAAATTCTGATTCTGATTCTGCTCATCTGATGTGCAGGTAGAAAGCTGCGGTGCTTGGGAGGCCGAGGCGAGTGGATCACCTGAGGTCAGGAGTTCAAGACCAGCCTGGCCAACATGGTGAAAACCCATCTCCACTAAAAATACAAAAATTAGCTGGGTGTGGTGGTGTGTGCCTGTAATCCCAGCTACTTGGGAGGCTGAGACAGGAGAATTTCTTGAGCCTGGAAGGTGGAGGTTGCAGTGAGCCGAGATTGCGCCATTGAACTCCAGCCTGGGCAACAGAGCAAGACTCTGTCTCAAAAAAAAAAAAAAAAAAAAAAAAAGAAGAAGCTGTGGTGTTTAATAGATCCTCAGGCGATTCTGGTGTGCAGCCAGTTGTGGAAAGCACAACTCTGAAACAGGCAGTTCTCTTGCAATTTATGTTTTCATAACATGACTATTAAAATTTGAGAAATTAGGGAACACTATTTGCATTGCAAGGACAAGTATTGATTGTAAAGGGATGGCCAACAACTAGCAATGTGAGTAAAGAGAAAAAATTCTGTCGTCCACATAGTGTATTAAGAACGCTCTTGCTGGCCGATTGCATCTACTTTGTTTGAGAGGCTCTGAGCTTCGTTTTGCAATAACAAGAGATATAACAAGTCAATAAAAAAGAGTGTACAAGATGTTCCAATAATGAGCGTGCCGGTGGTTAAAGGAGAAAAAAGCCACTTCGCTTTAGACAATTAAATGCTGGATCAGCTCAGTGATGTTTGAGGATTATAACTATATGTTTAGCCTATGGAAACACTCTCATTATTAAAAAAATTTTTAGGAAAGATAACATTCATTGCATTTATGTATTTATTTTTGAGTCAGAGTCTTGCTGTGTCACCCAGGCTGGAGTGCACTGACGTGATCTCAGCTCACTGCAACCTCTGCCTCCCAGGTTGAATTGATCCTTGTGTCTCAGCCTCCTGAGTAGCTGGGACTACAGGCATGTGCCACCACGCCCAGCTAATTTTTGTAATTTTAGTAGATATGGGGTTTTGCCATGTTGGCCAGGCTGGTCTCAAACTCCTGACCTCAAGTGATCCACTCGCCTCAGCCACCCAAAGTGCTGGGATTACAGGTGTAAGCCACCACATTCAGCTGATTTGATACCATCTGAATACAGTCTTATGCTACATAATGATGTTTTGGTCAATGAATGACCACATACAGAGCAGCGGTCCCATAAGATTATAATAGAGCTGAAAAGTTCCTGTCACCTAATGACAATTATATACAGCCCATAACACTTGATAATACAGAACTATGTTACTGGTTTATGTATTTGCTATACTATACTTTTCATCATTACTTTAGAGTGCACTCCTACTTATTGAAAAAAAAATTAACTGTTAAACAGCCTCTGGCAGGTCCTTATGAGTTATTCCAGAAAAAGGCACTGTTACAGGAGATGACAGCTCCACGTATGTTATTTTCCCCAAAAACCTTCCTGTGGGACAAGATGTAGAGTTGGAAACACTGATATTGATGATCCTGACCCTGTGTAGGCCTAGGCTGAAGTTTGTGTTTGTGTCTTTGTTTTTAACAAAAACGTTTAAAAAGTAAAATCAATAAGGAAAATTTGTAAGAATAGAAAAGACCTTACAGTCTGGGCGTGATGACTCAAGCCTATAATCCCAGTACTTTGGGAGGCTGAGGAGGGCAGATGGCTTGAGACCAGGAGTTCTAGACTAGCCTTGCTCAACATGTTGAAACAGGTTTCAACATGATGAAACCCTGTCTCTATAAAAATTACAAAGTTATCCATAGTGGTATGTGCCTGTCGTCCCAGCTACTCAGGAGGCTGAGGTGGGAGGAACAATTGAGCCTGAGAGGTCGAGGCTACAGTGAGCCAAGATTGTGCCACTGCACTCCAGCATAAGCAACCAAGCAAGACCCTGTCTCGAGACAGAGAGAGAGAGAAAGGAAAGAAGGAAGGGGAGGGGAGGGGAGGTGAGGGAAGGGCTGTTCAAAAAGAAAAAAGCTTATAGAATAAGAATATAAAGAAATATTTTTGTACAGATGTTCCATATGCTTGTGTTTAAAGCTAAATGTTATTACAAAGGAGATAAAAAGTTAAAAAAATTTAGAAGTTTATGAAGTAAAATAGTTATCGTAAGCTGAAGTTGTTTTACTACTGAAGAAAAAAATCAAAATAAATTTAGTGTAGACTAAGTGCTTTTATAGTTTACAGTAGTGCACAATAATGCCCTAGACTTTCACACTGACTCACTACTCTCTCTCTGTCTCACTCAGCGCAACTTTCAGTCCTGCAAACTCTAGTCATAGTTAGTGCCCTATGCAGGTGTAGCATTTTTTATCTTTTGTATCATATTTTTACTGTACCTTTTCCATGTTTAAATGTTTAGATATGCAAATACTTATCATCGTGTTCTAATAGCCTACAGTACAATAACATGTCATGCAGATTTGATTTGCAGCCTAGAAGTAACAGGCTATCAAATGGCCTAGGTGTATAATCGGCTGTACCATGTAGATTTGTGTTAAGTACACTCTATGATGTTCAGATAACCAAGAACATAATTGCCCAATGACAACACATTTCTCAGAACATATTTCCATTGTCAAGTGATGCTTGACTGTAATTGTTTTGGTAACTCTTCTTAAAAATAACACCATGTTTCTGTAAGGAAAAGCAAAATTTAGAATTTAGTTGTTTTGGTAACTCTTCTTAAAAATAACACCATGTTTCTGTAATGAAAAGCAATATTTAGAAGTAGAATAGACTACGTTCTCTGTCCATGAATAGATATCACAGTAAATATGCAAGTGTGTGCTGGAAGCAAACACAAGGGGCACCTAATTTGAGGGTCTTAAAAGATTGGTAAGAATTATGTTGAAAAGGTAGGAGGCCTACTTAACTTCTTCTTATTACTTATTACATTTGTCATAACTTACTGTAATAACACTACTTATTACATTTGTTTACCTTTCCCTTTTAGGTGTTAGAGAGATTTTCCATTCTCTTCGTTTATTCTACAGTCTCACCATTCTACTAATTAGGAAGTTCTCAAAGGCTCTAAATTCTTTTCTCTGTAATTCCAATTCATTCCTAAGAGGATGCTTTTGTTGACAGAAAGAAATCCTGCCTTATAATCTCAACACTTGGGTGGTTTGATTTCTGAACAGAGACAGGTATTGACCTCTATGGGCAACTCAAGGCTCCTTTCTTCTCCCCATCCTCCTTTTGCTCCCGCCCAGGGATGAGTCAGGGTGAGGAGGAAAACACTTCAGCCTTCAAGGGGCAGGAGTGCTGGATGACAGACTTAGTTGGCAGGCTGTGCTTTGAAGGGTAGAAGTTTTAACATATGATAAAATGTCACCTTATTCGCATGGATTTTTCTCCCCTTTCTGTAGGGGTCCCTCAAACACCAGCTACAACCAGGGCTGCTTCCAAATGAGAAGAGGCTGACCAGCTCTGTCACTTCTGATGTCCCCCTTACCAGGGCTAGGCCAGGGCACAGCCAGGGCGCGGATATCTTTGCTTTGGGGTAAAGGGGCTTTTTTGCACTCCAGCTCTCTTGGAATGGCTTCTTCTCAGAACAATGGGACAAAGTTCCAAAATTGGAAGTGAACTTAGGAGGAAAAAGTGGTCATTTTCCCCAGCTTTGGTTCTAGCCTCTTAACTAAGGCTAAAAAGAATTCTCCATAATCCAAATTCTTTCTAAAGTTTTACACAGGCATGTATCCATTAATGACAAGGAAAAGTTCGGAGAAATGCATCATTAGGTGATTTCATCATTGTGCAAACACCACACAGTGTACTTACACAAACCTAAACAGTTTAGGCTACTATATACCTAGGCTAGATGGTATAGCCTATTGCTCCTCGGCTACAGACCTACACAACATGTTATTCTACTGAATACTGTAGGCAACTGGAACACAATGGCAGGTATTTGCACACCTAAACATATTTAAACATAGAAAAGGTACAGTAAAAATGCGGTAGGAGATTAAAAAATGCTACACGTGTATGGGGCACCTACCACGAATGGAGCTTGCAGGACTGGAAGTTGCTCTGGGTGAGTTAGGGTGTGAGTGGTGACTGAATGTTAAAGCTAGGACATTACTGTACACCACTGTAGACTATGGAAACACTGTACACTTAGGCTACACTAAATTTATTTTAAGTATTTGCTTTAATAATAAATTAACATTAGCTTACTGTAACTTTTTTACTTTATGTGATGGTTAATACTGAGTGTCAACTTTAGTGGATTGCAGGATGCAAAGTGTTGATCCTGGGTGTGTCTGTGAGGGTGTTGCCAAAGGAGATTAACATTTGAGTCAGTGGGCTGGGGAAGGCAGACCCACCCTTAATCTGGTGGACACTACCTAATCAGCTGCCAGCCAATATAAAGCAGGCAGAAAAACGTGAAAAGGCAAGACTGGCCTCGCCTTCCAGCCTACATCTTTCTCCCATGCTGGATGCTTCCTGGCCTCGAACATCAGACTCCAGGTTCTTCCAGTTTGAGACTGGGACTGGCTCTCCTTGCTCCTTGAGCTTGCAGACAGCCTTGTAGGACCTTGTGATCATGTAAGTTAATACTTAATAAACTCCCCTTTATATATATACACACACACACACACACACACACACACACACATACACACACACATATGCTATTAGTTCTGTTCCTCTAGAGAACCCTAATGCACTTTACATATATTTTAATTTTTAAACTTTTTGACTCTTTTATAATAACATTTAGCTTAAAACACAAACACATTGTACAGCCATACAAAAATATTTTCTTTCTTTATATCCTTATTCAGGCTATATATCCTTTATATTTTTTTATTTTTTAAATTATTATTAGTTTACTTTTAAGCTTTTTTTGTTAAAAACTAAGACACAAACATACACATTATCCTAGGCCTACACAGGGTCAGGATCATCAATGTCACTGTCTTCCACCTCTACATCTTATCCCACTGTCTTCAGGGGCGATAGCATGCATGGAGCTGTCATCTCCTGTGACAACAATGCTTCTGGATACCTCCTGAAGGACCTGCCTGAGGCTGTTTTACAGTTAACATTTTTTTAATAGGTAGAAGAAATATACTCTAAAATAATAACAAAAAACATAGTAAATATATAAACCAGTAACATAGTTGTTTAGTATTATCAGTATTATGAGCTGTGCATAATTATATTGCTATACTTTTATAAACCTAGCAGAGCAGTAAGTTTGTTTACACCAGTGTCACCACAAACACATGAGTTATGCTTTGCATTACAATGTTAGGACAGCTATGATGTCACTAGGTGATATGAATTTTTCAGCTCCATTATAATCTTAAGGGACCACCATCGGATATGCCACCTGCTATTGACCTTAGCGTTCTTATGTGTTGCATGACTGTATTGAGGTTTGAGGACAAACCCTGCTAGAAATAAACTGTTTATTCTTTTTTGACTGCATTATGTTTATATCATCCCAAGGGACTTTGCTCAAGTTTTTCCAGGTGACCTAGCCCAATCCCATCCTCATTCATTCTATTAATGACATCCCTAACTTTCCCTTCCCACCTCAATAGAAAATGCAAGCCCAAACTGAGTCAGTGTTTTCCACCTTGGTGTCTTTCCTTTTAAAAATGCTGTTCTAGGTAGCTAAAGATATTCTGGTTGTGCTCCCCACTTTCAAGTGGCAAGTTTTTTTTGTGAGTCAATTACTAAGAGTCTTCAGGACTTTCTACCCAGCACTTGCCTAGTAATTTGCTATGACCAACCTACAGCATCTGTCAACTCTTCCCATGGATTAATAGATCTGTAATTAAAATCCAACAGAGAGCCCCAAAATTAATTAGGACATGAAACAGCCATGTAAGCAGCATGGAGCACAGCTCTGTATAAAGAAAAGACAAGCTTCATGTAAAACAAGTGTATACCCCAGGCAGGCCTCTGTCCATCTCTCATCAGCTGGCCCCTGAACTGCCTGTTTCTGATCTGTAAACTCATTGTGAAAGTGCCTAATAGAGGGCAGCCACACAGTGGGTAGCAATACATCGCAGTGACTGCTTGACTCTTTACTTGAAATATAATCCTCAGGGGAGCTTATTTCTTCTATTTACAGAAAAAAGGAAATTTTAGAGAGATGAAATATCTCATTGCTCACACCTAGGTTTTCCCTTCAGATCTCCATGCTCTGTGGATGAAGACTTCCTTTAAGTTTTCTGGAGCCTAAGCTTATGGACATAATGTCATGAAAGCAGGATAGTGCTGCACATGTATCTGCTTCTTACTGTGAGACCTTGGGCAAGTTATCAATACTCTGTGCCTCAGTGACTAGCACATGGCAAGTGTGCAAATGCCAGGTATGTTATTAATGCTGATTGGCCTCTAACAGAAAGATAATGGTAGTGATGTCTATTTTCTCTTGTTCTCAAGAGGTTATACCTAGGGGGTCCATATGAACTTTAATGTACATCCAGATTTATAAAAAACGGTTTCTGAAAGCAAGGTGCCATGTTTTATGCAACGTTTGGCAATTAACTGTTTTCTGTTGTTGTTGTTGTTTGTTTGTTTTTTTAATAATGAGGCCAGGTGCAGTGGCTCCCACCTGTAATCCCAGCACTTTGGGAGGCTGAGGCGGGTGGATCACCTGAGGTCAGGAGTTCAAGACCAGCCTGGCAGACATGGTGAAACCCCATCTCTACTAAAACTTAGCTGGGCATGTTGACACAGCCTGCAATCCCAGCTACTCAGGAGGCTGAGGCAGGAGAATCGCTTCAACCTCGGAGGCAGAGGTTGCAGTGAGCCGAGATTGTACCACTGCACTCCAGCCTGGGTGACAGAGCGAGACACCATCTCAAAAAATAAAAATAAAAAATAAAAAAAATAAGAATGAGCCAGAAGTAAAATGTCCTTCAACATACCTATGAAAGGAGATATATTAACACATCCAAGAATTCACTCCTTCAATGATAAAACGTCCTTCTACCCTGAATAGCTACAAAATTGTACCTTTTTTCTTGTATGGTGGAAGAAGAGAATGGAAATTTCTTCCAAAATCGAAGTTGTCTTAAGATTGGCAGCCAGAGCAGGAGGCCATAAAACACTGTCAGAGATGACAAGGGTTGAATTAAGTTCCAGGAACTGTTAAGAGCAATGTGAAGGACTCATCTCTGGTCAGAGATAACTGGGCATAAAAGCGTATTGATTAATAATGTAACCTTCCTTTAAACCTTTTCCCAGGCAGTCCAGAAACCTTCACTGCACTCAGGTGAGAAACATGAAAAGTTTTTCCTCAAGATTTTCAATAGAAGCAACAACTGCAATAAACCAGACTTGTCATGGAACAGTTTTCACCATATGGGGCCCTGATGCCTCACTGAGCAGTGACTGTCAGGCCTGAGGTGGGTACACATCCATGCTTCCTCCTCGTCAAATGCCCCCAGAGAAACTGGCTGTGCATTTTCAAGAAAAAAAATGACTTAGGCTTACTCAATCCATTCAGCGACTAGGCAGAAAGTATAAAACAAATGATGGAGAAATCTCCCAACGTAGCCAATATTTGCTGATAAATATTTGACACACACCTCTGGTTCCCAACCTACAGAAAGAAGAGAATGTCACCTAGGCTCTTCGGAGTTGTCAGAAATAGATATTCATCGAGGTTACCTCTAGCAATGGAAAATCAGCTGTGAGGCTACATGTGGAAATAGGAAAAACATAACTCCTCCAGGAACCCAGCGATGGCTAGACTGAAGGTGGAATGCAGATTAATCATGGTAAGATTATTTTAGGACACACAATTCCCAAGACCCACAACCCCCACCAATGTGAATTTTCTCCAATTCTCTAGTCTCGATCCTATTAACTAACTACCCCACCCTCTAGTTGGTTATCTTTTTAAAATATTTTCATTTTACTTTACTGATAGCTTCTGATTACTCTTGGCTCCTGATGCAGCTGATCCCACTAACAATTGCTCTGTCTGTCCATCTGTCTGCCTATCTAGAGACACCAGTTATTACAAAGATCTCATACAAGGTCCCTGCCAGGCCAACATATTGGGACTGGCTAACAGATTTGTCACCCTTACTTTGGATGCCCCCTCCTAATCGAATCAGCCAAAATGCTGGGGTCGAATGATTCAGCACAGGGATTTTCCAAGTATGACCTGCAGGGCAAACCTGACCTGCCATCTATGTTTGTACATTCATTAGTTTATATATCGTCCATGACTGCTTTTGTGCTACAATGGCAGACAGAGTTGACTAGATGCCAGCAGAGCTTAAAATATTTACTACCTGGCCTCTTACAGACAATATTTGCTGATTCCTGATTGAGAATACGGATAAGCGTTCAGTGTAAGAAAGTGCACCGGAAAGGAACTGTAAATGGGTTTTCTTAGGAAGGGCTCAGGAGTATAGCAGATATTCTGAGGCCAAAGATCTCAGGGAAGCTGCAGGTTGGTCTTCTTTGGTCCATATACACGCCATACACTAAATAAACATGTACACATACAAGTATATACTTATATATGTATGATTTTACATGAAAAGTATATACAAGTATATACTTATATATGATTTTAAATGAAGATATAAATTAATTCATTTAAAAGTGAAACTGATTCTATACTATCTTTAATAACTTTTTTTTTAACATGAATCAGAATGCAACTCTAATCACGATGCAAACCCCTGATTTAGCAATATCAAAACTGTACATGACCTGTTTTGCATTCCTATTTAGCCCTGGAATGCAACCAATGCTATTGTTGTTCCTATGTTTTTGTAAGGAACATGGTTGGTAGGACATTCACTTTATAACTTGGGGCTAAGACTAATAGAAAATACTATGATTTCTACCACTTTCATCCCTACTACTTTTGAAGCTCATCCTGATCTTTTTATAATTAAGAAGCTTAATGAGGAAACATTGTGTGACTACTAGGCTCAAGGACTTGAGGAAAAGTAAATTTTCTGCCCATCTGCATGAAGAATTAACTTTGTCCACTGGTTTATAATTTCTTCCTTACTTGATTGTGAGCACTGAGCACTTGGGATGCAGAGATTGGATTTTAGCTTGTTCATATACACTAATTCCTAGCATCGTGACTGGCGCATTTGGGGACTTCATTATGTGTTTGTGGAATGAATGAGTGCATGCTGTCATATGTTCTCATTGCTCAGTTGGTAAAGCTAACATAGAAGGACTTATAACTGTAAAAGACACTAGGACACCTTTGTAACTGCTCTCACCACTACAGAGATGGGCTAGCACTGAAAAGTAAAAGTTGTCTCTATAAAAGAGTGAGGCACAGAATACGTGAGTTTCAGACTGACCAGAGCTCTCTTCCCCTACGTTGCATTGGTCATTACACTATTTGGTCATCACATTATTTGTTCTCAGGCCTACACTAACAGGCCTGGGTCTAACCCTATGCTGCCCAGATCTTTAATCCAGGACTCAATCCTCCATGCAAAGTTAGTTCCTGGTTTGTACTCCCATGATACTGTGTCCATATTTTTGTTTAACACTTAGACTGAACTGCAATGATCTGCTTACTAGGAAGTTTCCCTCACTGGCTTAGAAGTCCATGTTGTACCTCTGTATAAAATTCAATAATGTGTGATAAAGGAAGGAAGGAATAAATGAGCTAATAAGCATGTAAAATATAAGTCACTATCCCCTTTCATCTCCTTGATGATTTAAGCTGATTGATCGTGACATCCATCCTCGTTAGACCCACCTTCAACCTCTCCCCTTTCTTAATGGTTTTGCCTCTCCAAACGGTCTCCAACAATAGTTCAAAGTTGGGGCCAGGTGTGGTGGCTCATGCCTGTAATCCCAACACTTTGGGAGGCCCAGGTGGGCGGATCACTGGAGGTCAGGAGTTTGAGAGCAGCCTGGCAAACATGGTGAAACCCTGTCTCTACTAAAAGTACAAAAAAAAAAAAATTAGCTGGGTGTGGTGGTGTATGCCTGTAATCCCAGCTACTTGGGAGGCTGAGGCAGGAGAATCTCTAGAACCCAGAGGCAGAGGTTGTAGTGAGCCAAGACTATGCCACTGCACTTCAGCCTGGGTGACAGAACAAGACTCCGTCTCAAATAAATAAATAAATAAACCTCACACACAAACACACACACACACACACACAAAGTTTGCATAACTATAGGTATGTATGTGTTATCAGAGATTCAAATCCCAGACATGGCCTTTGTGAAAGCATCCCCTCCTGCAGCCACCTAATTTCTGATACATGTCAACCTTCCCAAGCAACTCATTTCCCTGGACCCCCCATCTGCCTGCTAAATAAGTAATACCAGGTTTCACTGCCAATGTAAGACCCTCAGGGAGTAAAAACAGTGAGCAGCATCAATGTGCTTCCCAGCAGAGCAACTAGCCTTCAGCAAATAAAACACCCTGAAAACAGCTGGCTGGGGTTCCTGGAGCCCTCCTCCCCCTCCAATGAATCATTCTGTAGAATGTGGCTGCCCAGCTAGGCCTTTGGGAGAATTCGATAAGTTAAACAAGGCTGCCCTCTCATGGTTAAAAAAACTACCTGTATAAAATGTTTTCTATTTTTCAAACACAAGAAATCCAGGGCACCCCATTGAAAAACCTGTGTAATACTTATCTTTTTAAAGCAGATAATTTAAAGTATGCTGCAGTCAGCTTCTAAGAAACAATGAATGATAAATAGAAGTGAAAAAGTATATTCCAAATTTTAAAACTTGCTCTAGATTGAATTATAATCAACAAGAATTCATTACTGATTCTAGAATTTAAGTAGATGAAATAATTGCCCAAACTTGATAAGCCAATAATAAAAAATGAAACAAAGAATTGCTTAATGCATGGGATTTCTGTCTTAGGTAATTTATTTTAGACTTTAGTTGGCTTACACAGCAGTAACACTGGTTCTGTTTATATATTAATTCATTTAGTAAATATCTGCAAAGAATATACTAGAGAATCTCAACTACTGTAAGATGTAATTTTTTCCTCCATATTTTTAACATCTTTAATGCAGCCAGGTGTGGTGGCTCACGCCTGTAATCCCAGCACTTTGGGAGGCCGAGTTGGGCAGATCACCTGAGGTCAGGAGTTAGAGACCAGCCTGGCCAACACAGTGAAACCCCGTCTCTATTAAAAGTGCAAAAAAAAAAAAAATTAGCCAGGCGTTGTGGTGGGCACCTGTAATACCCGTTATTTGGGAGGCTGAGGCAGGAGAATTGCTTGAACCTGGAAGGCGGAGGTGGCAATGAGCCAAGATGGCGCCACTGCACTCCAGCCTGGGCGACAAAGGAAAACTCTGTCTCCAAAATAAAAATAAAAATAAAAACATCTCTAATGCACCTCACAACCTGTGGTATGTTATAATCTCTGTCAGCCAGGCAACAGCAGAAATGCATACATAGTTGTCATTGCGTGGGTATGTGCGATCTGCTTGTCATTTCTGATGGCTTATGGGACACTGACACCCTTGATATTTCAGTCCCAAATCTATTTAAGGACAATTTGGGGAAGAAAAACAAGTCCTGTTTGTTGTCTGGAAAAGCTTTCATTGATACTTTCTAGTAAGATCAAAAAAGCACCACTATCAAAATTTAAACTGAGTGTCAACAGCTTATAATAAAGTATTGGGAGACAATAGCAGCACTCTCTAAAAAAATGCAGTGTCACCAGTGCTGATAGTGGCATAAAAGATGACAGGGTGTGGAAAAACACATTGATGTCTCTGAGTCAAGGAGTGAGTTTGGAGAGCTGGATTCTGTATGGGAAGAAGAAATAGTATCTTTGTTAATTAATTAATTAATTATGAGATGGAGTTTTGCTCTTGTCGCCCAGGCTGGAGTATCTTGGCACAATCTCAGCTCATTGCAACCTCTCTCCCAGGTTCAAGTGATTCTCCTGCCTCAGCCTCCCAAGTAGATGGGATTACAGTCGCCCACCACCATGCCCGGCTAATTTTTATATTTTTGGTAGAGACATGGTTTCACCATGTTGGCCAGGCTGATCTCGAACTTGCGACCTAAGGTGATCCACCTGCCTAGGCCCCCCAAAGTATGGGATTACAGACGTGAACCACCAGGCCCGGCCATCTTTGTTAATTTATTTTGCTTACATTTTCCTTTTCACATTTGTAAAAGAGTCATATATGCAAAACGTCATGTCCAATGATTCTCAAAATGTTATTTAAATAAACACAAAATAAAAATTATAACTAATAAAAAAGTAGTATCTCATAGTTTAACTGGAAGCTTTTTTTTCCTTTTTGTTGTGCCAAAAAATAGTGCATCTTATCACAGAAAGAGTTTTAGATATAATGAACTATGGAACATACAAGGCGGTGTTGCAGTCACTGAATAATGCAGTGATGAGCAAAACAGAACTTTCTGTGCCCTCCCCAAGCCAGATAAGAAGACATCTATAAACATGCAAACAAATGAAGAAATGAGAGCATTTCAAATAGCAGTAAATGCTATGAAGACAATAACCCAGAATAAGAGGATAAAGAGAGGTGGGGAGGGCAAGGAGGCTTTAAATCAGCACTGTAGGTAGAATCAGGAGAAGCACAGGGGAGCTGCACATCACACCATAGTAGGTAGGAGAAGAAATGCATTCAAGGAGCAGGCAGAGGTCAACAGTGACAAATGGTATTAGAAGAGAAAAGAAGGTGAGGTGGGAGGACTGTTCTTAATATCAGCAAGATGATGTCTTTTAAAAATGGTATTATAGCTGGACTAAAACTAAAACAGGTTATAGGACGAATGGATGACCAAATCTGCTCTTTTTGGGGAGATCTGCTTTAGGGCCTGAGGGAAACAGTTGGCCTAGAGGGCTGTGGCTGCAGCGCAATATAGAATCACAAGGGTATATTTTGTGGAGCAAGGGAGCAATATTAAGTCTTGCAAGGCAAGTAAACAAATAATTGCACAAAACAATTTCAGATTATAAACAGTGTTATAAAGGACATAACCAAGATGATATGATGGAAAACAGGAAACAGAAGCCTACTTTAAGCTTTGGGCTCCAACAGTTATTGAACACCAAGGACATGCCAGGCATTTATTAAGAGCATTCAAATGTCAACTCATTTAATCTTGAGACCTACTTTTTGAGATATGTTCAATTAGTTCCATTGTTGCAGATAAAGAAACTAAGGTTCTGAAATAGTGATTTGTCTGTCAAAGATCAATTAGTAAATGGTAGCCCTGGGATTAGAACCAAATTTGACATTGAAATTAAATGTGTTTCCCTTGCTGTACACCCCTTCCTTCAAGGCTTTCCTGCAAGACAAACCTCAAAGCAGCTAGCCTTTCACAACCCCTGCCGCAAAATCCCAGCTCATGGTCTCTTTTTAGAGCCCCACTCCTATGAGACCTTTTTCAATTGAACCGATCACCAAGTTGCACATTATTCATAACATGCTAGCAGAAGCCAAATGTGTAATTATACTGACGCTAGTAGGTACCGATAGGACCTTCTTTTCCCAAACAGCATCTTTAAGTAGTGGCTTTTAGAGAGACACTGCCAAACTTCAAAAGGCCATTTTCTAATAGTGAAAATTTTAGGCCACCTGGTAGATTGGAAGGATAAATGATCACAATAACTAGTTAATATTTATTGAGCTTTATTATATGCCCAGAATCATTCCAAGTGCTATAAATATAATATCTTGTTATTTTTCAAAGCAACCCTATGAATTCGAAATTATTTTTTACCACCTGACAGCTGATTTGAGCCCAGTTAATCTGATTTGCAGACTAAAGCTAGCATCCCAAAGGAACACACAGGAATTAAATGACAAACCCCAAATGAGTTGTATGCACCGATGATATTATAAAACTCACAGAAAGCTGGTTGGCTTGGATTTTGAAAATATTGATTCCTTTGGTTTATTTTCCAGATAAAACTTTGGTTTTAAGCCTCACAGGAATCCACTGAGATGACAAATTTAACCAACAGATACCCTTTAGTTCCCTCTCTCAATGGAGCTTTTTAATTGTACAGATGAGAGAAACCAATGAACCTGTTTTTGTGATTTAAAGATTAATGTCTGGAGAATAATTGTGGTTTAAAATCAATCAACAAACTTCTGGTTGGCATTGATGCATAAGGAGCACTGGGCTTGTTGCTTCAGATACTCTCCAAGATCAGCCACAGATCCTTGCTGGTGGGGATGGCAGGGGCTGGCAGTGTGATGCAATGGAAAAAGGCTTAAGCTTGGAAATGAGAAAAACCCAAATTCACCTCCATATTCAGAGTGACTTTAGGTAAGTTAGTTAATGAAATGAGAGTAATTATTTTTTAAAAAATAATTCTGAAGTTTATTGGAGATACCAAAGCACTTTGTACAGTGCTTGGCACAGTAAGAAGTCAACAACTGTTCCCCTCTTCACTCTTCCTGTGCCTTGTCCTCTCTCATCTTGGGTCTCTGAGTTCAGCCTGAAACCCATAAAGACAGAACAAAACAGCCCTGGGGTTGGGGTGGGGAGAAACCCTCTCGTGTGAAGCTGATGGAGGGTTATCCTAAGAGCTGGAAAAGAAAGGCTGTTCTTTAATTTCCACAATCAGGAGTTGCAAAGATATAGTATATTAAGAAATAACTGGAAATAGGCTGGATGTGGCTCAGGCCTATAATCCCAACATTTTGGGAGGCTGTGAGGTTGGAGGATCACTTGAGCTCAGGAGTTCAAGACCAGACTGGGTAACATAGTAAGAACTCATCTCTGTCTGTCTGTCTGTCTGTCTCTCTCTCTCTCTCTATATATATATATAACTGGAAATACAGTGAACATATATTATGTACATGTGGTTTTCAAAAACAATGGGCAAGAAATTGTGCAAAAGAAGGTCCATTTTAAGGAGAAATAATATGTCTTTAAATGCACAGGGATTTGATTGTGTTCAGGAAAGCGTGAACTTCAATCTAGTTTCATCCCTAAACAGTATTAAGGCTTTTGACATCGACAATTTCTGGACTGGACAGTGTCCATAGAGAAGAAAAAGCAAGGAGAGAGGTAAAGAAGAACATAGAGAAATCCAGAACTGACTGAAATGAAAGTTGAGGATAACTTCAAGATTTTCTGTTTGGGAATTTATGGTACCTTTAGCCCATCCAGGGACCTTTAAAATTCTTGATGACCTTGAGGCATCCAAGACTAGTTAAATCAGAATCTCTGAGGTGGGACCCAGATATCATTAGTCTTTACAGCAACCCAGAAATTTCTATGCATATGGTTGAGAATGACTGCTATGGTCAAAACAAGTAAGTAAGGTAGGATATTGAGATAATGGAGAAAGAGGATGAGTATAATTCTAGACATACTGAGTTCAAGTTTCAACAAGGCATCCAGGAGGGAATTAAGGGCTGGACCTCAGGAAGGACACAGCAACTTAAGATTTTGAGGAGTCATTCATTAATATATTCAATAAACATCCCTTAGGCTGGGCATGGTGGCTCATGCCTGTAATCCCAGCACTTTGGGGGGCCAAGGTGGGTGGATCACTTGAGGTCAGGAGTTTGAGACCAGCCTGGCCAACATGGTGAAACCCTGTCTCTAATAAAAAGACAAAAATTAGCCAGGCATGGTGGCGTGTGCCTGTAATCCCAGGTACTTGGGAGGCTGAGGCAGGAGAATCGCTTGAACCTGGGAGGCAGAGGTTGCAGTGAGCTGAGATTGCACTACTGCACTCCAGCCTGGGTGATAAAGTGAAACGCCATCTCAGAAAAAAAAAAAAAAATCCCTTAAGGTCTATTGAGTGTCAGGACACCAAGTCCTACAAATGGGTCCTTTTTCTTTGTGGGGCCTATATCTAGGAGGCAGGGAACAGATTTCTAAACAAATCAGTGATATAATATGTTGTGGACTATAAGACAGAAATCTGTACCTGGGACAGAAAAGAAGAGTTAAATTCTTCTGGGAGTTGTCAGAAAAGACTTCATAAAGAAGGGACAAGGAGAAGGTGGGATGAGAGAAATGCAGAAAGAGAAAAAGGCGAACCTCGGAAGTGTGGGAAGACTTACTTAGGTCTAGCAGAATGGAAAGAAAATAAAATCAAATGAAGATCATTGAGAATTAGCAGTCAGAGAGAGAGAGAGAGAAAAAAAAAAAAGTAGGATAGAGAAGTGTCCTGAAAGATAAGGCTGGCTAACAAGGAAGGGCCATCACATGGGTGGTGCAGAGGGTCAAAGAGGATGAGGATGACTATTAAAGCTGAAGATCACATAGCTATGAAAGTTAGTTTTTATAGTGGGAGAGTTGGGGGAGAGAGTAGGTAGTGTTTGGAACTAGACCCACGGAAAAAGAGAAGGATAATGAGAAGGCTAGTGGATACACTATGGGGAGGGTTATAGGGAGCACATTTAAATATTAAAACAAGGAACAAGCCCGGCGTGGTGGCTCACACCTGTAATCCCAGCACTTTGGGAGGCTGAGGCGGGTGGATCACGTGAGGTCAGGAGTTCGAGACCAAACTGACCAACATGGAGAAACACCGTCTCTACTAAAAATACAAAATTAGCCAAACGTGGTGGCACATGCCTGTAATCCCAGCTACTAGGGAGGCTGAGGCAGGAGAATCGCTTGAACCTGGAGGCAAAGGTTGTGGTGAGCTGAGATTGTGCCATTGCATCCAGCCTGGGCAAGAAGAGTGAAACCCCATCTCAAAAAAAAAAAAACAAAAAAAACAAAAAAAAAAACACAAACACACAACACACAAAAAAACAATCAAATGAGAAGGCAAAAATCTCTTAGCTGCATGAATCATGATGGTGGGTTATCTTTGTTTTCTATACAGGTGTACTTGCCAAGTTCGGTCACTTCTTTCTACAGACACTGCCCCCTAGAACCCACTTCTTTCAAAATGTGAACTAGTGAAGGGCACCACCTACCATCTAGAGCTCTATCCAAGAGGGATGACATAGCACAGCCATTCAAGTCACAGGTTCTGGAATTAGACAGTCCTTCCCTAGCAATGTGACTATGTGAAAAATTATTGACTTATTTCCCCCCCCTTTTTTTCTTGAGATGGAGTCACTCTGTTGCCCAGGCTGGAGAGCAGTGGCGTGACCTCGTCTCACTGCAGTCTCCGCCTCTCGGGTTCAAGCGATTCTCCTGCCTCAGCCTCCCGTGTAGCTGGAATTACAGTCACCTGCCACCATGCCCAGCTAATTTTTGTATTTTTAGTAAAGACAGGGTTTCACCATGTTGGCCAGGCTGGTCTTGAACTCCTGACGTCAGGTGATATGCCTGCCTCGGCCTCCCAAAGTGCTAGGATTACAGGTGTGAGCCACCGCGCCCAGCCATTACTTTGGTTTTTCTAACATGAAAAATAAAGTAATAACCGTACTGGTCTCATAACGTTATTATGTGATTAAATGAGATAACGCATGTAATATGTTTAGAACATATCTGGCATATAGTTCTAGCACAAAAAATATTCGCTATTGAACAAGAACAGAAAAAAAGCAGGACCTTGTGCCAGCAAAGTATATGACTTCCCCTATTCCTGTATTCTTCAAGAGGTCTTGCACTGAATCAAGCAGATCCTTTAAAAAAGCAAGACATCAGGCTCAATAAACAGATTCACCTAGTGACAATAATATAGGCTTTGGAACCAGGCAGCCATGAGTCAAACTTTAGTGAAGCCATTTATAAACTTGATCTTTCTGAATCTCAGATTATATATTTGTAAAAATGAGGTTAATACTACCCACCTCTCAGGATTGTGAAGATTAAGATAGATTTCTAGTTGCAGACACTTAGCACATTTTACATAAATAAATGTTGACTAAGTGTTCTTGGAATTGAAATTGTGGTAAGATTTTACTCCTGGTGTCATTTTACCCCTGTGGGATTCTGCTCCTTCTCTGACCTCAACTTAGCTGTGAATTCTATTGTCCCCGCTGCTAGACTTTACTAACATTAACCACGTTGATTTTCATGCCTGGAGAGAAGAGGGATCATGCAGAACGGAACAGAGTACAGGAAGAGAAGGCTGCAACAACCACCACAACACCCTGGAGGGCACAGGGAGAGAGAAAAACTTCTGCCAGGCATTGCTGAGATAGAACACAGGTAGCACTCATCAACCTTGGTTCTGTTCACCCAAGCATCAAGTCCAGAAGACACTCCTTGCTACTGTTTCTCCTCTTTCTCGGTGCCTCAGTCCTGTCATGTAAGGAAATCAGACATAGGAGAAAAAAACAAAAAAAAAAAAAGAAGAAGAAGAAGACGAAAAGAAAAACCTCCCACATAGAAGTATGTTAAAAATCTATCTCTCTGGATGCTCGGTTCCTTTCTCGTTCTCATTAACTGATAGAAGGCCACTGACACCAACATTGGCCTAAGCTAAAATTGGTTTTCTTTTTCAGAGATTGTAGGTTGATTCTAGGTTGCAGAAAAGGCAAAATATTTTGCTAGAGGCATGGAATACAGATTAGGTTGGTGATGTCACAAAAGAGGTTTTCAACAGTGTCAGCAGAGGCTATAGTGATGAGTAAGGAAGTTGATAAACGGCAACATCTGAAATAGCTACTCGCCCTGAATAGGCAGGTGGAGAATATTAGTTACACGTGGGACAAATCCCATTATGAGACATATCATCACAACAAGAATATTTCATTCTAGATTTTAGAATCCCAGGTTTTGGCTCACTTTGGTCAAGAAAAATTATAAATAATTGAGTTACAGATAATTAAATGTTAGCCTCCTGGAGTGCATGGCAATTGGTTTTGACCTCTATATTAAAATTCACAAGACCACGGACATAAGTCAAAACAGGTCCCCTTCGTCTCCCTAGTCACCATCTCCAGGGCTAAAAAACAGACTTGAAATGGGTGGCAGTTAGACTACAGGAAACAGGATCTACAAGCACCAGGAGCTCATCTATGGCTATCTGACATCGCCTGGGGACACCTCACTCTCTGGCAGGCTCCTGCTGGCTGGAGATTGTTAACATCGCCAATCAGATGTTAATTGAATGCAAAGGAATAGGAAATAAATTCTGGTTCTGAAGGGGCAGCTGGAAAGGTGTTGGGCTTCTCAGATTCCAACCTACATTACAAAGCAGGCCTAAAGCCAAGCATACTCCTTGCCAGAAGAAACGGAAAGCCCCTCTCCCGTTTTTAGAATCAGGCTGGAAAACACGGCTCCCAGAAGGTGGGGTTAGAAAACAAGAGCTTGCGAGGCGGCGCCCTGTGGTCCCTCGAGGAAATAGTAGAGAGACAAAGAGGGCCTGCTCCTGGGAAGCCCTAAATTCGAAGCCAATCCTTCCTCCTAGACATGACCACAACTTTAAAGGGCAGGGCGCACACCTCCCCTCCCGGATCTCTAGGACAAAGGCAGGTCGAGGGTAAATATTTCTAGTTATTCAGTATATTCAGTGGCTAACTATTTATTTTGTGGGTACCAGACACCGACATAATCGGTTACGTCCTTCCCTTAATTCTCATAATTCTGAGGTTTGTGTTATTAACCCCCTATTATCTTTGGTCTACCCAGGGCAGCCAAAGAGGCGCAGAGAAGAATGACAAGGTGCCCAGCAAGCGGCAGGATCAAAGCCTGGGTCTCTAATTCCCAGGCTGGAGATTCTGGGCTGCCTGCTCCTCCTGCACGGGGCGAAAAGCCCACCTGGGATCCGAGCGGGCGGCCGCGCCACTCTCGCAGGCTCCATACACCCGCCACTACCCGCCTGTACCACCTGCAGCCGGCAGCGCAGCCTCCTCGCGGGTCCCGCAGGGCGCGCTGCAGGTGCGCTGGGCGTCCCGAAGCCCCGCCCTCGCGTCCCTGCCCCGCGCCCAGCTCCTCACGCTCGGTGCCCGCGCCCCGCAGCGGCAGCGCAGAACGCACCGCCTCTGCCAGAGCCCGGGAAGCGCTCGGGCGAAGAGGAGGAGCCAAGGGTACCGAGCGGGTGGAGTCGGGAGCCGGAGAGCGGTGGAGGCGGATTTCCTGGGCCCGGCCCTCTGGCGCTACCATGGCGTTTGGCAAGAGTCACCGGGATCCCTACGCGACCTCCGTGGGCCACCTCATAGGTAAGGAGGCGCGGGGAGAGACGCCCAGGCAGGCAGGGGACCGTGGGATCCTTTCCTGCTTGATCCATTCTCGGCCTGCAGAGGACGGAGTTAGTCCAACTTGAAAAAATTATTCCCCTCCCCCCGCAACTTTCCCAAGGCACCCGCATTCCACCCGGCCCCCTTTCGTCGTTTCCTTCTTGGCCAACTCACTGTAGAACCTCAGTCCTCAAAAATGTACCTTCCTTTCGATGCCGCCTGGGGAGTGGAACCAAACAGGTGAACCGCGGGAGTCAGGCATGGAGTGTTTGGGCCTCCACGAGGAGACACCAGAAACTTCTCGGTAGGGGAAGTTATTCCTAAAGGCACATTCTCCAGGGCACGGTATTGTTATGCCCGTTTTACAGATCAGAAGAGGAGGCTCTGGGAGACTAAGTGATGTGGCCTTACTGTGAGGGGCAGGTCTCCCCAAACCAGTTTTCTCTAGTGCCAAGCTTATACAACCTGGATTACTTTTCTGGGTAAACAAAGAGAATGAAAATGCTTGGCATTGGAGTGAAGAGGAGGGGAACATAGGAGCCATCTGGGGCCACGGAGGTCTCTCGCAGGCCACTAGGGACTACACCAGCATCCACCTAAATGATTTCTCTCTCCTCCGGATGTACCTTGCATGATGTATGTAGAAGCCAGTGATTGGACTCCTACCAGCACCAGCTCACTGCTCCTTCTTTTCCCTGATTCCTCCCTTGGGAATTGGGTGTGGCACGAGTGCATATTAATGCCAGGCAAAGTGTGATGATGTCAGGAACTTAGTGGGGTGATGAAATCGTGAGAACCTAGTAGTTGTAGTAAAGAGGCCCAGATTTGGAAAATTTAGATCACAGCTCTACTAACTGCTGTGACACCGAACACACCACTTAAACAGAACCTTAGTTTACACATCCTTATAAGATGGTCAGAGTAGCTACCATTGAGGAGATGCTTTCCCTTAATGGCTGTGCTTTTTTGGATATTAGAATGAACCCCAAGCAGAAATGGATTCAGACTGTGTCTTCATAGGCAAACGAAACTTCAGCAGTTCTTCTGCTTAATTTTTTAATTCTGTAAACATGGACTAACTGTCAGCTATGTGCCTGGACCTGGATCAGGCACTGGTGAGGCCAAGGTGAGACGTGGTCTCAAACCTGAGGGAACTCACTTTCTTGTAGAGAAGACGGGCACAGTTTTGTGTGGCACCTTTGCAATGCAAGAAAATGCAAAACACACAAAACTTAGGAGAAGGGAGAAATGAATTCTGCGTGGCTTTTGAAGGGTGAATAGGAGTTTTCTTTTCTAGGGAGGTAAGCTTTGTCCATTCGGTGCCAGATTCAAGTTTTTTGTTGTTGTTGTTTTGTTTTTGTTTTTGTTTTTGTTTTGAGACGGGGAGTGACACCCAGGCTGGAGTGCAGTAGCTCTCGGCACACTGCAACCTCCGCCTACCGGGTTCAAGCACTTCTCCTTCCTCAGCCTCCCGAGTAGCTGGGACTACAGGCACATGCCACCACGCCAGGCTAATTTTTGTATTTTTAGTAGAGATGGAGTTTCACCATGCTGGCCAGGCTGGTCTCGACCTCCTGACCTCAGGTGATCTACCCACCTCGGCCTCCCAAAGTGATTGGGATTACAGGCGGGAGCCACCGGGCCCCGCCTCAAGTGGTTCTTTTCCTGGATTGAAAGCAAGCTAAACTTTGGGGTTCCCCCAAGCAAGTCCTTATTCTTCCCCTTCTCTATCTTTTTTGTTTTTTTCTCCATTTCCCCCAGAACCCGGTGTTTTCATGCTTAGGGATCTTGTCCTTCTCTTAGGAAGATGTTAGCGCATTCATACTGAGTGTTCCATTACCCTTTCCAGATAACATCTTGTATTCTTAAAGCGGCTGTCTGGAGAGGGAAAGATGCCTGATTATCTAATCATAGGGTTCCAAGTGCAGAAGCATTCTGGTCAGCCTGGTGCAGCTGTGGTTAGTTTAGATGCTTATTATTATTAGTTCGGATAGTTATCCAGCGCCAGTTTGAAATAATTAAGGCTGAAAGTAAAAGTGTATGCAATGGAAGTTTTTACATAGTTGAGGTAAGCAGTGTCTTTGCAAGTATTGGTTGAAGTTATAATAATTGGTAAAATTAGAAGGAATCGTGAGATTAAGATGATAGGACAATAAACGTATTACTTTTATTTGGAGTTGTGCCAATGTTTTGGCTCCTAAGAACAACGGATTACTTCTCTCCTTTAAAAGTTCTTTCCTCCTGTCCCCCCAGAGAATAAATTATTTTTAAAAACAAACAGTGGGACCAAACAACCTAGATTTGAATGCCAATTCTACTTCATACTGACTGTATAACTTTGGTAATTTCCTAACCTCTCTGAACTTCTATCTCATCATCTCTCACAGTGGGTTAAATGAAATTGCGTATGATAAAATACTTAGCACTATGCAGTTCACCTTCTAGGTAGCTGCTCACTAAGCCCTAGTTCCCTTCTCTGAAAGCCAGGCAGGCGGAGATTTAGCTGGCCTGGCCTGGGCCTGTGGCCAGCTGTTGTGCTTGAGGTCTTTATTAATAGGTCACTCATTACTGTTGCTGCAGCAGCACTCTGAACTTGGGTTCTGATTGATTCCTGAATTACTGAGAACTGTTCCAAAAAAAATCACTTTGCCCTTTGGCAATGTAAACTTAATGACACTTGCTGGTGCAGCCTAGGCAGATTATTTCAGGAATACCAGACATTTTTTATTCTGTTGTAGCTCAGACTCAACAGCTTTTTCTTGGCAGAAAAGGCTACATTTGCTGGAGTTCAGACTGAAGATTGGGGCCAGTTCATGCACATCTGTGACATAATTAACACTACCCAGGATGGGTGAGTACAGCATGGTTTCCATGTATTTGCCTCTGACAAGAAGCATCAGAACTACAGCACGTTTTCTCTTGCAAATATTTCGGTTTTGTTGTTGAAAGAGTGTTTTCATCATTCATTAGGCACCCTCTATCTTTTGAAGACTTGTCAGGTTGAAATATTGGGGCAGCTGCTTGCTTCAACATGTGGAGTATCCATAAATCCACTATAATTTTTCTCCTCTTGGCAGTTTCTTTAATAGTTTCAAATTTTGTCACTGTGAAGCTCAAATTCCTTCCTTCTAAAAGATTGAAAAAGGCCGGGCGCAGTGGCTCACGCCTGTAATCCCAGCACTTTGGGAGGCCGAGGCGGGCGGATCATGAGGTCGGGAGATGGAGACCATCCTGGCTAACACGTTGAAACCCCATCTCTACTAAAAAATACAAAAAAAATTAGCCAGGCATGGTGGCGGGTGCCTGTAGTACCAGCTACTTGGGAGGCTGAGGCAGGAGAATGGCGTGAGCCTGGGAGGTGGAGCTTGCAGTGAGCAGAGATCATGCCACTGCACTCCAGCCTGGGTAACAAAGCAAGACTCTATCTCAAAAAAAAAAAAAAAAAAAAAATTGAAAAAGAGAGATTGTGTCCTTCTTTAGGAATATCTCCAGCTCCCAGTGCCAGTATTTGATGAAACCATCAAATATTATCAAGAAGCTGGTTGACTCCCGGTGGTGACCTATTTCTGAGCAATTATTTCTAGTAACCAGGAAACAATCTAGCAGTCTTTTTTCCTCCCTGTCCCAGGACAATTTTTTTCCTTCTGAATGTCAACTCACCCATGTTTAAGCTGTATTCTTATAGCATGTGCTATCGTTTGTTCTTAAACTTCTTAAACTTTCGAGAATCGAAGTTATAAGAAAAAAGTCATTAAGAAGAGCAAACTGGTTTGCTTGTAGTCAATTACAAGTTATTCTAAGGAACACAATTCTGGTAATTTTCCTGGGCATATTAAAGTGATAACTGGCAGTAAAAGAGATTTAGTCTAGCTTATGTTGATAAAGAAAACATCAAACTTAATTATTGATTATAAATAAATGGAAAGCGCTTATGGTTAGTACTTTTAAGTGTGTATGGTTTTTTTCCTATAATCCTATTTACCATGTTTAGTTCCTCTGGGAACATTTTCATTGATAATACCAATTCATTGATAATACAAAAAGAGAATCTTAAAGTAAATTTGGACCCTTATAAACAGTCCTTTCTTTGTAACATAAAATTGTGGCGTATTGGCAGCTGACCTAGTTTGTTGTAATTCCTGTTACATCCCCTTGTCTATAGGGTGCTCAGGAAATACTAATAGTTTTAATAAAAATGGTAACATTCATTGTTTCGGAAGTTGCATTTCCTATAAGTTGGTTCTGTGCATTGATAGAGGGATACAGGAATGAGTGCATTTCATGGGTAGTACTTTCTAGGTAATAGTCTTGTACGAAAATATTTTATTTGATTCTCATAAGGGGTTAGGTGGTATTGTCTGCCTGTATGCGTGAAGAAATTTAGGTTCAAGAAGTTAAGTCATTCGCATAGGGTCCCACAGTAGAACCAAGGCCTTAGTTTTCTGCTCCTTAGCCATTCCTCTCTCCAAATGCATGTTGCTTTTCAGAGAGACTGCTTGTTTTCAGCAATGCCTAAATTGGTGATTTCAGTGTATTTATTGCTATAGGCCAAAAGATGCAGTGAAAGCTTTGAAGAAAAGGATTTCCAAAAACTACAATCATAAAGAAATCCAACTTACCTTGTCAGTAAGTACTTTAATTTTATAATTAAGACTCGAGGATTTCTCAAGCTATAGTTACATTTTTAATCCTGGGTAAAAAATAAGAAGCAAGTATTCTGAGAAAACTAATAGGTTAGCTAGGAGTTGTGTACAGTATGACTTAAAACTCTTCATTTATGAGAATTGCAGAATAAAGAAAGTTTAGTTGTTTATAATAGCATTTAATAGCATTTAATTTCATGGAAGGAGCTTGTTCCTGAAAAATCAATTTTTCTTGGTCAGGAGATAGGAATTAGTGGTTAACATGTATTACACATGGTGAACTGATCAAGAAGTTTGTGTAGTGGCTGGGTGTGGTGGCTCCTGCCTATAATCCTAGCACTTTGGGAGGCCGAGGTGGGATGATCGCTTGAGCCCAGGAGTTTGAGAACAGCCTGGGCAAGATGGTGAGAGCCCGTCTCTACAAAATGTTTAAAAATTAGCCAGATGTGGTGGCCTGCATCTGTAGTCCCAGCCACTTAGGAGGCTGAGGCAGGACAATCACTTGAGCCCAGGAATTCAAGATGGCAACGAGCTATGATCATGCCACTGCAACTCAGCCTGAGTGATAAAGAGAAACCTCAACTCTTAAAAAAAAAGTTTGTGGCTGGGTACGGTGGCTCACACCTGTAATCCCAGCACTTCGGGAGGCCGAGGCAGGTGGATCACCTGAGGTCAGAAGTTCGAGACCAGCCTGACCAATATGGTGAAACCCCGTCTCTACTAAAAATACAAAAAGTAGCAGGGCGTGGTGGCGTGTGCCTGTAGTCCCAGCTACTTGGGAGTCTGAGACAGGAGAATTGCCTGAACCTGGGAGGTGGAGATTGCGGTGAGTCGAGATCGCACCACTGTCCTCCAGTCCTCCAGCTTGAGCAACAGAGCAAGACTCCTTCTCAAAAAAAAAAAAAAAAAGTTTGTGCATGTATTAATTAACCATAATTTAAGATGAGGAGAATTGAAATTTTGAAAAATACCTCCCTGTAAGCTTTCTGCCTTACTTGAACAGCTTTGTGGAATCCTGAGATGCTCTCAGCTCATTAAATTCCAAACAAGTTCTGCTGCCTGGCGTGATTTGGAGAATGTTCTATGTTGGTTTAAGCAATTCTCCTGTGTGTTGTATTGTCTGTGATTTAAGTGTGGACTCTTATTTGATGTGTTCCCATTTTCCCACCATCCTTGGCAATATGACCTCTTCAGTCACGTTGGTGAGTTGTCCTTTTTACTTTAGTATGTGTTGCAAGCCCTGCCTGCTGCCTGAGAGTGAGCTGTGTAGCTTTCTGATTTATTCTGCACGCCTTTGTTTATCTCAGCCCAGCCCAAGACTGTGCATGGTCACGGCACTAATCAGCCAACATCACGCTGCGTTAGGAGCATTAGTCTTTATCAAGAGGACTTTGGGGCATATGTGAGCATAGCTCCTGGTTTCTAGTTACATGAAGAAGAAAATGGACATCTTGCATAGGCTCGCTGAATAAGCAGAAATGCTGTGAACGGTCTTCATGATTTGATCATTAAAGAAACCCTTCACATTGGGATCTGAATATAGTTTTAGAGGCATTTTCCCCCTTCACCTTTTTTTTTTTTTTTTGACCTCTTACCTGTCCTTAACTCTTGAAGGTCACAGAATGGAGAAGACGGGAGAGAGGAGTGAGGCACTTCTGTAGAAATCCCAGAATGATGGGTCACTGATAGAAATGCCTGGCACCTGACCAATGCTCTTGACAACCCTGTGAAGTAGTTCTATTATTAACTCCATTTAACAGATGAAGAAATTGAGACTAACAGAAACAGATTTATTTCCGAGATGAAAATGGCTATTACATAGCATAGGCAAGATTTGATCCCAGTCCTCAGATTCTAAATTCCATGCCCTTGCCTCATGCCACTTTGTTTCTAAGAACGAATCAAGCCTCTTAAAAGAGTAGGCTACTGTGTTTCCTTTATGTCTTTAGTTTCTTCCTGTGTAGTACAGGGCCAGGTATATCAGATGTTGACTGGATTAATGATTAAGCACCCCACCCTCATACACACACCTAATCCCGTCTCTCCTAGTATCCGGGAAGACTCAAGGGCTAATGGAAGGTACTGTAGAACCGGAGTAGAAAGATGTGTAGATGTACCCTCAAATATAGTATATCTGGGATATCTCAAGGGTGCCAAAGGTTAGGAGAATTGAGTAAGGAAGAGAAGGGCAGAAGATGAATTTATGCCCCCTTCTCTATTTCAGCATGGGGTATTATTATTTTGCTTTTTACAGGTGTTCACCATTCATAACAATTTGCCGCTTTCTCCATTGTGCCCAGCCTACTTGATGTTTCAGTGGTTGCTTCTTAATCCCACCTCCATATCTTCTTCCATCATGGTTCCCTCCCTGTGACGACGGACCAGGGACCCTCCTTGAGGAAGTTGGGCTATTCCAGAGTGTTGTGCCTCTGGCCCTCTGTTTCTCTTTGGGCTTCCACTCTTCCTTCTCATCAGGTAGTCTAATCTGCTCGCTGCCTTTCCCATTATCTGTTCCACCTCAGATCTGTAGCTCCCTTACCTCGTGGTTTCTGTCCAATCTAAAGCCTGTGCCTAAAAACAGGCAAGAGTCACAAGTCATAGGTCAGAATACACCTTCATCCTTGGGGTCACAGTACATTAAAGTCAGGAAAAACATCTGGCTTTTCCTTGGATTTTCTTTAAATAGGCCTTTGACTCTTCATATCTTCATGCTGATTTCCCTGAGTTGTGTATTTAATGGTCTAGTCACCTCGTCTCAGACTACTCACTGCCTTGCAGAGGTATGCTTAAGGCCTCAGAACTGACTTTAATATTCACGTAAGCCAAATTTAATTATGAGGGAAATTAGTCACAGGAGTCACCTATGTCTGTCAAAAGCAATTATAAGTTTACCAGTAAACTCTTTAAAATGTAATCCCTATATATGACATTTCCATTTTATTAATGTAAAGTGATGAGAGCCTGTCAAATTCGATTATAAATATTCTTTATGTTATCTGTCATGTTGAGTTCTCCGTGGACGTGTTAGCCTTGATTGGGCTTTGACGGAACCTGACTGTACTATGATTTCCTACCATCAGTCGGTGGAGCAGTTTTGTTTTGTGTTTCAGCAGAATTTTGTTACCAGGCTTTATTACTCTGAGCCAGAGAGTATTCTGTTCTTGAATGAGTCAATTGTGATAAATCTCAGCAAGAGGCTACTATTATTGTCAAATGGAAAGTGGTCGAACAGGTTCCTGAGAATCAATTAGTTAATAGGCCTTTGTGGAGCACCCCCTAAGCAGTGAGCTTCAGGGGTTTCATAAAATGTGTAAAATGTGGTTGAAAATAATAATGAAGAAAAAGCTTGGTTTATTCTCCTTTGGCAAATTTACCAGTGAAACAAAATATCAGGCTGGGTGCAGTGGCTCATGCCTGTAATCCCAGCACTTTGGGAGGCCGAGGAGGGTAGATCACTTCAGGTCAGGAGTTAGAGACCAGCCTGGGCAACATGGTAATACCCTGTCTCTACTGAAAATACAAAAACTAGCCAGTCATGGTGGCATGTGACTGTAATCCCAGCTACTCGGGAGGCTGAGGCAGGAAAATTGCTTGAACCCAGGAGGCGGAGGTTGCAGTGAGCCTAGATTGTGCCAGTGCACTCCAGCCTGGGTGACAAAGCGAGACTCTGTATCCAAGCAAAACAAAGCAAAACAAAACCATGTGGTTGTCCCCCCAGGAGCTTGTTGCAGTTGGAGGGAGTGAGAAGACTGAGGCCTGTCCTAGGGGTGTCATCATAGAGTGGGGTAGTCACCTTGGTGTAGGCACTATTCACGGCCCAGGTGTAGCTCTGATGGCCCTGAAACCTGGTTGTTGTCACTCTGCCTGGTTTGGAAATTTACAGTGAGAAAACTGTCAACTACCTCTTTTTCTTCCAGCCCTCTCTTAAAATACTTAGATCAGCTAATCATCACATTCACTCCTGCTAGGAAGTTCTCCATGGAAGATGATCTAAATAGTTGCCATGTATTGAGGTCCTGCTTTGTGGCAGGCTCTTTGTTATGTTTCATTTGGGCCTTACAACAAGTCTCTAGAGGGAGATATTATGTCCATTTTGCAGATAAGGACACTGAAGCTTAGGATAAGTGATTTGCCCAGCCAAGCCCAAAAGATCAGTGAAGCCTGGAGTCACCCACTTCAGTCTTTGTTCCTTGGCTCCTGAGTTTTCAATCCCACCTCAGATTATGGATTCTTATTTGTCTTATTTCGAAAGATGGGTTATCTGAACACATTTGCATCAAAGTTCAATTTCAGAATATGTGAAAACATATTTAATTTTTCCAATTTGCCACGTAGGTTTTATTACTTATCTGAGTGAGTTGGAGGGTGAAAGAGGTTCTGGTGACATAATAGAGGAGGTGATGTAGAATTAATTAGTCCTGACATTCTTGATTCTAATGGGAAAACACAAAAGGCATGACTGCTAATCTCCAGATGTTCACATTTTTAGCATTTCATGTTGACTCTTTGATTTTGTGCATGTACCTCCTGGGAGTCTTACCCATTATCATAAAATCTTGTGGCACCAAAGATAAAAATTAGTTTGTGAGGGCCAGGTGCAGTGGTTCATGCCTGTAATCCCAGCACTTTGGGAGGCCGGGGTGGATGGATCACTTGAGGCTAGGAGTTTGAGACCAGCCTGGCCAGTATGGCGAAAACCCATGTCTACTAAAAATACAAAAATTAGCTGGGCATGGTGGTGCACGCCTGTAATCTCAGCTACTTGGGAAGCCGAGGCATGAGAATCACCTGAACCGGAGAGGCAGAGGTTGCAGTGAGTCGAGATTGCGCCACTGCACTCCAGCCTAGGTGACAGAGTGAGACCCTGTCTCAAACAAACAAACAAACAAAAATTGGTTTGCGAATTATTTAGCAAGAAATACACCTAGGGAGAGTGAGACTTGGAGGCTAGGTATTTGCGTAAGACGGTACAACTAGTTAGGTGAAATATTTCTGTAAACTCACATTGAGCTAGAAGCACTTTTCCTTTTAGGATTTCGCCCGTTAAAAATTCATTATAATAATCCATCAAGCTAAATGGCATGTTATTCAACTTTCCAACTTTGTCTCACCAAACTGTACAGATTCATCTTAATATGTTTTGGATTTTGTTTTTATTTTTCTTTGCCTTAAAGGTTTTCCCTGTGTTTCACACAGCTGCATGTTTCTATATTTTCTGATTATTTCTTGGTCACAGTGCCTTAAAACTATAGCGTTTTAAGTATAACTTAAACGCTATATGCTGCCGCTTTATGTATTGCCATTAAAGAGAGACTAAAAATACAAAGCATGGCATGAAGTCCATTTTCAGGGCTTCTATTCTGCAGAGATGATTATACCTATCCTGGTCATGCTATGGTTTCTATGACCTTTCTAATTTGAGGTGGTAGCATGGAAACTAAAGATTTAATTTTGTTTTTAGTTTACTTTTAGAAATCTACTTCCTGCATGCAGTTCTTCAGTATTGGTTCATTCTTTCTTAGTCAAGTTTCTGCTCATGTTGCTTTATTGCAAATGTGTTTTTCAAGGGAACTGATGTTCCTCAGACCATCTTCTTAACTGTATAACACCCCATCCTCCAGGAAACTTTTCTTTTGACTTTACCAAAGGGGTGCCTTATGTATTCCTGATTTTGTGCTTCATTTTCTGTCAGTTACTCTTTGATTGCCTTCCTTGGATTTTCGTTGGCCCGTATAGTAGGTGAACCCCAGTGTTTCAGCCCTTCCTCTTCTCTTCTCATTGTAGGCAGCCTTGATGACTCACTTTTGGCCCTTCACTCTCTTGAACTATAGCTGTGTGTGTCCAGCTCACTGCTAAACACCTACTTAAATGCCCCTTATCTTTTGAACTCAAAATATCTAAATTTCAGCCCATCATTTTTACACCTAGACCAGCCATACCACCCCCTCTTCCAAATTTCCGTCACAGGGGTCCTCATGCAGAATGAGAGTCACTTAACTTTCAGTCATCTTCCTTTTTTGACCAGCACTGTCATTCAAAGTTCTTCCTTCATAATGGTGTCATGACTCCTCCTTTTCTTGTACCCACATCATCTTAGTTTAGGCCTTTTCTATAACATGCCTGAAATAGTGCATTGCTACTGGATCTTTCTATCATTCCAGGTTTCTTCTCCCTCCGCTTGCCTTTGCAGAGTGCTGCCTGACAACCTATCCAGAATATTACTTTGCACACATTAACCTTTTCCTCAATTTCAGGGTACAGGTGTGATGGTGACAAACTAACAGAGACCCTCCATAACTTCATAGTGCCTTCAAGATAATATCCACACCCTTTGCATGCCACACAAACTTCTCTACAACCTGGACGGACTTTATCCACCCTATCTTTCCAGTGTCCCCAATTTACCTATATCAGGATGCCTCTACTAGAGACAGACCAGAATACTTATCTCCCCCTTCATAACTTACCCATTTTTCCACATTTATATATTTTTCATACAATTTATCTGTCTAGAATATAGCTCTATACTCATTTTTACTGTTCTTAGCCATTTTGCAAAGCCCAGCTTCCAGTTAGCCTTTTCCAAAAGTCTTGTAAGACCACCTAGCCCTAAATAATCACTCTTGCCTATAAGGGCCTATAGCTGGGGTGACTGTGTAATTTATCATCCAAACCAGGACATTTTTGAAAGTGAAAGGGTGTGTCATCATTAATAAACAGGACATTGGGAATATACCTGTGCTACCCTGGGTAAACTGGGACAGATATTATTCCATCCATAGCTCATATGTTTGGCCTGCACGTCCCTTCAGCATTTAGCATTTAGTACTCTGCATTGGTGTTAATGCCCTTCTGGATGTGCTGGGACTCCTCAATAAGTCTGTCCTCCAGACTGTTACATTATGCTCATACTTCCACATATCCCCAGAACCTAACATTTTGCCATATATTTTAGTAGATACTAAATTATGTTTGTTAATTAGGATGCTGATGGAACCCATTATTTAGCAGTTTTTCCCTTACATTTTTAGGAGGTGGTTTTGCCAGATAAATATAATGTTTAATTTTTTTTCTAATTTAGCTTATTGACATGTGTGTGCAGAACTGTGGTCCAAGTTTCCAGTCTCTGATTGTGAAGAAGGAATTTGTTAAAGAGAATTTAGTTAAGCTACTGAATCCCAGATACAACTTGCCATTAGACATTCAGAATAGAATCTTGAATTTCATTAAGGTAAGTCTGTTGTATACCTCATGGGATGGTAAATTTCTAAGATTAGGGATTTAATAGCTTACCTCCTGATTGTTTCACTTATCTTTTATATATCTAGGATTGAGCTAGAAAAGCATTTTTGCTATTTTAGTTTCTGTGTAATAATAATTTTTTGGCATTGGATGGTGCCCTTTTTCTGAAGAATTTGTAGTCATTTCCCTGCTTTCCTCTCAGTTTCTATTTTATCTGTGTCAAATAGGAAAGACAGTGATCTGTGTGTTCACTTTGCAGGTAGGGAAACTTCCAGCTAACTGACTAGTTCAAGGTTACTTGGAAAAAGAGCTACTGATGTTATTTTAGAATCTATTAATTTTGGATTCAGAGCAGCAAAAAACAATTGATAGTATATATCCTAGGGTTTCTTCAAGATTTTGAGGCATGGAAATCTGATTTAAAAGATTTTATATTTTCCTAGCCTTTGAAAATGAGCATTTTGCCCATGGCATTCAAAAGTAGCTTTCTCTTTCTGAGTGGGGTACATAATTATTGATCTCTTATTTTCTATCAGGAGCTTAAGAATTGTGTTTTCGGCTGGGTGCGGTGGCTCACGCCTGTAATCCCAGCACTTTGGGAGGCCGAGGTGGGCAGATCACAAGGTCAGGAGTTCGAGAGCAGCCTGGCCAACATAGTGAAACCCCGTCTCTACTAAAAAATACAAAAAGTA
The DNA here is from genome assembly GCF_000001405.40 of Homo sapiens. Taxonomy (NCBI): domain Eukaryota; kingdom Metazoa; phylum Chordata; class Mammalia; order Primates; family Hominidae; genus Homo; species Homo sapiens. The sequence continues at coordinate 54,913,519 of NC_000017.11, forward strand.
AGCCAGGCGTGGTGGCGGGCGCCTGTAATCCCAGCTACTCAGGAGGCTGAGGCAGGAGAATCGCTTGAACCCAGGAGGCGGAGATTGCAATGAGCAGAGATTGTGCCATTGCACTCCAGCCCGGGCAATAGTGTGAGACTCTGTCTCAAAAAAAAAAAAAAAAAAAAGAATTGTGTTTTGGTTTTGTTGCTGTTTTAACTCTGGAACTTTTTTCATCTCTTGAATTCAGACTTGGTCACAGGGCTTCCCAGGAGGTGTGGATGTAAGCGAAGTCAAAGAAGTATACCTCGACCTGGTTAAGAAAGGCGTTCAGTTTCCTCCCTCAGAAGCAGAGGCTGAAACAGCAAGACAAGAGGTAGGAGGCCTTTCTTTGACCCATGGAGACTATAGTAGTGTATCACTTGGGTCTTTTCTCATTACAGGAGACAACCCTAAATCCACCCAGCTTAAGCAAAAAGATGAAGTTATTAGAAGGATATTGCAATATCTCATAGAATAACCGAGACTTGGGATTTTGCTACTTAAAGTGTGTTTTGCTACTAAAAGTATGAAAGTTTGTTTGGCATGTTCCACCCTAGACTAATCAGAACCTCCCTTTTTACAAGATTTCCAGGTGTTTTCTCTGCACATTAATGTTGAGAAGCACTGGCCTAGAGCCTTGAGCTTTCACCTCTCCACCCAAGGTTGGAGATGTGGCATTGACCCAAGGAGGGTCATTGATGGAGAAGGAGATGCCTTGTCAGCTGTGGCTTAAAAGGACTTGACATGAATTGAGCTACCATTTGTTATTAACAACCCAAAGAGAAGGCATCAATAATCTCACATGGCAGTTTATCACTTAGACCCTTGGTTAAAAAAAAAAAAAAAAGGGCATTTTATTAAATTGTAAATGATAATCCTAATAGCCACCTTTTGTTGAATACCTGCTTTATTATGGGCATGTCATTTGCTTAGCATTCTTCACAAAATGCTGGACGGGTTGTGTAGCTGATGATTTACTCTGGGCAGATACCCTGTACACAGGACTTTGAGAGTGCTTGAGTTAGCTGAATGGAAAAAACTTGGCGTTGGGTGGCTATGTTAATTCACATAATAATATTACCATGTTTCATACTCATAGACTGCTCAAATCTCATCAAATCCTCCAACATCTGTCCCTACTGCACCAGCTCTTTCTTCTGTAATTGCTCCAAAGAACTCGACTGTTACATTGGTCCCAGAACAGGTAACAACAACAATCATTGCATTTAATTGATGTCTTTTCCTGATTTGTAAGCACCTTATATACAGTTTGTCTTTTCTGGTTAACAACATTGAGATGTAGGTACACTCATTTCACAGAGGAAGAGACTGAGGCTTAGTAATACTATGTGACTTACCATAGTTCAGTTCCAAGAAGGAGTAATCCCATGGGTTCTGTCTGCTTCCAAAGCCCAACTTTGTAAGAGTTGTGCTTGCCTAGCGGCTTTCATGGCTTTCTGGAGCCTTGACTGTGGACTGGATCTAGGGTCCATCAGCTAATTCCTGTTACTTCTGGTAGGACTGTCACATATTTCAGAGAGTTTAGTAAATGGTAGTCTTATTACTTGTATTTATTATGCCAACTGAATTGTATTTACTTCTTTGTGTATATCAGTTTATCCAAGGTACCGATAAACAATTATTATATGAGGCTAATTTCCGTTCTGCTGTAAAGGAACTATAATTGAAGATTTTGTTGTATTATTTTTTTCTTATATAAAAATGCATGTGACTAATTCCTCTTAGAATTTAATACAGGAAGAAAAGGTGTTTCTTTATTCCTTCTTCTTTAATACCATGAGAACTGGATAACCCTCATTTGTTTTTCTTTTACCCTATTGGTTGCCAAGAAACTCAGGATAACTTTTGCCATTTTATCCAGGTTTCTGGTACCTTCTTCTGCTAGGTACCTGGTACTTCTCCCCTCTCCATATTGGGTTCTAATCTTTTTTTTTCCTTTCATTTTTAAAATTCCTAAAGCATATTTTGGGGTTTATTACAAGAGATCTCAAGTCCTTTTAGAAGGTGACAAGGTATACATTTGTAAAATAACTATATGTATATTTATATGAAATTAAATTTAAGTTTGAAAATATTAAATTTTGCAAAAGCATTTTTTCATCCAGCAAATGTCCCATGGGGGCAGGAAACAAGGTAGTTATTCTTTGTGTGTCGCACTGACTGGTGATTGTGTTGCTCTCTACAGATTGGAAAACTGCACAGTGAATTGGATATGGTGAAAATGAATGTGCGAGTGATGTCCGCCATATTGATGGAGAATACTCCTGGGTCTGAAAACCATGAAGACATAGAGCTTCTGCAGGTGTTGTACGATTTCAGGGACTATCAGTCAAAGTGTCTCTTAAAGTTATTCTCTAAACTTTGAGTTTGGAGATGGAAGACACCTTAATATTGTCTAGTACATCCTCCTACATCCTGATTTCAGTTGATTTCTAAACTTAACAAAAATATCCAAGAATGACTTTGTCAGAAATGCAGTAGTAACTTAGACATGGTTTTTAGCCTCTTGCAACAAATAATTTATTATAAGTTATAACCTTGGTCATGTACAATCAATTCTCTAGTTGTTTTAAGTATGTAAAAATTGCCTCTATTTTCATCCACTCAACAAACATTGAGTAACTGTGATATAGGAAGGGATGTAGAAATGAGAAGGAGGCTATTCTAGTCCTTAAGAGTTTATGCCTAATGAGCAAGATTGGTTTGTAAACAACAAACATAATGAAGTATTATAGATACTGTAGTATAAATTTGTTCAGTATATGGTGGGATCATGGGTGGGGAGAAGGAGAGATGTGAGGTTTTTAAGAATGGTCTAGATGGAGGCAATGCTCGAGCTATAGAGGAACAAGTAGACAGGGCATTTAGACCTGCATGAGTAGTTCTACAGCCCTCCTATGCCTTCTGCTATGTCTGTGTATACATATACTTTATTTTTCCCTCTACCAGTTTGCTCTTCTAATTATTTTAAATTTTAAAACTTATTAATTTTAGAAGCAGTTAGAAAAAAAAATCAGTTTCTAGTTTCTAAGTCCCTTTGTTGCCAAGTTAAGAAGCTTAAGATATTTTTACTTTTCTCAGATTCCCACTCGCCACCTCTCATGTTATTTTTCCTTTAACTTCTTAGATTGTTAGTAAATAACTTTTTCCTTGCTCATTTCTTATTTGGGAAACAAAAAAATTGTAAAAATTTTCCCAACAATGTTTCTTAGATATCACTGCTGTCGTGAATAGTTTGTTTTTTCCTTGCTGCAGTACACCCATGTTGGTAAACTTTGGTGCAAACTTTGAGTGCTTGCATATCCAAAAATGTCCTCTGATTGTCATGTTAAATGCAGGTTAGTTTAGCTAGATATAAAATTCTAGGCACAAAATTCTAGGCCTTTGAAGATACTGCTTCACTGTTCTCTTACACCCACTAATGCTGATAGAAGTATTATATTATTCTGCTTCTTAATCCTTTGATTAATAATATTTTTTTCTAGTTGCATTTGTTATTTTTCTACGTTAATATTTCAGAAATTGTACTGTTCCCTCTGAAGAGATATATGTACATGTGTGCAGATGTTTGTTTAACTTACTTATCTTCCTTAGTAGATGATAGGCTTTTTTGCCTTATCAACTTATGTGTATTTTTAATTCTAGGAATTCTCAGCTCCTACTTTAAATATTGACTTTCTACCATTCTTTCTATTCTCTTCTTATGGAACTTTAAGACGATGAAACTTCCAGTTGGATTCATTTGTCTCTTAACATTTCTTTTATACTTTTCATTTCTTCATTCTAAGTTCTGGGATAATTTCTCTGTTTAATGTATTTCTCTAAAACTTGTAATTGAGTTGCTTATTCAGTCCTTCTAATAAATGTTTCAACAATTTCTTTCTATTAAAAATATGTACTTTAAACATATTTACTATATACAAATATGTACATAATTTTAAAATATTTTTAAAATATGTTGGATTTTTATAACAGTTCTTTCATTTCATGGTTCTGCTTTTCTTTATCTTTCCAAGGATAATAATTATATTTAACGCTGCTTTTTTGTTTGTTCTGTGGACTCTCCTTTGCAAATTTTTTGTTCATTTTTTAATTTGCATTCTCCAGTGTTCAGCTGGATTGCTGATAGTGAGCTCATTTTTGTGTGAGACTCTCTGCCAGCTGGTCTGCATTCTCTGCTGACCCAGCTCACCCATGCTGAAGGGAGGATGTAATTGCTACTGCTGTGCTTGATAATATTTTCAGAGTATGGTATAGCAACATGGGATGATGCTGTTTGGGATCCATTTATGGATGGTCTTCTGGATTATGTATTCTCTATTTTTTTCCTGAATGCTACTAGTGCCTAGAAATAATACCCTATCCCTCTGTCCCAATCATTGTTTCCACCTGGAAACATTACTCCTTTCTCAGCTATCTGGTCTCAAATGAGAGAAGGGGCATGAGCAGGGGTTGTCTTTCCTGGTTATTTCACTGCCGTACCTCAACCAATCTGTTAGAGCCCCTTGTGCTTCTTGGCTTCTGGCTTTTAGGCATGGAGCACCCTTCATATTCCTTCCATGTTCTAGGCAGTACTCACTGTGGGCAACCTTGAATGTCCTGAATTGTGCTGTCCTCTAATTTAAGAGTTAGCAAACTGTGGCCTATGGGCCAAATCTGGGCCTTGCTCTCTTTTATGCTGTCTCCAGGCTCAGAAGGCTTTTTAAAGGGTTGTTTAAAAAATAATAAAAACAAACAAAACAGCTAGAGGTCATTTCTCCTATATCCATGCAAACCTATACCCAGAGACCCCTGGGAACTCAGATATTCCTCTTAAGGAACTCATTGCCATGCCCCACCCCACTGTTAATGGATATGAGTTTGTGGTATCGCTCAGGTGTGTAGGGATGAGAAGAGGATTTAAACCACAACGTGGGAGTATAAAATTCCAGGTGAGGTAAGAGCTGACCTGTACAAGTAATGGAGTATCATGCCATGCCAAAGAGTGGGCTTAACCAGACTGGCAGAGGGGAGCTGTTGAAAGGATATAAGCTGAGGGGCTACATAACCAGGTCAGATTTTAGAAAAATCCTCTGGTGGTGTTGTGATGACAGATTCTCAGGAAGCAAGACAAGACTCTAGAAAACAACTTAAGAGAGTATTTCTCATTGGTTGTATGCTGTGTTCTGTGGGTAGAAAGTGGCATCTTTGGTCAAATAAGTTTGTAAAACCAATTGTCTACTGTATTTCTCCTCTTGGAGATGCATAAAGTTCACTGATACAGCTAAGAGTCTTTGTTTAACCCAACATTTATAAACTTATTTATCCAAAGAATCCCAATTTGCCAAATATCTGCTAATATTCTGCAGAACATCAGGGTAGTATACCTTGAGAAATGAATCAGTATTTTGGATCCGTGGCTTTAAGTATATTATTTTTGGAATATCTTAGAATTGTAACATTTTGCTAAGGATCCTTGGGGTTCTTGACCTTAGGCAAGTCATTTACTATCACTGGACTTAGTTTATGTATAAAATGAAGAGCTTAGATGACAGTAAGCAAGAGTAATATTAAATATATCCTCTTTATGTGGGATGTAAAAAGGAAAATTCATCATTAAATAGATTTCAAAGGTAGTAGTCCACAATGGCGGCTTTTCCAGATATAAACTTTTTAACTTATGATGTTAACACGTGTGTTAAACTAAAATTGAAAAATTAAATATCAAAGTAAACGGATATGTGGCAGATAATATTTTTTAAATAGCCACAGCAATATTTCTAGTTCCACCTGGTCTTCCTGGGCCTTTCAGAGCTCTAAAATGAAATGATTTATGACTTTTTCTCTCATATTCTCATCCATCTGTGGCAAACAATCCTTCAGTAAAAACACACTGAAACATTTCATTTAAATATGTGAATCCAGTTTTATATTTTATTCCAATCTGAAGTGCTTTGTCTCAGGGTGTTTGGGTGCAGATGTTTGGTTGAATTTTTCAAGGATAATGCTAATTTGTTGGTTGCTGTTTTAATGCCAGAGCTCAGGGCTGTGTTTTGCCTTGAATAGTAAAGAGTCTTAGGTTATAAATCAACATGAGAATACTACTCATGGCCAAATTCAAATTGAATAGGTTCTGGCAGGGGATCAACTTGTTTATAGAGACTGTTGAATGTGGAATGTTATTTTTCTTTGTATACTTTTTGTTAGTGACATATAAAGATCTGGTGTGGGGAGTGCTATTCTTAATTTCTTTTGACAAATAATTTTTTTTTTACATCTAAATAACTCCACTATGGTTGATCTGAAATAAATCAATTAAGTCTTCTATGGAGAAAAAGGACAAGAAGCATATCTGATTTAAGAATTTCAGAATGAAGTCAGCAAAGATAGACTGTGGGGAAATAGAGAATTCTTTTTTTGGTGTTTTTGGTTTTGGTTTTTTATTGATTTATTTATTTATTTATTTATTTTATTTATTCATTTTTTCCCCCTCTAACCCTATGTCATAAACAAAGAATTCTTTAGGGTGTATTTTTTCAAAGGTTTCTCATACCCATCTGAAGGAGTCACGTCAATACAGTTAGAACGCCCAGATAATACTGGCTCCCTGGTTGGCTGCCCCCTTATAACTGCAGGGGCTTTTGGAGGCTTCAGCATAAGCCTAGGGAGTCATCAGCAGGGTGGCACCCACCTTGGGGGTCAGTGAGGGCCCACGGGCATACTCTGATGGAAGGAGTACAACTGTAAAGAAGGAATAAAAGTATCTGAAATCAGCTATATGAATTGTAAAACAGGCATTTTTCTCCCCAAACCAACCAATATTCACAATTTTTTTTTAGCTTGCCAAAATTTACATCCTCTTTCTTCCCCAAATCCCATTGAAATGACAGAAGAAATATGAAAATAAAAATAAACCCCAAGGATTACAGAAAAGGCTAAACTGACCATCAGGCCTCCAGAACAGTGAGACTATTCAGTGCCTGATAAAGCAGGTGGGATCAGACCAGCTCAGAGCTCACAGCCCCACCCAGGTGAAAGAGACCCCTCCAAAGGACTTTTCCCAGAAGCAACCCATACTAACCTCAAAATCAGAGCAAGAATGAATAGGCCTTGGGCACTCACATGGTAAGGAAAACAACTGTCCTCTGTCCTCTGCTGTCTGAGCCGCTAAGTCAGGAGCAGGGAACTTCCAGGGTGGCTGTCAAGGCCAGAAAAAAGGACTCTCCTCCAAATAACTGCTGGTTTCCAAAAGAATCTAGGAATCTCTGCAGTTAGAAGAAAAATAATCAGCACTCATTAGGATTTTTTAAACTTTGAAGGCAGGCAGCCTCATCCCTAGAGAGGAGGATGTAGTAAGGCTGTTAGATTTCTCAGGAAAATTATGTATTTTCACTCTCTCCACCAAGAACCGACGCTGACATGATTTGGCTTGCCATCTCGCTTTGTGGGGCTGAGGTTTTTCTGATTCACTGACTTTCATAGGGCGTAGTCATGCAGGGGTTCCACCTGAGTATAGAAGGGGTTTTTGCTCCAGCTCCCCATCTTGTTTGCACCCCGGGCTTTGTCCTTTGCGTCTGCTGAGAACTCTACTGGAGATTGGCAGATGGGTGCCTTGTGAACCATTGTTTCTTTATTGCTGCTTGAGTCTTTAGATCTTATTTGGTTTTGAGCCTTTGAGGATTTCTCATGCTTTCTTGAAAGTGTAGGCACAAATGTTAAAATATTTTTAATATCTAGCATTTTTAGGTATTTTGTTATGAGAAAGGTTTTCAGGATATTGAGTACAGTGCTGTGCAAAAAATACAAATTCTATATAGCATTTTTTAAATTGAGGCAAAAAATTAACCATTATTTTAAATTATCACATAAAATTAACCATTTTAAAGGGTACAATTAAGTGGCATTTATATACATTCAGGGCCCGGCGTGGTGGCTCACATCTGTAATCCCAGCACTTTGAGAGGCCAAGGCGGGTGGATCACTTGAGGTCAGGAGCTCGAGACCAGCCTGGCCAACATGTGAAACTTTGTCTCTACTAAAAATACAAAATTAACCGGACATGGTGGTGGGCGCCTATAATCCCAGCTACTCAGGAGACTGAGGCACGAGAATGGCTTGAACCCGGAGGTTGCAGTGAGCAGAGATTGTGCCACTGCACTCCAGCCTCGGTAACAGAGGGAGACTCCATCTCAAAAAATAAAAATAAAATAAAATAAATATACATTCATTGTAACTACAGTTAACCCTTGAACAACACATAGCAGTTATGAGCACTGACCCCACAGTGTAGTTGAAAATTCATGTATAACTTTTGATTTTCCCAAAACTTAGCTACTAATAGCCTACTGTTGACCAGAAACCCTATCAATAACATAAACAGTCGATTCACACATATTATGTATGTTATATATGTTATGTGCTGTATTCTTAAAGTAAGCTAGAGAAAAGAAAATGTTATTAAGAAAATTGTAGGCTGGGCACAGTGGCTTATGCCTGTAATCCCAGCACTTTGGGAGGCCGAGGCAGGCGGATCATGAGGTCAGGAGGTGGAGACCATCCTGGCTAATACAGTGAAACCCCATCTCTACTAAAAAATACAAAAAATTAGCCAGGTATGGTGGTGGGCGCCTGTAGTCCCAACTACTTGGGAGGCTGAGGCAGTAGAATGGTGTGAACCCAGGAGGCGGAGCTTGCAGTGAGCCGAGATCAAGCCACTGCACTCCAGCCTGGGCAACAGAGCGAGGCTGTCTCAAAAAAATAAACAAAAAAAGAAAATTGTAAGGAAGGCTAGGCACAGTGGCTTACACCTGTAATCCTAGCACTCTGGGAAGCTGAGGCAGGAGGATTGCTTGCATCCAGAAGTTTGAGACCAGCCTGGGCAACATAGTGAGACTCTGTTGCTACAAAAAATAAATTAGCCAGGCATGGTGGTACATGCCTGTGGTCCCAGCTACTGGGGAGGCTGAGGTGGGAGGATCGCTTGAACCTGGGAGGTCGAGGCTGCAGTAAACCGTGATTGCACCATTGTTGGGCAACAGAGTGAGACCCTGTCTCAGTTTAAAAATTAAAAAAGAAAAATTTCTTTAAGAAAATTATAAGGAAGAGAACATATATTTACTATTCATTAAGTGGACGTGGGTCATAAAGGTCTTGATCTTTATCTTTTTGCTGAATGGGCTGAGAAGGAAGAAGAAGAGAAATTGATCTTTCTGTCTTGGGTGGCAGAGTCAGAAAACAATCCACCTCTCAGTGGAGCCATGCAGTTCAAACCCATGTTGTTCAAGGTTCAACAGTATTTCCTCTATTTAATTCCAATACATTTTCATTACCCCAAAAGGAAACCCCATGCTCATTAAGCAGCCTCTCCTTTCTGCCTTTCATCAGTTCCAGATAACCACCAATCTGGTTCTGTGTCTGTGGATTTACCTGTTCTGGACATTTCATATAGGTGGAATCACATAATATATGACTTTTTGTGTTTAGCATCTTTCACTTAGTGTTTTTGAGGTTCATCCATGTTGTAGCATGTATCAGAATTTTATTACTTTAATGGCCTAATATTTCATTGTATATCCCACGTTTTATATATCAGTTCATTAATAGACATTTAGGTTGTTTCCACCTTTGGCTATTGTGACTAATGCTGCTATGAACATTCACATACAGGTTTTTCTTTGAATACCTGTGTTCACTTCTTTTGAGTATCAACCTAAGAGTAGAATTGCTGGGTCGTATAGTAACTTTAACTTTTTGAGGAATTGTCAAAATGTTTTGCACAATGGCTGCACCATTGTATATTCTGTTAGCGGTATGCAGTACTACTAGGATTCCAGATTCTCCACAATGAATACTTGTTATTTTCCATTGTGTTTTTTTTAATGGCCCGCTGGTAGGTGTGAAGTGGTATCTCATTATGGTTTTGATTTTGATTTGTATTTGCATTTTCCTAATGACTAATGAATTTGAGTGTCTGTATTATAGTTTTTTATTTTTTAAATTAATTATTTTATTTATTTATTTTTTTGAGATGGAGTCTTGCTCTGTCACCCAGGCTGGAGTGCAGTGGCGCGATCTCGGCTCACTGCAACCTCTGCCTCCTGGATTTGAGCAATTCTCCTGTCTCAGCCTCCGGAGTAGCTGAGACTATAGGTGCCTGCCACCATGCCTGGCTAATTTTTGTATTTTTAGTAGATACAGGGTTTCACCATGTTGGCCAGGCTGGTCTCAAACTTCTGACCTCAGGTGATCTACCTGCCTTGGCCTCCCAAAGTTGTATTATAGCTTTTTAAAAGGTAATTAGCCAGGCATGGTGGCAGGTGCCTGTAATCCCAGCTACTCAGGAGGTTGAGGCAGTGAGCTGCCTGGGAGCTTGAACCTGGGAGGTGGAGGTTGCAGTGAGCTAAGATTGCACCACCGTACTCCAGCCTGGCGATACTACTTGTCAAAAAATAAAATAAAATAAATAAAATAAAATGTAAACCAGATCGTGTTGTTCCTTGCTGGAAACCCTCCATTGGCTTCCCATTATAGTTGGAGTAAAACTAGACCTCTCTAGTCTGGCCACAGAGCCCTTCTCGGTCGTCTTTAGCCTACTTCTGTTTCCGTGGCACGTGCTTGCTAACCTCCTTCCTATTCCTTGAGTGCACTGAGTTCATTCTTGCTGGGGAGTTGTTTCATCCCTGACTCTTATGCTTCCCTGTCTTCAAATGGCCAGCTTTTTCTTTTTCTTTTCTTTTCTTTTTTCTTTTTTTTTTTTTTGAGATAGAGTCTGACTCTGTCACTCAGGCTGGAGTGCAGTGGCACGATCTCTGCTCACTGCAACCTCCGCCTCCCATGTTCAAGTGATTCTCCTGCCTCAGCCTCCCGAGTAGCTGGGACTACAGGTGCCCGCCACCATGCCCAGCTATTTTTTGTATTTTTGGTAGAGATGGGGTTTCACTATGTTGTCCAGGCTGATCTCGAACTCTTTCTTATCATTCTGATCTTAGCATGTTACTCTCCTGAGAAGTCTTCTGTGACTCCCCAGTCTAAAATTAGCCACCGTCCTATCACATCACCATTTATTCACCTGGCACTCACAGTGTCTGACGCTTTTCTTGCATGGTCGTCAGCTGTCTTTGCCTACTAGAATGGAAATGCCAAAAGGCTTGTCTTGTTCATTACCAGGTTCTGGCTCCCAGATTAGTGCCTAACATGATGTAATCATTCAGTAAACAGGCTTAATGAATCAATAGCTTTCTTCCCCTGGATTTTATGTGACTTAAAATTCAAATCTGTATTCTTGGTATGAGATGGGGACTTTACCTTCATTTATTTTTTCAATTTGATGGCTGGTTGTCCAAATAACATCCATTAACAATTCACGCCTTCTCCAATGGTTTTAAATGCCCCTTTATCACATACGGTATATTCTAATTCAGGGTTGTCTTCTAGAGGCTATTCTCGAGGCTATTCTCGTCCCTTGACCTATTTGTGCCTAACTTGGCATCATACTATTTTCATTACTCTAAAGATGTGTTTTTATGCTTTCTAGGGTATATTAGCAAAGAGATGACATACTTCATTTGGGTAATTTGAAGAAAGCTTAATCAAAATACTGTTTATTTAGTAAGATGTTATAAAGTTCAGGGAAACTACAAGGGCTTGATCGCTACCCTGGATTATTAACTAATATCCCTAGAATTACATAGACAAGAAGAGGGCACTTTTGCCAGAACCTAGAGGAAAGAATAATGTGGGGGAGGGCAGACTTGAAAGCAGGGGTGCCTTTGGTGGAAGGAGTGGAAAGAATAAATATCCAGACCTCATTCTCCTTCCTTCCTCCTGTTTCCTGCCAGCCAGCATGCCTGTTGGCTGAACACAGAAGCAAGAAGACAGGGGATCTGGCGATGTGATCCCTACAAGCCAGGCCCCAGGGCACAGAGTTAAGGCAGAAAGTATGGACAGTGGATCTGGAGGGCCAAGGAAAGTTCTCCAGCAGAAAGGAAGAGCCTCCACTCAAAAATTTCTTGGCTGCTCTTGCACATATACTTCACCAGTGACCACAGTCTTATAGTATCAGTTTATTATAAAACCATCCTGAGGCCAGATGCGATGGAGCACGCCTGTAATCTCAGCACTTTGGGAGGCCAAGGTGGGCAGATCACCTGAGGTCAGGAGTTCGAGACCAGCCTGGCCAACATGGTGAAACCCCGTCTCTACTAAAAATACAAATATCAGCTGGGCGTGGTGGCACGCTCCTATAGTCGCAGTCACTCAGGAGGTTGAGGCATGAGAATCGCTTGAACCCGGGAGGCAAAGTTGCAGTGAGCTGAGATGGCACCACTGCACTCCAGCCTGGGTGACAGATCGAGACTCCCTCTCAAACAAAAAACAACAACAAAAAAAAAAGCAGCCTGTATACTTGGAAGTTCTTCCTGTTTTGGCTGTTTATACTTACCTTCTAGTAACTGTTCTGTTTCTTTGGAACCTATTCCTTGTCTGTTTTCTTTCATTTGAAATCCAGTATATTTACTTGGAATCCCCTTTCTGTTCCACCAACCCACACTGAACAATTAGATCCTGAAGCCCTACTAACTAAGAGGGTCTTGCTCTTTGTTAGACTCTTAGGCAGTAAAACCATTTTGTGCAGTAGACACATTTCCCCACCACTGTGTTGCTTGTAAACTTTGAACTTTTCATTAGGGATGAGGACTGGATTTTCTTTAGTTTTCTGAAGTGGAACGTGATGATTCTGAGACTCTATCCAGTCTAACAAGTGTTGTGATGAGTTAAAGGCAGCCACCTTGGCCATAGGAATGAAGAGTTGCAACATGTGTTTTGTGTATTTGCTTTCTTGGTGTTATGTACTCAGCTTTGGGCCACCTTCCTCTTATCTTGAATAGCTGACTTGTCCTGGTACCTCCCACTTTAATCTTTTTGTTTGTTTGTTTGTTTGTTTTTGCCTAGCACCAGTAAGACAAGAAGAGAATGCTCTAGTATTTAGAATAAAGGGAGCTCAGATTTTGAAATGACAACTACAGAAAGCCTTACTCTAACTTACTGGAGAAATTTAAAATCAAGGGAATCTGAAATTTGATCCTATGAGGATTGTAACCAGTTGAAAAAAAAAAAAAATCCTGAGAATAGGAAAAAGAAAGCCATCCTCCCAGACCATTCTTGTCTTTACCATTCAGAAATGTGTAAGATATTAAGAGTAGAAAGGACTGTCAGCATCTTTGAGTCCATCTCCCTTTCTTTGCAGTTGAGGCTGCATATGCAGAAAGAATAATTGCCCACACCATGACAAGTGGTGGAGCTGGAAGGAGAACTTCTTTCTCATGAGCTTATGTTCTATCCATTAGACCAACTAGTTTCTCATTTTGAACCCAGGACTGATTTTCTAGTATACCTGGCTAACCTATTGTGTTTTCATGTGGGTACGTGAGGCAATTTCAAGGCAGCAACCAAGTCCTGTACTATTTGCAGACACTGTTTTGTTGGAAAGAAGAGTTGGAAGGACTTTAATATGTTAATGCTTTTCTTAAGGATTATGCTGACAATTTGTCATTTGACTGAAGCCTGTATAAGGAAAGAGACTATATGAGCAAGTTAAGTTGAAAAATGTTTAGTTTTAGAGTAGGTGGGGAGAGTATTTACTTTGAGCAGATAGAGAAATTGGGGTTTCTTGCGCTTTGGGGAATACTGGGATGAAGAAAATATGTTATGGGCTGATAATAGGGATATTGCCATACAGATAGTATTTCCAGAGACATTTTAAAGCAAACACATTTCTTCGTGTTTTGGCTCTTTCAAGAGAGATATTCAAGCATTTTTGTGTTTCTTTTTATTGAGTTGCCCTCTCTTGGTCAATGTGGGATGACTGTAGTTGGAATTGAAAGTGCAGAGGGATCTCCTTCCTTAATTCCTGAGTGCTCTATGGAGGAGTAAGAGCCATCTGGATATCAGAAGAGGAAGCTCTTAATGAGCTCCTTTTTGTTTTGCTCCAAAGACTTTTGAATTGATTGTTAAATTCACTTTAACTTAGAAGCTTGCCTTTGCTTTTATATGGTATAAAAGGAGGCAATTCCGGGGTCTCCGTGATGGACATATGCACCAGCAGCTGTTGTTCTGTATTTTGACTTGCTCCCCTGGCTCCCCACATCCACAGCCCTGCAAGTGCCTGCTATGGGGAACTCTGACCTATCCCTTTTGTCCATGGTGCTTGATCTTGGCTTGGCTTCCAGGTGGCTTGGCCCTCCTCTGAGACAGACATCAATTGCAAAGATGAGAGTGGGCTGGCTTTTGAAGACGTTTTTCACATTCTGGTTTGCAGACCTGTTGAGATGTGCTACTCCTTTCATGTTTCCATTCCATCTGTCTCTTGAAAGGGCAAAGGGAGTGTCTTCATGTGACTGAGGGCTGTTGATGTTGGCTTCAAATTCATTTCAAATTAATTTCTACATTTTTGTCATAGGTATCAGCCATTGCATTCCCTTGATCTTGACATTGTTCTAGCAAGGCTGCCAGTGAGCAACAAGAAGACCAATTTCTGTACACTCTTTAAAGCAAGAACAAAGGAAAAGTTCTCATTCATTACGGGGGTTATATTAAATGCCATTCTTAATTCTTTGTAGAAGATTGGATCCTGGATAATAGCATATTACAGGATTGTATTCGTTATCTAGTTGAGCTTCTAGTGACACCCTGTCAAGCACCCATAATTCGTTTATTTACTACCGACTACCTCTGTATGCCAGACACTGTGGGGTTTCAATGGCACCATTGCCAATTCTTACAACAACCTTACAAGATAGCTGTTCTCCTTGTATTATAGATGGAAAAAAACCAAAAAAAAACAAAACAACAACAACAAAAAAACCTCAGGCTAAATTTTAGCCACATTTCCCCAACTTCCATAGCAGGCATATATATGGGAGATGCCTTTGGCACCTGAGTCCAAAGTTTTCTCTTTGCATTACACCAGGGGTATATAAAGGAACCAAATCTAGCCTGCCACCTATATCTGTTTTATTAGAACATGGCCACACCCAGTTATTTATATATTTTCCAGGGTTGCTTTTACACTACAGTGGCAGAGTTGAGCAGTTGCAGCAAAGACTAGATGGCCCACAAAGCAGAAAATGTTTACTATCTGGAGCTTTAAGAACAACACTGTTGACCCCTACACTATACTGTTGCTGAAGATGGCCCTGTGGTTGGCAAATAGGATGGTTTTTCTGGCCGCATGTTGCAAGTCTAAAATCAGAAAGTCTATCATCTGTCTGACTCACCTTTTTTTTTCTCTTTATGTCATGTTGTCTTTTCAATATTTTTTGTTATGATTTTTTAGAGGGTAGTGGCTTTTACCTCTGAGTCTAAATGCCAGTTAGTAATAGTTTGATTTATTTGTTTAGAGATTTCCTGTCAGCAGTCTTGTAATAGATTGTTTGAGATTCTGAATGGTTTCATGAAGCATACATACATTTTTCAGCAGGTCTTTCTTTCTTGAGGGGAAAAAGTCAGCCGATGTGATTGTGCAGTGTTTAAGGAAGTTCTGTTGCTTTCATTTTGAGAGAAGCAGCATCCCTGTGTTTTGCTTGATGTTAATGTACTATTACACAGACAAAACTCTAGCCAAGGTGGGATTGGAAATATTAATATCAGTTTTATGTACCTTGGGTTAATCGAAGGTGTGCCTGGAAAAAAAGTCAGTTGTAAGGCAGAAGTTCTTAAATATCAGTGTACATAAGAAACACTTTGGAGTGCTTGTTTTAAAAAAATGTAGATTTTCAGACACCCAGCCTGAAGATTCTGGATCAGTAAGTCTAATGTAGATGGCTCTGATGCTTATGAGAAAAAAAAAAAAATGGGTTTGGGAGGTTGAGTCATGGTTTAATGCAGTATTTCTAGGTAGTCCAAATAAGGGTATTCATGATTTGTTTGTTAATCCTGTTTTAGTTTGCCTCAAAATGTGATATAACTATAAACTTTAAATGTTTAAGTACAACGTAACAGGAAATAAAATAATGCCACTGTAAATGTATTTTAACTACTTCTGCTACTGCTAATAATGCAATAACATTTTATGTTTATGCTTTATAGTTATAGAGTTCCTCATTACACACATCTCATTTGATTTTTATGTCAACCCTTGAGGTAGATGTGGCAAGGGGTATAATTTTCATTTATCAATGAGAAAACTGAGATTTAAAAAACATGTGTTTTTTTTTTTTTTTCCCCAACATGGCACAGCTAATAAGCACTACATTTAGAATTCCCATACAACACTTCTGGGTTTTAGTCCAGTATTATTTTCAATGTACCATATTATTCTTATGACACCTATTTTGATTTTTAAAGGAAAATATAATCAGTTTATGACTCACTGCCTTCCAATAGGAAGGATAAGCTGTTTATAGTTAAGTACTTTGGTAGTGCCCCACAGGCTACTTAACGTGGAGGTGACTGTAGGTATGCGCAGATTGGTGAGTCAGATGTCTTTATAGAATGTTCCAAGTGTGGAAGAAGAAATCTCTCTCCTTTCTTTGACAGAAACTCTATAAAACAGGTCGGGAGATGCAGGAGAGGATCATGGACCTGCTTGTGGTGGTGGAGAACGAAGATGTAACTGTTGAGCTAATTCAGGTGAATGAGGATTTGAATAATGCTATCCTTGGATATGAGAGGTGAGCAGATCATGTACCCTCTTTACCCCTCTTCCATTTCTACTTTCACCACCAATTACTCAGCATTCTTATCAGAGTGCCTACAAGTGACCCCTCTTTCTAGATTCTCCATTCTCAATAGGAAAGGTATTGGCATGTGGGGTGGGACAGTTTTCCCTTGTACAGCTCCTACTCAGTAAATGCTAGAGGTCTTTCTCCTAGTTAAAGTGACATTTCAGCCCAGCATGGTGGCTCCCAGCTATAATCTCAGCACTTTTGGAGGCCGAGGCAGGAGGATCACTTGAGCCCAGGAATTCCAGACCAGCCCTGACAACATAGTAAGACCCTGTCTCTACAAAAAATAAAAAATAAGGCCGGACACGGTGGCTCACACCTGTATCCCCAGCCCTTTGGGAGGCCAAGGTGGGCAGATCATTTGAGGTCAGGAGTTCGAAACCAGCCTAACCAACATAGTGAAACCCCATCTCTACTAAAAATACAAAATAATTAGCTGGGCATGGTCGCGCATGCCTGTAGACCCAACTACTCAGGAGGCTGAGGCAGGATAATTGCTTGAACCTGGGAGGTGGAGGTTGTGGTGAGCCAAGATCATGCCACTGCACTTCAGCCTTGGCAATAGAGTGAGACTCTGTCTCAAGAATATAAATAAATAAAATAAATAAATAAAAAATAAAAAAAATTAGCTGGGTGTGGTGGTCCTAGTAGGTGCTTATAGCCTAGCTACTAGAGAGGCTGAGGTGGGAGGATAGCTTGAGACCAGGAATTTGAGGCTGTGGTGAGCTATGATCGCATCACTGCACTCCAGCCTGGGTGATGGAGTGAAATCCCACCTCTAAAAGAAATAATAATAAAATGACATGTTAAGACACCCTTAGGGGCAGTGTTTCTGTTGAGAATTACTGGGAATCTCTACTTGCACAGTGACCGTATTTCTAATCAGCTGATAAAGAATGAGACCAGTATGACATAAGGGAAAGAGGTGAACAGGCCTGGATTCAAATCTAGCTGATGATTTTGGATAAGTTGCATAACTTTTCTAAGATTTAAGTTTTTTTCTTTCTTATTTTTTTGATGTATTAAATAGGATAATAATACCTTTTTAGAGGGTTGGGCTTTTTTTGAGGATTAAATGAGATAATACATATGAAAACACCTAGCAGAGTGCTAGCACATTGACATCCATTAAATAGTAATTTCTTCTCTTCCTCTGCACCGGTGTCCCATTTAACCTTTACATTTATTGACTAGGTTTTTCTTCCCACTTATCATGAGTGAATTAAGAGAAACCATGAAATAAAGCCAGTATTTATGGGCCAAGAATGGTGGTGCACACCTGTAATCCCAGCACCTTGGGAGGCTGAGGTGGGCGGATTACTTGAGCTCAGGAAGTTTGAGACCAGCCTGGGCAACATGGTGAAACCCCATCTCTATCAAAAAATTACAAAAATTAGCCAGGCATGGTGACACACGCCTTTAGTCCCAGCTACTTAGGAGGCTGAGGTGGGAGCATCTCTTGAGCCCAGGAGGCAGAAGTTGCAGTGATCCAAGATCGTGCCACTGCACTCCAGCCTGGGTGACAGAGTGAGACCCTGTCTCAAAAAAGAGAAACATAAAACCAGTAGCTATTAAATGGTAGTTTCTTTCCTTCACTGTCTCATATTTACTGTCAGAGAAGGGCATCGACTGAAGATGTAAGCCTAGGAACCATGCTTGCTTTCTTTCTTTCTTTTTCTTTTTTCTTCGTTTTTTTTTTGTTTGTTTGTTTGTTTGTTTTTTTGAGATGGAGTGCTTAGGCTGGAGTGCAGTGGCACGATCTTGGCTCACTGCAACCTCCACCTTCTGGGTTCAGGCGATTCTCCTGCCTCAGCCTGTAGCAGGACGAGCCGCAGACAAAACTCCTCAGACACTGAGTTAAAGAAGGAAGGGGTTTATTCGGCCAGGGGCATTGGCAAGACTCCTGTATCAAGAGCCGAGCTCCCCGAGTGAGCAATTCCTGTCCGTTTTAAGGGCTCACAACTCTAAGGGGGTGCGTGTGAGAGGGTCGTGATTGATTGAGCAAGCAGGGAGTATGTGACTAGAGGCTGCATGCACTGGTAATTAGATCGGAACAAAACAGGATAGGGATTTTCACAGTGCTTTTCTCTACAATGTCTGTAATCTATAGATAACATAACTGATTAGGTCAGGGGTCGATCTTTAACTACCAGGCCTAGGGTGTGGCGCCGGGCTGTCTGCTTGTGGATTTCATTTCTGCCTTTGAGTTTTTACTTTTTCTTTCTTTGGAGGCAGAAATTGGGCATAAGACAATATGAGGAGTAGTCTCCTCCCTTAAGCCTCCCAAGTAGCTGGGATTACAGGCACACACCATCATGCCTGGCTAGTTTTTGTATTTTTAGTAGAAACGGGGTTTCACCATGTTGCCCAGGCTGGTCTTGAACTCTTGACCTCAGGTGATCCACCCTCCTTGGCCTCCCAAAGTGCTGGGATTACAGGCGTGAGCCACCGCGCCTGGCCACCATGCTTTCTTTCTTAGCACTGAAGAAACTCACAATTGTTACTCTTGTTTTCTGTGGAACAAATTTTTATAAGCAAAAAAATATCCAAGGAAAACCACATTGTTTTCAGTAGAGTGCTGCCTTCTGGCTTTCATTTTGGAGAATTCTATTGCAAACCATGAGACCATTGCCTAAAGGCTTCCTTCAAGGGGGAACTTGTGTTTATTTGGTCTAGCTCTCAGGAGATTGGATTACTTCTGTGAACAGCTTGTTCTGACTGGGCTTTGAACCCTGTGTACCAGAACAACTGTGAAACACTTACATCCTAAGATTCAGAGAGAAACTCTTGCCTCTAGAAAGATACTAGTCTCCTAGTTTTCTCTGGCTGCTGTCACAAATTCACACAAACTTAGTGGCTTATCCTCTGTTTTATCCACTTTTGGACGCTCCAGAGGAGAATCCATCTTCCTAGCTTTTGCAACAGCTAGAGGCTGTTCACTTTCCTTGGCTCATGGCCCCTTTTCTCCATCTTCAAAGCCAACCATGTCTAGTTCAGGCCTGATTATATCATATCACTCTTACTTCCACTTCTGCCTCTCTCTTCCACCTTTAATGACCTTTATGACTACATTGGGTTCATCTGTACAGTCCCAGATAATCTCCCAATTAAGGGCAGCTTACTAATGTGAACCAAAAGTATCTGAGACAGGTCTCAATGAATTTAGAAAGTTAGTTTTGCCAAGGTTAAGGATGCACCTGTGGCACAGCCACAGGAGGTCCTGACAACATGCGCCCAAGGTGGTGGGGGCACAGCTTGGTTTTTTGTTTTGTTTTGTTTTTGAGACAGAGTCTTGTTCTGTCACCACGCTGCAGTGCAGTGGTGCGATCTTGGCTCACTGCAACCTCCACCTCCCGGGTTCAAGTGATTCTCCTGCCTCAGCCTCCTGAGTAGCTGGGACGACAAGCGTGTACCACCACGCCCAGCTAATTTTTGTATTTTTAGTAGAGACGGGGTTTCACTATGTTGGCCAGGATGGTCTCGATCTCTTGACCTCGTGATCCACCCACCTCGGCCTCCCAAAGTGCTGGAATTATAGGCGTGAGCTACCACACCTGGCCATCCACAGCTCGGTTTTATACATTTTCGGGAGATATGAGACATCAATCAATATGTGTAAGATGTACATTGGTTCCATCTAGAAAGGTGGGACAACTCAAAGCAGGGAAGGGGGCTTCCAGGTTATAAATAGATAAGAGACAAATGGTTGCATTATTTTGAGTCTTTGATCAGCCTTTCACGGAATACACAATTTACGTGTGAGAAGGGGCTAGAGGAATAGTCACTCATGCCTTAGTCTGGCTCAGTGAATCTGCACTTCTACATAAGCAGTAGGGCAGAGGAAGCAATTGAGTTCTGTCCTTTGTCCTGTACTTATGAAGATAAGCTATCAGTTTATATTGCCAGGGTGAGATTCAGCAGAGCTGTTTTAGGGTAAAGATCTTGAGGCCCACAAGGAGTTTTCTCTTAGGCAAATTGTGGGAGAGGTAGGTAGCTTTTTATCTTTGTAGCTATATTATTTAGGAATAAAATTTGCCTGACGCAGTTCCCAGCTTGACTTTTCCCTTTGGCTTAGTGATTTTGGGGTCCTGAGATTTATTTTCCTTTAACACTAGCAAACTTCATTCTTTTTTCAACCTTTAATTTCCCCTTGCCATGTAACCTAACATATTCACTGGTTGTGTTTACTAGGATGTGGGTACCTTTGTGAGGGTGGGCGTTACTGTATCTATCACAGTCCACTCTCTGGCCCCTAAAGATTCATATCCATCCACTTGCAAAATACATTCACCCTATTCCAACATCCCCCAAAGTCTCTGCTCATTACATCCAGGGAATAGTTGTGCAAATAAAGAAATTGAAATTTGTCACTCAGGGCTTGATCTAGGAAGGTTGTTCATACCCAGCACATAACTGACTAGAATATAAGAAGCTAGTGCTATAACTAGATGGATTTTTTTTTTTTTTTCTTTTTTGAGATGGACTCTTGCTTTGCTGCCCAGGCTGGAGTACAGTGGCATTATCTCAGCTCACTGCAACCTCCGCCTCCCAGGTTCAAGCGATTCTTCTGTCTCAGCCTCCCTGGTAGCTGGAATTAGAGACACATGCCACCACGCCCAGCTAATTTTTGTATTTTTAGTCAAGATGGGGTTTCACCATGTTGCCCAGGCTGGGCTCAAACTCCTGACCTCAAGTAATCCACCTGTCTCAGCCTCCCAAAGTGCTGGGATTACAGGCATGAGCCACAGTGCCTGGCTGAACTAGGTGGAATTTAAAACACATATTTTTGAAAAATCATTCAACTGTGTGTGCAGATTCTGTCACGCGTGAAGAGACCACCAAAGAGGCTTTGTGTGAGCAATAAAGCTGTTTATTTCACCTGGGTGCAGGGGGGCTGAGTCCAAAAAATGAGTCAGCAAAGGGAGTTAGGGGTGGGGCAGTTTTATAGGATTTGGGTAGGTAGCGAAAAATTATAGTCAAAGGGGGTTGTTCTCTGGAGGGCAGGGGCAGGAGTCACAAAGTGTTCAGTGGGGGAGCTTCTGAGCCAGGAGAAGGAATTTCACAAGGTAATGTCATCAGTTAAGGCAGGAATTGGCCATTTTCACTTCTTTTGTGATTCTTCAGTTGGTTCAGGCCATCTGGATGTATACCTGCAGGCTTGGGCTCAGAGGCCTGATTCAGTATAAACTCTTACACTTTAAAGTGTTTAGGATCCTGAAGTCAAATTGTCATAACAGTAATACTATATGTTTCTAAAGCAAATCTCAGTTTACAAAGCATTTCCACGTTCATCCACCTGTGCTATCTAGTTTTGCCCCTGAAAATAACTTTCTGAGCAAATAGTTCAAATGTTATTCCCTCTTAGCAGCTGGGGCACCAAGGTTCAGGAAGTCATACCCTTAGTCATATAGCTACAAGGTACTAACACTGACACTTAAACTTTGGACTTTTGCCTTCAACTTCTCTGGTCTTTTACGTTTATGCTCCTTTACTCTCAGTGGACAATGTAAAATTAAATCAGAGTTGTAGAAGGTCAATTTTTTGGTATGTGTTAAGTGTCTTATAAAAATACACAGTGAAGGCCGGGCGCGGTGGCTCATGCCTGTAATCCTAGCACTTTGGGAGGCCGAGGTGGGCGGATCACCTGAGGTCGGGAGTTCGAAACCAGCCTGACCAACATGGAGAAACCCCGTCTCTACTAAAAATACAAAAATTAGCTGGGCATGGTGGCACACGCCTGTAATCCCAGCTACTTGGGAAGCTGTGGCAGGAGAATTGCTTGAACCCGGGAGGCAGAGGTTGTGGTGAGCCAAGATTGCACCTTTGTATTCCAGCCTGGGCAACAAGAGCGAAACTCCATCTCAAAAAAAAAAAAACCACAGTGAAATAGTGAAAATACTTTAAATATATTTGAATATTTTGGAAAATTACTTATAATGGCAAAGTAGAAAACAAATAATCACTAATAGAGTGGTTAAAAGTGTGATAGATTCATAAGGTAAAATATAGCCATTAAAAATTGTATTTCAGCTAGAAAAATTCTCACAGCATACTCAAATTAGGATACAGAATTATGTAAAGTATCCTTTCAACTAAGCTTAAAAATAGATGCACTTATAGATGAAATACTGGAATAATGTTAATAGATTTAACAATTTCTGGGTGATGAGTTTTTTTTAAATACTTTTCTATTTTCTCACAGTTTTCTCTGAGGGTATGAATACTCTGTAAGCTGGAAAAAGGTTATTAAAAGTATTTTACTGATAATTGTGTGAGGATGAGGCTGATTGTCTTCATTCCTAAATATTTGTGTATTAATAATTGTTAGATTTTTATAGCATTTTCATATATTTTTTTAAAAACACATGCATTTTGATCATTTAAACAGGTTTACTAGAAACCAACAAAGGATTTTGGAGCAAAATAAGAACCAGAAGGAAGCCACCAATGTAAGTGATGAGAAATGTTATAAAATAAACAATTGAACATTTTGCCAATTACAGTGAGAAGCAAGGCTTACCTAAAACAAGTCTTAAAAAGAGGAAGATATGCATTCATAATTTGGAGTGGTTTTAATGGTATAGATTACTTGCCTTAATAACTTAATGTTATTAACGTTAATGTTAAACTGTTAATGTAATGTAAAGTTAATGTTATGAAGTTATTAATAAGAAGCAGGAACCTATGTAGGTGGTAAGATGGGATTCATACTAATGTTGCTCGTTGAGTGGAGAATTCTTCCTTAAAATGCATCCAAATAGGATCCTCCCCTCTACAAAGGAGAAAGTATGGGGAGAAAGCTGTGATAAACTACATGACACTTTTTTTTTTTTTTGCTTTGTTTTCAGACTACCAGTGAGCCTTCTGCCCCATCTCAAGATCTCCTCGACCTAAGTCCCAGTCCCCGGATGCCTAGGGCCACTCTGGGAGAACTCAACACCATGAATAATCAACTTTCAGGCTTAAGTAAATAAACACTCAGGTCTTTTCAGACCAGCAGAAGAGCTTGATGTTAAACAGTTCTCCTTAATTACGTGATTAAATACCACCTAAGAAGGACTGAAGTCAGGTTGAATGTCAGAGCGCTATGTTAGGAGATGTGATTACTTCCCGGCAAATGGTTGAGTCAAACCCAGTATAGCAATGGGATGTGTCTGGGCGAGGAGGTCCTTGAAACTCATCCTACTCACTTAGAATCTCATGGAATTCACCTGGCCTGCTTTGTAGAAGTTGTTCAGCCCAATGGCCAATACTTAAAGTCTACTGTGAACCTACACACTATTATCATTGGGTTTTTCTGCTATACCTCAGCATCAGGTAAGGGAGTATCTCTGATGCAAGCGGAGAAATTCAGGGATTACAAGGTATGAACTGAGTGGTTGTGAAATGTAGAAGGAAAAACACAGGCTTTAAAGTCAGAGAAGTCCAAGTTGAAATGCCAGTTCTGCCACCTCTCAGCCACCTAACTTTTGAGAGTCTCACTTTATAAAATGGGAACAATGATTGCCTTAAAGGGTGGTTGTCAAGGTTAACAAACTAATGTTTATAAAATGCATTGTAGCAAAGCTTACAATGCATTTTATAAACATTTATAAAAGAGTTACCTATCTTACCTGTTATCTTCTGCTGTCCTTATTCCCAGCAAGGGTTTGGCAAATTACAAAATAAGGATGATGAAAAATGCTGAAATCCAGTTTTGTCAAATTAAAAGCAGTTTGTTTTTCTCATATGTCATCTGCTGTTTCCGGAGTAAAAATATTCAGTATCACTGAATTTGTGGTTTTCTTAGAACTCTACTCAGTTCTAAAATGTTGGCTACTTGTTTATGTAGGCCAGTGGGATGTGTAGAGTCAGTTACATTGGAGAGTTTTCCTGAGTTTTTAATTGAGAATTTTCAGAGGGGGAGGGAATTATTCCCTTTGGGGTATCTCACTTAAGATTATGGCCTGGAGGCCAGGCATAGTGGCTCACACCTATAATCCCAGCACTTTGGGAGGCCGAGTCAGGTGGATCACCTGAGGTCAGGAGTTCGAGACCAGCCTGGCCAACATGGCAAAGCCCTGTCTCTACTAAAAATACAAAAATTAGCCGGGAGTGGTGGTGGGCGCCTATAATCCCAGCTACTCAGGAGGCTGAGGCAGAAGAATCACTTGAACTCAGGAGGTGGAGGTTGTGGTGAGCCGAGATCGTGCCACTGCACTCCAGTCTGGGTGACAAAGTGAGACTCCATCTCAAAAAAAAAAAAAAAAAAAAAAGATTATGGACTGGAGCTTGAGGTGAAGGTAGAGCTCAGTATGTACTGTAATTTTTTACTTTTGTGCTAGGCAGAACAAGATGTAAAATCCTTTGCATTCTGGATCAGCTTGGGATTTTAGAAAATCCAATACAATAATATTTGTTACCCTTACAACAACTTCTTCTCATGGCAGGGAAATTCTTTCTCTCTCTACCTACCATAAATGATGCTTTTTAATTTCTCTTAGAGCTAGGAAATCTCATGATTTTAGGGTGACAGAAATATCTAAATTAATCTCTTTTATTTGGTGGGTTTTTCTTTTTTTTTTCTTTTTCTTTTTTCTTTTTTTTTGTTTTTACTGTAGAAAATCCAGCATAACTGACTGACAAAATGTTTTAAAGCCAAACAAGTCCATTTTGTGTTTTAGATTTCAGCCTTCCAAGTTCTGATGTAACAAACAACTTAAAACCCAGTCTTCATCCACAGATGAACTTGCTAGCCTTGGAGAATACAGAGATACCCCCGTAAGTATGTCAGTAACACTGCAGAACTAATATCATGACATTTAGATTCCTTACAATTAAGAAAACCTGATGGCTGGGCGCAGTGACTTACATCTGTAATCCTAGCACTTTGGGAGGCCAAGGCACATGGATCACTTGAGCCCAGGAGTTTGAGACCAGCCTGGGCAACATGGCAAAACCTCATCTCTAGTAAAAATACAAAAATTAGTTGGGCATTGTGGCATATGCCTATAATTCCAACTACTTGGGAGGCTGAGGCATGAGAATCACTTGAACCTGGGAGGTAGAGGTTGCAGTGCAGTGCAGTGCAGGCGATATAGCACTTGGTACATAGTAAGCCTTCAATAAATTGTCTCTGTTTATTTTTAGTAGTAACAGGAGATGGGGAAGAACAGGGGAAATACAATGACAAAGGAGGCAGAAGAGCAATGAGGTTCAAAATTAAGAGTAATGGCCCCATCAGTTACAGGGTACTTGCTGTGTGGCAGGCACTCAGTTAAGCTATTTTTGTTTATTTCATCTAATCTTCACTAAAGTACTTAGGTCAGCGATGTTAGGTCAGGGTCTTGCTCTGTCACTCAGGCTGGAGTACAGTAGCACCATTATAACTCACTGCAGCCTCAAACTCCTGGGCCCAAGGGATACTCCCACCTCAACCTCTTAATAGCTGGGACTACAGGTGTGCGCCACCATACTGGGCTAATCTAATTTTTAAAATTTTTTGTAGAGATGGGGTCTCGCTTTGTTGCCCAAGCTGGTCTTGAACTCCAGGCCTCAGGTGATCCTCCCGCCTTGGCCTCCTAAAGTGAGCCACTGCACCAGCCTGTTATCATTATTCCCATCATACAGGAAAAGAGACTGAGATTTCTTGGTCATTTCTCTATTGAAGGAACTAGAACTTGCCCAAGTTTGTATAGCCAGTAAGTAGCAAGTCTGATGGACTGATAGTCCAATATTAAAATTGGACTAATAAAACCTGATGGAGTAGCTGGAACCTCCTGAGTAGCTGGAATTATAGGCATATGCCCCAATGCCCAACTAATTTTTGTGTTTTTAGTAGAGGTGAGGTTTTGCCGTGTTGCCCAGGCTGGTCTCAAACACCTGGGCTCAAGCGATCCATGTGCCTCGGCCTCCCAAAGTGCTAGGATTACAAGATGTGAGCTACTGCACCCAGCCATCAGGTTTTCTGATAGTCCAATATTAAAAAGAAATATTAATGACCTATAAACATATGCAATGATGTTCAACTTTACTTATAGAGAAATGTCAATTAAAGTCTAATAAGAAATTGTTTTCTACTTCTCAGGTTGGCAAAAGTCCCAATATTTCATAACATACTTTGTTGGCTATGGAAAGACAGTTACTATGACAAAATTATGTAACTCTTATAGGGGCAGGTGGCAATATCTATTAAAATTATAAATGCATTTATTTCTTTGAATCTGCAATCTTATCTGTAGAAATTTATACCACACTTACACACAGTTAGGTGTTTACAAAATTATTCTTTACAACATTTTGGGCAATAGCAAGTAATTGGAAACAACTCAAAATATCCCTCAGTTGGGGACTGGTTAAATAAACATCTGTACAACATATTACTGTCTAGCTGGGGGATAAAAGTAATAATCACCAATATATTTATTGCTAAGTAGGAAAAAAAGGTGCTAAGTAGTGTGTGTGTAATATATTGCATTTGTGTAAGAAAGTTGGAAATAAGAATATATATTAATATTTGCCTCTATTCACATAAAGAAACAAGAATGATACAGGAAGGAAAAAACTGAAAAAGAGTGAAAGAGTGGTTACGTAAGTTCCAGAAGAGGCAGGATAGAATAAATAGCAGTTGAATTTGCCTTATGCCAATGTCAATAGCTTTTTTCCTTTTAAGTGTATATATTTTAGATAATAGGCAACACATTTTCATTATTCAGATATCAAAACAGTATAAAAAGTTGTATAAGACAATTCTTGTTTTCATTCCCTCTTCATCCTCCCTCTCTCCTTTTCCCTAGTGTCACGCTCTACTCCCACCCAGATAATTATTTGTTAGGTTCTGATTTATCCTTCCATAGTGTCTTTAGGCAAATAGGAATATGAATTTCTTTCTCCGTTATTCAATAAAATGCAGCATACTATCACTGTGTTCTGAACCTTTTGTTTTTCACTTAACATACTTTGGCAGTGTGTTTGTATCAGTGGATTTAGATTTTTTAAAAAGTTTCCTAGTGTTTTGTTTAAATACTTATGTACCCAATCACTGAATTACTTTTCTATATTTAAAAGGGGGAGGGGCAGAGGGAGGAAAATGAGAAAGAAGAATCAAACTGGGAAGAAAAAAGAGCAAAATATAAGGGAAGAAGAGAAGAAAGGATTCATGTGTTGGGAAATGATTAAGTGTCAATGGCTCTTTCATGAACCACTGAGTTAGGTCAGTATCTTCTGTTGGCTACCTCTTGTTTTGGCTACATGCAATGCAAGTAAATGTTGAAATGTAGGCAGATTGAAGTCGCTTGGTAAATAGTGTGGTTTAAAATAGCTGATTCTGTTTGTGTTATCTTGCTAATCTTGTTGGGTAATGAGAGAAAGAATAATACAGATAAAATCCCATTACAACAAGTGTCTATAAAATTCATTAAAAGTCAAATTTCAGCTAATAGCTGCCTGTTTTAATCTGTAACCTACTTGGATCTAATAATTCAGTATGCATAAAAATCACTTGGGTGACTGTCAAAAAGTCAAATTGCTGGTCCCCAGAAACTCTGATTCAGCAGCAAGAATCTTTAACATGCATTCCAGGAGGATCATAATGCAGTGGTTTTCCTATCATACATTGAGAAACCCTATGATGAACATCTATACCAAGATTCGAGGGCGTATACCTGGTTTAAATCATATGCCTAAGATCACTTGTGAGAGGCAAAATCAGCCATTAAAATGTCTTATAATGTTGAGATTTTTTCCATCCCTTTGTTTGCAGTTTAATTTATTCACCATCACAGAAAAAGTGGGTGATGCAGTTTTTCATAACAGAAAGAATCCTTAAAAAACAATAACAAAGAAGACAGGATAAAACATAGGTCATTTTTTTTTTGAGACAGAGTCTTACTTTGTCACCCAGACTGGAGTGCCGTAGTTCGATTTTGGCCAACTGCAACCTCCACCTTCCAGGTTCAAGCGAGTCTCCTGCCTCAGCCTCCCAAGTAGCTGGGATTACAGGCACCCGCCACCACACCCATCTAATTTTTTTTTTTTTTTGTATTTTTAGTAGAGACCTGGTTTTACCATGTTGGCCAGGCTGTGGTCTCAAACTCCTGACCTACGGTGATCTGCCCACCTCGGCTTCCTGAAGTGCTGGGATTACAGGCATGAGCCACTGTGCCCGGCTCATAGGCCATATTTATGACCCATTTACTAACAGGCAACAAGCTAAGAAGTATAGAAATGCTTACTAATTACTTAACCTATGAGGTATGTGCCACCATCATTTTCATTTTAAACAAGAGGAAACCAAGGCTGAGGAAGATTAACTTGCCAGTGGTTGTCCAGCTAGTACTGAGACAGGATTCAAATTTAAATGGGATTCAAAATCAAATTCTGATTTCAGTAACTTCTCTCTTTTTGTTTTTAGTTTTGTACTTTAATTTTATTTCTAAAATTTTCATATACTAAAATTGACCTTTTTTGTTTTGGTTTGGTGTACAGTTTTATTTATTTTAACATACGTATAGATTCAAATAACTACCCCCAGTCAGGATACAGAATAGTTCCGTCACTCAGCAAAACTGCCGTGTGCTATTCCTTTATAGTCACACCCTTGTACCCCTGACCCTCAATCCCCAGCAGCCAGGAGTTTATTCTCTATTGCTATAGTTTGTCTTTGAGAATGTCATTCAAGTAGAATTATACAATATATCATCTTTCTAGAAGAGATTGTATTAAGTTGGTATTTGCTTTATGTGTTTTGAAGCTCATGCATTCGGCTATGTTGGATCTTATTGGTTGATTGAGTCTTTTATCATTATGTAATGTCCTTCTTTGTCCCTCATAATTTTCTTTGTCCTGATGTTGATTTTGATAGTAATATAGCCACTCTAGCTTTCTTTTGTTTAGTGGTTGCCTGGTATATTTTCTTCTGCATTTTACTTGTAACTTAACTGTACTAAAAGATTAGGAGTTTCTTAGAAATAGCCTATAGTTGGTTCATGCATTTTTATATATTCTCATAATCTCTTTTAATTGATATGTTAGGCAATTTACATTTAATTTAATTGTATGTAGAGTTTAGGTCTACTGTTATATAGTTATTCTATGTGTTCCTTTTTTTCTGTTTCCTTTTTCCTGCTTTCTTTTGGATTATTAGAATATTTTTAGTGCTCCATTTTAGTTTATTGTGATTTTGACTGTATCTTTGTATAATGGTGTGTGTGTGTGTGTGTGTGTGTGTGTGTGTGTGTGTGAAATAAAGTTGCTTGGTAAATAATGTGGTTTAAAGTAGCTGATTCTTTTCCTGTTATTTTGCTAATTTTGTTAGCAAAATATATATATGTATATATGTTTATATATACATGTACACACACACATATATATAAAGAGAGTTTGCTTTAGTGATTGCAGTATACTTATTTTTCAGTCTACCTAAAATCAATGCTTTACTACTTGAAAGTAAAAACCTGGGCCGGGCGCAGTGGCTCACACCTGTAATCCCAGCATTTTGGGAGGCTGAGGCGGGCAGATCATGAGATCAGGAGATCGAGACCATCCTAGCTAATACGGTGAAACCCTGTCTCTACTACAAATACAAAAAATTAGCTGGGCGTGGTGGCAGGCACCTGTAATCCCAGCTACTCAGAGACTAAGGCAGGGGAATCACTTGAACCCGGGAGGCGGAGGTTGCAGTGAGCCGAGATTACAGCCACTGCACTCCAGCCTGAGTGACAGAAAGAGACTCTGTCTCAAATAAATAAATAAATAAATACATAAATAAATAAAAGGAAGTAAAAACCTTATCACCATATAGATTCCCCTTTTCTATAATAGTTATCTTATATATTACTCCTCTATACATTGAAAAGAAACCACTAACAGATGATGCTGTAATTTTTGCTTACAACCCTGAGATATATTGCAAAGAATTCAAGAAGTGGCCGGGCGTGGTGGCTCATGCCTGTAATCCCAACACTTTGGGAGGACGAGGTGGGTGGATCACTTGAGGCCAGGAGTTTGAGACCAGCGTGGCCAAAATGGTGAAACCCCATCTCTACCAAAAAATAGAAAAAATTAGCCGGGCGTGGTGGTGCGCATCTGTAATCCCAGCTACTCGGGAGGCTGAGGCATGAGAATTGACTGAACCCAGGAGGCGGAGGTTGCAGTGAGCCAAGATCGTGCCACTGCACTCCAGCCTGGGCGACACAGCAAGACTCTATCTCAAAAAAAAAAAAAAATTCAAGAAGAGAAAAATAGTCTATTATATTTACCCAATGTTTACCATTTCTCTTACTATTCTCTTCTGGTATAATTTCCCTTCTCTCTGAAGAATTTTCTTTATCAGTTCTTTTAAAGCAGGTCTATTGACAGTGAAGTCTCTTAGTTTTACTTCATGTGAGAATGCCTCTATTTTGTCTGTTCCTGAAGGATATTATCAGTGACTACAGAATATGGGGCTCATGCTTCTATTCTTTCAGCAGTTTTAAAAGGCTGTGCCACTCTTTCTAGCCTAAATGGTTTCTAGTGAAAAATCTACATTCATCGGAGTTGCAGTTCTTCTATAGATAATGTATTGTGGTTCTGTCTGCTTTAAATAATTTTTCTTTTTATCCAATTTTGAACAGTTTGATTACAATATGTGGGGTATGGATTTCTTTTGTTTCTTTCTCTTGGGGGTTGGCTGAATGTATTAGTTTCCTGGGGCTGTCATAACAAATGACTGCAAACTGGGTGGTTTAAAACCACAGAAATTTATTATCTCACAGTTCTGGAGGCAAGAGGTCTGAAATTCAGCAGAGTCACACTCCCTCCACAACTATTACGGGGACATCTGTTCCCTGCCTCTTCCAGATTCCAATGACTTGTGGGTACTCCTTGGATTTCTTAGCTTTTGGTCATGTCACTCCAATTCTTGCCTGTACCTTCACCTGGCTTTTTCCTGTATGTGTCCCAAATCTCCCTCTGCCTTTCTAAGGTGATTTGTCATTGGATTTATGGCCCACCCAGATAATACAGGATGGTATCCTCATCTTAAGATCCTTAGTTACATTTGCAAAGACCATTTTTCCAATTAAGATAACATTTATAACATTCACATATTCTGAGAATTAGGACATGAGCATAGCATTTGGGGGGCCACCATTTAACCCACTAATGGAACTTCTTGAATGTGGTTTGTGGCTTTATGTCTTTCACCAAACTTGTGATGTTTTTAGTCTTTCTTTTCTTCAGAACTACAGTCTTTCTGCTCTCCTGCTGGAACCCTGATGACACAAATGTTGACCTGTGCCATTGTCTCATAGGTGTTTGGGGTCCTGTTTGTTTGTTTCTTTGTTTTACTCTTTGCTTCTCTCTGTTTAGATTGGACACTTTCTGTGATTTATGTTCAAGTTCACCGACTGTTTCCTCTGTCATTTCCATTTTGCTATTGAGCTCATTCTGTTAAGTTTTTTTTTTAATTCAGTTATTGTAGTTTTTAGTTCTGAAATTTCATTTTGGTTCTTTATATCTTGTGTTTTTGCTGAGACTTTCTATTTTTCAGGTTTTTTTTTCTAAAGATTGTTTGCAGTTCTTTGGAGCATGTGTACAATAGCTGCCTTAAATATCTCTGAGATAATTTCAACATCTGTGTCCTCTTGGCATCGATATCTGTTATTGTCTTCTCATGCAAGTTGAAGTTTTCATGGTTCTTCATATGCCTCATAATTTTGGATTCTATCTTGGACATTTTTAATGTTTTATTAGGAGACTCTTGGTCTTAATTTAAATCACATCAAGAATGTTATTTTGATTTTAGCATGTAAACAACCTGGCTAGATTCATTCCACAGTTTTAGCCTTCTTCTATGGGCGGTGGCTCCAATGTCAGCTACATTTTCAAAGCCTTTGCAGTGCCATTCAAATATGTCTCATGTATGTTCCATCCTGTGGTCAGTCTAAGGTGGCAGGTTGTTTGTTCACTTCTCACCGTTTTTGACATTGTGACTGAGATGGGATCCATGCATGCCCAGGTCAGGGGGTGAGCTCAGTATTTCATAAACAACTTCATGAGGTTGTTTTCCTGAGTCCTCCATCATCGTGATTTATCTGGTACTTTCTAGTTTCCTGGGACTCCCCTTTTTGCTTCTCCAGTCATAAAGCTGGAGCTTTAGTTACCCTATGATACCACACATTTCCTTGACTATGCTTATGTCTGACTAAATGGCAGGACAGAAAGGAAAAAAGCTGTGGGTATCACAGCTCCTATTGAAGAGGAAGATTCTTCTGTGTTTCAATTTCCTACAAGTCCCATTGCCTCGGCTGTCGCTACAGCCACTTTGGGGTTGCCTGTGGTTTGGGTTGTGAGAAAACAGAGAGAAGAGGACAAAAAAGGGACAAGAGATTTCTACATTCTGAGTGTTAGGATTGTTTCCCTTTCCTGCTTCTTGAGTGAGAATGAGAACCCTTCTCCTAGAGCTCTGTCTGTTCTCATTGATGCCTGGGGTTCAGACTGCATTGCATTTGGTCAGGAAATATGAAGAGGCAAAAAACGGTAAATTCACCAACAGTTCAGTGATACTTGAATTCTGGTCTTCTTTCCCAATCAGGCTGCTCCTATTATTCAGAGTCCTCAAATACTTGCTCTATGCATTCCGTCCACCTTTAAGTGACATTCAGTGGAGAGACAGAGTGCAGTACGTTTGCTCCGCTTTATCCTGGACCGGAGACCTCACAGCTTTCTTCTTAACCTGTGTTCTATACTACTTCTCATCCTTTAAGAAACGATGGGGTGGTAGCTACACTGATGGAAAGACTAAAGGCTCTGGTCTTAGTGTTCCGTGCACACTCCACAGTCTCAGGGCTCCCACCACCCATGGCATCATAACCTGATGTGCACTAAAACCAATTGTTTTATAAACAGTTATTACAAAATGACACTTTATGCAGTCTGAAGGTACCTTTTAGGTTTTGTTTTTAGACTAGGAAAATTATCTTACTTTTTGCATTTGTGTTCTCACTGTAGGGTAATCATTCTGTGTTATCACACTATCCTAGGTTTGCCCAAAGGACCAGCCAAAACCTCACCTCAAGCCACGCATATGATAATGTAAGTAACAAAACTCTTTTCTAGCAGTGCATCTAGTCAGCAGATTATTGTAGCCAGAAAAGAACTCATGGTCATTAATTCCCATGTTCTGCTCAGTATTGTGTTGATGCGCAGCCCCTGTTAGCAAGATGGTAAGGATCAAAATTTTTTTGGAGTTTGTATTTGCTATCTCCACTTCCTTTCCTTGTATTCTCTTTGACTTCAGACATGCTCTTCTACCACTCTATGGACATAACTCTTGTCAAGGTCACTGGTGACTTCTGTATTGTGAAATTTAGAACTGCAGTTCCATAGTCCCTCATTTTATCAGCAACAAATGACAAAGTTGATCACTTCCTCCTTCTTGCACACATGGCTTTCAGACACCAGTCACTTTGGTTCTTCTCCTGCCTCACGTTCATTTCTTCTCCATCTCTTTTGGTGGCTCTTCCTCCTCTACTGACCTTTTCTTGTTGGAGACCCCAGGGATCAGGCTTCAGACTTTTCTATCTACATTCATTCCTCTGTGGTCTTTTGGTCTCATATCTTGAAATAACCATTCAATTTTTGACAACCTACAAGTTTGTATCTCTTGTAGCCCAGACCCCTTCTCTAAACTCAGAACTCATATATCTACTTTCCACTTAATGTCTCCTCTTGATTTCTTCCCAGTCTCCACTCTCAACCTGCCCTTCCTGCAGACTTGCCACCTCAGTCAATGGCCACTCTGCTCTTTGCTGCATAGGTCAAAAACCTTGGGTAATAGCGCTTGACATCCACCTTTTTACTTTTACTTTTGCCTTTTACTTTTAAAATATGTCAATTATTCAGCCACTTCTCACCACCTCCACTTCTGCATCTTAGTCCAAGTCACCATCGGATGGACATTGCAGTGGCCTCTAAGGGAAGCCCTGTTTCAACCTTTGCCTCCCTTCGCATCCCTCCCACCCACCTCATAATCTGTTCTCAAAACAAAAACAGGGGCATTCTTTTTTAAAAAGTGAAGTCATATTATGTCACTCATTTGCTCAAAACCCACCTGTGATTTTCTTCCTCACTCCATTTTACTCAGTAAATGCCTGAAATGCCGATCTGACCGCACCCGTCACCTCTCCAGGCTCACCTCCTGCCCCTCTCTACCTTGGCTCACTCTATTCCAACCACACTGGCCTCCCCCACTTCAGAGACTGTGAACTTGTGTCCTCTCCAGTAACCACAAGACTCACTTTAGTCAGGCTCTGCTTAAACGTCCCCAGTGATGAGACATTTCCTGACCACGACCTATTAGAGCAGTATTCCACCCCAGTCTCTCTCCCACCCACTACTCTGCTTTTATATTAGAGCACATGCCATTGGATATCTGTTCACATTTGTTGATTGTCTGAGTCATGAGGGCAGGAACTTGGTCTGCTTTGTTTATTGCTTTATTAATAGTGCCTGGCAGCTGGTAGGTGGCCAGGATATATTTGTGGAGTGAATAAGGAAAATTATGAGAAGAGATATTTCTAATTAAGATTCTAATATTTTATCAATCCTGATTTTGTTGTGTCACTGAGTGCCTCTCTGTAGATTTAAATTTTTTTTTTCCTACTCAAGGCTGAGATTTTATATTCAGAGTGAAACAACAGAGAATCTGGCCTGAGCCATTGAATCTGCTTCATTTTTAAAAGCAATATATGGTTTTTTTTTCACAGTTTCTATGGGAAATAGGGTGCATTAGGCATAAAATCAGACAAAAATATAGTAAATTCTTGTTTTTGAGACAGGGTCTCATTCAGTCACCTAGGCTAGAATATATAGCATGATCATATGATCATAACTCACTGCAGCTTCAAACCCCTAGGCTCGTGATCCTCCTGCCTTGGTCTCTGGGGTAGCTGGGACTACAGGTGTGAGCCACCATGCCCAGCTATTTTTTTTTTTTTTTTGTAGAGTTGGGGTCTTGCTGTTGCCTAGGCTGATCTTGAACTCCTGGGCTCAAGTAATCCTCCCACCTATCCTCCCAAATTGCTGAGATAACAGGCATGAGCCACCATGCCCAGCAGAAAAGTAGTAAATCTCGTAAGTGATTATTACCTAAAAAAACTAAAGTAATAATTAAAAACAACTTATTCTTGTCCAGTTCAAAGTTCTTGGAACAATGTACTTGCAAGTGTAGGAGTCTCAGTAATAAAAGAAAAGCTTAATGTAGAACGTTTATATGAACATGTGTTATGCTTTCTTCAGTTTCTGGAACATTCAAATTCAGTGTTTCTACAGCCAGTTAGTCTACAAACCATTGCAGCAGCACCATCAAACCAGAGTCTGCCACCTTTGCCCAGCAATCATCCAGGTACATGGGACCTTATTATTCGCATCAAATAAGGAAACTTATGAGAATATATGAGTCTGCCAGAGATTCATTGGTAACTGAAAATAGGAGAAATTAGAGATGCTCTTTTGTATTTTTAAGCTAATGAAACAAATTCAGGGCAGATACCATTATGACTGACTTATAAGAGACTGTAAAAATGCTTGTGTTAAACTGAGTATTGTGTTTTGAATGCTAAGGTAAATGAATCTTTAGTTGAGGTTTGGAAACCTTTTTGATACATACAGATTTGTTGAACTTGGGAGTAGCATTGGGACACCAGTCTGTTTTGGTTGTGTTTATTAGGATCTAATATTTGAAGTCTAAATTATAAAAAGAATATCAATTGCGTGTACTCCTCAAAAAGCACAATATGTTTACTGGTCTCTTTTTTTGCCCAAAGCGATGACAAAAAGTGATCTCCAGCCACCTAATTACTACGAGGTAATGGAGTTTGATCCCTTAGCTCCTGCTGTCACTACAGAGTAAGTCATTTACAAAATGATTAATTTATTTTTTGTCTTGGTTCCCTTTGATAGCAGAGCTAACAGGGCTTGGTTATACATTTAACTTTGTTTAGGTCTTGGCAGAAATTGATGGCCTTATTAAAAATGCCTTATGAGGTTTTATGGCAGCTGTTACTCTTAATGGTCTTATCGTTCCGGCCTTGTGACTAAAAAATAAAAATGCTGGGGTTGCATGTTAAGAAATAACTGGAACTAACCTGCTTAATGGACTCCTCATAGATCCCTTGGCAGAAAGTCATGTTCTCTTTAGCTTGAGAAGGGTACTAGTCACTGATTGGTGACATAAGTTTATGCCACATTGATGGAATATTTTAGCTGCTCTTTATGAACTGATCCAAAAAAATCTTATATTAGAACTTGTTTTTAGTCTTCTAAAGCATTAGTACAATTACTTTTTACTTAAAATCCTTAAAGCAACATTCTTTTATGATTTCATATTGGTCAAGATATATAAATATTAATGGAATGGTAAGGTCATAAGAACTTTAATATACTTTGAGTGACTGAAGGTTACCCCCAAATTGTTAAAAATTATTAAAGCACGTTTATTGGAAATCATTGTTCAGAAACTGACAGCCTACAGGCTCTATCTTGCTTGCAGTTGTTTGTTTTTGACCTGTGCAGAATTTAAAATGTGCATTTAAAAAATTAATTGCTGGTTTGGGAAACTCTCAACCATGTTTTTCCTCAGCTCTCACTCTAATATAACAATGAATGCAGAGACTTCTGTGGCCCCCAAATATGTGAGGATTTCTCCCCATCAGCAGGCAAGCAATGAATTCTACAATGGACACCAGCTGGGTGTCCTCTGATTCAATTCCAACACCATCTACCTGGAGATAGTGTCAGACCCCACAGGTTGAGAGCTCAGTCCCCACCACCCCGACACCTACCTTCCCAGACACCAGTCACAAGCCTGGGCCTCTAAACTTAGGACTGACTGGCTTCAAGTTGGGGTTCCCATGACTGCTTCTTTGGGTTTGATTAGTTTGCTGGAGCAGCTCACAGAACTCAGGGAAATACTTATATTTACTGGTTTATTATAAAGGACATTGCAAAGGATGCAGATGAAGAGATGCACAGGGCGAGGCATGCGGAAAAGGCCATGGAGTTTCCGTGCCCTCCCTGGAGTCCCACCCTCCAGGTACCTCCACGTGTTCAGCTATCCAGAAACTGACCTGACCCAACCCCAACCCAGTCCTCTAGGGTTTTTAATGGAAGCTTCTTGATGTCAGCATTCCTTCCCCCAGGGTATAGGGCAGGACCCTCTCTAGGGAGGCTCTTATGACCCACAGTGACAAAGGTGGGCGATTAGAGTGGTGCCTTGGGGCAGGTGAAAGGAGGACTAGAGAAGGTCGAGAGATTCTGCTTCCAGAGGCTGGCTCCTAAGGCCTGACACACCCAACATTATAACAAAAGACTGTAACAAGGGCTATGGGAGTTGTGAGCCAGGAACCTTAGACAAAAACCAGTATGTATCATAAGACCACAGTTGCCAACAGCTGAAAACTCGGATATTTGAAAATAAAAATTCTGGACTTCTAGATCATTTAGATACTCTGTCAACACGAAGCCTGAATTTTTACGTGCTAGCTATGGGCTGGGGTTGAGTAGTAGCTATCTCCTTTACACAGGTAGGCTCTGCAGCCCCTCAGGTCCTGTTACCACCCAAAAAACCCAGGGTTCATTCACCTGGATAGTAACAGATATCTGACTCTCCACAAGGACACAGGTTTTGATCAATAGGAATTTTATTACTTAGCACAAGTAAATTCTTTAGGGGCCAGGATCAGAAAGCGTTCTTCTGTAACTTCTTCATGTTGACCAGGGACACTGTATCCAGAGATGTTAGAGGAGTGAAAATCTCTAGGCACTAAAACTAAATATGTTTTAGGGTCTCCCAGGATAGGTTGCAAAGGCACCTACAGTTGAAATTTTTCTAATCTGGAAGATACAAATTTTACGAAGAGGTTAAAGATGCAGGGACCAAACAACAGTAGTAAGAGCAATAAAATTAGTGGCCTCATTAGGGGAAGAAACCAAGTAACACTTGGTATTGCTAATTTGAGAACTTCTCAAACAGAATTAGAAGTATGGCTATTAGGCCTGATGTGGTGGCTCACCCCTGTAATCCCAGCACTTTGCGAGGCCAAGGCGCGCAGATCACCCTGAATTCAAGATCAGCCTGGGCAACATGGTGAAACCCCGTCTCTACTAAAAATACAAAAATTAGGCAGGTGTGGTGGTGCGCACCTGTAGTCCCAGCTACTCAGGAAGGTGAGGCAGAAAAATCGCTAGAACCCAGGAGGTAGAGGTTGCAGTGAGCCCAGATCGTGCCCCACTGCATTCCAACCTGGGCAACAGAGCGAGACTGTCTCAAAAAAAAAAAAAAAAAAAAAATATGGCTGCTGATTAAAAGTGTGGAACCAAGAGGCTTGGGCATGGACCTTCCTAATGTTAACTTCCTATTTCCCCTGAGGTATTTATTCAGGTACAGCAAGAGGAATTAATAACTGCACACTCTCCTCCTCCCTGTTCTGCTAAGAGGCAGTCTAATGCTATACAATTATCTAGTACCGCATTAGCCAAGGAGTCATATGAGGCCCCAAGTCTGGAACTTCCCCAGGAACTAGGGCCAGCATGGCAGTGCCATGGGCTCAGAACACCTCTATTCTGTCCTGATTTAGAGAAATTGTGGCTCCAAACTTAGTCAGAAGGTCCCTTCCCAAAAGGAGAATGGGATGTTTGGGGAACAGAAGAAAGAATGAGTGAAAGTTTTAGATACTATTTCATGGACCAGAGGCTCCAAGAATCTTTTATTTCCTTTATGAGACACACCCCTTATATACATTTCTTCCTGGATAGGGTCCACTTTTAGTGATCAACACAGAAAACATGGCTACAGTGTTGATCAAAAACTCAGCTGGTGGCCGGGAGCAGTGGCTCATGCCTGTAATGCCAACACTTTGGGAGGCCAAGGCTGGAGGATCACTTGAGCCCAGGAGTTCAAGACCAGCCCTGACAGCATAACGAGACCTTGTCTCCACAAACAAACAAAAAAATCAGCCAGGTGTGCCTTAGTCCCAGCTACTTGAGAGGCTAAGGTGGGAGGACTGCTTGAGCCTGGGAGTTGGAGGCGGCAGTGCGCCATGATCACGGTGCTGCACTCCAGCCTGGGTAACACAGACCCTGTCTCAAACAAACGAAAAAAAATCCAACTGGTTGCCCCCCTTCTTCTGTGTAACCTGGGGCTCCTTGGGGGAGATGTGGATCTTGTTTTGAGGAGCCAGGCAGGGAGCCCCATGTCCCCATCCATCAGTTTCTTGTCCAGTTACAGGGAACAGGTACCTTGGGCTTGTCCTCCTCCTTCCCTCTCTGGGGATGATTTGGACATTCCCTTTCCTAGCATCCTTTCTGCTTCCAGTAAGCATATTGTTTGGGCCCCAGTGTAGGCAGGCCCTGAGTTCCATGGTGGGGGCCCTGGTCACTCACCCATGCCATCTTCTTCCTGGGCTTCCTGAAGTAGTCTGTAGGGCTGCCGCATCTTCTTGTCTTCCTTTTCATCAGATGCCACATCTCTTTACTATAGACCTTAAAGGAGATGTCTACCAGTTGGAAAGGGGGAGTATGTGGATTTATTGCCACTTTTTAGAGTTTTCTCTGAATATCTGGGGCTGAGAGATGAAGTGAGATTAAAGTACTACTCAGCTTTTGGGTCATCTGGGTCCCAAGGGGTGTAATTCTGGAGGCATTCTTATTATCAATTTAGGAATGCTGATGGATTTTCATTAGGGCCTTGTT
This sequence comes from Homo sapiens, assembly GCF_000001405.40. Lineage (NCBI taxonomy): Eukaryota > Metazoa > Chordata > Mammalia > Primates > Hominidae > Homo > Homo sapiens. The sequence goes on from NC_000017.11 coordinate 54,953,970, forward strand.
CTATTTCTCTGAGATTTCCCCAATTGACCAGGGACTGGCTTGCTTCCCTCATACCTCTGAGAAGCATATTCCTATAATGATGAAGCCACTCTTGATTCTTGTTATCACTGGGGTCCCAGTTTGGGTTGGCTATTGGGACTGACACCTCAACGGGCCAGGTCACCAGGTTATCAGCACACATATTGTCTGCCTCCTCCTTAGTTTTGGCCATGGTGGCAGATTTATCTTCTGCTGTGAGCAGGGTTGCTGTTACGGTCTGCACACCTGGCCAGGTAGGGTTATGTGTGGAGAATATTCTCCATATGAGAGTTACGAACTCTCGTGGGCTCACCCATAAGCCCTTACTATGGGATTTCCAGTTATACAAGTCAACAGTTTTAAAAAACACATAGACCCGAGCAAAACCTCTTTCTCCAACAGGCATGCTCTGAGTGGCAACAGTCACCCTCCAGGGTTATATGCGTTCCCACTATGAGTGGTGCTCCCTGGCAAAGAAGAGTGCAACAGGGGCCTGCTATTGCCATAGCAGGAGCCACAGCTGGCTCTGCAGAGTTTGGAGGGCCTGGCAAATACAGAACGGGCCCTTGCTTTTCCCTGGAGGTGCAGAGGGTACCATTTCCAAGAAGGTGGACTATGCCCCTGTATTGGCCAAGGTTCCAGTCCCCGAGTAGAGTTAGAGGGCCTCACTTCTCTTGGAGGGGGTAGTAAAGGGACTCTTCTTACTTGTTCCCTTCCCTATAGGCCCCCACATGACTGATGCTTCCTCTCCAGAGGCTTCTAGAATTGGCAATATAGTTCCCTTTGGCCAATTTACATATTCTGCATTTCATCTGCAAGGCAGGGTTTTGATAGAGGGCCATAAAACATTGCATATAGGGCATTTCTTCCCATTTACCATGTTTCTTGCAAAAAAAGTCCAATTGGAGAGTTGCAGTAAGTGACCCATATTCAGACCATCTCTTCTGATCTAGGGAATACTGGAGCCAGGCTGTATTACAGTAATATATCATTTGCTTTTTGGTCATGGGTGGATATGCAGTTTCCATTGCCAGAGGAGGCACCCTAACAAGCTCTCCTTCCAAGACCTAGTTCACGACATTCTACGGTCTCTGCACACAGTCTGAGGGGCTTCCAAACTCTGGAGATTAATGATGACACAAATCCCACAACTCAGCTTGAATACTTCTGGTCCTCTTTGCTGGCCACCATGCAAAGCCATCCAGAGGTCCTGGGAAGCTGAGAGGATAACAGGGATTTCCTTTCCCTGGATCATGTTCGGTCCGGGCAGCCTCCCAGGAGATCTCATGGAGACAATGAAGTAGTTCTGGATCCAGCTCAGGTGGTGGGGAGGTAGGTAAATCAATCAAGTGAGTGAGGTGTTTCCTCAGAGAAAGCACACACACTGTTCATGTAACCTTTGTATCACTGCATTCTGGTTCCAGGGATCATGATCCCACCAAAACTGCCCCCTTTGAAACTTGGGTCTCCTCATCAAACTAACAGCAGTCCTTCTGTGACTGCTGCAAAACAAAGCCTGATATTTTAGGGGTTGCCACAGACTAAGGGTAGAAGAATCCAGACTTCATATTCATTCAGGCCACAGACAAGTAAGAATATTGAGCCCTACAGTTATACCACGTAGGGAACAAAGCCTGAAGACAAGCATCCTTGTCTTTTTGTTGGGGATTCCCCTTGTTAAAACGATGGCGATGTCTCTCAGTCTCCCAGACCTGAAAGAAGGAACTTCTTTTTCTCAACAATCCTGGATCCCTTGACCTAGGTCCTAATCCTGACAACCCAGAATCCTAATGATCAAAACCCAGACCACTCTTTTAGTAGTTCATGGAGCTGCTGCTTCAAAGCAGCACCGAGCAAAAGGTCTGGGCTCTAGGCAGCCGCTTCTACTCTCCCAGAGAGGTCTTGTGGTGCTGGTCAGTGGACTACACTAGACACCAGGTCAGGGGTCCCAAGGCCCTTCTCTAGTCTCCTTCTTGGCAACTGAGGTGAGTTGGCCCACGCATGCTTCCACATCCCACTGCTTTGCCTGCCAGGAGCCTATAAGGGAGGTCAAGTCAGGGCTCAACCCTGGGTCTCATCTGGGGTACCAGACTTGTTACCCCTAAAAAAACCTGAGATTCATTCATCTGGTAATAGACAACTCTCCATGAGAACACAGGTTATTATTATTTTTTCTTGACAGGGTCTCACTGTGTCACTCAAACTAGAATAAAGTGGCATGATCACGGCTTACTGCAACCTTGACTTCCCAGGTTGAAGCAGTCCTCCCTACTCAGCCTCATGAGTAGCTGAGACTATTGGGGTGTGCTACCATGCCTGGCTAATTTAATTTTTTGAGACAGAGTGTCACTCTGTCATTAGGCTGGAGTATAGTGGGGGTGATCTCGGCTCACTGCAACTTCTGCCTCCCAGGCTCAGGCAATTCTCATGCCTCAGCCTCCTGAGTAGCTGGGGACTACAAGCATGTGCCACCACGCCTGGCTAATTTTTTTGTATATTTAGTAGAGACAGGGTTTTGCCACGTTGCCCAGGCTGGTCTCGAACTCTTGGTCTCAAGTTCATCTACCCACCTCAGCCTCCCAAAGTGCTGGGATTACAGGTGTAAGCCACCGTGCCTAGCCTTTTAATTTTTTTCTTTTTTATAGAGAAGGGGGTCTGTGTTGCCCAGGCTAGTTTTGAACTCCTGGGCTCAAGCAATCCTCCTGCCTCAGCCTTCCAAAGTGCTGGGATTATAGGCATGAGCCACTATAACCAACCAAGAATGCAGGCTTTGAGCAATAGTTTTATTACTTGTCACAAATAAAGCACCGGGCATAGTCTCCAAAGCAGGAAAGTGACAGGAGGGTTTTATGGGGTGATAGAGAGGGAAGAGGGTATGTCGTTGCATGGAAAGGGGTTGCAGTTGTGCAGATGCAGTGAGTCGTTATTTCAGCACACAGGTCACATGTTATGGTAATGAAGCTATAGCATCTCCCAGGGTGAAGATACTAGCATGGTAATGAGGAAAGTACACTGGGATCCATCTGTAAATTGCTGAGGTCTGTCATGAACTGGTTTAAACCAGCTAGCTGGCTGCATTCCACACAGGGTTTGGGGAAAAAAGCAGGTGATTACTCAAGTTGATTGTACTCCTATAGTCCCTGGAGACCCCTCCTATCTGCTTCCAGCCCCACCCAACCCTCTGCATCTCTTCTTTGGCTGACATGTGTAGACATTTGATATTCTGGTCCCTGGTTTAATCCCTCAATGTAATGGTTGACTTAATTTATGAGCAGATGTTAAGGGACTTAGGAGTCCACTATGTATTTTTTCCTAACTCAGGTTTGAGAAATTTCTCTAAGTCATTCTGCCTGATAGAGTAGATATATCACTGATCATATTAGTGGTTTAAGACACTGGCACTTAACTAGGTATGCTTTCTAGAAACGTTTTTTTAATCAGTTTCTCCATCCAAACAGGTAGTGGAAAAGTTCTTGATTATATTCAAATTAGGAGATTGCTGTATGTTGATACGGCAGTGTCACAGATACTGGCGGTGGGAGAGACAGTAAAAAGCTGGAGGTGAAGCTTTGGAACTCTTTTATCACTGTGGTGGGTCTTTCTTTCTGGGGGTCAGAATGTCTCAGTTCTTTTGAAAGTCCCATGAAATTCAGGGACTTCCCTCCAAGGAAAAGCACAGAATCTTGCAGGAAATTACTGGGTTTTTTTCACATCATTGGTTGTCCATGAATCCCAGGTTGACAATTTTTGCTCTACCAGGACAAACAGTATGTTTATGAAGATACACACGATTCACTAATTTCAATATTATGTGCCAGGGACTATGACTGGACTAATTTATAATTCTGAACAAGAAACATGCTCCCTTGTCCTCACAGAGGTTAAACGTAGTATGGATACAGAAATTAGACAAACCACCAAATACATGTTTACAAAATTTGTGTTAATGTTATGAAAGAATATGGCAACTTGAAAGTTTGTAACAGAACTAATTTAAATGAGGATTAGAGAAAGCTTCAGGTAGCATTAATGCTGAGGCCTGCAATTCTTAGTTAAGTGAAAAGTTTGGAAATGAGTATTGTAGGCCCAAGGAACAACCTGTACAAAGACCCAGAGGACAGAGCTCTGGCACATTCAAGGAAATGGAAATGCTAAAACCAAGAGTAAAGAAAGTTAACAGGGAGCTCAGTACCAGATGAGGAAAATGTAATTTGGAAGCAAAAAGGAGCGAGTACAACTGTGAAGAACAGTGCCAGGGGCAGACAAGTAAGATAAGAACTGAAAACTAGATAATGGATTGGAGATCATTGATGATTTTAGTAAAAGCTACTTTGATGGACTGATGAAGACAGAACCCAAATTTCAGTGCATTTGAAAAGCACATGAGAGATTAAGTAGAGACAGTAAGTACAGATAACTTCTTAGAACTTAAATATGAAGCAGTGATGAAAACAGGTTTGGGGCCGGGCACGGTGGCTCACGCCTATAATCCCAGCACTTTGAGAGGCCAAGGCAGGCGGATCGCCTGAAGTCAGGAGTTTGAGACCAGCCTGGCCAACATGGCAAAACCCTGTCTCTACTAAAAATACAAAAATTAGCCAGGCGTGGTAGCGGGTGTCTGTAATTCCAACTATTCGGGAGGATGAATAGGAGAATCGTTTGAACCCAGGAGGTAGAGGCTGCAGTGAGCTGAGATCCCACTATTGCACTCTAGCGTGGGCAACAAGAGTGAAACTCCATCTCAAAAAAAAAAAAAAAAAAGGGGTTGTTGGTAGCTAGAGGATACTAAGGCATTTACTACAAGAAGAGATGGAATTAAAGGCTGTACTTTGTATAAAATGGGAGACATGGGAGATGCTGGAGAATCTGTGAATGTTGAAGAATAGGATCTGGCATAGAAGGAGAGGTTGAAGACTCAGGAAGGGAAGAATAACTGAATGGGTCAAGTGCTTCAGAAGCCAGGAATAGACAGGATCACAGAAATAATGGACAATACAAATGAAGATAAACTTGAAGATTTAGTGATGGGAAAATGAGGAAGTTTCCATATCAAGACATTTAATGTATTAAGAATGCAGTTTCTACCAGAGAGTTTAGAGGTTTGAGGAGAGTGAAGAAGACTGAAATCGTTTTGAGGGAGATGAGACCAAACTTTTTAGGGAAACATTAAAATTGTAGCACCATTCTGGGGCCTTATGAACTTGGTGATCATGGTTTCATAGCGCTGTGATTTTTGAGATTTTTCCTCAGCCATGTTTTGCTATACTGTATATATGAATGTTGTGCTTTCAGGTATATTTTCCAGCTACAGACATATGTAAGACGCATATAAAGAATTGAATGGGCCTGGCATGGTGGCTTATGCCTCTAATCCCAACATTTTGAGAGGCTGAAGTGGAAGGATCACTTGAACCTGGGAGGTCGAAGCTGCAATAAGCCATGATTGCACCACTGCACTCCAGCCTGGGTGACAGTGACCCTGTCTCAAAAAAAAGAAAAAAGAAAAACGAATGAAGGATGTCATTGAAAAAATACAATATAAAAAAAGTACAGAAATGACAGTGATGAGCTATAGATGGCTGAGGAGTCTGGACTGTAATCACATAGTTTAAATAAGCTGGAAGATTAATTTTTTTTTTTTTTTTTTGAGACGAAAGTCTTGCTCTGTAGCCCAGGCTGGAGTGCAGTGGCACGATCTCAGCTCACTGCAATCTCCGCCTCCTAGGCTCCAGTGATCCTCCGACCTCAGCTTCCTGAGTACCTGGGACTACAGGTGTGTACCACCACACATGATAATTTTTATGTTTTTTGTAGAGATGGTATTTTGCCATGTTGTTCATACTGGTCTTGAAATCCTGGACTCAAGCGATCCACCCACCTCAGCCTCCCAGAGTGCTGGGATTATAGGTGTGAGCCACTGCACTTGTCCTAATATTTTTTTAAAAAGTTTGAAACCAGAAGAAACTGAGGAGTTTTTTAAGCAAAACATAAACTGTCCAAATTTGAGTCATATTTCTCATTTCAATCACAAGAAAAAATTAATTGGTTCTATGAAATACATACTTTTAAGAGACATAGGAATTGCAACAATAAGGCCGGGTGTGGTGGCTCACACCTGTAATCCCAGCACTTTGGGAGGCCGAGGCGGGTGGATCACCTGAGGTCAGGAGTTTGAAACCAGCCTGGCCAACAGGGTGAAACCCTGTCTCTACTTAAAATACAAAAAAATTAGCTGGGCATGGTTGTGTGTCCCTGTAATCCCAGCTACTCGTGGGGCTGAGGCAGGAGAATCACTTGAACCTGGGAGGCAGAGGTTGCAGTGAGCCAAGAAAGCACCATTGCACTCCAGCCTGGACAAAAGAGTGAGACTCTGTCTCAAAAAAAAAGAAAAAATGAAGTGCAACATTAGAATTTAAATAAACTAGAATACACACTTCAGGGCAGAGACTTATTTTTACTCATATGTAGCCTGAACTCCAAAACCAGCTCAATTTTTAATTACAGTGCTGGCAGTTAAAAACCAAAATAGCACTTTGAAATTGATACATAACCCTTTTGCTGTGATGGCTTTGTTTCAGAGCTATTTATGAAGAAATTGATGCTCACCAGCACAAAGGAGCTCAAAATGATGGTGACTGAGGTAAAGACTTCAACTTATACAACTTAATTCCATATTCCATATAATTTCAGTATAATTATCACTTTACATATTTAGTATTTAAATTTTCTAAGGGCCATCTGAGTCTGACACTTTGAAATATGAGTTCCCCTGAATCATTCAAATTGTGCTGAACCATTGTTCACTAATGAGAGTCATTCTTTGTGATTTTCTCATCTGTAAATAGTAAGGCTTGGGAATACAGTAGTTTATGGTATAGAAATATTAATGCTAACAAAATAGATGAGCAATAGGAGTAGCACTGAAATCAGGCATTTGTTTTTCATATGCAGTTAATACTTGTTAACCGGTACCAGTAGACCCATTTACCGTTAGTCCTCCAAATAGGTCTGAATTTTTCCTATTTTCAGCACTACTAATCCCATGTATTTACTATTTAATGGTCACCAATGAACTATCAAAACTTATTTATTCCCCTTATACCCTCCCCTATGGAAGAAGCACATTCTTACCTTTCTTCTACTAGACTGTGACTCTCCAGCTTCCCAGTAAAGACAAGAGAGTTATCAAGGAATGGGGAAAGAGAAGGACAGGATGAATACTGGCCATTTTCTTCTCTTTATTTTAGAAGAAAGTGGATGATCAGCTCACTACCACATCAAAGGTGCCAACTCTCTAAAACGTAGACTCTGTGCAGCTTTGAAGCCTGGAAGACAATACCTACCAACATGTCAAAGCCATGGTGGCACATTTCTGCTATAATGAAGATTAAATAGAATAACAGTTCCAGGATAACACTGATTCCTGACAACAGCGTGAGATTTCAACAGAACTTGTTTGGAACAAATACTCACTTAAAACTTCAGCAGAAGAAAAATTACTTAGTCCTTAGGCCAACCAATTTAACTGCAGTGTCATGTTTCACAGGCCTTCCTACATTTAGAAATCGTCACACAGCTGTGATAAGAGTAGATTATTTTACTATGAAATAATTCTGAATAGATGAAAGCATAAAATGTGAGAAACTGAATGTATTATTCAGGAAGAATACTGAGTGCCTTCATTTAACTAAAGTTGAATGTAAAAGTCAATTTGCACTTCTTTATAATCCTCTGGTTTAGAATTATAAATTGTTAAAACCTTGATAATTGTCATTTAATTATATTTCAGGTGTCCTGAACAGGTCACTAGACTCTACATTGGGCAGCCTTTAAATATGATTCTTTGTAATGCTAAATAGCCTTTTTTTCTCTTTTTACTGCAACTTAATATTTCTATTTAGAACACAGAAAATGAAAATATTTAGAATAAGTTGTACATTTGATGACAAATAAATCACTATTAAAACAATTTAATACTTTTTTTTTTTAACAAAGGTTTGTTTCCAGAAGAACTTTTGATGTCAGTAAATCTTCACAATCCCACCTGTACATTTTAACATTCATGGACTTGTAATGGTGATGCTTTGGCTAACAGCCTAGTAGATGTATTTTATTTCAATTTTATGATACTACAGTTTCAAAGTAATTATTCAGAACTCTGAATATAAAATAGCCCTAAACCTTAAAGGACAAATCAAATTTGAAATAAGAATTTAAATCTTTGGACAAGCTGTTAGGGCTTAGTGACTCCTCTTCTACTTTGAGCTTTTAAAATACTGACTATTCATAATGAAGGAAAATAGCAACCAACTCTTTTAGACACAATAAACATGGTTAGAAGTTCTGGCCTATGACTTGAAACAAATAACCCTGAGCATACATTTTTGAAAAACATTGTCAGATTCATTGCTGTAAGTATGAAGAGTTAATAATCTGGAAGGGAATTATGGAATTAAGCTGAACCCATGCCTGCATATTTAAAAAACAAAGCGGCTTATTTTAATAGTATCAAACTCTTCAGTATGGTATTGAATAGTCAGTCATATATTCTAGCTAGGCATATGAGTTTCTTATGATAAAAGCTGAACTTGTTCTCTCAAGTTTAAGTGAAAAAAATTAGTTGAGAAAAAATAATTATTTAAAATATAAGCCTTCATATTATTGTACAATATTTCTCCTTTGAGAAGATAGGATATATGATTTTCCCAAAAATCACAACTTTGAAGGAAGACTTAGTTGCTGACTTCAATTATATCCTGGAACTGGCAACTTGTGCCCTTCCTTTGCTTCAAAAAAAGTGTAAGAAAGAGTGATAAGATCAACTTTAATCATTCTTGGATCTTCAGCAAATTCAGGATCAATGTAGAAAAACACTGGCATATCTACTTCCTCTTGGGGATTAAGCCTTTGTTCTTCAAAACAGAAGCACTGGAAATTATAGAAAGATTTTAATAACATTTCTATTCTCGTATTACATAACAGAAACTATACAGTTCTTTTATCTTAGCATTCCAGTACACTTCGTGATTTTAATAAGCATACTATTAAATACACAGTTCTGTGATAAATTAAGAGCATCTTTTCATCTCAATGAGTTCTGCTTTAAGGATGAAGAACAAATTCTAATCTTAAAAGCAGATATCCATTTGGTTTGGTTCTCAATCTCTGCATAGCAGGTATAGATAGTGAAGAAAAATAGCTTGATGTTTAGAAGAAATTCGTTTTCAGAAATCACAAGATCTACTAAAACACTAAGTTTCATACTAAACCGTTTCATGTATCTTTATCATATTCTGTAAAGTTTACACTTTGATGTACCTGTATTTTATTGAAATACTGTCCAGCTTCAAATGGAACAATATTGTATGTAGAAATTCCAATTACTGGTTTGTCAGTAGGATTCTTAGCTCTGTAAAACGCCAGTGCAGTCTCTCCTGGCACCACCTGTTTTAAAGAATATATATATTATCAATACTTTGAATCTCACAAAGTTCCTCTTTTCCCTGCTAAATTAGTCTCATTATTTTGCCTATTCATCAGACCATAATACCTAATCTAATGTAGGGTTCAGCAAAATAAATTGTGAATATTACCCATAAACATATCTGAGTTTAAAAACTTACTTGCATATGTCAATGAAGAACCAATGTTCTAATATCCATAATTAGTTATGAACTGTCCTCTTGTATATTTGAGGTCTTCAAGGAATAATCGGCAAATTACATTATTTAAAATGTGTCCAAGCCAATCATATCACAGCCCTAGCCCAACTTTTCTGTAACACTTATACCTGAATGTCATGATTGACTATTTTTTTTAAAAAGATACCAACATTAAACTTACCTTAAAATCAGAATAAAACTGACTGACTAGAACCTTTATTATGCCACAAAGTGTTAATACTTTGGAGAAAATAAGGGAATAGCGAGGCTTAAAAAAATTTTCCAAAGGATATTCTGTCACTTGTACCAATTCAGCCACTAATACCTTTGTATACTACCACGTAATTGGAGAAGATTCATAATCATAACCTATAAAATCTTTATTAAGAGATTCAGTCATGTTTACTAAACTGGGCAAGCACTAATATTTATAAGGCTTTTCCAATATGGGTTGAAATTAACTCACTCTGGCTAATCCTCAATTAATGAGATTTCAGTTAAAATCTTTCTTACAGTTGGTTAAAATTTTAGGAAAGCGTTTAGGTATAGTCTCAGTCTCACTGGAGTATAACATAACTATTTACTACTTATTGATTATTTCAAAGGCCCTCAATTTGTTTTCTTTTAGAAGGACAGGGATACTTTTGATATAAACCAGTAAACTACTCATTGTAACCAATGCTTTTCCACATTTTTCCCATGTCTTCTATGCCTGAGGAAAAGTCAGGAAGCTATATAGCCTGACGGTTACTGCTACTCCCAACTGTTTCACTCATCTAAACTTAATTTCAAAATACTGACGGGTTCCATTACTATAAATTTTTTTATTCCCATAGACTACTTTTTAATAGTGCTTTACACCTAATGTAACAGAATTTATACTTTAACTTTTAAGTTACATGATAGTAAAAGTCAATTTGGAACAATGGAAAATGCCATGTTTTATTAGAATCATAGTGTTAAAATTAGTCCTCTGACAGTTTAAGTGATGAAAGAAAGGAATTTACATTAATAAAGTAATCTTTTAATGACTGGTTAGTCACTTACATATATTTCTGTTTGCTGAGGTCTAAAGTTCCACTGGAGACTTGCATGCACATCTGCATTAAAGCTAATTTTAATGATTCGATCTTTAACAGGCACCATGTTTTCAATCTTGTCTGAGGCATGACCTGCAACTGCTGATCCTCCAAGTCCAGTAGTCTAGAAAAAGATACCAAATATGTTAAACAATACTTTTAGGTGTTGATGATCTATTTATTTGATAAAAGTTTAAAAACAATGTAGTATTTATAATCCATTTGGAGCCAAGTTTACATATGGTAACTGACCATTGCTGTAACTGTGTCAAGAATCTGACTACTTTTGGGATGTCATGAGCCTGTATTTGTTAAAGTCATTCCTATTTTTCAGCAATCCCTTGGTTACCTGGCATGGTCAAAAATGAGTCTGGGAAAAGCAGGTTCACTAGATAAGTCAACTATTATCACTGATAGTCGAACTCACAATTTCCAGCTTAGCCATTTATAAAAAACACATTTCCCTTTATTGCTAGTATTTCATTAATAGAAATAAAATTTACCCATGACCTTGTAATTCCACTGAAAATACTTAACTCAATTTTTCCATATTCCTGTCTGGTCCTTTTCCATATCACAGCTTTTATAATCCAAATAAGATTGTAGCTTCACTTTTATTAACATTCTGCTTTTCTAAGGTATCACAGGTATTTTCCCACGTTGGTTAATGGTTTTGAATCTTTTCTGTACTTCTCTGTATAGTAGAGCTTTTATATAAATCACTAATCAGAGCACCTAATCCCTATGGCCACAGAAATAATCATAGGGCATCAAGAGTATTTATGTCTGACATTTCTTTTATTCATGACAGTTATTTCCTTGACATCACTTTTAAAAAAAGCCCTTACCCAGCACTTTGGGAAGCCACGGGGGGCGGATCATGAGGTCAGGAGATGGAGACCATCCTGGCTAACACAGTGAACCCCCGTCTCTATTAAAAATAGAAAAAAATTAGCCGGGTGTGGTGACACGCGCCTGTAGTCCCAGGTCTACTCGGGAGGCTGAGGCAGAAGAATTGCTTGAACCCGGGAGGCGGAGGTTGCAGTGAGCCGAGATCACACCACTGCACTCCAGCCTGGGCAACAGAGCAAGACTCCATCTCAAAAGAAAAAAAAAAACGCCCTTACTTCCAAGGTCATCTTTCTTCTGATACTTGAGGTTGCCAGAATTCTGATTTCTGGATAATTTGCCTGTTACTATGCTAGGAAGAAAAAACAAAAAACAAATTTGAGGCTAGGGGAAGACTCCCAGCAAGATACAGTGTTTTAGCATTCTCTGTTTGTTACGCAAGTCAACTAACTTCATTTGACTGCCATGCAACATTACTGAATTACATTATATCCCTAAAAGATGCATCAGAGGGCAAGCCTTTATCCTTGTTTATCCTTCTGCCTGAGTGCTGTGTTTAAGATGTAACTTCTTTTACTAAAAAATTTAAGTCACTTAAATAAAAATACTTTTAAGTGTCCTCCCTCAATAAAGATTCCAATATAGTCTTTGAATATGGGTTCAAATTTCTAAGTTCAATGCCTAAAGTAAAATAGACAAAAAGACTAGAAAACAGCACTAAAAAGATGTCCTGGTCTCTATTCTAGTTGTGCTACTAGCTCTAAGAACCTGATAGATTACAAATTACATTTGGCTTCCTGATCTATGATTGCATGTGGGCACATTTCACACGCAATATTATCAGTTATTTCAGTTTGGGGCAGGGTTTCTCAATCTTAGAACTATGGACATTTTGGGCTGAATAATTTTTTGTTGTTTGGGGGTGAGGCAGTGCTTTGTTGGTTATTTAGTAGCATTCCTAGCCTCTACCTATTAGATGCCAGTAGCACCCTATACCCCCACCTCCATGTTGTGACAACCAAAAATGTCTTCACACATCGCTAAATGTTCCCTGAGGGGCAAAAATCTCCTGGCGGTCTGAGAAGGATCTAGATTTGCTGATTTGGATTCAGTTCTGCTTATGATTTAACCAACTGGTAGTTTTAGAATTCATGCTTGGGCTTGGTCTCTGATGAAAAGTAATTCACATTCTATACTCATCCTCAAAATCAACTATTGCACATTCCCACATAAATGCTGGCATTAGGAGACTATGCCAGAAAAGAAAAGTCCTTTTGTCTTCTGCTTCATCATCTAAAAGAAAGGTAAATTGATTTCCACGGGCATGGTGGCTCACGCCTGTAATCCCAGCACTTTGGGAGGCCAAGGCAGGAGGGTCACTTGAGCCCAGGAGTTGAGACCAGCCTGAGCAACATAGGGAGACCTCGTCTCTACAAATTTAAATAAATAAACGTGCGCGCGCGCGCACACACACACACACACACACACACACACACGGAAAGAGTGAACTCCAGCTAAGAATACCAGTCATGGTGTTAAAAAAACAATTCCCAAACTTTCCTGCACGCTGGAATCACCTAAAACATACTTGACAATTACTGATGCCTGGTTCCCACTGTGGCCTTGTGATAAAATGGGTAATGTGTGTGGATTTTTAGAAGCTGTCCAGGTGATTCCCAATGTTGCTGTACAATGAATTTTGGGAGCCACTATCTTAAACACTTACTGAATCACTTGTGGCATGATTTTTAAACCGAAATTCCTGTCCCTACCCTAGACTTCCTAACCAGAATCTCTGGGGTAGGGGATCCCTGGAACGTGTATTTAACGTTAAGCTCCATAGGTGATCCTAATGGCCAGCCAAAGCTGCAAATTATTAGCTAAGAACAAAGGAGAAATCTCTAAAATACGTGAAACTTGTCTTTGCCTGTGGTTCTCAAAACTTGCCCTCAAAATCAACTACAGGACTTAACTAAAATATAGAGTGCTGGTCCCACTCCCCTTCTTCTCCCCGCCCCACCCCCCCACCCCGTGTTTCTGACTCAGTCCTGGAGTCGGGCCCTAGAATTTGCACTTTTAACAGGTTCCCGGGTGATGCTGATGCTGCCGGTCCTGGGCGCCACACTCCCAGAACCGTTGCAATGTACTTAACAGTTTCCAGGTTAAGTACATTACAGTTATATATTAACAGGGGTGGGGCGAGAGAGCCTCAAAGGCCTAATTCATGCCTCTTTGTACGGAGGAACTGCTAATCCCAGTTTAAGCCCAAGAAACACGAGTAGTCCAATTTCCAGAGTTACCCTTGGCACATAAACCACATGTGGTTTGCAGAGTGAATGTATGAATAATACATTTTAAAAGCGTGTGTGCGCAGGAGGGTAAGGCAGACTGCTAGATACCCGGTTAGAGGCTGCGGACCTTTTTTTTTTTTTTTGGCGAGGTGCAGTTCATAGATCAGGGGTTTCACTCTGCAGCATGGTATAAGCACAATCACTAAGAACTGGATGCTACTTGCAGTTTTGTCACCAATTTCTTTGGTGACTTTGGGTGTTAAGTGACTGTTTTGAACCTCTCTCCTCTTAGGTAGATAATATCGGAAACCTCTTCCACCTACGACCCGCAGAGCGAGGGCTTGTCCCGGGATTTGTCTTGCACCCCCACCTCTCGCGTCTGCGCCACCCTGCGGGCGGCGCCGGCCCCTACCTGGCAATAGAGCCGATAAAGGGGTACGGCAGCGTAGGACGCCCCCAGCATGCCCACGGCGACAGCGGCCACGTAAGTGAGGGTCGTCTTGTTCTGCCGCCGCCGCTCCTCCTCCTGCGCGCGTGTGAAAGGGTTCGAGCTCTTAGGCCGCCGCGGCGGCTGCAATGCTGGATGCCGGGCTCGAAGGCTGCAGCGCTTCCATGTCCCAAGCCACCTCAGTCCTCTCTCGGCACCTCCTGTCCCACTCCACTCTGGCCTAAGAAACGGCTCTACCCTCTCTGCAGCCCTGGTTGGAGACCCAGGGTGGATCCAGCGCCAGCCACAGAAAGGAACGCACCTCCATCCAGGACGCCAGAGCCCTCCCATAACCCTCTGAACTAACACCCACCCGCCTCTCAGGGACGAGAGGTCAAATCTCGCGAGGCGTGCTCCGTCTCGCGAGATCTGGGTTGAGCCTGCCGCTGCCTTGGCTACCAGGCTCCTCAGGTGGCAGCGCTTGCAGTCGGGCTACGGAGGCCGGGTTGCCAGATTACGGGTAAGTTTGCGTTTTGCTTTGTGACTGTTACTCCCACTTCGCTTCTCGCCAGAACGTCTCTTAACATTTAGGAAAATGCGTTTCGCCCGTCCGCGTGCAAGCTTGCCATCACTTGGGGTTGCGCCTGTGATCTTTATTTAAACTCCACCAGCCTTTGTCTCGACCCGGCAGCCCCGGCGACGCTCTCCCGCGGTCTTTTCTCCTGGGGTCCCTTGGCCGCTGGCTCCTGTGCTCACTGCCCTGGACTTAGTTCAAGTATCACCTCTCTCAGGAAGCCTTGCTGTGTTAACCGCAGCCCTCATGGGCACCCACGACACCTGCATTTTCTCAGCCCGTGGGCAGTCGGCTTCCCCTGCTCTGATGCCCCTTACAACTTGCCCAGTGGAAAGCACCACAGCTGGAGCAGGAGGGAGGCTGTCACGCTGAAGTTTGTTCTGGAGAGAGTGACCAGGATAGGAGGGCCATTTAAGGAGAGACTGAAAGAAACGAACCCCGTGGGAGGATGTAATAGCTTTCTTCAGTTGTCCCACAGGACGAACTCGAGGGGGGCAGACAGCATAGCGGATTTTACTGTGTTAGAAGGAAGCATCTTTCTAGAAACTATAAAATAGCAGTTAAGAGCTCAGGTTCTGAGGTTAGGGGGTTCTGGATTTTTACCCGGGTCCTCACCATGGCCCTGTGCCCTTAGGTCAGTTACTTGTCCTCTAAGACCTGGTGTCCTTACTTGTAAAATGGAAATCAGAACAGTAAATGAATAATATTCATATAACGTCTTTCATGATGACTGAGGCATAGTAAGAATGTAGTTAAAAGTTAGGCTGTATTTCTACTTGCTACGTGGCCATTTCTAATGGCCAGAGCAGGTATAATTATCCCCACTATGTGGATGAGGAACTTGGAGGCCTGAGAAATTTTAACTAGTCATTCGACATTTTATTTATTTATTGCCCTCTCAACTGTGGGCCTGACACCAATCGACCTGCTGGCACTATAGCACAGAACAAGTCGGGAGATCACTTCAGTGATGGAGTGTCCTTTCTGCTGAGGGACTCAGAAAATAATCAAGTAACAGTTACCGAAATAAGGGAATTTCAGATAACAATCAGTGCAGTGAAGACAATGTAATAACATAGTATGATTGACAGTCATGAGAAGCGGTAGTAAAGTAAGGACGTTTTGAAGAGGTGACATTTGAGTTTAGATCTGAACGATGATAAGGAGCTACCTACTCAATAACAATTCCAGGCCAAGCAAAGGCCCAGGGGAAGGAAAGAGATAGAATGATTGAAGAACAGAAAGAAGGCCACTGTGTTCCCAACATAGCAGAGTGGAAAGTGGTAGGAAATGGGGTCAGAACAGGTAACAAAGGCCTGGTAATACCAGCCTTTTAAGCCATGTCCAAGGGTTTGGATTTTATTCTAAAAGTAATAGGAAGCTATTGGAATGTTTGACACATACAAGTGATGTGATCTGACTCACATTTTTGAAAAGATATTGATTACTTTGTGGAGAATGGATTAAAGGTAGGGGGAGGAATGGAAGTAGAACAATTAGGAAGCAATTGCAGTAGTCCACATGAGTGATGATGGTCACCTTGAGTGAGTAATTGATTAACTTGTGGTCACAGGGCCAGAAAATTGCAGAACCAATAAAATATAAATACCTTCTGACTTCTTTCTATACTCTGGCATACTGTCTCAAAAATTTCAGGTCTCCATGATTCTACAAATTTATTCATATTGTGTGATGACAGTGTTTGAAAATCTTTTTCATCTGCATGCACCTTGGTTCTTGTACCAGATTCTCAGCTCTTCTAGGATGAGATTTCTCAAAGTTTAATTTTCTTACAGCATAGACTGAAATCCTTGATACCAACAGTACATTTCCACTCACCATTCTGTTTCTCCAGGCACCCCTTCTTTGTAGCTCCAGGTAGCAGTATAAATATATGTCAGTATACAGTCTTTGTCTTGGACTCCAGTATTTCATTTTTTGTATAATAATTGCAAAATGAAACTCTTATGTACAGTGATATTGATAGCAATGAAGTGGTGTTGGTCTTTGTAGCTTTCTACTTTAATAAAAGAAAATATGCATTGTATCTGATCTTAGTATGATAATGTGAAATGACAGTTCATGTTTATGAAATACTTCTGAATGACAACTAAATATTTTGGTTTTTTACTTATATTTTGAATGAAATGTGTAGAACATAATTTAGTTCAATGTCCAATTAACAAACATATTAAACAATTTAAAATATTTCTGCAACATAATAGTACTCAAATTTCTTGTATACCCTTCACCAAGATTAGAGAATGATAAAGATTCTTCAGTCTTTATCTGCATACTTACTTGTTTATTTCCTATTACAAGAACACTTTCTCCTTCCAAACCACAGAGCAGGCATCAAAATCAGTAAGTTAATATTTATCCAGTATTACCATATGTAGTCAGCTTGGACTACCAATAGCAAAATACCACAGACTGGTTGCTTAAACAACAGAAATACTTGTTTCTCAAAGTGCTGAAGGCTGGAAAGTCAAAGATCAATGTATCAACTGATTCACTTCCTGGTGAGGGGTCTCCCTGGCTTGTGACATCTACCATCTTGCTGTGGCCTTACATAGATTGGAGTAAATGAGCTCTTATGTCTCTTATAAGGACACCAATCCCATGAGATCAGGTTCCCACCCTTATGACCTCATTCAACCATAATTACTTCCTAATCCAAATACAGCTACATTGAGGGGTTAGGGCTTCAACATATGGATTTTGGGGGATATATATTAAATTCTTTACATCATGTTATTCATGGACTCTACATAAATTACCCCATTTGTCCCAATCATTTCCATTTTAGATCTAGGATTTAATCCAGGATTACTCGTTGATTTTAGTTGTCATGCCTCTTCAGTCTTCTTCAATCTGGAATAGTTGCCAGTCTTTTCTTGTCTTTTTCTTTCCTTTTTTATTTTTATTTTTATTTTTATTTTTGAGAGACAAGATCTTGCTGGGTTGCTCAGGCTGGTTTCAAACTCCTGGCCTTAGGTGGTCTTGGTCTCCCATAGTGCTGGGATTACAGGCATGAGCCACCGCACCCAGCCTTATCTTTCATGACTTTGACATTTTTGAGGAATACAGGCTGGTTACGTGATTAAATGTGCCTCAATATAGGTCTGTCTGATGTTTCCTCATGTTTGTGACCCCTTGACAGGAATATCTTAGAGGAGATGCTGTGCTTCAATCAGTGAGTCCTCTTAGGCATCACATGATCTCAATTTATTCCGTGGTTTCATGATGTTAACTTCTGTTTCTTTAAGATTGGGTCTGCCAGGTTTCTCTGTTACAAGGTGAATTAGCAAATATGTCACATTCATAAATTAATAGGCAATGTGTGTTTTGTGGGGAGAATCTTTGTGTTTTGTAGGGAGAAGCTTTGAGACTGTAAATATTCTGTTTCTCATCATATTTTCTCCTGCCAGATTTCTCCATTGATGCTTCTTGTTTGAATCTGTTATCACTGTGATGGATGCCAAATGACAATTTTCTAATGTTATCAGTCCTTCTAGATTTATTAGTTGGCATTTTACTGTAAGGTAGGGTTTTCCTTGCTATACCATATATTTCTTGTTTATTCGTTTACATCAATATAGACTCATGACTTCAAATTTTAATCAATTTATTACTATTATTTTTTAATTCTGATTTCAAATTTTCTTAGACTTAGCCAATAGAAGCCCCTTTATGACATGTTTCCATCATTCTTTCATCACTTCCTTATTTTCTGGCACTACAATGTGCCATGCTTATCTTGTATTTTCCTGACCTGCCTTGGAATCAGCCTTCTCTGCCACGAATTTTGGTTTCTTTAGTGGAAAGTGGCATTTAGAAAAAACTCTGAGCACTAGAAGTGTTCATTACTAGCCTCTCTCAGCAGAGACCCTAGAAAATTTTTGTGTATAAACAAGTGTGCATATGTGTGTTCAACAGCAGGAAATCTGGCTACCTTTATCTTCAGTGTATGTACTTACTTGCTCAATTCCCCCCATATGTAAGCAAATTACTGTGGCTGAAAGCTTGGCCCTAGAAAAGTGAATTCATCTCTGCCTGGTATGTCAGCCCAAAGCTGAGTATTAAATATGCTGCCCACTGGACACCATCCAAACACTCAGCAAGACAAAAGTGACGAGGAAGAAAGAAAGAGAAAAGTGTATTTAGGAAGTTCAGCTCCAGACATTTTAGAAAGGGTAGGAGGAAGGAGGAAAGGCCAGTTAGGAAGTTTGGTTCTAGACACATAGGCCCTTTCACCTACCCTTTTCCCAAGCTCAGCGCATGGATAGGGGAAGCAGGCTTAGAATGATGAGTTAACTTGTCCAAGCCTAATCGGTTGGGTAGTGGCAGAGCTGGAGTTTAAGCCTGGATTTTTTCTGACTCCTTACAACTTGCTATTTTTACTGCGTCTTGTAGAAAGCAGCTTTGCAACGGATGACAACAAAACAACAACAAAAACACTGAAGCCTTTCTTTTCTATATTAGGAAATATTTCTTTACTTTTGTCTCAGGTAAAAATCATCATTAACGTGGTTAGATGCCTATTTGTAAGATGGCATATTTGAAGTTATTTCTAAGCTAGAACAAACAGCTTAGACAGAGTTGAGCATAGTAGGATTGGGGTCAGAGACCGAGGTTATAACCTGGATACAAGGAGTTCTTATGATGATGAAAGGTCTGTCAATATGCATAGATACAATAACAATACAACATTGGGAGATGCTGAAATGAATATTTTTTTCTCTAAAGCTTTAAATGAATGCATAAGCCTGGGCTGCAATTTTTGTGAGTCTGAGTGTGCTTGTAATAATACATAAATTGTTACGATAACTAATGCCAAATAATGGATTATACCATGAATGGAATGAGAGCTCCTCAGGGCAGGGCTAATCCAACCCTGTTTTGTAGGTAGAGGTGTTAATTACACATTTTAAATATCAAGAGCTGGACTGACATTTCAGATTTGACACCTTTAATTTGCAACATTATTCTTCAGCAATAAACGTTAAACCTTGTAAACTCTTTCTGGTTAGCTATAATCATGTCCAATTTTATATATTAGGTAAAGTAAGTTATATAAGTTATTTTTCATATAAGCCATTTTGATATTCACATAATGTTTTCTTATCTGATTATTGATTTTTAGGCTTTCTATGGATTATAAAGATGTATTATTTTAAATTTTGGTATTTTTAATCCATAACATAAGTTAAGGAAATTGGGACTTCAGTCTTAATATGGTGGTCGTCACTGAACTGTATTTTCTAGTGGTTTTCCTGATAAAGCTCCTGAATCCATTTAACGATGTGAAATACCTAACAATAATTCTGACAATACTCACAACTGTTTATTTGGTAGCTATTTTTATCACAATACTTGTATCTAAAAGAATAAGAATAATGTATTTGAATAAATAGTAAGTACAAATATATGGTGTTTGCTTAAGAAAAGGCAGGGTAATCATTGTTTTCCAATTAGTGCACAATAATGCCCTGAAGTCGTCTCAGTCAGTTTTGATACCCTAGTTTCTTATTTTCTGGCAGTGGCCTCTGTGCCATCTTTTTGAGGAACTACTCCGTTTAAAAGCTCTTGATTAAGTTTATATGATTGACAGATAATGTGAAAGGAAAACAGAAATCATTTATCAATAGAAGGCATTTATTAATTCAAGTAATGTTTATCAAGATCAGGGCCAGCTTCATGAAAATATGACCTGTGCAGTCACACAAGGCCCTACTCTTAAAAGGGCCCCTCACTTATGATGTAGGACATGCAAGCCCCCAAATTGGGGCTTAGCCCAGGAGGGTTCTTGGCTTGGCCTAGAAAAGAATTCCAGGGCAAGCTGGTGGTGTTAAACAGCAACTTTTATTGAAGTGGCATTGTACAGTAAGCAGCAGAGAGACTGCTTCTTGCAGAAAGGGGCTACCCCATAGGCACTCTGCCCAGAATAGCAGCTTAGAGGCAGTTTTGCAAACTCATAGTTATACCCGCTTTTAATTATATGCAAATTAAGGGACAGTTTATGCAGAAATTTCTAGGATGAGTGTGGTAATTTCCAGTTCATAGGGTCATTGCCATGGAAAGGGGTGGTAAGATCTGTATGTTGCCATGGCGATAGTAAACTGATGTGGCACACTGGTGGCCATGTCTTCTGGAAAGGCTTCTATCCAGGAACTTTTTAGCTGATCCTCAGGTTCGTTCCAAGTCCTGATTCCTACCCCACTTAGATAAGCCCTGTGTTTGTTTAATGCTCTACTGTCAGCATCTTGAAATTATTTTTTGTTTTTGAGACGGAGTCTCACTCTGTCACCCAGGCTGGAGTGCAATGGCATGATCTCGGCTCACTGCAACCTCTGCCTCCCAGGTTCAAGTGATCTTCCTGCCTCAGCCTCCTGAGTAGTAGCTGGGATTACAGGCGCATACCACCATGCCCTGCTAAAAATTCTTAATAATTATTTAACATGGGGCCTTGCATTTTCATTTTGTATTGGGCCCTGCAATTTATGCAGCCAGTCCTGGTCAAGATGTAAATAGATATAAATATAGATAGAGATGCAGATACAGATATAGGCACAATATTATATCTCAAATGCACTGACAGACAGTCTCACATGATTCAGGCCAAAGCACAGTCTAATTACGTGATTTAATTATGTGATTAAAGGCAAAGGCAGAAAACTAGGGAAAGTACAAAAGTGGAGAGCCTTTAGAGCCTTTACTTTTAACCTTTAGAAGGTTAAAGGTAAGAGATAAAGGGAAAGGCAAATTCAGGTCTCCTGAGAATAGTCAGGTTAAGTGAAATATGATCAAAACTCCAAACTTGCTACCATAGCCCATAAGACCCTAGGAAATCCAGACCCTGCCTACTTCTCTAACCTTATCTCCTACCACTCTCTCCCTGTTCACCACACTCCAGTTGCACTTCTTTCTTTTCTTTAAACACCTCAAGTTTGTTTTACTGCCCTCAGACCTTTTCTCTGCCTGGAATGCTTTGTCCCTCAGCTTTTTTCACAGATGACTTATTATTTGGATCTTAGCTGGGACACCCTCCCCAGTCTAAATTAGCCCTTCTCTCCTTAGTCACATTTGCTATCACCTTTCAATATCTGAAATCTAGTTCATTTAATTGTATCTTTTTTTTATTGTTTTTCTCCCACCACTAGAATGTAAATACCAAAAGAGCAATGATCTTGACTTGTTCACCATAATATCACATGCCCTTAGTGTTGTACCTGCACATAATTGTACTGAGTTAAAAATTTGGTGGATGAATGCATGAATGAAAGCAAACAGAAGGCAGTCCGGTAGCCTAAGGAAACTTCTGAGAGCAGTGAGCTGTTGTGCTGATGAAGACTCCTTTCAAGAAGACTAAGACTTTCTTTGAAGTAGTTTTCTGATGTTTCCCACTGAGTTGGGCTGTGTGTTACAGGCAGATGCTTATGCATCCTGAAATAGGACCAATTGTCCCATAGAACTGATATTAATCATTTCTTTGAATAAGCACAGAAATTGATTCTCCCATTGTTAAAACTTGAGAAAGTTAAATTTGTCTTATCTGAGTTACTTTCTCAGGAAACCAACCATCAGGCCTCCCAGATACTATCAAGAAACTGAAACTTACCAGATCATTGCATCTGGACAATATGATACCAGACCCTTCAGCCATCATGACTGCCTTACCCAGGGGTACCCAGTCCTTAGGCTGCAGACTAGTAGCCGTCCATGGCCTGTTAGGAACCCGGCCAGACGGCAGGAGGTGAGTGGAGGGCAAGTGGGCATTACCACCTGAGCTCTACCTCCTGTCAGATCAGTGGCAGCATTAGATTCTCCCAGGAGTGAGAACCCTATTATGAATTAGGCATATGAGTGGTCTAGGTTGCATGCTCCTTATGAGAATCTAATGCCTGATGATCTAAGGTGGAACAGTTTCATCTGGAAACCATCCCCCACACCCCCATGCGTGGAAAAATTGTCTTCCACAAAACTGGTCCCTGGTACCAAAAAGGTTGGGGACTGCTGGCCTAACCAATCACTTGCTACCTGTTGACCAACTCCTCTTCCTTACCCCTCCCTAATTCCTGTTTTCCCACACATACTTACATTTTTTCCCTGCCATATAAGCCCCTAATTTTAGCTCGTCAGGGAGAGGGATACAAATTTCCCATCTCCTTGGCTGCGGCACCCAGTTAAAGCCTTCTTCCCTGGCAATACTCCTTTCAGTGATTGGTTTTCTGTGTAGTGAGCAACAGGACCTAAACCGAACCCCTGGCATTTTGGTAACACCCCCAAGACAAATGAGTAGCATTTCTGAACTCGTTAGATTCTTGAAAGAAAAAAACATGCACTAGTAAACAGAATATTGCCTTTGGGTACAGAATAAAAGATAATAAAATACAGTTGGCCATCAGTATCCGCAGGTTCCACATACACAGGTTCAACCAATCACAGATTGAAAATGAACATTAGGCCTACAATGGCTGTGTCTTTACTGAACATGTACACACTTTTTCTTGTCATCATGCCCTAAATAATATAGCATAACATATTTACATTGTGTTTTGTATTATAAGTAATCTAGGGATGATTTAAAATATAGGAGAGGATATGCATAGGTTATGTGCAAATACTACACCATTTTATATCAGGGACTTGAATATCTTCTAATTTTGGTATCTGCAGTGTCCTGGAACAAGTTCCCTGAAAATACTGAGGGATGACTATAACTCTTTGATCTTTTATATATTGGTTTCCTGAAACTTTCATGTCATTTAAAAATGATCAGTTAAGTTTAGCCCAGGGAAAATAGTCATTCCTGATTTTGCCAATTTTCTTAAACAACCTTAGGATTATATAAATAGCTGATGTTATCTTGAGGAATCTCTGCTGTGATAAGGTATAAAACAAGTTACCAGTTTCTAAATGCTGTCATTTTTGTGTCTCCTCAAGTATAATACATCCAACTTTATAGGAAGAAATATTTACATTTTTAATATTAGCTTTAGTGAATAAATAAATAGTAGGCATTTCTAACTTGTCAGTCCACAGAAACCAGACAGATTATTTACTGAGCAGCCAACATCATTGTGCCCTCTTCCTCTTTTGAAATGACCTTAATGTGAAATGTCACTACACTAGTACACTTTTCCCTCCACTCTAATCCCTCCCAAATGACCAACTGCAGCCTACCCCATCCCATTCATGGGTCATACTGATCTTAGAGGTGGACGTATATTTTAAAAAGAAAATCGTTCCCTCAAAAAACATTGGGAGACTTGTAGTTTAATAAGCCTGCCATAAAATTTTTGATTTGTAGAGCCAAGAAAGAACCTTTAAAGATCATTTTATGAATGATTTTGACATCGTACATATGAAGACTAGGGAGCAGAGTAAGTGGCTGCTCAAAGTCATATGTCTAGTGGGCATCTACCCTCTGGACTGGTACTCTTCCCAATGCAATAAAAAAAACATGAAATATATGTACTATGTAATATGTACTATGAGCTTCTTTGCTATGAGTCATCTTTCTTTTTAAATTATAGCAGAAAATAAGTGTATTTATTTCTACTGCCTGTCAATTTGCTTACAAAGGAGTTGTCATAAGAAGTTATTTAAAGGATGTAGCTGAATTTCTTTGTGAAACACCAGATCTATGTTATTTTCTCTTTTAAATTGCAACATTTGTTGATACCTTAGCAAATGAAGATGAAAGAAGAAAATAACATAAAGGGTAAAATGACATTAAAGGAGACATAATTAGAAAGAGCTGATATTTAGATGCCAAGAAGGTACACTGGAACATGGTAACTTTTTTGATATTTTTCCTTCTTTATCCAAATAATATATCAAAGTATATATCCTTGTTGTAAGCCATTCAAAAAATAAAGAATAACTTAAAGAAGGAAATAAAAATAACAGTAAATAAAAATAGTAGTTCCAAGTGTCAGTTATTGTTTACATTTTATATTTTTAATAAATGTAATTTTAAAAGATGAAATTATTCTACACATTCTGTTTTTACCTTGCTGTTGTTTTTTACCTAGACCATTTTTGATGATTACATAGTATTGTTTTACATGATTATACTGTAAATTATTTAACCAGTTATCAATTTTTACATATTTTTGAGGTTTCTGATATTTTATAATTACTAACTATTCTGTAATGATACTTATGAACTAACAGATACTTCTGTGTGTTTGCTGAATCACTCCTTGCCAACCACAAAGTATTAAAATGAACTGGTATCCTGCCTTTGGTAGACAAACCCTGGATTTGGATTTTCCCCCATTGCTGATATCCCATTTCCCCAGGTGCCCCTCAAAATGTTTTTGTTCTCTCACTTTTTCTAACCCTCTTTTTCTTTATTGTTCATAATTGTTTATTAAATGTGCTGAATTTTCACTTTTAAGGGATATTTTACAAA
Source organism: Homo sapiens (assembly GCF_000001405.40). Classification (NCBI taxonomy): domain Eukaryota; kingdom Metazoa; phylum Chordata; class Mammalia; order Primates; family Hominidae; genus Homo; species Homo sapiens. The sequence goes on from NC_000017.11 coordinate 54,979,293, forward strand.
CCATACCTACCTAGCATTTTTAGATACTTCTGACCCCAGCCACATCTTCCTTTTTGAACATAAAATCAAGGAGTGCCCTATGTGTCCTTATTGCTCTATCAGGAATCTGGTTACTTTATATAGTGTGTGAACCCAAGAAAGCAATTAAATCTCTCCTTTATGCCCCTGGAAAAGCTAACAGTGCTCTCTGCTAAGAAAAAGCCTCCTTTAGCCCCTTTCTTTTCTTTTATTCCCTCACTAACAATATACGCATAAGCCCTCATACTCAATATGAACTGAAATTCTCCAATCAGTCTACAGCCATACCACCCTGAACATGCCAGATCTTGTCTGAAAATCCCCATTTTATCAAGATAATTTAGTGTATCTTTAGAGACCTCTAGATGGCCAATAGCTTCTGACAAAGCACTTTTCTTATGAGCTTTTTAACATTATTATGAAGAGACTATTTGGACTTAGTATTAAAGCAACAAATCTTGCCTTCACTGGTATCATACTGTCCTTCCCTTTCCTTCTGGTGATCATTTCACTTTAGACAAACAACTAAAAAGACATTAGAGCTCTTGACCTCACAGCTCATTAAATACTTCAAAGTAAATATAAAAGTACTCTGGCAAGGAAGGATGGGAATTAGGCTTTTGCTTACAAAGCCTTTATAGGTCTATTCTAGATGTATTATTTTAGACTTTGCAATGACAGCTTAATAAATCATCTACTTATTTGTTTGTGACAGGTGTCTGTGTGTGTGTTGTTAAGTAAAATGCAATTGTATGTAAACCAATATATTACAATTACATAATTTTTAACAAAAATATAACACGTATGAATTGTGCCTGGTTTTTTCTTCCACTGCTTTATTAGTAACATTTTTAAATGAAGACATATAATCATATAATCAAGCAGAATTTGGGGTGGGAGGGAAATTATTTTCTAGAAGATGAAACACTTAAAGCTTTCCCAAAATATTTTTTGTTATTTACAAAATAGTGGATTTTTAAAAGGCATTAAATTAACAATAAAAAAAAATAATACCTAGGAATTAACTAAATAAGAAATGTGCAGCTGTTACCAGTGCAGGGTCTTGACTACAAGTCGTCCAGGTTCTTGGCAATTTGAACAAAGATTTGGACAAAATGCACAAACAAAGCAAGGAAAGAATGAAACAATGAAAGCACAGATTTACTGAAATGAAAGTACTCTCCACAGAGTGGAAGCAGGCTGCAGCAAGTGGCTCAAGAGCGCTGGTTACAGAATATTCTGGGGTTTAAATTTCCTCTAGAGGTTTTCCATCGTTTCCTTGGTTACACCCTATGTAAATGAAGGAGTGGCCTGCAGCTAATCAGAAGTACTTTCCATTTTTCATCTGCCATGCAGTGCAAAGGGAGTAGCCTCTCATCCTTTTGTGGAGAGGTAGGGTTTTCCTTTTGATTCAGTTCTAGGAAGTCAGCACCAATCAGCCTTAGGCTCCCTGCCTCCAGACCCTATTCTCCTGCCTCACAAGGTCACTGTGAAGGCAACTTTAAAACACAGTAGAAACAGGCTTGTCCCATCTGTGGCCCATGGGCTGCATGTGGCCCAGGACAACTTTAAATGTGTTCCAACACAATTTCGTAAACTTTCTTAAAACATGAGATTTTTTTGCGTTTTTTTTTTGTTGTTGTTGATGATTTGTTTTTAAGCTCATTAGTCAATATTAGTGTTAGTGTATTTCATGTGTGGCCTAAGACAATTCTTCCTCCAATGTGACCTGGGGAAGCCAAAAGATTGGCCACCCCTGCTATAGAAGTTCACAAAAGAAGATTTGAACAAATAGAAAGTGATACCAAATTCCTGGATAGGAAGACTCAAAATAACATCATAGATAACAATACTTCTTCAATTATTTGTAAATTTAGTGTGATTCCCTTACAAATAGCATTGTTTTGTTTTTTAAACAAGATAAGAATACTTTGAATTTAATGTGTAAAAATAAACAACCAAAAACAACCAGGGAAACTTGGTTAACAAAAGAACAAATGAGAGATGATCGGCCTTACTAGATATGATAGTGCCTCTGTAATTAAAATAGAATGGCATTGGTGTACAAATAAACAACCTAACCAAAGGGCCAGAATAAAAATTACAGAAGTAGACCCAAACACTTAAGAGATTTTGTATATGATGAAAGTTGTATCTCAAAATGGTGGGGAAAAGATTTAATAAATGTAGTTGAGACAATGGGGTGGTCTTCTTGGGAAAAATATGAGTTGGATCTGTGCTTTATATTATGATGGATTCCAAATGGATCAAATATTTAAAAATGAAACCATAAGAGTACTGGAAGAAAATATGAGAGAATTCTTTATAACTTTGGAGTGGGCAAGGAGTTTCTAATTTGACCTAAAACCTGGAAATCATAAAAGATTCATAAGTTAGCCACAAACTTTTGTGTAACAAAAAGCCCATAACCCAGAAGAAAAGGGGGGAAAATATATTTGCAATTCTTAATGCTGATAGAGAGATAATTTCTGTAATATTTAAGAACTCCTAGAAACTGAACAGAGAAAGACCTAACGATAAATAGAAGAATTGGCAAAAGATGTAAAAAAAACACAGTTCACATAAAAGAAGATACTGAATGGTTCTTAAAGCATAAAAAAACTCTTCTGCCTCACTCCAACTACCTTGAGATACCATTTTCATCAATAAAACTGGCAAAAATCCAAACGTTATTTAGTATACCATAGTGGAGAAAATTTAGAGTAACAGGCACTATAGTTGGTGAGATAGTAAATTAGTACAACCCTGACTGAGGGACATTTGGCAATTTGTATCAATTTCATTATGGCATTTTTGTAATTTCATTAAATTAATATTTACTATAATTTCTGGCAGAAGATATTTTTATCCCTTTTATTTTCTCTATTTTTTGTCCAGTGAAAAGAACTGGTTTTATTGAATACCATGTCTGAGAATATAAATTACTAAGTCTTACTCAAACACCATATGCGTTATGGACAGATTTTTTTAATCTGATGAGATTTCTAATTACATGGGATGAAGATTGTTTTAATGAGATCATAAGTAAACAGACTTATCAAAGAAAAGCTCTAATTTAAGTTTTCTGGAATAGATTCATCTTTAACAACAAGATTTTTTTTCTCCAATGTTCCACTTTCTCTGTTTTTGCTGACCTGTTTGCCTCTTATGATTCACCAAACTAGAATAACAATATATTTGTCTTCAATGTTCATATTTTTAGTAAAAGAACAGAATGTTTTCCTTCTGTGTTATTTATTAATTATGGGAACTTGAGGGTGGTTTGTGTGTGTGTGTGTGTGTGTGTGTGTGTGTGAGTGTGGTGAGTATGTGTATGTAACATTACTGGAATCCCTGTTGGCTGAGGGCCTTGCAAGTTTGTATAAAGAGAGAGTAGGAAGCAGGCAAAGGAGAGGGAAAGGACAGGCATTTTATGATATTTAAGGACATGACAATGAATACCACTGTTGGGATGGATAAGATTAAACCCACTTCTGTTTAATCAATAGTGTCATCTTTATATAAAAGAGATAACACATTACCACTCCTTACTCTCTCATTCCACTTTTTTGGTGAATCAAACTTTTTACCTGAATTAATTTTCCAGCATACTGTAGTAGAAACAAACAGCTTGGGTTTGGAGCAAGAAAGAGCAGGGTTCAAACTCTACTTTACAACTAGCCTGTGACAATGGACAAGCCACATACTTTCTGTATGACTTATTTTTCTTTTGTATAAAATTGGGTTAATAATACCTCCCTTGTGGGGCTCCTGTGGGAAGAAAATCCTGTAACATGGTGCCTGGCTGTATTCGTGTTTAATGATGACTTAGATCCCAGGTTACGCAGCCTTTCTCCATACTCCCTGTGTATACTGCTGTCAGAGCACTTCACCCCTCCTGATCTCATCTCATCTTTGGCACTTAGGACACTGCCAGCATGTTAAGTGAATGGAATAAACACCTAAATTTTATTTTAAACCTTAAAATAGAAATGTTTTAAAATGTCTTGTTAAGTATATTATATGGAATCTATTGTAGAGTAGCATTTATACATCATTAGGCTTGAATATGTTCCCAGGGGACCTGGGGACCTGTGTCCAGTTAGAACAACTCACCAAAGATGAGGATCTTACTCACTTTGGTACCAGTAGAAAGACTGCTCAGTTTTTCACATCTGCTTTTGAGCAAGGTGTTACTATTCTTACCTTACTTAATAGGAGGAGATGCTAAGAGGTTAGGCAATTTTTCTAATGCCATATTACTAGCCCATGGCAGTATTGCCATTTGAACTCTGCATTTCTTTTCTTTTTTTTTTACTTATGTCTAGTACATTTTCCACAATATTAAATAAATACATTTGGAATACATAGTGTGTGAAACATAGTGCCAATTAATGGTAGTTGCTATTATTGTTATTATTTGAGAATGACCTCTCTTGAGGTTTGAGAATCTGCTCCATGCGTGTATCATTAAAGCAGTCTATAATGAACTTATGCAAACTTAGTTTTAGAATTGAACTCTCTTCCATGACTATATCAGTCTTGTGGACAGCTGCAGTGGCTCTTGACTCTGAGAGACTACTAGTCAAAGCCCAAGGATTTTAAGCTCCTCCCTCAGGTGGCCCTTCTTTTCCTCATGGGTACTGAATAACTTTCTTACTTCATGGTCATTGGACTTTTGCTACTGACATTGTGGCTTGGTGGCTTCATTTTTCTGGCTGCTGTTGATCTGCATGCTTCCACTGTTCCTGTTGCTTGCTACTACAGAGGGCGTGAAAGTCGAAATGTGTTTTTACCACCCAGACCAGTGAATACATTGCTATGTTAGGGTCTCAAAAGTAGTTGGCTCTGTGTTTGGGGCCCATTCAGTTAATTTACGGAAGAATCTATGATTTCTTCTGCATACAGTGGTTGAAGAAAAGATAGGATGATCCTCTTGATTTTAGTCTTTAATCTCTCAGTTTTGTTCTCCCTAGAACTTTTTGTTTCTGAGTCTTCAATTTCTCTGGGACTCTCTTTTTCTTTTTTCTTTTTTTTTTTTTTTTTTTTTGAGACGGAGTCTGGCTCTGTCGCCCAGGCTGGAGTGCAGTGGCACGGTCTTGGCTCACTGCAAGCTCCGCCTCCCAGGTTCACGCCATTCTCCTGCCTCAGCCTCCCGAGTAGCTGGGACTACAGGCGCTGCCACCACGCCCGGCTAATTTTTTTTGTATTTTTAGTAGAGACGAGATTTCACCGTGTTAGCCAGGATGGTCTCGATCTCCTGACCTCGTGATCCACCCGCCTCGGCCACCCAAAGTACTAGGATTACAGGCGTGAACCACCGCACCCGGCCAGTTTCTCTGGGATTCTTTAAGATATGTTCCTCCTGCACCTGTTTCCTAGGCCAGAATTTTGTTGTGAATCAGTTGCTGATGTGCTGATATATTGATTCTCCTCAGCTTTTCAGAGGATATCAGCTTTCTTTACCTTAGTATGCCATACAAATATTACCATTATGTGTGTGCTCAGACTTAAAAAATGTTTAAGAAGCACTGCCCTAAATTTCAGCTTCTTCACCCCTCTTTTACCAATTATCACCCAACCATCTTTTTTTTATCTTCCAAAAACTTGTTCAAAATTTTCATCCAATGGCTCTTTTCCCATTTACTCTTCAACATTCTGAGTTTGTACTGTTTGTAACTCTTTACCCTAAGACTTTCATATTAGTTGGCTCTTGGGAGGGAAAGAATATATGTGCCAAGGTCAAGATGCCATTTTTAACTGAAAATCGGGTTTTTTAAAAGTTTAACTTTATTAAGCTATAATTGATTTACAACAAACAGCAGATATTTAAAGTGAGACAGTTTGTTACATTTGACATGTATCCATTTGTGAAATCATCGCCACAATCAAGGCACCTACTGTACCTCTGTAGAAACTGAGGCTTGGAGAAGCCCAAAATTTCAAATGAGAACCCAGGCCTATCAGATCTCAAGGTCCATCCTGTAGACTATAACCTGAGTTCTAGTTAGGAGAAGAAAAACAACAACAACAACAACAACAAAAACACTATTTTTCATTTGTGAGGGAAAACCACACAGTCTCTGAATCTAGCTCCTCATTTCTTCAGGAAGAGAGTTGTACTAAATGATCCTAGTGTCTTTTTCAACTTTAAGTTCCTTTGCTTCATTCATTGTTCTTATGAAAAGGTGGTAAATCTCTGTTCAAATACAGTTTGTTTTAATTAAATGACACCACTATTCTCTGTAATTTTCACAGTGGAACAATATAAGACATTAAAAGCATATTTTTTTCTCTTCATAGGAAAGCCATTTAAGAAGTTCCTGGAATAATATTAGTCAGAGTAATATAGGATCTGCAGGAAGTGTCTCAAGATAGTTGGTAAGATAATAAGAATTTAGTTTTTTTCAAATGCATTGCATAATTATTTTTCTGACTATAAGCTTCGTAGCCTTGTACTCACAGGAGACATTTTCCTTAATCTTTAACTATTATGTGATTTTTAAGCTTACCAAGGGTGGAAGTTGTAATAGTTACCTAAAGCTTAGCTGTATGTTCACTTTTGCCAGAAAATGAAGATGTTATATAGATATGGATATTCATAATGATATAGACATAGACTTATCTATCTAATGAGCTGTCTTTACACTTCTCGGATGTTATTGTCAATGATAAAATGCCATAACACAAAATACATACAATACATCTAACATCTATATACAGGCTTATATTATTTATGTTCCAAGTGTATATAATGTTTTTATGAACAGTTGGAATCAAATTTGACAGTTCTAAGACCTGACAATTTATTTTCTACTTCTTCAATCCTAGGAAAAGAAGAATTTCTAGACTCTTCATCAAGATCTTCATTTATACAGCTGTTAAATCCAAGGCTACTTTGGTGAAAGCATGAATAAAAATACATCTACTGTAGTATCACCCAGTCTACTTGAAAAGTAATTTTTAAGTTTAATATGTTTTGAAATATAGTTTGAAATATGTAAACTATTAATGAACATTTGATTAAAAGTTTTTTTACATCTAGCTCTCTAATGTGGTCTAGGATAGCAGCAATGAGTAGTGAGTAAAGTAATACGTTGAATTACCTTTCAATGTAAATCAGTGTATAGAACAAAATCTGCATTCTCTTTTAAGTCATCTGTGCAGGCACGGTAGGGCATGCCTGTAGTCCCAGCTGCTCGGGAGACTAGGACAGGAGGATAGCCTGAAGTTGGGAGTTTGAGGCTGTAGTATGCTATGATTGTACCTGTTAATAGCCACAGCACTCCAGCTTGGGCAACATAGCAAAACTCTGTCTCTAAAAATAATAAAAAATAGACAATTGTCAAATACATTTTTAAAAACTCTTTTGTGAGATTTCTTTTTTAAATTTTGATTTTTAATATCTAGAATATTTTATAATTCCATTAAAAAAATTTGATAATATATAGATTAACTCTTGCTGACTAACAAACCACCCTAAAATCCCTTAAAACAATAAGCATTTATTTTTTCTCATGATTCAGTGGGTTGGTTGAGCAGTTCTGCTCTATACCAGATAATGTAGGATGGCCTCATTTACATCTTGTGAGGCCTCAGCTAGGAAGGTTGAATGGCAGAGGTCTCTGTAGAACTGGTCTGTCATTCTTCAGGAGGCTGGCTCAAGCTTTTCACATGGTAGCAGAAGCACAGGTGTTTTCCAAATACCCAGTTTCCTCACATTTGCTGGTATCCCATGGGCCAAAGCAATTTAAATAGCCAAATGAAAATTCAAGGAGTGGAGATACAGACTTTGCTTTTAGTGAAAGGAAGCAGTAAAGTCACATTACCAAGATGCATGCAGACAGGAATGGGAGGAATTGGTGGCCATTTTGCAAACGTAAAACATACCTTTAACAAGGCATATTAAAAAAAATCTTGCTGTTATTCTAGTCTTCACTGTGTGCCCTCATTCCCTCTATAAAAAGTTGTTTTTATTCTTGGTCCTTTTGTAGTGCTTCTTTTTGGTTAAGCCAATGCATATATATAAAAATAAATATACACATATGTATGTACACATGATAATTATATATATTTGGATTCCACTCCCCAGAATATTCTTAAGTAAAAGGTGTCATGTATACTGTTTTGACCTTGGCTTTTTGTTTTAATGTATATCCTGGTGATCCCTTCATATCAGTTTATAAAAATCTTCCTTGTTTTTTGTTATAACTTGTTTTTGTTATATTCCTTGTTTTTGTTATAACTGCATAATATTCTATTGTGTGGATGTACCATGGTTTATTCAGCCACTATATTATGGATGGGCAAACAATACATTTGCAATTTCTGGTGAATACAAATTATGCCAAAATGAATAACCTAGCATATAAGTCATTTTCTATTTTTTGCCAGAGTATCTTTGGGATAGATTCCTAGAAATGGAATTGCTGGATCAGAGGGTCTTTTTTTGTTAGAGGTTACCAATTTATCTCTTTAGAAGTTGTACCATTTTGCATTCCCACCAGCAGTGTGCAAAAATGCCTCTTTTCCCATAGCTTTTTCATCAGAGTATGTTGTTGAAGTTCTAAATTTTTATTGGTCTGGTAGGTGAGTAGTAGTATCTCTGCAGTTTTAACTTGTAATTCTCTTATTATGAGTAAAGTTGAGCAGAACTATTTTTAATACTTAATAGGAAAAAAGAGTATATAATCTAAAATTTTAATAAGAGTTTTAAAATAAGGTCCTAGTCATGTATGTAAATTTTATGCTGCTATGAACATATAAATTTATGTTTAAGAAGAACTTTCAACAACATAGACATTGCTTATAATAATTCTGGGTAAGAAGAAAAACAAGATCTAAAATGGTTTAAGTAGTATGATAGCAATTCAGAAAATATATGGATATTAATTCAGAAAATATATGGATAGATTTATAGAGAAAACGTATTAGCAGCAATAAACTGCTGTGTTAATAATACTTTGTTGGGATTAGAAAAGTAAGATCCTATACTGAAACAATAATATATGCTGGAGATTGTTTGTGCCCCCAGTGAAGGACATTCACATTTGGAGGGTTTAAGAGTTAGTGGAGAGATCTAATAAGGTAGCTTACTTCCCTTTCTTACCTTATCTTTCATTTCTAGGCTTTACTCGTTTATGTTTTTGCAATCTACCATCCTGTAAAGAAGGGATTTATTGGCCAGGGGCGGTGCCTCATGCCTGTAATCTCAGCACTTTGGGAGGCCGAGGCGGGTGGATCACTTGAGGTCAGGAGTTCGAGACCAGCCTGGCCAACATGGTGAAACCCTGTCTCTACCAAAAATACTCAAAATTAGCTGGGTGTGGTAGCACGCACCTGTAATCCCAGCTATTCAGGAGGCTGAGGTGGGAAAGTCGCTTAACCTGGGAGGCAGAGGTTGCAGTAAGCTGAGATCACGCCACTGCACTCCAGCCAGGACAGAGCAAGACCCCGTCTCAAAAAAAGAAAAAAAAGAATGAATTTAGGGTGCATTTTGGACCCTTGGACCCTGTCCTCTCTGCCTTTTTTCTAGCTGATTGACTATTGCCCTAGAAACCAGATAGGCCTTCCCAAATTAGAGCTGAATTCAGTATACCTGTGATACAGCTCTAAATGATGTTATATATGGAGAGCAAAATAGTCAAAAACGGAGTTCTATGTGCTTTTTAAAAAAATTTCTTCTTTTTAGAAATTATTTTTTTGAATGCAACAGTTTTCTTAAAGATATTCTTAGAATTTCTACGGCAGAAGCTAAGAAAGCTTTTTCTAAAAACTATAATCATGTAAGATATGAAGTAACTCTTTTTCTTTTTGAGACAGAGTCTCGCTCTGTTGCCCAGGCTGGAGTGCAGTGGCACGATCTTGGCTCACAGCAAGCTCTGCCTCCCGGGTTCACGCCATTCTCCTGCCTCAGCCTCCTGAGCAGCTGGTACTATAGGCGTCCACCACCGCGCCTGGCTAATTTTTTGTATTTTTAGTATAGACGGGGTTTCACTGTGGTCTCGATCTCCTGACCTCGTGATCCGCCCGCCTCGGCCTCCCAAAGTGCTGGGATTATAGGCATGAGCCACCATGCCCAGCCAGAAGTATTTCTTTTTTTAATAGTAGTTTCAGTTATTCAATGTATTTGAAGATAGCTGGAAGTCCTATATTCAACAATGGCTCTAACACAACAACAAAGTAGATTACATATCACATTTTGCCTCTGAAGTAAGACTGACTGGGCTCACACTTGGGCCATCAAGTTAACCTATCTGAATTTTGGGTCTTTTAAAAAAATAAGGGTAAGAATCTTAAGGATTTTATAAATATTAAATTAAATGTCATTATTTAGGTGTTGTTTAGCACAGTACCCAGTATTAGTAAACAGGCAGCCCTAAATCTTATTTCAAACTTAATTCAAGTTTTGTTTGACCAGTAAAAGTCTCTGGTCTGACCCAGGTATTCAGAAATGCAACTTGGATATCCCTTTTGCAGGATGTTTTGTACAGTCCCTTCTTTTCAAATGGCATTGCTTTTATGTCTGACAGAAATTACAGTTGAAACAAGTACTTTTTACCAAGAAAATATTCTTTCTAAATTAAAAAGATAAAATTTGAGATTCAAATGGAAGTCATATTTACTTTGCTTTAAATGGCCACAGACATGTCTTTTAAAGCTACTTAAAATATTTAGTTTTGGAATTCTTCAAGTAGTCTAATAACCAGGTAAAAGCAAATCTTTTCCGTCGCCTTTAATACATTTTTGTCCTACTCCAAAGAAATAAGCATTATCATTGTAAATTCTTTTGTGTTTTGGATGTTTTGTAGGGAAAATTAAAAGTATATGCAAGCAAACTCATTTAATTGTTGTTATGTCACCATACTTTTTAAAAATGTCACTGCTAGTAAGTACTAAGTATTTTGGGTTGTCTAGATCAGAGGTCCCTAATCCCTGGGCCACAGACTGGTAGTGGTCCGTAGTCTGTTAGGAATCAGGCGACACAGCAGGAGGTGAGTCTAGGGCAAGTAAGCATTACTGCCTGAGCTCTGCCTCCTGTCAGATCAATGGCGGCATTCAATGCTCATAGGAGCATGAACCCTATTGTGAACTGTGCATGTGAGGGATCTAGCTTGCGTGCTCCTTTTGAGAATCTAGTGGCTGGTGATCTGTCACTGTCTCCCCTCACCCCCAGATGGGACTGTCTAGTTGCAGGAAAACAAGCTCAGGGCTCCCCCTGATTCTACATTATTGTGAATTGTATAATTATTTTATTATATATTACAATGTAATAATAAAGTGCACAAGAAATGTAGTGCATTTGAATCATCCCGAAACCATCACCCCTCTGCAACCCCATTCCCTCTCCCCCCACCTTGGAAAAATTGTCTTCCATGAAACAAGTCCCTGGTACCAAAAAAGGTGAGGGGTTGCTGCTCTAGATCTCAGATTTTGATTTAATAAGTAGTTTAAAGAAAAAAATAGGTGCAGATCTCTAGACTAACCTGTGTGTGCTAATTTACTTTATCTTAGGGATCCTGCCTTTCAGATGATTACAATTGCCAAGGAAACAGGCCTTGGCCTGAAGGTACTAGGAGGAATTAACCGGAATGAAGGCCCATTGGTATATATTCAGGAAATTATTCCTGGAGGAGACTGTTATAAGGTAAAAATATGTCCCATGCCCACCAAAAATACAAACAAAAAGACCCACCAGTGGTAAAGTTTATTTTTTCTTCTTTATTAGTGAATTTATATCCACTGTGACCATACCTCAGTGAAAAATACAAAGGAATTAGAAGATAAGACTATTGCCCTCAAGGAGCTTTAAACTAAGAAATAAATAGGTTCTTCTTCTATGAAAATAATAGATATTTCTGACTGTAAGATAAGGTTATTATTTTTAAATTACATGCTGTTCAACTTTTATCCTGTATCTGATTGAGAGAAATTATATTTGATGACTTGTTATCTTTCTACTACTTTGAGTTTTTATTAAGTTGGATCAGTAGAACTTTAATTACATTCATTTAGCCTCTACTAAATGCAAAACAAAACAGAAACAGCAAACAAAATCTAATTTCTGAATTCGCAGTTCTTGTAGCTTGAGCTAATGAGTTTTATCACTCATTAAAACCAGAAAATGTCTTTTTTTAGGAATTAGAAAGTCTTACTCTCCTCTTCAGTGTAAGAAATATATAATGAGCTCCCTTTCACTTTGGTTGGTAGGAAGCTCAGACCCAAATTTGAAGGACAACCCCAGCAGTTTAACAAACTAGTTACTATATTTAAATTCTCATTCTTCTTGGATTTCATTTGCTGTTTCTGTTTTACTAAAGTGATTATGTGTCATTTTTTGAAAATTGCCTCCATTTGATTTTGGAGAGATATCAGATATAAAGAATTTAATAAAATTATATTAATAATTAAGAATTAATAAAATTAATAAAATATTCTCCATTTGATTGACTCCATTTGATTTTGGAGAGATATCAAATGTAAATAATTTAATAAAATTATATTAATAATTAAGAATTAATAAAATATTCTATTAATATCAAGCTATATAGCATGAGAAAGGATCTTCTTATTTTGTTCTTGTTGTTTGGTTAAATAAACAGTCCTACTACTTTTACCCACCGCCCATATCCCTCCCCCACCACTGCAAACACTTGTTTACTAAGCAGTTTATCTTTTCAGCTGGATTTTTTTGTCTTGTTAGGGAAAAATTCCGTTTTACCAATAACTTCCAAAATAGTTGTAGTACTTTCAATTGTTTTATGCTTGTTCAGATAATAAGGCATCTTTTAAATATACTTTCCGAGTTCTAAGTGTTATAGAGGCCAGGCATGGTGGCTAATGCCTGTAATCCTAGCTTTGGGGAGGCAGAAGCAGGAAGATTGCTTGAGCTCAGGAGTTTGAGACCAGCCTGGGCAACGTAGAGAGACTTGAATTCTATTAAAAATTAAAAAAAAAATCAGCCCGGCATGGTGTTGCATGCCAGTAGTCCCAGGTACTTGGAGGCTGAGGTGGGAGTATTGCTTGAGCCCCGAAGATCAAGAGCAGTGAGGCATGATCGTGCCACTGCACTCCAGCCTGGATGACAGAACAAGACCCTGTCTCAAAAAAAAAAAAAAAGTATTATTTAATAAGTTTAATGGCATAAATTTTTGGCTATTAAATTTAAATTATTAAATAAATATTTAAAAGCTAAATTTAAACAAATTCAAAAAAACAAAAAAATGAATTTTTTCTTCCAAGAATTGAGGTGTTACTTTAGTGTTAAAGCTGAGAGGTGTGTGTGAGTGTGTGTCTGTGTGTGTGTGTTCAATATAGTAAGGCATTTCTTAAACTACACTTGATATAATGCAATAGTAGATCAGGGTACCCAACAAGTGATAAGAATTTGCTTCCTTTTTTTTTTTTTTTTTTTTTTTGAGACAGAGTCTCACTCTGTTGCCCAGGCTGGAGTGCAGTGGCACAATCTCGGCTCACTGCAACCTCCACCTCCCAGGTTCAAGCGATTCTCCCACCTCTCAGCTTCCCTAGTAGCTGGGATTACAGGTGCGTGCCAACACACCTAACTAATTTTTGTATTTTTAGTAGAGACAGAGTTTCACCATGTTGGCCAGGCTAGTCTCGAACTCCCAACCTCAGGCGATCCATCCGCCTCAGCCTCCCAAAGTGCTGGGGGTACAGGCATGAGCCACCACGCCTGACCTAAGAATTTGCTTTTAAGACAAGCATCAATTTGTGCTTGTTTGTTACGATGAAAACTATTTGGAGTTAGAGTAATAAGTTGATAGCGGTGGTGCTGAATGACTCTTTATCTTCTGTCAGTGATAGCAGATTAAGAAATTATTCTTATGATATCTACTTTTTCTTGTTAGAATTTTACTGAAGTATTAAAAGGCAAAATTTTCTCATTGACTATATTCTCTACTTAGCACTAGAGGGCAGCACAGAGCTATTAATGTTCTTCCTACCTGGTCATATCTGACCAAGGAAAACAGGCAAGATAGAAAAAGGTGTAGGAGAAGAGGACCAGGGGTGATGGCTCATGCCTCTAATTCCAGCACTTTTGGAGGCCCAGGCAGGAGGATCCCTTGGGCCCAGGAGTTCCAGGTTGCAGTGAGCTATGATTGCATCACTACACTCCAGCCTGGGCAACAGAGCATTTCTAAAAAATAAAAAAATTTATAGAAGTAATTTTCTAGTGCTTACATTATTTTTAAATATTTTCTCAAGATGGAGAGCTCTATGCATATGCATATTCTTCAAATACAAAATTGATATAACTTTATTTTACAACAATGTATTAATACATTTACTATATTCTAAATACTGTTTTAACATGTTAATAAATTTCTAGTCTGCACAAAATTTCTACATAGTAGAATCTGTGGAATAGGAAACACAAACTCATAAGGTTATCTTAATGAAGTTGCTGAACTGAGTAACTGTTAATATTTTTTAAATGCATATGAATGCTTTAACTTTCTGTAATTTTGTTTTAACATTATAATGTTTCATAATTAACAGTATAGGCTATCTCAAGCTTATAGCTAGATTATATTTCATTTATATTTTCAAATCTTCCAAACTGTAAGGGAGTTATTGGAACGCAGAAGAAATTTTCTTTAATTATTCATGGTTTGCCACCACCCACCCCAAAAGTTTTCCTCCTGGAAAATATGAGAATAAAATACTGGTTTAGTAGAAGCAAAATAGTATGTTTCTTTGAAAAACATATCCAGAGTTCAAATATGGGATATTATGAATACATCTTTTCAGTTCAAGCAGAACCAAGATTCCCTCAGCTCTAAGAGCTAGAGGCACCCTATAAATTGAGAACTACTGTATTAATTGCTAAAGTTAAGGAAATAAGAGAGCTCCAAGGCCCTTTCACTGTGTCAGCTAGTCCCATATCTATCTGGGGTCAATCCTAGACCCTTTTTCTGGCCAAGACACTCCTTTAAGCTTCATACCCATATTCAGTTCCCTGATCAACATTTTTACTTGGACCTCTTAAAGGTATCTCAAACTCAGCATTTCTGAA
Source organism: Homo sapiens (assembly GCF_000001405.40). Lineage (NCBI taxonomy): Eukaryota > Metazoa > Chordata > Mammalia > Primates > Hominidae > Homo > Homo sapiens. Next base: position 54,994,351 of record NC_000017.11, read on the forward strand.
GCAGAACTCATGACATTTACATCACACCATATTCTGCTCAACTCTTCCCAAACAGAGTCTCTTCCAGTTTACCTAGTCTTGGTGAATGACAGCTTCTAGCTACACAAAGTCAGAAAATTTAACAGCTTCCTATTTCAACTCCCATAACACTGTTCAATTCATTAACACATACCATTGACTTTTTTACTCTCGAAATATCTCTTGAACCCATCAGTCTTCTTGATCTTTATTCTTATCACTGGAGCTTAAACTGTCATCAGTTTTGAATCAGCCCTTTCAGTAGCATCGTTTGTTCTTATGCACCATACCTATTTCCCTCCCAACCTACATATCTTACTAATATTTGGTTGCCTGCAAGGTTCCATATAGTGTGGCTTCTGCCCTGTCCTTCTCTGCCTCTCCATCACTATGCTTCCAGAGTAGCATTTTCTCAGTTCCTGGAAGGGGCGAATTTCTCTTTTTTTTTTTTCTTTTCCATCTCATATGCTGTTCCCTTAGGAAACAGCACTCCATTTCCTTTCCCCCATTATTTCCAGTTATCAATTCAAAGACTGCTGCCTAAGGGTTGTGTTGCCTGCTTTCCCCCAGTCTAGGCTAGGTTTTATTTTTTTCTACATATGCTCCTAAATCCCATTCCTTTCCTTTGTGTCACCTACCTCAGTTTGCAATGATATATTTATATTTATGATTGTTTAATCATCTCTGCCTGAACCACAAGACAGTATGTTTCTTAAGGGCAAGGATGCTATCTGATTTTATTCACAGTAATATTGTTAGTCCCCACTGTGGTGCCTGACACATACATACTTGCTCAATTTAAATTTATGAATGAACGGTCCCGTAGTCATTTTCTCACATTTCTGAGGATTACTGATCTGCTTATTTACCCTTCCACTGGCACCATTTGGGCTCCACACCAAGGTACTTCCTCCTTGGGCCTTTGTGTCAGATTTCCGACAACACTTTAAAGTTCTCAAATGTTCATTTTTATTTCTTTCTTTTGTTGCTGGTAACATAGGGAAAGCAGACAGAAATCAAAATCCTCTCTTCAAATCTGATAGTATATTTCATATTTTCTTCAGTTGGTTCTAAGATATACATTAAAACATATACATATAAGCTATGCATGCACACACACATATATATAACATGCATATATCGGTATGTAATATACTTATGAGTGTGTGTATGTACGTATTTTTTCCTCTTCTATCTCTGAAATTATAGGTCTCACAGTCAGTGTCATCATGTAATTTGTGGCATTGAAGTAGGACATATTTAACTTTCAGAGGAAATCTGTTTTCATGCGGAGCATAGCACTGGAACCAGGGCTAAGGCTTTTAGATAAATATCAGGATCAGGCCTCTGGATGGCAAACTATGAAGAAACCAGTCCCACTGGTGGGAGCTGAAGAAGTAGCAGCCAAGATGGTTCGCTTTGCAGTGTCACTCTCTTTATTCCTTTGCCATTATTATTTTTGTCATAGCTACCTTAATTTCCTCAGACTGTTTCTTGGCCCCCTTTAACCTATTGTGGACTTACTGTGTACCTAGCACTGTACCAGGGAAATAACCATGAAAAGGACAGAGTTCTAGTTATGCCTAATGAAAGAATTGGTGATTCTGGCCCACTAAAAGAATCATTGCCCCTAGACTGGGAGTTGCTGATTTAGTATATTCTAATGTGAGGGCAGGGAAAAGCAGATATGTAAACATAAGGACCATACAGAGTAAGTGCAATCCTTTAGGTAAGTAAAAGTGCTTTTTGAGCAAAAAGACACAACGATTAAGTAAATCCTGGGCAACTAGAGAAAACTTCCAGCAGAGATAGTGTTTGAATTGGGCTGTGAAGTTTAAGTCAGAGTTTATTGCAGAGAAGTGGCAGGGTGGATGGTGGCATTCTAGATGGGAATTCATATGTGTGAAAACATTGAGGTTCAAAAGACCATGGCTGGTTTGAGGCACATTCTCTGAGAGTAGAATGAAGAATATGCTGGTGTGGAAGGTGGATGATGAAGCTAGAAAAAGTAAGTTGCAGTAAATTTGTTGTGCTGGGTTTGGGATGTTGAGGAGTTTCAACTTTTCCTACCAGTTGGCAGCCATCAAAGGTTCTCAATCTAATGAGTAATATAATTAAATTTGCTATCAGTATGAAAATTGTCCACAACAGATATGGAAGTCTCATTCACTTCATCTTATTTAACACGTATAATGTGCTATAATTTACATATGTTACTTAATTCTTATAGCAACCTTGTGTTACATATATTTATCCCCATTCTACAGCTAAGAAAATAGAGGTTCATAAAAGCTGAACAACTTGCCTCAGTTCACAGTAATAACTGGAGTTAAAAGAAGGTCACCATCAGTCTACATCTTGTAAAAGTACAGGAAAGGAATCTTAAGGCTTACAGAAGGACTATTCCTTAGTATTAGGTATAATGAGTTAGTTAAGTCAGAATTAGGCTGTATAGATGGTTTCTCATAATATTGAAATGTATTATTTAGAAAACTATATACCAAAGTCAATATAGAAATGAATAGTACTGGTCGTTTTTAACAGAAGTGTTTATGTGGTCAGGAATATATTATTATTTCAACATCTACATGAATGTCAATGTGAAAGAATTCAGATCTGAAGTTCAGCATATGAAAGTGCTTGGCACATTGCCTCCCATGTCAGGTAGTTGCTCTGTAACTGCTGAATTGGAATCTAGACTGTGTGGAAGAGGTCTCAACATATCTCTGAAGTTAGTATCTTCACATATACATTAATCCATCTGGGGCAGAATGCACTCGAATGCCAGACTTACAAAAATAGCTTTGTTTTCATTTGCAGGTTCTGACTTTTAAACAGGTTCAGAAATTCACATGATCAGCTAAGATCTTATTCTAGGAGGCAAAGAAAAAAACTAACTGCTATGAATACTTTTTAGAAAGAAAAAATATGTAAACACCAGAAGTCATAGTCAGAAGGCATTCTTCTTCTTCTCTTTTCTGACTCCCTTCCTGCCAGAAAATGCAGCTTCTATACATCAGTGTACTTTAATACAAGATGGGCTAAATTGCCTTCATGTGAACTTTTTTTCTGTACTAACACTGCATGTTATGTTGTCTGACTTTGCTAACTATGTTTAATCACATATTTACATAAAATCAAAAATTTTTTTTAAATTATATATATAACATAAATATATATAATATAAATATATATATTATATAATATAAATATATATATATTTTATATATTTTATATATATATATATTTTTTTTGAGACAGATTTTTGCTTCATTGCCCAGGCTGGAGAGCAGTGGCGTAGTCATGACCTTGACCTCCTGGGCTCAAGTGATCCTCCCACTTTAGCCTCCTGAGTAACTGAGACTACAGACATGTGCCAGCTATTTTTTTTTTTTTTTTTTGAAAGATGGGGTCTAACTATGTTGCCCAGGCTGGTCTTGAACTCCTGGGCTCAAGCAATCTTTCTGCCTCAGCCTCTCAAAGTGTTGGGTGTACAGATGTGAGCCACCGTGCCTGGCTTATATATTTTTAAAAATTAAGTTGACTCTTTTGGCTTAAGTATTTTAAATAATGTTTACATTTCAGTAGGATAGGGTCATTATGCATCTAGATTATATAATCTTTTACACACTATTTGAGATATGTTTCTATAAAATCCTTTCATGAATGTTTTATGTCAATTTTGTTGTTTTCCTATATATTCTTTAGTCAGTGAAAGAGATAGTACTTCATGTCTTTTTAAAAAATAATAATACCTGTTGTTATTTAGGAGTAAAATAACTGTGAATCACCATTATTACAAATAATACAGCTTAGATCAAAGATCAGTATCCAAGGGATATATTTTAGTAGATAAGACTTTAAAGAAAGATGTTTTCTTGAATTTGTGGAAGTTACTTAAGTACCATCAAGGTGAAAATCTCCCTTTTTAACCATATAAGCTTTTTCTGTAGTTATAAAAATAATGGTTTCTACCACTGTACTAATTAATGATAAATAGGGAAATACCTTAGGAACTGTAAAAGAAGAAAGCTTATTTTTATTTTCTAGTTTGAATGAAAAGAAAAGACAAAAACTGGGAAACTTATCTAACATATCTAACAACCACATTAACTCTTGTTCCTGATATGCTCTGTCTTACTCAGTTAGGCTAGCTGTGAGCAAGCCAGGCCTTAGCAAAGGCAACACCAGGCAGCCAGTTAGAATTGTCATTATTAGCAGGATATGGCTAACAATATATGCACAGCCAACTAGGCCTTAATCATAGGGGGATAGCAGGTATAGTAAAAAAGATTATGCTGAAATATGGGTAGGATCAATATAATTAAAATCCTTGGCCAGGCGCAGTGGCTCACACCTGTAATCCGAGCACTTTGGGAGGCCAAGGTGGGAAGATTGCTTGAGCCCAGGAGTTTGAGACCAGCCTGGGCAATGTAATGAGACCTCATCTCTACAAAAAATTTTGAAAATTTAATTTTTTTTTTTTAAAAACCCTTGACTAAAGTTTTAAAAATCTCAATGTGGGATAAATCCACACACACATTGAACAGTTTGGTGGGAGGACATATGTAGGAATGCAGAGAAAATAAAATAAATGAGTTTTGTATTGTGAAATATCCCACAGTTATTTGGCCCACTTTATCACAGAGTCAGAGCTTTATCAGCCCCATAGTGCTCAGTTTTTAAAACAGGTCCCTTTTCCTGGTATACTGGCCTATGTCCTACCTACCATATTAAGAATTCTTTACCACGTAAATTTATTCATGCAATACATGAACCATTCCATTTTACTCATAATATATGTTACCAAACCAGACTTTAATCAAGAGATTTTGCTACTGAGGTTGTCTAAGATTTTACTTTTTACTCTTTTTGAAGGCATTCTTCACGAAAACTTTTCATTGCTTTAATTACATCAATTAATTTTTTTTTAAATACCTCATTAGTTCCTTTATAAATGTTACTGTTTTTGTTAGGATGGTCGTTTGAAGCCAGGAGATCAACTTGTCTCAGTCAACAAGGAATCTATGATTGGTGTATCATTTGAAGAAGCAAAAAGCATAATTACCGGAGCCAAGTTGAGGTAACTATACTATCCATGAGATAGAATGAGTCATTTAGAATGTCTCCTTGAAAGCAGTAATTTAAGATGTATTAAGTACTTTATAATAAGTATTTTTTAATAACATCTGAAACATTATCTTGGATTTCAGTTGTACTATATTCATAGCATATCCATAAAGTGATTTCTTTTTAGTACTAGGTTAGAATCTGCTTGGGAGATAGCATTCATAAGACAAAAATCCGACAACATTCAGCCAGAAAATCTGTCATGTACATCACTTATAGAAGCTTCAGGAGAATATGGACCTCAAGCCTCAACATTAAGTCTTTTTTCTTCTCCTCCTGAAATACTAATCCCAAAGACCTCATCCACTCCCAAAACAAATAATGACATTTTATCTTCTTGTGAGGTAAGTCAGGTAATCTTAAATTTCTCTATATATGCACTCCATAAATTCCCTATACATTTTTACATTGGTTATGTACATATAGAATTATTTCAGTAAAATTGTTAACAAATTAATATTTCTTTGAAAGATTTTTTTCTATTTAAAATTTTTATGCTGTGTTTTCAATAAACATATTTTAAGTCAGCATGTCCTGTGTCCAGGAGCATGATTGGTTAGAAAATACCAGCATGACAAAATGGTTCCACAAAGATATGCCTAGATATCACTCAAAACTATGTTAAGAATGTCATATTTGGTTTCAGTTGGTTTAGTTATTTGCCATTTCTGTTCTCTGCTTGACTGAAGTGAGGCCATCTTCCTTTTTGTTCCTTAGCTTCTTTCCCACACAGTGAGGCTAATCCCAGGCATCCAATCTAAGAAGGTATTGCTCCTTCATGTGTGCATGCTATAGTTCACCCAAGTAGAATCACACAAAATGGGGAATTTCTATATCAGAATTAACATACTCAATTACTAACTGCTATATTATCTGAACAAATTACAGTTACAGAATAAAGTGTGTATTATTTATATCTGTGTTAGCTGTAAAATAGGAAACTTAAGCTTTTAGTCAGTAGAATAAAATTCATCAAAGGTAACTTCAGTCTCTGGTACATGCTGAACAGAGACAGAGTATAAGATTTTCTGTCAGCCCCTTATACTTTGTCACTTGGAGCTATAATACTTTTAAAAGACAAGATGAGTGGCCTTATATTTTGTTATCCTTGGATGTGGTAGAGCTGAAAGCAATTGTTACCTTTAATTCTGAATTGCTTTGTTTGAAGATGCATATACCAAAATTTTAGAGGTTTCATATTTGAGGGATAATTACTTTAATCTCTTTAACCATTCTTTTTATGTTAACATGGGCTTCAAGTGACCTACTTTAGTAAATGACATTGCATGTTCCTCATTTTCTTTCACAGATAAAAACTGGATACAACAAAACAGTACAGATTCCAATTACTTCAGAAAACAGTACTGTGGGTTTGTCTAATACAGGTAAATACACATTTAATTTCTATTTCCTGTTTTTTATTTCAATTCTCTCTCAATGAGGAGTGTGTAATGTGACTTAAGACTTTGAAGAAGGGTGAATTATGTCTTTGTTCCTTCAGTGAACGAAAAAGTAAAAATAATGTCTTTCCGTTGGGCCCTGTTAAAGTATGACTTTTATTAGATATTTCCCTGAACAAAGAGTTGAAGTTTCAAAAGATGCATTGTCATAACAGTGTTTATGAAGCTGTAATAATTAATGAATTGTTTAAATCAAATAATGGAAAGTCTTCTATAAAGATCAAGATTAGGTTGCCATGTCCTTTTAGTGCAATACTGATGAGGCATATTAAATACACCTTTCGGAAAACACATTATAGAAGGGAGCATACCTTAAGAAAAGAAATGTATCTTGTTTTTTTGGAAGAAATCATATGGATATCAATTATAAAGGGTGTCAGTATTGTTAATTCATTATTATTGATTCTTAATTACCATAAAATGATTTACTGACTTTTTAAAACAATAAAGCGTTAATTATCTAAGCCAAATGTAAAATAAAGATTTTTATGTGGCTATAAGGTGCTTACAGGATCAATACGAAGAAAAAAAGCCCCCTGAAATTATCTCCAAAAGTTAAACACAACAATGATAAAAAGACTAAACATAACTGAAAAACTAATTATATATGCCTAATTATAAGGTAAATTTTTACCTGTATATTTTAATTTTGTTTTAATAGCATTATTTATATAAGAACTGAAAAATAAGGAAGCATTAATTTAAATTAAATAGCTACCAATCTTTTTTTTGAGATGGATTCTTGCTCTGTCGAAGTTCCGCCTCCTGGGTTCACGCCATTCTCCTGCCTCAGCCTCCCAAGTAGCTGGGATTACAGGCGCCTGCCACCATGCCCGGCTAATTTTTTGTACTTTTAGTAGAGATGGCGTTTCACCATGTTAGCCAGGATGGTCTCGATCTCCTGACCTCGTGATCTGCCTGCCTTGGCCTCCCAAAGTGCTGGGATGACAGGCGTGAGCCACCGCTCGTGCCTGGCTCAATAGCTACCAATCTTTACAGGAGTTTATACTATATTCCACAGTAGTTTCCTCCGATTTGGGGTGGTATTTACCAGTGGGTTAATAGCAATCTTAAGCCATGAGTTATATTACCTTTTACTTAGATTTATTGACCAACTTTATAGCATTATTCCTCTTACATAATTAATTTCCAGTCTCTGCATGTACTGTATTTATTTTAAACTGGGAACCCTTATGAGAAGAAAAAGACAAATGAAACAGTCATGAGATGAGCATCAAAATTGCTAGATGATGGAAGTCAGAACCCTTTATTCCTTGATATTATAAAATATTAATAATTATATAACATGTTTTTAACTTTTAAAGTAATTGAACTATTCAATGCCTATTTTAACCTTTTATTCAGTAAGGTTTTACTATGTTATATGTGTAGAATACAGTACAACGGGAATTATGAAGAAATTAGGATATTTTCTGTGAGATACTTAATAGTATATTGTGAAATAAAACATGGGGCTAAAAATTATAATTATTGAAATTAGGAAACATTCTAATTTATATGCATGTATTTGTTTATAGATGTGTGTGTATGTTTATTTTATCAAGCAGCTACTATTTGCAGTTTTTTGTGTTAATCAGAGCAGGATATGGGTGGTTTTGTTACTCTAAAAAGCATTCTGTCTTGTGGATGAATAACACATTTACACAAATTATGTAAAGACATGAACAAAGAGGCCTAAGGAAGGAAGTAGTGAGTGCTATGAGTATGGTATAAGGAAGGCACAGTGGTTACCACCAGGCTCTGAATACAGACTCAGTGTTCAGGTTCTTGCTTTCATCTTATTAGCTCTGTAACCTTGAAATAGTTACAAGTTACAAGGAGTTGTTATGAGGATTAAACAAGATCTTGCATGTCAAGCACTTATATTGTAATTAGTGCATAGTATATGCTTACTAAATTTTCCTGTTACTAATAATATGGAACCTATAGCTTAGAGTGTAGCTCAGATAATATTCTAGGTCATGTTTATAGAGCAGAAGGAAAGCTTCCAATTCTTGATTCAATTTTATGTCCTCCCCTTGACCCCAAAAACTAGTATATAATAAGGAATCTGTCACAATATGCAGAAATTAAGAAAAATTTCTTGGCAAAAGTCAGACATTATCCAAATCTTGAAAAAAGTGGTAAACATCAATTGATAACTGAACACAGGAGATCGTTTCAAGTTAAGGAAGCACCACAAATAAAAGCATAGAACTAAGGATGAGCTAGATGTCAGATGATTCTAAGAGTCAGGTGTGATTAGAGCAGAGATCTTGTTAACAATGAATAAACTCAGGTAAATTTATACCAGTCGCTATAAGAATAGTGGTAGATTTTGTAATAGAAAAATAGGTTAGTGAAAAATATATTTAAGTAAGTTATAGGTAAATATTAAAATACAATTAAGACGGAACATTTTTCTAGAGTAGAAAGTGCATCAACTCAGTCTCATTTTCTTCTACATAAATGTAGTAGGCAAGATATTTCTGGGGAGTGGAAAAAAGGCAAAATCACCTCTAAATTATCTCTAGATAACTTATATACATTGTGATTTGCATATTATAAGTACCTAATTATAGATTGTTACAAATCAGAAATTAACCATCACTTCTAGATTTCTTCAGTTACCTGATGCTAATACAAAAAATATAAACAAATTTTAATGTTAACCTCAACAAAAGTAAATGTAATTAGATAGTTCTATTTCTGTTCTTATCTAAAAATCATCCCAAAGTGTAAAATAGGTTAGAATTTTTAAAATCCACATAATATTTAAATGTTTTAAAAATGATGCTATTATACAGAAATTTATTTCAAAATCCAGAGTTGTTTACTAGTGCTATATATAAGTTGAATAACACATGAGTTTGTAAGTGAGCTAACAATATACTAAAGACATTTCTAAGGATAGCAATAAACAATTGTTGCAGCCAGGTGCGGTGGCTCACATCTGTAATCCCAGAACTTTGGGAGGCTGAGACGGGCAGATCACTTGAGGTCAGGAGTTCGAGACCAGCCTGGCCAACATAGTGAAACCCTGTCTCTACTAAAAATAGAAAAAAAAAAAATTAGCCAGGCACAGTGGTGCACGCCTGAAGTCCCAGCTACTCGGGAGGCTAAGGCAGGAGAATTGCTTCCTTGAACCCAGGAGGCAGAGGTTGCAGTGAGCTGAGATTATGCCACTGCACTCCAGCCTGGGTGACATAGCAAGATGCCATCTCAAAAAAAAAAAAAGAATTGTTGCATGAAGAAATACAGTCATTATTTTAACTTTACTAATAGCGCGTAAAGCCTTAATTCCTTTAGACCAAGTCTTTTGAAACTGAAGCAAAATAGTTATGGGGAAAAATATCCATTCAGAGTTCATGGTATTAAGCAAATTGTATTGATCCTTTCCTTACAAAACATTCCTTTTCTTCTGCTGCTACAAAGAGGATAGGAACAGAAAATCCGAGAGAGGCCAGGCATGGTGGCTCACACCTATAATCTCAGCACTTTGGAAGGTCGAGATGGGAGGATCATTTGAGCCCAGGGATTCAAGACCAGCTTGGGCAACATTGTGAGACCCTGTCTCTACAAAAATTAAAAAATTAGCTGGGCATGGTGGCATACACCTGTGGTTCCAGCTACTTGGGAATCTGAGGTGGGAGGATCGCTTGAGCCCAGGAGGTCGAGGTTGCAGTGAGCTGTGTTTAGGCCACTGCACTCCAGCCTGGGAGACAGAGCAAGACCAAGACGCCTCTAAAGAAAGGAGAAGGAGGAGGAGGGGGAAGGAGGAGGAGGCGGGGAGGAGGAGGAGAAGGAGACGGAGGGAGAAGGAGAAGGAAAAGAAGTGGGGAGAAGGAGAAGGACAAGAAGGAGAGAGAGCCAAGAGAATAATAAGCCATACTTAGAAAAACTCACTCCCCCAGAAAGGAGCAAATAAAGAGCTTGGAGCTGGGATAGAGAGATGTCATTGGCAGATGAGGAAAACTTCTATGAGGGGCTTTCAGGTAAAGTTACTCTGAATTGACAAAGTGTGCTGGAGTTATACACAGACCCTCTTAAGGTTTTAACTCAAAAGTAAAGGTCTAAGTTGTCTGGAAAAAACAAGATTTTGTTAAGCCCTGATTGCATATTGTTAAATGAAGGTTAGTGTAATTTTACATTAAATCTCCTTATAATACAGTGTCTCTGTGTTGATATTAACAATACTGCATAAGTTTTCACAGTAGTTTTCTATGATATTGTTGATCTTCTAACTCCTATGAGGCAGTCTGGTTTATTCCCTCTACTTTATAGATGAGCAAACTGATTATGAAAGATGTTGAACACACTTAAGAACATTGGTCTGGAGTCACAAGAGATTAGACTCGTGACATTATAATGTACTAGCTGTGTAACCTAGGCTAATTTCTTTACCTTTTCCTGCCTTGGTCTTTCATCTTTGGGATGGGAATAATAACACCTATGGTCACTGTGGTCATTTTGAAGATTAATGAGCTTATATAGGTACATAGTTTACTGTTTAGATAGAAGTAAGCATAAATAGGAGCTTCTGTTCTTTTCACTGTTAGAGATAGCAAATTTTTATGCTTAGATGTAGGAAAACGTAAGTGAGAACACATTCCTCAGTGTGTCAGTGTTGTAGGTGTTCCTGTCTCACCTTCTCTCATTCTCCTCTCTCCCCCTTGCTCTCCCCTCTGCAACTCTTCCAATCACTTAACACTTGAAATGAATAATTCAAGCCCAGGTTTAGTCTTTGAGACCATAATCAGGTTCACTTGGGTCCACCTAGTGTTAATGTGCCTTAATTGCAGACCAAACACCAAGCTGGAAGTCATTGACAAGCTTCACATATCCAAACCTTAAAGGATGAAAAATAAAGTTATCTGCTGGTTGGTCTTCCATATCATTCCACTCCATGCTATCTTTATACTACACTTTAGGTTTGGCACAGGATTTCTCTTAAGAGAGGAAAAAAATTATATGTATGTATATAAAAAAATTATATGTGTATGTGTGTATATATATGCATACCCATATATGTATATGTGTATATATGTATATATGTATATGTGTGTGTATATATATACACTATGTATATATTATTTTTAATTTCATAGCCAACAATTAGGTATCATGATTACAAAGGAGATTCACTTACTTTTATCAGAATTGTAAAAATTCTATTTAATACTAAAATCAGTCTTTTTCAAAGTTTAATTCCATTTGAAGCTAAAAGTCAGCATCCATTTTTTTATGATCTTGACACCTATAAGCTATATTAAAGATTTTACATAGAATGTTAAGGATGTGTTAAAGGTTTAGAGGAAGACTATTTATTTTCATATGCACTTCTTATGTTCTTAAGAGAATGCAAATCATTTTGTACTTAGAGACAGATGCTCTGAGAAATTTTAAAAAATTAAAACACTGCATAAAGATGTGACATTTTCCAAAGATTTTTCTTCTTCCTCTTGTTTCTATGTAGAACTAGTAAAATATCATTTAAAAGTGTATTTAGAATAGTGGCAATTTAGATAGTAAGATCAATATGAATTACAGGAATTTGTTTTACAAACTTTGGCATATTAAAACGTACAGTATTTCAAGTTCTGGTCTTTTGTAGCATCTTTTTTATTCATGCACTAAGGACAAAGGCTCATTTAAATAATCAGGGTATATTGAGAAGATGTAGAAAAATGGGTAAGAAGTGTATGACTTTTAGCTCTTGCAAATTCATTTATGCTACTTGAAATGTAACCTGTCTTTAAAATAAGAGATAAGATTTTTAGCTCAAAGTACAGAATCTGTATTATACTTTATGTGCAAACTTGAAATGACTTGCATTTATGGTTTTTTCCAGAGTACTTCCAGAATACACATCACAAAACACTTTTGCCAGTCGAAAAAATACCAACATCTTTGAACAAAAAGACTTTTTATCTTTTTAAGGCATTGTGGTGATGTAGTAGTGGTGGGATGTATGTTTGTCTTTTAAGTTAATATATCTGTGGGACTTCACAATGCATAATTGCCTACTCTTATATCTTAGGACTTAAGTAAAGCCAACTTATATAAAAAATTTAGACTTAAAAAAATTATGAAAACTTGCCGGGTGTGGTGGCTCACTCCTGTAATCCTGGCAGTTTGGGAGGCTGAGGCAGGCAGATCACCTGAGGTCAGGAGTTCAAGACCAGCCTGGCCAACATAGTGAAACCCTGTCTCTAACTAAATATACAAAAATTAGCCAGGCATGGTGGCATGCACCTGTAGTCCCAGCTACTTGGGAGGCTGAGGCAGGAGAATCACTTGAACCCGGGAGGCAGACATTGAGCCAAGATCGTGCTACTGCACTCCAGCCTGGGCAACAGAGTGAGACTCTGTCCCCCCTCCAAAAAAAAAAAAGAAAAGAAAAAAAAATTATGCAAACAAAACTAAAAGCTGCTAACTGATTAGCTAGAATTATTTTTGAACAGCAGGAACTCAGAACATATCCTGTCAAATAAAAATTTCGATTCCAATTAAGTTCCCAATTAATGTGCACCCTGTTGTCTCTTAGATGTTGCTTCTGCCTGGACTGAAAATTATGGGCTACAAGAAAAGATCTCCCTAAATCCCTCTGTTCGCTTTAAGGCAGAGAAACTGGAAATGGTAAAACCTTTAAATTTTCATTTTTCTTCCATAAGACAAAAACAGGAAAGAAGTATTCTCCTTCTTTGAGAGGATAAAGTACTGGAGTCATTAGTTTCTTGAAGTTACTTATTTACAATTAAATGAATGGCAGTTTGGATTTAAATTATTTAATTCACATTTGAATTTGGTAGTTCATGGTGGTTCACTAGTACAAAATAGAAATAAAATCTTTCATAACTAAATTGGCATTTGGATCAAATAGTTTTCTCCTCGGAGAATAAGACAAATGTGATTTTTACAGTCTAGAATAAATGGAAAGATGTAACAAATTATGGCAAAGTAGACGAGGCTTCATAATGGCAATAAACACAATCAAGTAATAGTCCATTATTCAATTTTTTTTAAGTAAAGGGAAACAAAATTTTAAAGAACAAAATAGTCAGATGTCCACTAAATATAGAAAGATGGTGGCAGTATACTAAAGCACTGAAAAGTAGTCCTGGGGAAAGTGGAACATTGAGACTCTCATGTAAAAGAAACTTAAGATGATTAAAAAAGAAAAATTAAAGGCAGAAAAGCACTCGAAAGCATTTATCAGGTTACCAGGGATCTGAAGGGAAAAATAAGCCCCTTTTTTTTTTTTGATGTAAAATGGATATACTGCTGAAAGACCACAAACTCTACCTTCCAGTCAGTTTTTGAGGATAAAGCATTCTTACATTTTAGGAAGAGTATAAAAATGCATAGCTAAAATAAAGCACACAATCTGTTTATTCCCATATCCACACCTTTGCTTGGTCCTATGATAGTCCTTTCTCATTGCCAATTTGAATCTTATCTAAATTCTAACTCACATAGGGGAGAAAAGTTTTCTCACCCATCGGTAGATTCATGGCTAAGACACCTATAACAAAAGACAGATTAACGAGAAAATAGCATGCAGATTTATTTAATGTATGTTTTACCTGACATGAGAACCTTCAGAAATGAAAACCCAAAGAAACAGGGAAAACTGTATTTTTATGAACAGTCATACAGAAGTGTAATTGGAGCACAAAAGGGTGTAATCTGATGGTAATAAACTGGGGGGAGCATAGCAAGGCCTGTTTGTTCAGATTCTTAACATCTCTGTGTCTTCAGAGTTGAAGATATTTCCTTTCCTCTAGGTATAGGGAGGTCCTCTCTGGAATGAGGGTCTTTTAATCTACTTTTAGGGGAGGATCAGCTGGGTTTTATGGCCCACCTCAGGGGAGAAAAGGTGAGAGAAGGTAAGAAAGACCTTCCGGCTTCTGCTGTTTTCTTGCACACCAAAGTGCCATACTTTGAGGCAGCATGTCCTGGATTTTGTCATTCAGTTCCATCTCCTTCATTCAGACTTTGCTAACTATTATAGTTCGGACCAACATTGCCTTCTTTTGCACGTTAGTAGCACTTACCTTCACTTTTTGGTGCCCTATAATCTTTTCTATATCTTGTTTTATCAATGAAATTATAAGTGTCTTCACCGCAGACCCTGTAGCACCTATTAGTGTTTAAATAGCTGCTTCGTGCTCCATAAAATTTTCCAATTAATTAGATACTTGAGATGTCTCCTTTATACTTTCAAAATCCTGAGTATCTTTTGTAACGTGTGTTTATGTTTGTGGCTAAAATGTAAGTTCTGGCTAACGCTTGGTCTGCAATCAGTTAATAGTAATATTTTCAAAAATAGAGTGTTTGAAGTTTAAAAGCATGACAATTACATATCTAAAAATGAATAATTATTCAATGATATTGATTTAGTATACATTTCTGAACATCCAAGATTTAATACCATTCTTCTGGATAAGGAGAAATTTATCCAGCTAACTGCTTTACCTGACAGACTTTGTTATTTTACTTAGTTTAAATTTTTCTAGCACATGATATTATTTTTAATCTGATTAATATTCTTTGAGGTATGAAAATCGAAATTTGTATTGATTCTGAGAAATATGAGTTGCTTGGCCATTAAATCTGAATTCCAGTTTTGGTTCCCCTTTAAGCCTTAACAAATTATTTTTGTGGAAAAGTAAAATGCCAGTTTTACATCAAAGAAACCCACATTTGATATAAATTCAGCCTCTGCTCTTAATCAAGATAGACTTGTTAATTTTATTTAGTAGAGCATTCTTTTTTTTCAGTTTGAAACTATATTTCTCTTAATAACTTTTTTCGTGAAATCTACATTAGCATCTATCCACCCAAATTATTTCTTGAGCTACTCTTCTTGTTTTGCATTACTGATGCAATACAACACAAGTAAAAGCTATTACTTGTTTTGCACATACTGATATTAATGTCATAATATCAGTATCATCTCAGCTTGAAATAGGTCCTTCTCTTTTGGTTGCTACTTTGTAGACAGATTCAACTTTGTTGTCCATTACGTTTTAACACATTCCTATTCAGTAATAAATAAGGCCAATGTGATCAGGTATTTAAAATAAAATAAAATAAAATAGTATATTTTTTAATCTTCTATAAACATTACACGTGGCAGCTCGAAAATTGGTGTTTTAATAAAATTTCACAAGGAAAGGATGTTTACTAATTATGAATTTATTAAGTAATTAGCCTACCCAGTACAATTTTTAAGGAAAGCAGAGAGGTTAGAATTTGATTAAGGAAATTACCTGTCAAGACAATGTCATATATATATATATACACACATACAAACATATATATGTTCAGACATATGTATATATACATGTGGCATTGTCATGAATTCTTTTATATTTTATTGGTTTAAGTAGAGAAATTTATAACACTGAACTAGTTATTTCTTAATTCCTTGTCTGTAAAATGGATTTACATTTGCCTCTTTCTGTGAATACTCTGAGAATGATTTAATATACAGATATTTTAATGTTATTTCAGCATAGTTATTTGTAGTGATATATTTCTTCAAAGTATGAATAGTATATGTCTCATTTGATCCTAATATTAAACTTATAAATATGCATTATAAACTTAGCAAATAGGGATACAATTTATTGCTTGGCTTGAAATCAAAATATCGTACCTCTGCATTATCTGTATATTTATACCTATGGAAGATGCTTTGGGATATGGATGCCATTTCGCTGATATTTACTTTTACCTCTTGCCATTTCTGTAACGTTTCAAGAAAACTGTAGAGAGCAATGGCATACCCAATGTCTCATTATAGTTAATGAAATATTCTTTGTATTAGGCTGAAAGGTGTGTGACTAATATTGTAACAAAGTAATTTTTAAAATTCATCATTCAGACATCAGAAAAACTTCAGCACATTTATTTGTCTAATTAACAAACTTTTATTTTTGCTTCAGATTAAAAGATGACCTTAGTCATTTAATAAATTATTGGAACCAACTTTTTGTTTTACTTTTTTCCCCATACATATTCTGCTTACATATGAGACCTACTTTTTGATAAAACATGTTACTTCCAACTTAAATTTAAGAGCTTACCTAACATGACATGTGGTATTCTTCTAGTGTGAATTTTACTTTCAACAAAACTGTCATTTATTACTAAGCTTAGCTCTATATCAAAGTACACTGAGTTAATTGCATTGTGTAATTTTATTACTTAATGTAAGAATTACCATATATTGAGCACCTTCTGTGATAGACACTTTATTTGCATTATTTTTTTTAATTTTTTTTAAATTTCTTTATATTAAAATATTAATCATGTACAAGAATGTATGTATTATACACATACAGTTTAAAGAATAATAAAACACACATTTACCCATCACCCAACTTAAGAATCAGAACCTTTGACATTGCTAATGTATTTCTTCTTGATCATATGTACCTCTCCCCAAAAGAGGGGAAATTTTGAGTTCGTCATTTCTGTATTTTTCAAAAATTTTCAGTTAATTTAAGTATTGTGGGATCAAAGAGTTTATTTTCTTTTTCTTTTTTTTTTTTTTTTTGCAGTTGCAAGATTTAATAGAGCTCCCATAACAAAGGGAGGGGACCCAAAGAGGGTAGCCATTGGTGGCTCGAATGCATGAGTTTATATCCCGATCATTGTCCTTCCCGCTGTACTCTCAGGCAATAAATTATTGGCTATTTCTTTACCTCCTGTTTTTGCCTAATTAGCATTTTAGTGAGCCCTCTTTACTACCTGATTCGTCGGGTGTGAGATAAGTTGCAAGCCCTGTGTTTAAAAGTGAATGTGGTCAGCTTCCCAGCTAGGCTTAGGGATTCTTAGTCGGCCTAGGAAATCCAGCTAGTCCTGTCTCTCAGTCCCCCCTCTCAACAGGAAAACCCAAGTGCCATTGAGGAGGTTGGCCGACGACCGCTCTAACTGCTTCCTGCTGAACTGGGGTGTAGTAGGGTTTGTGCAGTTGAGATTTCCTCAGGAGGGGTGCCTTCGATGTCATTAACATCAGAGCATGGGCTAGCAGGCCGGTCCAGGGGTCCGCGGTAGATCTTAGTCATGGACTGCATCAGGTGCTCCATTTGAAGAACTATTTATGGTTTTACAGCTTCGATTCTGGAAGAGACAAGCTTAACAAGGAGGTTAAAGATACAGGGATTGAAATGTATAGCCTGCAGTGCAGGGGATTATTTCTTTGGCACACTTCACAGTGCACCATTGGTTACCTTTCCATTGGTTAGCTGCAGGCAAAAGTATTTTTCCTTCTTCGGTGGCTAGCCATCCTGAGGGGAGGAAACTGTGTCCTCATGAGGTTCCCCATTCTATTTCTTCTTCTGAGTACTGGGGCTTTGTTTCCCGGAGGGCATTACCCCATAGTAGGGTTCCTTCTATAAGCATTTCTAATGGAGGGTCCTGCCTTGCAGCTCTTTTTGCTTCAATATCTGCTTGGCAGTTCCCTTCTATTTCCCTTTTCTTTCCTTTCTGATGACCCCAGCAGTGTAAGACTTCCACCTCTTTAGGTTTCTGTACTGCCAGTAATAATCTCCTAATGGCTTCCTGATGTGTGATAGGTGTTCCCTCGGAAGTTAGGAATTCCCTTTCTCTGCATATTGCCTCATGGGCATGGAGGACTAGGTGAGCATACTCAGAGTCTGTATATATATTTACCCTTTTCCTTCTCCTAATTCTAGTGCCCCAATGAGGGCTATTAGTTCTGCCAGCTAAGCACTAGTTCCTGGAGTGAGGGGATTACTTTCAAATATTCCATTATCACTGACCACTGCATACCCCGCTTTTTGAGGTCCTTTTTCTACAAAGGAACTTCCATCAGTATACAAGTTGAGGTCAGGATCAGTCAAGGGAACCTCTAGAAGGTCCCCTCGAGTGGCATAGGTTTGAGAAATTATTTGTTGACAGTTATATTCTATCTTCATTGTCTGGAAGAAATGTGACTGGGTTAAGAGTTGCACAAGTGCACAGTTGCAGCACTGGCCTTTCAAGTAATAGAGCCTGATATTTAAGTAAACGGTTGTCTGACAGCCACAAGTCTCCTTTAGCAGTGAGTATGCTGTTCACCTCATGAGATGTCCACACAGTAAGATCTCTCCCTGTATTATTTTAACTGCTTCAGATACTAAAACTGCTACTGCCACCACTACCCATAAACAATGAGGCCAACCCTTTGCCACTACATCAGTTTCCTTACTCAGGTATGCCATGGGTTGCAAGCTTGTCCCTTGGACCTGTGTAAGGACTCCCAGAGCTGTTTCTGTTTTTTTCTGTGATGTATAAAGAAAAGTCTTGCCCCGTTGGCAAGCTTAACACTGGGACTTGGGTTAAGGCCTTCTTTAGGGCCTGGAAAGCCACTTTTGCTTCAGGTATCCATCTTACTAAATGGGTATTGGCTTTCTGAGTTTCCTTAATTACTGTATATAATGGCCTGGCTATTTTGCCATACCTGGGAATCCATATTCGGCAGAAGCCTGTTATGCCAAGGAACTCTCTTAGTTGCTTTAGGGTTTTGAGATGAGGATAAGCCAGTATAGGCTGGATACATTCCTCACTGAGGGCCTTGGTGCCTTTGGATAATTTTAGTCCTAAGTATTTAACCTGCTGTGAGCAGAGCTGAGCCTTCTCTTTGGAAACCTTGTAGCCACAGGTGGCGAGGAAATTTAAGAGTGCTTGGGTGGCTTGATGGCACAAGGTTTCTGAACAGGCAGCTAAAAGTAAATCATCCACATACTGAAGGACAAGAGTGTCCAGGTATGATAACTGACTCAAGTCTTGGGCTAATGCCTGGCCAAATAGATGGGGGCTATCCCTGAACCCTTGGGGTAAAACAGTGCAGGTGAGTTGAGACATTGGGTTCAAAGGATCTTCAAAGGCAAACAAGAATTGAGAGTCAGGATGTACAGGGATGCAGAAAAAGACATCCTTAAGGTCCAGGACTGTAAACCACTCTGCTTCCTCTGGTATTTGGGAAAGCAGAGTATAAGGGTTAGGTACAGCTGGGTATAGAGGGACAACGGCCTCATTGATAATCCTGAGATCTTGCACTAACCTCCACTGTCCACTGGGTTTCTGTGCTCCTAAAATTGGAGTATTGCAGGGCTGTTGCATGGTTTTACTAGACCTTGGGCTTTTAGGTCCTTAACAATTTTTTTGAGTCCTTGTTGGGCCTTGGTTCTAAGTGGGTACTGCCTTTAGGGGGAGGGAGGCAGAATCCTTTAGTTTAATTTGAACAGGATGGGCATTCTTTCCTTGTCCATATTGTCCTCCTGTTGCCCAGACTTCAGGATTAATTCCTTCCTCAAGCACGGGACAACAAACGGGTGTTCCTTCTCCTATGTTCAGGTGTGTAATGGCCCCTGCTTTTGCTAGAATGTCTCTCCCTAACAAGGGAGTGGGGCTTTCAGGCATAATTAGAAAAGCATGTGAAAAGAGTAAAATTCCCTAGTTACAACTTAGTGGCTGGGAGAAGTATCTAGTGACTGGCTGTCCTAGGACCCCTCGGATAGTGACAGATCTGGAGGACAGTTGTCCGGGACAGGAGAGTAAGACTGAGAAGGCCACACCAGTGTCCAGGAGACAGTTAACCTCCTGGCCCTTAATGGTCAAGCATACCCGGGGCTCTGTGAAGGTGATGGCATGGGCTGGCACTTCCCTGGGCACCTTCAGTCCTGCTGCTGGATCCATCTGGTTAGTGGCTTCTGACTCAGAGGACCTTCATCCCCTGGGGCAATTGGCCTTCCAGTGATTCCCTTGACATAAGGGGTATGGACAAGGGGGCAGCTTATTTCTACTTGGACAATCTTTTTTAAAGTGTCCTCGTAGGCCACACTGGAAGCAAGCCCTATTAGGCATTCAATTTGCCCAGCTTTTCCCTTTTCCAGAGTCTCCAAAGTCCGCTTGCCTGAGGGCCATGACTAAAGTGGTGGCCTTTTTTTTTTGTCCCGTTTGTCCCGTTCTGCCTGCTCCTCCTGATTTCTATTATAAAAAAACCGAAGTTGCCAAGTTCAATAGGGTTTCTAAGTTTTGCTCTGGGCGTAAGGCAGACTTTGAAGTTTTTTCTAATGTCTGCAGCTGACTGAGTGATAAACTTATCCTTTAAGATTAGTTGGCCTTCAATAGAGTCAGGTGACAGAGAGGTATGCTTTCTCAATGCCTCCCTTAGTCTCTCCAGAAAGGCGGTAGGATTTTCTTCCTTTCCCTGTGTTATAGTGGACATCAGTGAATAATTCATAGGCTTCTTCCTAGTTTTCCTTAGTCCTTCTAGCACGCAAGTTAGCAAATGTCTGTGGCACCAATCTCCATGTTCTGATTCTGTGTCCCAATGAGGGTCTACACTGGGAACTGCCTGCTGGCCTGTGGGGAATTGTTCTCTTTCCTCTGTTGTCATCCTATCATTGACCTAACTGAAATACCAGAGATTGCCAAACTCTTGGGCTGCAGTTATGGCAGCACTTCTCTCATTTGGGGTTAGTGTCTGATTTAGCAGTAACATTATATCTCTCCATATCAGATCAAAGGATTGTCCTAACCCTTGTAAAGCATCAGTATAGCCATCAGGGTTATATGAGAATTTACCTAGGTCTATTAAGTCTGAGAGAGAAAAAGGTACATGCACTCTGGCTGGACCAAATTCTCCTCCTCCCACTGCTTGGAGTGGGCATAATCGGGGAATATTGGCACTCTTTGGTTTGTTGTTTACCCCTTTGTCTATCTCCTTTTGTACCGTTTGGGTTGAAAGGGGGTCCTTATTAGTTGGGGAAGGAGTCGGGGGGACGCTGGGGTAGGGAGGTAGACTCTGAGGGCTTCCTGTAGGGCATAAATCACACTTTTTACATAATTGCGAGTTGTCTCTTAATGAAAAGAAAGTTTGTACATATGGCACTTCACTCAATTTGCCTTCTTTTCTACAAAAGAGATCTAGCTGTAAGATGGTGTTATAATTTATACTTCCCTCAGGAGGCCAGGTTTCTCCCCCTTGAAGAGGATATCATGGCCAGGCAGTACTGCAGAAGAATATAAGTCATAGCGTCTGAGGGTCAAATTGGTCCCAGTTCTCCAGAATACATCTTAAGGGCATTTTTGCCTTGGAGAGAACATTTCTCTTCTGGAAAAAGAACAGGGATGCCAGCACCCCTACTCATTTTCCAATGAGCATTAGTCCTAGAGCGTCCTTTATGGTCCTAATGCTTATTCCTTTCCAGGGTGCGTCACCACCCATGGACCTCTGTTTATCGGTTTAGTTACACTCACCGATGTAGCAGTCCTGCACCTGTTTTCTCACCTTTCTTGACCACAAAGAAAGGGGTCCAGAGTGCTGGATTCTAGTCCTTTACCAGTGTGCCCAACGTTGCCTTTGTGCTCAGGGGTGAGTCCTAGAGCTGGGCTGGGTTCCTGAGTATTTCATAACAACCCAGCTGCCCCATCAAGATGCATTCCCATAAATAGTTCTTATGCAAATTCGTTTCAGAGAGGGTGTAGGTAACCTTTAGAGTCAGGATTGAGATAGTCTTTTTGATTCTGTAAGTACTTTAAGGCTTGGCTGAGTGCAAACAGCTCTCACGTTTGAGGAGACCAATTATTAGGCAATTTTTCTAACTCTGCTTCCACAAGATCCTCGCTATCAATTACTGAATACCCATTGTGGCTTTTTCCTCAATCACCTGGAAGGAACCTTCTATTGTCCTGAAGGGAGTTCCTCCTAGGTCTGGTTGGTCCTTTGTATGGTAATTAAGATTTAAATCCCCTGTAAGGAAATCTGCTGGGTTAAGTGAACTATCAGTGGTGTTAAATTACCTTTTTCTAACAGAATAGCCCCATACTTTAAGATTTTTGAGTTAGTAAGCTACCTTTTTGCTTTTTTGACTTAGAATAATTCTGAACTGGTGAGGTGTGCTCACAATGAGGTTTCCTCTAAAAGTTACTTTCCTACTTCTGTTAGCAAAGCAGTTGCCACTACAGGCTGAATGCCTCTGGGCCGTCCGTGGGTTACTGGGTTAAGGATTTTTGATAGGAAGGCTAAGGGTTGTCAGTGGTCTCAGTATTTTTAGGCTACACCCTTGTTTGCACTGACAACAAGGTAGTATTGGAGTGTTATAGGGTCACGGAGAAGACCTTCAATTATCAATTATAGGTTTTAAATTTACCCTGGCTTTTAAAGGAATAGGGCACACTGGTTTTTTACTATTTCTATCTTTCTCTTTCTCTCTTCGACTCTCTTTTTCTCCTCTGTCTCTTTCGCCTCTCTGCCTGTTTCTCTCCTCTCTGCCTCTGTCTCTCTCCTCTCTGTCTCTTTTCTCTTAGCCATTTACAAACTTGGGGCCCTGGCAAGGGTGATGGGGAACGGATCCTACATAACTGCCCATGTCGAGAGCTGTATGCCTAAATTGGGAGGGACAAGACACCAGGGACAAGACTCCCTGGGTTTATAGCCTAGATGCCTAAGGACGCAGCAGCGTAGAGCTTCCTTAGATCCCTTTGGAGATACAACTTGCTAGAGGAAATGAAAGTCTGAATCATTAGTACCTAGGAGGCAGGGATCAGAGGAAGTAGATTCAGAGGTAAGAAGAATTTGGGGGCTACACTTTCAAGAAAGTCGTGGTCGGGACCCAGGAGGTATGGGTTAGAAGGAAAGGTAGGGGTGCACGCATGGGCGACTGTTGAATAGAGACTTCTGGCTGTGCCATGATCTCAACTGGCTAAAGCCGGGAGTTCGGGACGACAGCTTTCTTACTCTAGTCGGCCCTTGGCTTCCCCAAGAAAATTGAAAGCGGAAGCTGGTTCTAGGCAGACGAATGCTCCCAACCCAGAAGGGTTGGGAGTTGTTAGAAAGCCCTTTCCCAGACAGCCTCACACCTGAGTCTTAAGTCTGGCAGCCATGCTAATCATTTTTAACTGGCCGACAGGTGCCCAGTATTTTCCTCCAATTCTAAGGAAAGATAGGACAGAATAGCAAGCAAAAGTGGTCCAATATTACTCACTGCTTTGGAGGTCCCTTCGTGGTCGCCAAAATGTTACTGGGGGTCCTTGCTCCCAGGGCTCCCAGGATGGTGGTGGGCCGCTTCCAAGATGGTGGCAAGCCTCGTGTTCTCTGACCTTGGGTTCTTGGCCTCATGGATTCCAAGGAATGGAATCTTGAGCCATGTGGTGAGTGTTAGAGCTCTATTAGAAGCCGTGGGTCACGGAAGAGAACCCACAGAACCCAGTGACTAGTATTGAGCTCGATTAGGACGCACCCGGGCGCTTAGCCGTGCAGGAACAATGGCAAGCCTTTAGCCCGATCAGGAACGGCAATGGGCAACTTGCTGGATCAGGAGCACAGCGGACACTCTGCCGGATTGAGAGGGATGGAAGTCAGCAGCGGGTCTGCGATGGCAGCAAACAGCAGTGGTGGACAGCGAGCGAAAACTCAGCTCCAGCCATAACAAACACAGACCAGAAGAGTACAGTTGCAAGATTTAATAGAGTGAAAACAGAGCTCCCATAGAAAGGGAGGGGACCCAAAGAGGGTAGTCCGAGTTTGTTTATTTTCAATTTACATGAGGTGTGTTTCATGCATCCGTGTGAAGAGACCACCAAAGAGGCTTTGTTTAAGCAACAAGGCTGTTTATTTCACCTGGGTGCAAACAGGCTGAGTCCAAAAAAGGAGTCAGCAAAGGGTGGTGGGATTATCATTGGTTCTTACAGGTTTTGGGATAGGCGGTGGAGTTAAGAGCAATGTTTTGGGGGCAGGGGGTGGATCTCACAAAATACATTCTCAAGGATGGGGAGAATTACAAAGAAACTTCTTAAGGGTGGGGGAGATTATAAAGAACATTGATCAGTTAGGGTGGGGCAGAAACAAATCACAATGGTGGAATGTCATCAGTTAAGCTATTTTCACTTTTGTGGATCTTCAGTTGCTTCAGGCCATCTGGATGTATACGTGCAGGTCACTGGGGATATGATGGCTTAGCTTAGGCTCAGAGCCCTGACAAGGTGTTGCTAAAATTTTTGCTTCTGTGTTTTCAGCTCCTACAAAAATACTTGGCTCATAGTATATGCTGAAAAAAATAATTGTTGGATTAGTTAATTGTTTTCTGAAGTAGTTTTCTCAATTGTCATTCCTACTAGTCTTATGTAAGAGTTCTTCTTGCTTCATATACTTTACATTTATTCTACATTATAATATAGTTTGAAGTATTTCTACCATCTTATTTTTTATTTTTGTTCTCCTTTTTTTATCACTTATTTTATTCCGCCTTTTTATTGTATTCTTTTGGTTTGATTATGTTTGATTATTTAATTAATTGCTTTTGCATTTTACTTTTTACCTCCAACTTGTTTGAAAATTATGTCTTCTCTTGCTATTCTTTTAGTGATTTCCTTAAGATTTTAACATGCACATTTAACTTAAAAGTCTAAGGTTAATCAGAATTCCTTTGTATATACAAAGCTCTACAATACATTAATTCTGATCCCCTGCTTCTCAATTTGTATACCTGTAATTGTCCAATATTTTAGTTTTGGCGTATCTTTGTTTAGTCTTACAAATTATGAATTATTAATATATTTGTTTAGCTTTATAAATTATGAATTATTATTATAATCTTGTAGCCAATGATAATTTAGAATTACCTGTGTTTACCATATTCTTTATTCATTGTTCTGTTTTGCATTTCTGACGTTTTGGGTGGTCATTTTCCCTTTTCTCTAAGTAACCCCTTTAAATGTTCTTTTGGTATAGGTTGATAGAAAACTCTCATTTTTTTTATTTTTCTGAAAATATTTTGCCCTCATTTTTGAAAGAGAATTTTATTGGGCATATAATTCTAGGGTCACAGTTATCGTCTCTAAGATTTTTGTAGCTCTTATTCTCATTTTTTCTGGTTTCTGTTGTTGCTGTTTTGAGAACTCAGCTGTCGCTCTGTCTTTATTTTGTAATGATCTGTCTTTTCACTATGACTGCTTTTGAAAATATTACCTGTTATTGGTGTTCTGTATTTTCACCTTGGTGTATCCAGGTGTTGATTTCTCTTATGTTAGCCTATTTAGGATTTTTCAGGCTTCGTAAATCTGAAGATTTATATCTTTTTTAGGTTCTACAAAATTCTCAGCTAGCATCACTTTGAATATTGCCTCTCTTTAATTCTCTTTATTATCTGTTACCCGTTCAATTACATATTTATTAGACAGACTCGCTCATCTTCTATGTCTTTCAGGCCTCTCCTTCATATTTTGCATCTTCTTATCTATCTGTGCTGCATTTTCAACTCTTTCTTCTACACATTATTTCTCTGCTTCACTCTCTTCAACCATCTGCTATTTCACATATTCATTGAGTTTCTAATTTGTTATTGTCTACCTAGTATTGTTATAATATATTTTTCCTAACTTTTATTCTTGATTCACCTTTTTAACTTAAATATGTTAAACATGTTCTATGTCTAACTATACAGTAGCTGCAGTCTTTGGCTGTCAAATCTGTTTGTTTGTTTGTTTGTTTGTATTTTACTTTTGCTTATGATGTCATATTCCCTCATATGTTGTAAATTTTTTTTAATTATACTTTCGGCCGGGCGTGATGGCTCACACCTGTAATCTCAGCACTTTGGGAGGCCAAGGCAGGCGGATCACTTGAGGAAAGGAGTTCGAGACTAGGCTGGCCAACATGGTGAAGCACTGTCTCTACTAAAAATACAAAAATTAGCCAGGCATGGTGGCATGCACCTGTAATCCCAGCTACTTGGGAGGCTGAGGCAGGAGAATCTCTTGAACCCAGGAGGCAGAGTTGCAGTGAGCTGAGATCATGCCATTGCACTCCAGCTTGGGCAACAAGAGTGAAACTCCATCTCAGAAAATAAAAATTAAATTTAAAAATAAAATTATACTTTCATGAAAAATGGAATTTTATCTTTGCGAATTTTGAAGCTAATATATGAAACCTCTGGAAAAGATTTACATATGTATGTTTCTTAGACATCAGGAACTACTGGAACTAAATTCCCAAGTTGTGATTTTTCCGGCTATAAAACTATTGTACTTATCGCTATAGTTATACACTCTGAGGAAAAATATTTTTTCTTCCACCCAGACCTAAGGAAGACATATTCTGTAATGTCTGTAGGACTTTCTTCTTAGTTTACCATTTTACTGAAAGTGTTCACTATGAGGTTCCAGCATTGTTTGGGTGATTTAATCCTCCTCCCTGCATTAGGCCCTAGGTGCTTTCCTCTTGCTTGCAGGTTTTAAGCCATCAAGAATTAGCAGATTCTTGGGGTGGGCATGGTGGCTTATGCCTGTAAATTCAGCACTTTGGGAGGCCAAGGCAAGCAGATCGCTTGAAGCCAGGAGTTTGAGACCAGCCTGGGCAGCAAAATGAGATCCCATATCTCAAAAATTTTTTTAAAAATTAGCCAGTTGTGGTGGTGGACACCTGTAGTCCCAGCTTCTTGGGAGGCTGAGGGAGGAGGATCCCTTGAGCCCAGGAGTTCCAGGCTGCAGTGAGCCATGATCATGCCACTGTACTCCAGCAAGAGTGAGATCCTATCTCTAAAAATAATCATAATCATAATTTTTTTATAAAAGGAATTAGCACCCATTGTCTTTATGCTCACTTACCTCTGCGTATTGTTGTTTCTTCATAAATTTTGGTATCACTCCCTCTCCTAAGCCGACCCAAGCATTTAAGGTGTTTGTGGATGTTATTGTTTATTATTATCTAGTAGTTTTTAAAAACTTTACTGGCAGGATTCCTCCAGGATCTTTTCTGTACTATCAGAAATAGTTACATTTTAACTTTCACATAAATTATAAAATGTTACTATGTTATTTTTTAGAAAAAAATGAGGATTTCTTAAAAATTTATCAAACGAAAATGACTCAAGAATAGTTTCACAATATGTATCAAAATTTGAATTTTGCCTATGATTTTCAGGCAATAATTCCTCATTTAAGAAATTTTCCTAAGTAAATAATTGGACAGGGGCACAAAGATGTATGTGGAAGGCTGTTCACAGTGGCATTGTTTATATTAGTGAAAAATTCATGGCAATCAATAGGAGCTTGATTTAATAACACATGATATATTTAAGAGCTGTGTTCATTGACATGGAATGCCTTTTTTTTTTTTCAGTTCTGTCCCTTCTGTAGGAGTGCCTTTTTAAAATAGTTTTGTTCATCAATAAAATCCTGAAAGCTTTATATACCAAAATATTAATAGTGGTTGTTGCTTGCTAGTGAACTTTTAGATGTTATTCACTTCTTTCTAGATTATTTGAATTTCTCTAATCATGAAAACATAAAATATGCAGTATCAAGGCATATATACTTTCTGTTATTTTTTTTTTTTATTCTACCCTACTCCTTTCCTTCATTCTCATGGCAATGAAGGAGGTTGTCAGAAGAGGTTGTAAGTGAATCCAATTCAGCCATCTTAGATTACCAAAGATTACAAAGTTATTTATTTTTACTCAACAAATATTTATTGTTTACTTCCTCTGGTTGAGGCATTTTAGTGTTTTGGCACTGTAAAATTGGTGGTATACAAGACAAAAAGTTGTTTCCTGGTATTTATAATTCATTGTAGTGGGGGAAGTAGAAAATTCAAAAAACAAGTGAATAACAAGAGTACATGTCAGACAATAAGACATGGTAGATTATTTCAGATTGATAGTCACGGAAGAGCTGTCTGAGAAGGTGAAATTTAAACTGAGACATGAAGCGTGAGAATTATGGTGCTAGGGAAAAACTTCTGAGATATAAGGGAACAATTAATGCAAAAGTACTAAGACAGGATGGAGCCTGGACTATTTTAAGAAAAAAGAAATGTGTTCCTGGCATCATGTGATCAAGGGAAGGAGTGGTACTAACGACGTAAGTCAGGGAGATAATCAGATTATTTCTTTATAGGCCAAGGTGAGGTCTCTGGATTTTATTCTGAGTTCAGTAAAAAGCCATTGAGCCATTTTTAATAGGAAAGTGACCAATGTGTGTGTATATATGTTGGTGAGTGTACATTTTTTGACTCTTCATTGTGGAAAATTTCAAATGTATATCTGGAAAATGATTTTTGCCTAGTAACAACTAAATGGCATAACTTACAGCCATAAATGTTTAACTTGGAGTTTATGAGCCCCAGAAATTCTAGATTAAAATTTGCATACATGGCTATATTCTGGGAGCGGGTCCGTAGTTCTTAATGGACTTTCAAAAGTATCTATGTAATCCTTGAACAGTTAGGAACAGAACTTCTAATTCTGGCAACATTGTATAATCCAGGAAATCCAGAAGCCACTCCTGCCATGAATATAGGGTTGAGTCTCCCTTATCCAAAATGGTGGGAACCAGAAGTGTTTGAAACTTTTGATATTTTCAGATTTTGGAATATTTGCATGTATATGTAATGAGATATCATGGGAATGGGACCTAAGTCTAAACAGGAAAATTTACGCCTGAGAAACATAGCCTGAAAGTAATTTTATATAATGTTTTAAAATAGTTTTATCTATAAAACAAAGTTCATTATACACTGCACCATCAGAAAGCAAAGGTGTGGACTCAGCCACCCGTGTGGACAATTTGTGGTGTTGTTTTGGCACTCAAAAAGTTTTGGATTTGGGAGCATTTTCGATTTCGGATTTTTGGATTAGAGATGCTAAACCTGTATATAGAAACAATGAATAAAATAAAGAAGTTTTTAAAATTTATAGTCAAGCTAGGAAGGAAGAAAAAAAAGAAGAATGGGTGAGAGGAGAGGAGGGATGGAAATCTCACAACAGAAGTGTGTGAGCACTTGTGTGAGTACTGACATCATATGGCTCAAGGAATGACTCAGACTTAGATATTGGGGCTCAGTTTTAACATGGCCTCAAGCCGTTTTCAGTTGGAATTCTAGAACTGGTATCTTTACTTAGAGAAACACAAGATTCTGCAAGGGCTGGTGGCCCTTTTCCAAAAAAAAAAAAAAAAAAAAAAAAGAAAACACTAGAGAAATGCTCCAACCCAAGGAAAATACAGATAACCCCAAAGAAAGATGATTGGTACAAATGAATGGACTATTTACAAAAGTAAAAAAACTGATGGCAGTTAAATATATGAAAAGATGCCCTCTGCGAAAATGAAAATAAAGCAGCAGTGAGGTACAATTGCCTACTCATTAAGTGGACAAACATGGAGTAATTCTTCACAAAGATATAGAGAAATAGCTGGGAACTCTCATGTGATACTCACGGGATTGTAACTTTAGAGAACAATTTGGCAAAACTGAACCTGCTCACATCGTTTAACCTCACAATTCTACTTCTGGACATATACACTAGAGAAATTCTAGTGCCACCACATAAGGAGATATGTACAATGCAGTAGTAGTCAGAGCTTTTCAGCTATATCAGGTTCTCTTCCTTGTCAGCCGGTGATAGAATTGTACTTTCCCATGTTCTTTAATAAAGAGCCAGCGTGCAATTCATCATATTTCTTTCCTCTCTGCTATAGCAGGCAGCAAAACTTCTGATGGTGGAGGCTTTGACAGCTGGGGTTCCTAAGTGAAAAATACAGAGAAAGAGAAACCAGCTGACTCACATTGGATATGTAACATTAGCAAGGAGAAAATGAACCTTTGTCATTTCTAGGTTACTAAGACTTTGGGGTTAGAGAAACAATGGTGTAACTAGACCATCCTGACCAATAGATACAAGAATATATCAGCATTATTTCAAAGAATAAATGATAGGAGACAGCCTAAATGTTCATCAATAAAAGAACTGATAAATCCATGGTAGCATGATTATTATCATCATTATATGAGGAATACTATATGGTAAGGAAAATGAAGGAACAAGAGCCTCCTGCATCAGCCCAAATTTCACAATGTCATGTTTTAGTAAGTTATAGATGGCCGGGCACGGTGGCTCACACCTGTAATCCCAGCACTTTGGGAGGCCGAGGCAGGTGGATCACGAGGTCAGGAGATCGAAACCATCCTGGCTAACACAGTGAAACCCCATCTCTACTAAAAAAAAATACAAAAAATTAGCCGGGCATGGTGGCGGGTGCCTGTAGTCCCAGCTACTCAGGAGGCTGAGGCAGGAGAATGGCATGAACCCAGGAGGCGGAGCTTGCAGTGAGCCGAGATCTCACCACTGTACTCCAGCCTGGGTGACAGAGCGAGACTCCGTCTCAAAAAAAAAAATTTAATTTAATTTAAAAAAAAGTAAGTTATAGATATTACTGTTGTCCTTATGAAATAAAACAAAATTATAGGAGAATACTATGAATAATTATATGCCATCAATTAGGTAAACTAGATTAAATGGAGAAATTCCTAGAAAGATGCAAACTACCAAGACTAACTCAAGAAGACATAGAAAAACTAAACAGACTATAACAAGTAAAAACATTGAATTAGTAATCAAAAAAACTTTGTACAAATAGTTCCGGCCCATCTATTTATTTCAGGAATGCAAAATTGGTTTAATATAAGAAAATCAATATAATACCATGTTAATAAAATAAAGGACAAAACCACATAATAGTCTTTTTTTATTAAAAGCAGATACTTGATTTTTTAATTCTTTTACGTGATGGTCTCAATAGACACAAGAAAAATATCTGAGAAAACCTAACACCCTTGCATGATAAAAAATACCCAATAAACTAACAATAGAAAGGAATCTCCTAAACCTCAAAAAGAACATTTATGTAAGCCTACTGCTAACATCATGCTTAATGGGAGAAAATTGGATGGTTCCTTCCTAACATCAGGAATAAGACAAGGATGTCTGCTTTACCACTTCTATTTTATGTTGCGTTGGAGGTTCTAGCCAGGATAATTAGACAAGAAAAAGAAATAAAAGGCATCCAGATTGCAGGAAGAATTAAAACTATCTCTATTCCCAGATGATGTGATCTTGTATATAAGAAATCCTAAGGAATCCACCACAATATTATTAGACCTAAAAATGAGTTCAGCAAGTTTACAGTATACAAGATCATATATAAGAAGCAATTGTATTTCTATACACTAACAATGCACAGTGGACAATCTTTTACAATAGCATCTAAAAGAATAAAATATTTAGGAATAAATTTAAAAAAAGAAGTGCAAGACATATATACTTAAAACTACAAACCATCATTGAAAGAAATTGAAGAAGACCTAAATAAATGGAAAGACGTGTTGTGCTGATGAATCTATGAGCTTAATTATTAAGATAGCAATACTCCCCACGTCGGTATACAGATTTAATGCAATCTTTATCAAAATATCAGTTGGCTATTTTTCAGAAATGGATAAGGTGACCCTAAAAGAAGGATCCATTTGTATGGAAATGCAAAAGACCCAAAATAGCTGAAACAGTCATGAAAAAGAAAAAAGTTTTTTTTTCCCCCCAAGATGGTAGATTAGAGCGGTATTAGCATGCCTGTCCTCCTTGGAAAGACAAAATAGTGTATAGATATTCACACTGTGAACCTTTTCCCAAGAAGCAACATAGGAACTTAACAGGAAAATGGAATAAAACCCCGAAACCCTTTGAAAGAAGCAGGAGGCTGCAGCCTACACTATGAGCCAGCCAAAAAACTAAGTCCCAAGAGTGTAAGATGGGTAGAGATACACACCCCAACTGGGGAACCTGGCAGTGTAGCTCACAGGGGAAGGCATTAACCCTACCCAGCACTGGAACTCATATAGGGGGCAGTGGGAAGAGCATAGCATGCATTTGCAGTCTATGGACCGAAGGAAGCTATTACTGATTCTATATTACAGGGGACTTTGTGGAAGTTGGCCAACTAACCCAGGCAGTGGTTGCAGGTTGAGAGAAGCTCCCAACTGAAATTCACAATATAATCTCAAATGCAGATGAACTCTCTTGTCGAGAACCAGGGGGCAAATGGGAAGTATGCTGCGGCCTCAGGCAGAGGAGCTTGGGCACCCTGGCTTTGCAAGTAGACTGGAAAGGGTGTGGCCTGAAAGCCTAGGGTTCCCATCTCTATGTGAAAGTCTTATGACCTGGGGCAGTTTTGATTTTAGCTAGCTGAAATTTAGCTAGCTGCTGCTAGCCAATACCGCAAGTGAGAGACCTGCATTGCCAAGTGCATGGGAGCTAGATGAGGCTTACTGCCACCTGCTACTCCCTACTCCCTGTGTGAACTCTTCTGTGCAGCAGAGGCACCTATGCTTCTACCTAGAACAGTACTGCCCGTGGCCAGAGAACCACTCTCCAAACCCCACAGGGGCCACTGCTTGTCCTTCAGGTGGAGTCAGAGCACGGACTTGCCTGACCTAGCTCCCCCTGACTTTGCCCCTCCACCCACTCTGGTAGCTTAACACAAGGGACAGAAACTTGTGGGAACCCTATGGCCCTTCCTATCGCCCAAGATACTAGAGTACGTCCCTTGAGTATCATAAGGCAAGCACAAAGGAAGTGAAATAATGGACTTTGGAGACTCAGAAGGGGGATGGTGTGTGGGGCAAGGGATAAAAAACTACATATTGAGTACAGTGAACACTACTCGGGTAAACAGGTAAACTAAAATCTCAGACTTCACCATTAATACAATTCATCTATGTAATCAAAAACTACTTGTATCCCAAAAGCTATTGAAATAAAAAAAGAAAAAAGTTGAACTCACACTTTCTGATTTGAAATATGTAGTAAGCCTTACTGTAGAGTGAAAAAAGCAAGTTTTAGAAAACTATCTGTAGCATTTTTATGAAGCTAAAAAACCAGTAAAACAAAGTAACATGTTAGGAATACATATGTATGTGATAAAACCATTTTAAAATAAACAGATCAAGAATGATAAAGAAGAAATCAATAGTTCAGAATTCATTAGTATGGTTACCTCTGGTGAAATACCATATCCATATTGTGATATGAATCCAACAGTATTCACAGTTTTATGCTGCTTAAGTGGATTCATAGGTGTTTTATTGTCCTACTTTAAAACTCATGTTTTTTTACATATATGCTTTTAGTATATACCAAATATTATATAATAAAAAATTCATGGGAATAGTAAAT
The DNA here is from genome assembly GCF_000001405.40 of Homo sapiens. Taxonomy (NCBI): domain Eukaryota; kingdom Metazoa; phylum Chordata; class Mammalia; order Primates; family Hominidae; genus Homo; species Homo sapiens. Next base: position 55,027,985 of record NC_000017.11, read on the forward strand.
CAAATATATGATAAGTCTTACCTCTGGGAATAAGTTCAAAAGGGGTTTTTATATGTTTTGGTTACATTCAAAAACTGAAGTAAATATAGTTGACTGCTAAGCTTTAATGAAGCAAGATAGTAGATATCTATTACTTTATTATAGTATGTCCTATAACTTCTGTATTAATATTTTATAATTTTTTAAAAAATCCAGATAATTCTTACAGCTGCTGAAGTCATTGGCATAAAGCAAAGAGCACTAGCACTTTGTAGCATTGTGTTCCATAGTGAAAAATTGTGTATAATCTAAATGATTATCAGAAGGAGAATGCTTTAAAAAAAGTTCACTTCAGACAGTGTACAAACATAACAATTTTAAAAAGCATGCAATATTTGTAAAATGTACAGAATAGAAAGGAGTAATATATTGATAATTATTAACACTATAGTGTGACAATTTTTGCAAAAAATCCACAATTTATATAAATTTATAGGTACTATATTCATAGAAAAAAACCTGAAAAATTAGACACCAATTGTTAATATGGCAATTGTCTTCAGAGCAGTGGTTCTCAAGGGCAGGGCTGCAGTTTTTCTTCTTGGGACATTTGGCAGTGTCTGGAGACATTTTTGGTTGTCACAGCTGGAAGATAGAGACCAAATTCAAAATCAGTAAAGATACTTCTTAAAACCTCATGTATGAAAATTTAAAACATATTTTAAATAATTTGTGAGTCAAAAACATTGCTAATAAACATGTAAATGATGTTTAATTGCACTTGTAATTAGGGGAATTCAAATTAACAAACAGCATACTATTTCAAATACAACATTGACAAAATAAGAGTGGAAACAGCAGATGCTGTTAAATCTCAAAAAGGAAAAAAAAGAATGTAGAAAAATAGAAATGCTTATTCACTACTGGTGTGCATAAATTAATGAAGCCAGTTTGGAGAACAATTCAACAATATCTAATAAAATTGACCATATGTCCCCTATGGCTTAGCACTTCCTTTTCTAGGGATATAATGTAGAGAAATTTTCACACATTTTTACAAAGAGACATGTATAATGTTCTGTAATTTAAAAAAAAAAGCAGATTGGAGTAGTTATAAAAGCCTGTTAATCAGGGAATGGATAATAAATTACAATAAATTCATACAACGGATTACTGTTCACAGTTAAAATAAGTGAACTAGTTTTGCAGACAATATTGAGCAATTATGAAATCATAAAATTGAGGTAAAAATAAAAATAATTTGTAGAGTTACTCTTTAAGATTATGCTTTTGAGGTAAAAGCTTAAATGCACAAAATAAGAGTACATATTATTAGGGGATACTTGCTTATGTAGTAAATGTCATTAAATTAAGACCAGGAAGAATACTTAGGATAGTAGTTCCTGCTGAGGAATAATTTATAAAAACTTTTAACCGAATATATAGTTTTATTTATTGAAAATATATACATAAATTTTAAGTACATATCAATGAGTAATTGATGATAGTGAGTATATAGGTGTTCTTTGTATTATTATTTTTTGTGTTTATATTTGAAACATTTTTATAACTGAAGAGAAAAAAATACAGAAGCTAAAAATCATTATGCCATGTTATACAATGCAAATACTTGACTACTATACGAGATAAGCAGATGATGCTAGACTAAGCTTAAGAATCATTTTTGAAAGAATCTTTCCTGATATTCTTTCTCCATTCTTCTTTCATTGTTCCCAAATTGCTCACTTACAGATTAACCAGTTGCTTTGTGTATTAATATACCCTATACATACTTCTATTAAATTATGTGTTTTACTTATTTCTTTACAGTTGTTCTCACCCTTGAGACCGTAAACTCTTTGGGGTGAGAGACTATATTTCATTTATCTATCACCTATGCATAGTTTAGTGGCTGACAAATAGTAGGCACCAAATAAATTATTTGATGAATGAATTACTAAATGATTGAACGAGATTCTAAAGGAGGAAGAAATATGTAAGAGATAATTACCAATACTAAACTTTGCCTACATTTTAGTTTTGATGTGATCGACACTATATATGCTCTTGCCATATCCAATAATAGGACATCCAATTAGTCCCTTTGTGTTAGTTAAGATTAGATTTTGCTATATATAACTGGCGAACTCAAAATAACAGTAGTTTCCTTTAGAAATTTCTTTCACACCAAAAAGAAGCCTGAAAGAAGGTAATCCAGGGCTGCCGTGGAGGTTTCAGAGTATCAGGGACCATGTTCCAATTATCTTTCTGTTCCACCATCTTTACTGCGGTACCACATGAACCAAAAGAACTGCTCAAATTCCATCAGTTCCTCTTTCTTTCCTTCCTTCCTTTCATCTTTTTTCTTCCTCTTTCTTTCCCCTTACTAATCCGCATGGACAAGAAGTGCTTACCCCGACTTTTGAAAGGAGACTTCCTAATAGTACTCTATGGCACTTCCCCTTGTATCTCATTGGCTAGTACCTAGTTAGTTACATGGCCGCATGGAGATGTACAAGGGGCTGGGAAATGTCTTTTAGCTGCATGGCAGTGTTTTCAGCCGAAAATTGTGGTTGGTTCGGTTACTAAGGAGCAAGGAGAGAATGGACATTGGAATACAATTAACAGTCTCTGAATTTTTAATCACTAATGGATACCAAAACGAGAAAGAACTTTTCCCTTAAGGGGAAGAGCCTGATGAAAGAGAGAAGTAAGTGGCAGAGAAAGCTTTTTAGTTTACTATTTGTGTAAGCCTGCCCCTAACAAGCCAAAAATTAGAAGATTTTATGTTGAACCTAATTCCTATCAACTTCAGTTCTGCTCTCAAAGGCAAGATGTTAACCAAATATAATTCATGTTTTAGAGTGTCACTTGTAAATCTGATGTAGTAGGATTCTTTTGCCATTTTACATGTGCCAAATCATATAAACTAAGAAATAGTTTGATTTTTGGTTCTAGGACAATGTCATAAATTTGGTATTAGCTAAAGTGCTAGTCTTGGGGAAAAAATGAGGTAGTAGTAAAATCAGGAAGCTAATCTTCAATAGGCACTTAATCCATAAAGAGCTGACTTCCCTTGGGTGTTTAATCCTGGTCGACTGTTTCTGGTATTGATTATTTTCCCTGGGTTGTAAAGTTTGTAATGAAAAGTTTTATTCTTTGGAGATTTGAAAAATTGCTTTTCATGAGTCCTTTATCTTCCAGGCTCTAAATTATCTTGGTATTCAGCCCACAAAGGAACAACACCAAGCCCTGAGACAGCAAGTACAAGCAGACTCAAAAGGGACAGTGTCTTTTGGAGGTAATATTAGGTTTATTGTGTTGTATTATCACTGAATCATCATTCAAGAGTTATGGTGACACATTTTCATTAAGAGTGTTTGTTCTTTAGAAGGAGAGAATGAAAAGTAAAACTACATCCATTTCAAGGTCCTTAATCAGTACCCAAAGAACTCAGCTAGAATTACTGACCTGGCAGGGTCAGCAGAAAGAAGAATTTCATTAGGACCTTTCAGCTCTAAAATATCATCATTCTGTCATATTCTTTTTATTTTTTATTTATTGCATAAACATTGCTTTAGTAATAACAAAAGAAACAGTACAAAATATGGAAGTTCTAATTTCACTACTGTGAGATTAATTCGAATCCTTTTTCAGCTAATATAATATAGTAAATATTTTTATGATGCTACCTAATTAGAGTCATCCCTTGGTATGGGAGGGGAATTGTTTCCCGGACCCCTGCATATACCCAAATCCAGCCATACTCAATCTCATAGACAGCCTTGCAGAACCCACATATAGTAAAAGTTTACCCTCCACATATGTGGCTTTTCCAACCTGCAAATACTGTATTTTTTATGCATTTGGTTGAAAAAACTTGATGTATAAGTGAACCTGTGTAGTTCAAGCCTATGTTGTTCAGGGGTCAACTCTATTCTTATTAAAGATACCATAATGTACCACTTAGTTATTGTACTATAATATTAAGCCTTTCTACTATTGTGAATTTTGATAGTTTCTCAGTAGCTGATATTACAAATCTGTATTTATCAACATTATGAATGTAGCTGTTTTTCTTTCTTAAGCCAAATCCTCACAAATGATTTGGACTTTTGATACATATTGGTAAATTGTTTTTCAGAGATATTTTGCACATATATTCGTTCCACCACCAGTAATGTTTGAATATAACACTTTTTGTCTTCTTGTCACTATTAAGTAATTTTTTTCTTGTATAATAGATGTAACATTGTATTATTTATAAAGCATCTGTATTGCTGAAAAAAAATTGACCTTTTGGTTTTTAAGTGATGAAAAAAAGATATTTTTCATCCCATCTCCACTTGAAAATCATCCCAAAATAATAATGAAAACAAGAAACAGAAAAACACATACAAGTAAAATCACAATATCTAAGGACAGAAAAATGGGTGAGGAAAGTAAATTTGTGAGCAGAGGCAGGTAAAGCCCAAGTGTGTGAAGATAGAGGAAAATCACAATGAGGAACAAGTTGATTTGACCCTAAAATGATTTAAGAATTGAAGACATCAAGTACTTCTGGAGACTGAGTTTTTAGGCAGGATATTAAAACAGGATTGTTGGAAATCTTTATAAGGAGAATTATGCATGCTCTTCTCTGCTCTTTCTCAAGTAGTCCGGCATCTCCCACCGTACACCTCCAGGAGAAAAGAAGTATATTCCTTTGAGAAATTAAACCAGAGATCGTGGACCTATAGTTGCCAGCTGCAAGGGAGTTTGTGGAGTATATAGTGAGTCATCACTCGTAATATGCACCCAGATTGCTCAGGGAACTTTGCTGCCATGTTTATTACTATAGGCAGAAGACTATGGTATTCTCTCTGAAGAAGCTGAACAGAAATGTCAGCTGGCCACCAGATTGCCCTGTAGTGAAAGCTGCCAGTTGACAAAGCAAGTTACACACACAAAATTTCCAACCAACTTTTTTAGTGCCCGATTCTTAAATATGAACTCATAGTCAAGAGTCACCAGAGATTTGGAGAAATCCTCCAACATAAAATATAGAACCCAAAACTATCAGACAAACAGAAAAAAGGAACTCAGAAAAAAAGAAATAAAGAAGCACAGAAGAGAATTTCAGGTAGGAGGTCAGGTGCAGTGACTCACACCTGTAATCCCAGCACTTTAGGAGGCCAAGGTGGGTGCGTCACCTGAGGTGAGGAGTTCAAGACCAGCCTGGCCAATATGGTGAAACCCCGTCTCTATTAAAAATACAAAAATCAGCTGGGCATGGTGGTGCACGCCTGTAATCCCAGCTACTCAGGAGGCTGAGGCAAGAGAATCGCTTGAACCTGGGCAGTGGAGGTTGCAGTGAGCCAAGATCGTGCCACTGCACTCCAGCCTGGGTGACAGAGTGAGACTCCATCTCAAAAAATAAATAAATAAATAAAATAAAATAAATAAATAAATTCAGGTAAACTCTCATAACATCTTTAAAGAGAAAAGTGAAGGTAATGCAACCATGAAATAAAGTAGGATATTGTAAAACAGGAACAATCAGAGAATATTTAAAAGAATCCTTGGAAATTAAAAATACAGTAGCCAAAGTGGAAAATATTTGAGGATACATAGATGAGTAAGTTACTCTCCTTGTCAGAAGAAGCCTATGAACTGTTCTTTTTCCTCTTTGCCACGTGGCCTTGGACAGTTGAAGGCATTTAACCTGTCTCAGCCTCAATTTTTTTCATCTGTAAAATGGACAGGATAAGAGGACCTACCTCAGAAGACTGTTGGGAGGATGAAATTGCTAAGCACTGTGCCTGCCATACAGCAGCGGTTACATAAACATTATCTGCTGCTATTAATAATTGCTATCAAACCTCAGGTTCTTCCAGCTAGAAAAGCCATAAATCATAATATTGTCAAATGTTTCAGAAAAAGTTCTACTCATAATACAAGGGTTGAAAAACTATAGGTCCATGATATATATTTGCTTTATTATTATCTTAGCTGAATTATTAATTTTAGCAAAGTTAACTGAAGTAAGTTCAGACCAATTTGTCTCTTCTTATTTGAAATTACATTTACCTATCACTTCAGTCAATACTATTTTAAGATAATTTATGTGGGTTAAATTTGAAACCTTAGCAACTTCATATAGAATAAAGTAAGATTTAGAAGGGGTTAAATGCCATGTTCTTACTTAAATGTGTTCCATTTTAGATTTTGTCCAGGTTGCCAGAAACTTGTTTTGCTTGCAGTTGGATGAAGTAAATGTTGGTGCACATGAAATTTCCAATATATTAGATTCACAGGTAGAGTATGCCCTATAGAATTGCTTTGACATGTATAAGTCACAAGTCTTGAATGTTATATGTCATATGTGTAGGCTTTTTTCACTTAAAAATAGAAATAATACATGTTTCTTGGATAAATATATAAATACAAATCAATTTAAAATCAAAAGTAAAAGTTCATCCTGATATTCATTCTCCTCTCTCGCTAGCCTCTTGTGCTACTATCACACCTAAGTTTACCAGTATTGACAATTTGATATGTGGAGGATACGTGCTATAACTAGCTAGCTAGACAAACTGACAGATACCATGTGTGCATGTGTCCATTCTAATCTGTTTTATCTCTCTATAATATACACATAGAAAAGCACCTATATAATGTATATATACTATGAAATTTTATAGCCTAAACCATCCTTATTTAATTAGCATCCAGATCAAGAAACATAATATTAAATAAATACATTACCAGATGCTCTCCTGCCCCCAGGTTCCTTTTTGATTGCTAGTAACACCCCTGTACCCCCACAAAAAATTGGGTAACTACTCTTTCACCTTCTAACAATGTAGATTGGTTTTGCCTCTTTTTGTGCTTTATGTAAAATGGGATTGTGAAGTCTATTAGCTTCAATCATGTGTTCTATAGAAGTTTGACATTTATATTATTGAATATTTTAGTCCTTTTCATTGTGGATTTTTGGTAGTTTTATCCTCTTAAGGACCTCCTTCTTAATTTATGTTCTATATAATTTGTATATTTAATTAAAAAATTCATTCATTATGCATGGCAAACCACCTGTTTTTGTTCCACCATCATTTATTTAAAAACCCATCTTCATTTTTGCCATTGATTTGAAATGCAAACTTTATCATATACTAAATTTCTATCTAGATACACAGATCTGTTTTTCTATCTACCATTTGAATGTTTCTTACCTTAAAATCGACTTAGTCTCATGATATAGTTATAACAACTTTTCATTGGTTGATTTTTTTTTGGTTTCCAGTGATTAAAATAATTGGATATATAAATACATATATTTTTAAAAGAAACCTGTTATTATACAATTCTTTTAAATGTTACCAGTAGAATATAAATACTACAGTATTTTATACCCATAACCATCTATTTCAAAGAAAATTCATGCATTATCCTTTTATGCTCAAAATTTTATCTTTTCTTTTTCTCTGTTAGCTCTTATTTCTGTTCCATATAGACCTGGAATCTTATCCTGATAACACATAATTGTATGCTTGCGAAATGATCACCCTATCATTTTGCTGCAAAAAAACTTTAAATGAATTAAAATGATTTGTTTTATTTTCCTATGTTTATAAGGCTTTACAAATTAAAATTTTCTTCCATATTGAATTATAATTATACTTATTATTGGTACATAATTAATAAAATTAGAAATCTGACATAACTTTTGATCAATCATTTTTATGAACATATTAAAAATATAAATCTGTATTTTAATGGGATGAAAGAATTCTTTTCATGCCAGCTCTGTCCCTTATGAAATTACCATATTTACCTGGGAATTTCTGGACTCTTTATTCTGGTGGCTTCTTGGCTTCATAAGTCTTGATATCTAATAAGATGTTCTCGTATCTTATTTGTGTTTATCTTATTTACTTTTAATTGACAAATAATAATTTTATATATTTATTGTGTACAATATGACTTAGAATGTGTATACATTGTGGAATGGCTCAATTGAGCTAATTAACATATGCTTTACCTCAAATAATTTATCTTTTTTTATAGTGAGAACACTTAAAATCTGCTCTCTTAGCAATTTTCAAAATGCAATACATCGTTATTAACTGTAGTCGCCATGTTGTACAATATATCTCTTGAACTTTTTTCTGCTGTCTTATGGAAATGTTATGTCCTTTGACATCACTTCAAACTGCCCCCCAGACCTCCTGCCATTCTTTTAAAATATTGCTTTGGCTAATCTTCAGTCTTATCTTGTCCATATGAGTTCCATGAAAAATTTTGCTCTGTTGAATTTATAGATTATCTTGGGAAGAATCAACGTCTTTATAAATTTAAGTTTCTGTGAACATGTTATGGCTTCTCATGTATTTATATCTTCTTTGATGTCAATATATCTTATATATTTTTAATTAATTATATTTTAATAATCTAGTCACCTTACGCTTTTTGTTGCCATTAAAATTAATGGTATCTTTTAAAAATTTGTTTCATTTTAAATTTATTTGGTTTTACATAAAATTAATTTTTATATTTACCTTATATCTTACAACCTTGTTATACCCATTTGCTTTTTATTTTCCAGAAAGTCTTCAACATTTTTTGTTCTAATGACACCCTTTCTGAGTTGCTAATAGTCTTATTAACTTATATATTTCTTTATTTTTGTTTCTGTTTTCAGATATACTTTTAAATAAATGATATGGTCAGTCAGGTTCTTTGAATGCTGCTAGAAACCCTAAATTCAAGCAGGAGAATAGATATGTTACATATTTTTAATAACTTTTTCTTTTAGTTCAAGTTTAAAAACAAAAATTGCACTTTTATTTCATGGTTATATTTAGAGCTCTACTGTTTTCAAGTGATATGCTTTACTGACAGGAAGTTTGAATAGTGTTTATTATTAATTACATGATTTCAAATTCCAGAAACACAGAGTATATAAATATATAATTAATTTATTGAACAAATAAGTCTGACCACTCATTTAAAAAATGATGCATGTCACTTTTTTTAATGTTTCAAATCACTTTGTTCTCTTTTGTAAGCAATCTCTTTTACTGCTAAGCATGTTGCCCATTGCAATCACCCACAGATCTGGTTGTTCTGTAACCCTCAGGAGAGTGCCCAGTTCTCCCAGAATGAAGCACTGATTTATCAGAACTAATTTTGTCGCATTTATTCAAAGAGAACTAAAGCTGTATTCAAGGCGCACAGTTTTCATTCTGCTGATTCAGGTGTTGTGTATTAATCTACCTAATGTTGATGTCAGGGAGCATTGTTTTTTACTGCCAAACAGTTCTCAGAGCTGCCATGCTCATTTTTGATGAGGAAGGCAAAGATGGTTGGGTAGTTTACAACAAGCCAATGAAATAGGCAATTCAGAGTATTTTGTATGAGCAAGCAAATCTTTTTTAGCAGCTGCAGATGGATGGTCATGCTCCAGGTTAGCAATTTATTTCCTCCTTACCAATATAATTTTAGGGCAGATAAGAATGTGTTTATAGTTTGGAAGTTGTTGGGATTAAAAAAAAAATATGTTCAACCTGTGAGACTTTGACAGCAAAAGCAAAGCGCTAATGGCAATTGTGCAAGAGTCACTAATTCCAGACATGTCAATAATTCTGACATGTCAATGATTTCCAATTTGTGGCTTCAGATCAAAATGTCGTGCAATAGAATTATATTAATTTTTTATTATATTTTTTCACTTGAGTACAGAATAAGAAAACATATTTTACACCATACTCACGTATATAACTGAAACAAAAGCCTGTCAAAGCATTAGTTACCTTTTCTATGTACATTGCATTCTTATTTAATATTCACTTGTATTTCATTAAAACTTTGGTTTCACGATTCGCTAATGGGTGATGTAACAGTCTGAAGAAACATTATAAAAATCACAATTTTAGTCATGTGGCTCACCAAAAGCAAATAAAAAATAACTGATTGTTTTGCAGTGTAATTCCCTACTTTTTTGAGTTCAAAAGCAGTTTAGTCCCCCATCTGAAGTATGCCAATCAGTCTGTAGTTACAGATGCTGACTGTCTGTGAGGGTGGGGAATTCCACTATGGTTACCCTGTCAACCGTCTCAGTTTCACAAACAACAGGCCTGGGTCATTCTGTTAGGCATGTATGTCTTTTATTCATGTTTTCTTTTTTTGGCTGATAATGATGGCTTGTCTTTCTTAATTTATTTTTTTAAATATTATTACTGAAATCTAATATATACAGAATAAAGTACAAAAAGTGTACAATTTGATGAATTTTTATTATGTGTCTCACATGGAATCACCACTCAAAAGGCTCCCTCAGGCCACCTTCCCAGTCAGCCGCCACTCCCACCTTTACATTGGAACCAGTATTTTGACTTATAACAACATAGATTATTTTTGCCCCTTATTGAATTTCATAATAAATAGAATTATAGAATATGTACTCTTTTGTAACTTGCTGCTTTTCCTCATTATTTTGTCTGACTCATAAGATCTCTTGAGATGCTATCTTTTAAGTAGGAATTGCTGAGTCAGTATAAAGTCAGTCCTACTTTTGTTTGTTTGACAACTTTTGGGTTTGGAAGAATATGACATTTAGAACCAAAAATATAATTATCTTACTGTGAGTCTAATCATCATTGCTACATTAGAAAATTCACACAGTGCTACACCTGCTGCTGGCACAAGGTTATATGCAGAAAGGGCAAGGCTGGAGCCCACATTTAGCACTACTCTAAACCTAGCAATAGCAGAATATAGTCCATCATAGTATGATTTTACCAGACTAATCAAGTACTGTATCATTAATGGATTATCTTAAAATTATAGAGAGAACACTAAATTCCCTAAAATAGATTTTTCACAGTTTGGGCTCTTGTTAAGTCAATTTAGTGGGCTGCGACTACCATTTTAAACAAGTGAAATAGAACAAAATGGAAAATACCAAAGGGAACTGTATATGATAAAACTGAGTAATGTTTCACTTATACAGGATCATAGTATGTATCATATTTCTCACCACGTATAGCAGTAAATACTTTATAGCCACTTCCCTAACGAAAACACGAAATATATATTGAACAACTGCAGTGTGCATGTTTTGTTATGTGCACATGTTATTAAGATAGGTAAAACTTGGCCTACATATTTTAAGGAAAAGTCATGTGCCCAAATAATTATAGTAAGAAAAGCTACATAGTGTGGCAAGGCCATAAGAGTAATAAAGCTTAGAACATTCAGAAAAGATTCATAACAGTTGGCATTTGAGTAAATTTTGAGGGATAAATAGGATTTTATGTGCTCAAGAGGTGAGTAGGGAGTGATAAAAGTATTAGCATAAACAAAAAAATTAGAACGTAATGCACACAGAGAGTAGTCTACTTAAAAAAAAAAAGATAATTGGGTTCATTCAGATGACAGAGTTATGCCTCAAAGGGTAAATGTTAAGTTTAGAAGTCTGTACTTTACTCAGTAGTCAGTGAGGAGCCATTAAGGAAAACAGTTAAATGACAAAAGTGATATTTTAGAAAGAGGAATCATATGTGTTGGTTATCTAGGAAGGGAGTGAAAGTGGTGGTAGGTAGTCTAGATAGAGGACTATAGAAATAATCCAGATAAAGATAGTAAAGAACTAAAGTATAGTGAAGGTGGGGAAAATAGAAAGGAAAGAAGTTATAGATCTAGATTACTTACCAAAAACAACAACTACAACAAGTATGTCATCAGTAGGACTTGCTGACCCTTTGGACATGAGAACTAAGGAAGAAGAATGAATAAAAAAAAAAACTCAAAAGTTTTGTCTAGGATAACTAAGAATATGATGGTACAGGTAGCATTTATAGAAATAGGGAAATAAGGAGAAAGCCTTTTTCAAAGTAGAGACCATGACAGATTGTGTTTTAGAGAGATTTAAGAAGCTGGCAAGTACAAATAACCAAAGGCCACTGGAAATTAGGAACTAGACACTGGGAAGGAATTTGGGAATATTTTGGAGAGTGATAGTTGAGGCATAATAGTGAATGTGCTCACTCAAACTTGTAGGGAAAAAAGAGAAAAGGGACAAACTTTGGGGAACCTCCCAAACCCCCTTTCTCCATTTAAGGAGTAGACATGAAAGTAACTCATTGGGAATAGCCTAAATGTGCAGAAGGGTAGGTGAGATATTAGAATATCACAATCTAAAGAAGATAAAATTTCAAGGAAAAAAAGCCTTCAACAATGTTATATATAACAAAGAAGAAAGTTGGTGGGGGCCATTTTCTTTGTCAAGTAGCAGTTTTATTGGTGAAATTGAAAGTAATCATTTTAGAAATATGGGAGTGAGAGGAAAGATGTATAAGCCAGATAATAAGAAGTGAAAGGAATGAGCAGGGAAATGGAAAGAGAAAAGAAGATACCCAGAAATTTTTAGGTGAATAGGATGGTAAAGTCACACACAATTTTATAAGGAAAGAAGGTAATTGAATAGGTCTCTAATGGAAGGCCTTATCAATAAAATTAGACTGACACTGAAGTTAACTGTTTTGTAACTGTTTCTGTTTAAAATGAATTGAGATTAGGGAATATGGCCAATGGAATAGTAGTTATCCAGAATTGATACAAGTCAAGTAACTTAAAATATGTTGGAGCAGCAACAGTGAAGGGAGAGGTGAAGTCAGACCTAATCAGCACAGTCCAATGACCTATAGTATGTATTTCTTGACATCTCCAGAAGGAGACTCTAGAAAGCAGAGTAGAAATGATTTACAATGTTATTTACCAGCTGTTGCAAAGTTCGGGAGATCCAAGGATCACAAATGATATTGCGAGAACCAGACAGGAAACAGATGTGGAAGGTTAAGGAATATAAATTTCAGTAGTTACTGATAGATTTTGAAAACACGCATCTGTCTGGAATTGTTGCTGTTAAATAACAACAATTCATTTGCCGCTTCCTTAGCTGAAGTATATTTGAATGGAACTATACAAAAAAGTCATTGAGCACAAAGGGGCTTTTCAAAGAATTCACAAGGAACATCCACAGCCAATTCTCTGGCTGCAAGTTTTTGCTGCACAATCCAAAATAGCAGTGGGATTATAAAACGTTTTTTTAAGTCATGGTTCTGTGACTATTTTGCCTCTCAAAATAGTACCATAGATTCTTTTACGCATGCTTTACCTACATGGTGTTAAGTTCAAAAGTTTATTGTCACATCCCTAAAATCCCAATCCTAGTTTCTCTTAATAAATTATTTTAGCTCTGGTATCTAAAATTTTATTTAAACTTTTTTTTTTTTTTTTTTTTTGAGACATGGTCTCACCCTGCCATCAGGCTGGAGTGCAGTGGTGCAATCTCGGCTCACTGCAGCCTTGACCTCCCCACCCATCTCAGTTTCCTGAATAGCTGGAACTACAGGAGTACCCCGCCATGTCTGGCTAATTTTGTTTATTTTTTGTAGAGACATGGTCTCATTATGTTGCCCAGGCTGATCTCAACCTCCTGGACTCAAGCAATCCTCCAGCCTCGGCCTCCCAATGTGCTGGCATTACAGACCTGGGTCACTGCACCTGGCCTTATTTAAACTTCTGAATCCTGCTTATTTCACTTCTTAGGATGAGAAGATAGAGTAGGCCATATGAATGTTGAGTAGCAACATTGAGTTTCCCAGATTGTGTTTTGTTTACTTTAGTTCCATGAGCTAGTTCAAAAATCAATAAATGAAGGCAGCAGGGTAAGGAGGTTGGGGGTTTGTAGTATGGTGAAATTACTGAGGAAACATCACAAGTTATTATACTTTTTTTTTGGCAGTTCAAATGTTCTTTAGCATATTAAGGCTGTTGGAAGCCATACAGGAAATAAGGTTAATTTTTTCTAAATCATATACCACTACCACCATCACTACCACTCAATTTTGCTTTTACACAAAGCCTGTTAATATCCTTTGGAACACACTCTGGGAAATATTATTACATTTTAAAATGTGTTCAAAATTAACAATACAGAAATGAATTCTTATGAGTGTTTGTGTTGAGTACTTCTGAGAGAGCAGAGTAACAGAGACATAAAGAATGTAGATCATGTAAATTATGGGCAATGTCCATAGATACCCAAAAGCTAATGTGACAGACCAAAAAGAACCAGTGATCTTCAGGGAAATAAGTTCTCCCCAAATATGAAGAATAATTCCTACTTCTGTTATTCTGGAGTTTGGAAAGCAAATATGAGTTTATTATATCCATTCCACCACGTTTTTTGTTGAATCTTTAATAAAAATCAGAGACTATGATTTGTGGGACTCTTGGAATGGCCATTTGTTAGCTGTGAAACCTTAGGCAAGTTATTAACATTTCTGAGCTTGTTTCTTCATCTGTAAAATGGAGACAAGGTGATTGATATTGAATATATACAGTCTTTAGCAATGCATCTGCACATATAAGTTTCCAATAAGTGGTTGATATTATTAATTGTTTTTATTATTTTTTTTCTACTCCACATTTGCCTTACCTATCTAAAGGGCCCTGCTTTAAGCCCATGCTTACATAACAACCACTTTCTCCACTTAGTCCTTTAAATTATATTTTCTTTAGTTGTTATAGCTTCCACATAGGAGATGGCTGTAGTTAAACTTGGATTTTTATGTCTGATTAGACTATCATTGTTTTTACATTGTAATTGACGGTCAGAGACATCATGCTAGATGTACGAGATATGGTCATCTCTGCATTTTTTGTTATTGTTATTCACTTGTGCATAAATTATTAATATTATCTTCAATCTACAATTTCTGTGCAGGAATCTTTTTAAGCTGCTTGTCTGTTGCATTACATTTCATTTAGTTAAAACCAGATACATAATCGATAAATATACTTTACTAGGCTCATGTAAACCATCTGATTTATAATGTACAGCATTTTGTTAGCCTTAGATACCATGCTATTAGAATGAATGTCTTTAGGGAATAGTTTATGTTGGTAATTCCTGAAGTCTTTTTGACATTATAAACACAGTCTTCGAATTTGGAATTTTAAGGAAAATTATATTGTTAAAATAATGATAAAGGTGACAACAAAATCAAAATTCTATTATAAGTGACAACAATGTAAGGTTAAAATGAATGAAATTGCTTTAATACTTTAATATCCCCTTTATCTAATCAAATGACTCCAACATAAGAAACTGAATTTTGTTATTAGAATACAGAAGCCTAAGATTAGTCAAAAATGATTTTTATGTTACCTCTCATAATTAGCATCTAATGCACAACTTTTCTCTTATATTTTAATGTTGATAGCTTCTTCCTTGTGATTCTTCAGAAGCAGATGAAATGGAAAGGCTCAAGTGTGAAAGAGATGATGCCTTGAAAGAAGTAAATACACTTAAGGTAACCTCTAATTTAGTTTCCTTATGTTTTCTTCAGAAAAAAAAGAAAAAGAAAAAAATCCTATATTGGATTCTGAAGCATTGGGGCTTAATTTTATTTTTAATGGAAAAATATTAATATCAAATAGTAAAAATCAGATTCTTTATTCAGTTGGCCTTTAGAGAATTAATTTTTGGTCTACATATTTATATTTCACAATATCTGTGCAACATTTAGTGTGAACAATGGTTTTTGCTCATGTCTTCTGTTGAGGTTTCTTCTTATCCTTTTTATTCTCTCTCATTAGTGGCCAGGGCAGAATTAGATGAAGAGCCAATAAAGCAAGTCGTGGCAATTTTGGATCCTGTGAGTTCTTTGGGAAATACATTTTTTTTCATGTGCAGGGCTATTCTTAAGGGACATCATGTTTTGCTAACGTAATTTGGAATTAATATTATTTTAGAGAGGAAAAAAACACACATATCCCAAATATACTGTAACATTTTTCTTCTCTTTTTTTGTTTGTTTGGTTTTTTGATTCTTGTTTTTGTTTTGTGTTTTTGAGACAGGGTCGCACTCTGTCGCCCAGGCTGGAGTGCAATACTGCAATCACGTCTCACTGCAGCCTCAACCTCCTGGGTTCAAGTGATTCTCCCACCTCAACCTCCCAAGTAACTGGGACAACATGTCCATGCCACCATGCTCAACTAATTTTTTTTTAAATTTTTATTTTGTAGAGATGGTGTCTCACTATTTTGTTCAGACTGGTCTCAAACACCTGGGCTCAAATGACCCACCTACCTCAGCCTCTCAAAGTGCTGGGATTACAGGTGTGAGCCACCATGTCTGGCCTTGATTCTCTTTATGTGGTTTCATTCTGTTTTTAGAAGAATATTACATTTAAATTATATCCTAATTTTTATAGAAAGCTATATTTTCCAAATCTTTAGGAAAAGCAACATAACTACTTGATTTACCACTAATTCGTCATAGGCACATATTTTTAAAATTATTTTATTAAATAAGGTATAGTATATTGATAATTATTTAATTTTTATTAAATAGAAAATATTTACACCAAAAGGAAAGAAAATTTGTTTTGCTACCTTAGTTTTTATAATCTCAACCTCTAGAGGAAGCCATTGTTGCAAATATATTATTTATCTTTTCATAGATTTTTCTCTACACAGAAAATTATATTTTTTAAAAATAGGCAGGGCATGATGGCTGACACCTTTAATCGCAGTACTTTGGGAGGCTGAGGCAAGAGGATTACTTGAGCTCAGGAGTTTAACATCAGCCTGGGCAACATAGCAGGACCCCATCTCTACTATTTAAAACATAAAAACAAAAATAAATAAATATATGTATATGTGGGGACAGGGAGTATGTGAGAAATTTCTGTACTTTCCCTTCAATTTTGCTATGAATCCAAAACTGCTTCAAAAAATAATAAAGCCTTAAAAAATTTTTTTCCAGTATGTGTGTATTTTCACTTCTATGTAAGTCACTTCATCCACACTTTTTTTTTTACAACTTGCCTTCTTTTTTTTTCTCTCTCTCTCTCTTTATAAGAATTATATCTCAGGCAGCTTTTCAGGTTAATATACACAGATCTACCAAATTCTTTTCAATAACTGTCCTATACATTAAATAGTTATTTGGCCAGTTCCCTATTGATGGACATTAGACTATTTCCAGTTTTTAAAAATAATTTCATCTTCAGCAGCTTTGTAGATGTATCTTTGGGCATTTGTACAGTATATACACAGAATGAATGTCTGAAAATATAATTGCTTTATTAAAAGATATAGACACTTAAAATTTTGCATATGTTACCATATTCCCTTTGAAAAGGTTTTGCCAATTCACATTCCTTCCTAAAGTATATGAGCATTTCACTACTATAAGAGTATTTTATATATTTCTTTTCTTACCTTTGAAACCGCTATCTTTCCACATTTTTTAGTGCAACAATTGTTTTGATGGAAAATAAAAATTTAGTTTTAAAAATACATTGACAATGATTTCCTTATATTCTCTTAGAAAACTTCCCCAGTGTTGGTTACCTTAATAAGATAACTTTTTATGTATTCTTTTATCGCTACCTAAACCATTAGACTTGTGGTTTATCAGAATTTTCAGAGGCTCTCAGATCTTTTTCATTTCCTTATAGTTTATCATTGTTAACTTTAGTGATATATTTGATTTTATTTTAATATCAACAGTAATTATTAGAATGTTAATTTGAAAGTGTATATGTCATGTTAATTTAACATTTCAATAAGACTTCCCTGAGGAGTCATTCAATAAATCAGGATTTACCTTTAAAGTTCATGAAATGTAACTGAATATACCCTGATATGACAAAACCTAAACTCCCAGATAAGCCGGCAACCAGCTAGCTCAGTTGGTTAGAATATGGTACAAAAATTCCAGATAAAACAAATTTTACATGTTATAATTACCTTTACCTCAAAACCTACCTATTGGCTGGCCAGTTAAAGAAGCCATATAAAGTAGTGTACAAAGCAATAAATATTTCGTTAAAGGTAATGTTTTTGTTTTCAGTTTTTCTACTTGTATTATACACTCATAAAAAGCAGAGGTTGTTAAATGAAGTTCATAAAGCATTTAGGTGGTGTCTCATCACTTTTCATTATCCTGTGACATCTCTATTCTTCATGTCTAATATGAGGTACAAATAAAAATGAAACCAAGATAATTTTATGTCAATAGCTAATTTTTATCTTGCAAGAATAATTTTTAAAAGTGCTGTGGGCTTTATTTAAGGAAGGCTTTCTGCAGAATTCACATTGCTACTGCTTTGCAAAGGTGAATGGAAAATAGATATATTTTCCATTTACAGATACAAAAAAACTAGGGCACAAAGAGTGAAGGTGACTTCCCAGAACATAAAATCACAGGAGCCAGCAGTCTCTTGGCTCCTGTGGCATAGTCATTAGATTGCCATATTATATTCATTTTCATATACCTTCATTTCACCTCTTAGACAAGAATAAGCTGAAATATACCAGAAAGGATATTGCCTTTTTTAAACATTGTAATATTGCCATGAATCTTTACCACTCAATTTAATGTTCGAGCAATTCCTCTGTTCAGGTTTGTATTTAATGGCTCTTAAATTACTCTTAGTATTTCTGATTTGACCAATAAAATGTGAATTTATTTAAGATATAATTAATAAAAATGGACATCGTAGGGTATATGCTTGACTTAATTTCAAATCCAAAGATATTTTATGTGTATGTATAATATTAATCTTAATAACTATTATTTTATGTTTTGTTTACATTAGTCATATATGCCTTTTCATGGATAATCTTCCAAGAATAAGCTAAAATTAAATTAGGAAATTAAGAGGTGAGCCAGTCTCATATGCCCTCTTTTGTATGGTCGAAGACCTTTAATTCTAATTTGTAATAATAATGCTCTTCAATTTGGTATCTCTTTGGCAATGATAGCTTAACCAAAATTGTGTTAATATTTACACATTTGTATTCTTAACTGGCTTCTGTTAGAGCTTATATTTTGAGATTTTGCAAAATTAAGGTAATAAAAAGTATATTTACATCACAATTTACTGTAAATAACTAATTACTTTTAAGTGCCTCATGTAAAGCCAGAAAAATGACTAGGAGCAATATTTTCAGATTGTAGCAATTTGATATTTGGGAATATAGGCCTTGAAACAAGGGACTAAGAAGTCACACTTGTTAATACTTTCATAACAAGTTGTTAATTTGGTGGTTTTTAAATATAGGAAAAATTATTGGAATCAGATAAGCAAAGGAAACAATTGACAGAAGAGCTCCAGAATGTGAAACAAGTAAGTATATGTATTGTGTATATATGTGCTCGTGTGTGTGTGTGTGTGTGTGTGTGTGTGTGTGAACATATGAGGTATAATTATAAAGCAGTGGTTCTTTACAATATCCCAGAGCTTCCTGATACATATTACATAATACAAAATAGCACAGAGCTTAAAAGCAATCACTTTTGGAGGCTGTACCTATGCTAAAGTCTTGCTACTATTGCTCAAAACAATGTTAAAACCTCTTTGAAATTTCTTTGAAAAAAACATATCCATAGACCAAAATAACCAATCTCATTACTTCTCCATTGTTTTTTCTTTTCTTTCATTTCCCCTTTTTTCTTTTTCTTTTTTATTTTGTTACTCATACTTCATTTTACTAAAGAACAAAAAAGTCATCAAGGCAGAGCATTTTTTACATTTATTTGTTAATAATAAAAAGCAAATATTTATTTTCACTTTGCATTATTCTTCAAAGAATTTGAGGTAGCTCACTATAAAACAAATATATGACAATATCATAAAATGAAAACCCAAATGACAAAATATAAATAAGAGAACATTGTTAGAGATCAACAGTGATCACCTGATTTTGAATCTCCCTCACACAGTCCCCCTAGAAAACATAAAATCAACAAAGAAAGCAGATAGAACCATACAGGACCCATATTTTGAATATGACTATGTGACAAAAAAACACCACAGCCTTTAAAGTACATATAAATACAACAAGAAAAATAATAATTCCAACAAAACTTCTGAAGCTTGCCTTTACTGAAACCTGGAATACAGAGAACAGAGGAGGCAAGGCTTGAAAAATTCTGAAATAAAGAGTAGAGAGAAACTATGAATTAGATGAAGAACAAACAAAATCACCCCCAGAAAGAGAAAAGGTAAACATAAATGCCAAAATACTGGCCGTATGTCAAGACTTGGTGGTTCTTAGCACTAGCTACAAAAAAAGAGACTTCAAGGTATGAATGCAATCAAAAATGGCAGCCTTGAAGAATCATTGTTTCTGAGGAAGAACCAGATCAATAGAGAATGGATAGAATTCCTTGGAGACTTCGCAATGATAGGAAAGAAGGAAATAAGAAGGGAAAATTAAGGAGCTTATAGAAATGAAAGCAGAACACAACTTATTAATCCACCCACCCTACCCTATGACCATCAAAACAAGATCCATAGAAGAAACTGCACAGAAGAGAGTGCTCTTGAACTAAGAACTTTTTCTGTGAAATAAAAAAGTATAGAACAAAAATTCTATCTCCATCATTATAAAACGACTGAAAAAGTCAGATGATATCAATGAAAGCTTTCCTCCTGATGAAAACTTTCCAAAACAATTTAACCACAAAACTTAAGAAAAATGTAACGTCACACTCCATACTCAAGGGAATTTCCTCAAATAAGCATTTGGGCTATGAAAAACACATCTCAAATGAGAAACTTAAAAAATAGTAATAATAGATATTGATCACCCCCAAAAAAATCAGGAAAAAGTGAAATGAGAGTTGATAAAACTTAGGAAAGAAGGAAGAGACAAAATCCTATCAGAAATGAAAACTAAATTACAAGTTGCTCCAGGAAGAATATAATCAAGTGAAAAGGCAATGAAGAAAACAAGAAAAGCAACTAGGAAAGTGAAAATATAATCAAGAAGTAAAAGAGTTTCTTAAAGAAATCAATCAAAATAACTGAACAGCCTAATACTTAGAACTATAATCCAAGAAAACTTTCTATAATTAAAACAAGACCTGAATCTAATATAGGTACTGGGGAAATCTGACCTGGAAAGATTACTGTACAATATATTCTAGTAAAATTATTAGACTTTAGAGGAAAATAAATGCACACTGCCTCCAAGTAAAAAGATTAAGCAACTTATGAAGGCAATAGAATTAGACCAGCATTGGGTTTCTCAAAACAACATGCAAAGTAAGGCAATAGTGGAACAACATTTTCAGGACATGAAAGGAAAGAAAGAAAGTATACAAAAATGTTTTATATAGCCAACCTGACTTTAAAATATCAAGGCCATAGAAAACAGTTTGTGATATACCAGTACTAAGGGAATATTTCACACATGATATTCCTGAAGACCTTCAGATAGGATGAGTTTTATCCAACTAAAAAATGCCTAAAATAACTTTGGAAAATGTTCCCAAATGGTGAGAACTTCATATATTTTATTGTACAGGTGAGACTAAAATGAGTCAGTGCATGGATGAAAAAAATAGCATGAACATTACATGTGTTAACAAAAGTCAAAAGATGCAAATTTTTTAATGGGAGGATAAGAAAGAAAAAAGAGGAAAACAGAATACATCATTTTGTTATATAAGCAAAGCGTAGCAGTCAATAAATATTTAAAACTGATATCAGATAAAAATTAGGTAAAAATAGAGGAGATAGCAAGCACTTAAAAAGTAATAATGGAAAGGTAACCTATAGAATGAAAATACAAACCTTCATAAACACCAAAAAGAATTTTTTAAGTAAAAAGGACACACAAAGAAATGAGTAAATATACACAATAATTTCAACATAAGAAAATTTTATAGAACTGCAACCAAACATAATGGTTATCTTAATTAACATGAATAAGATCAACTCACCTATTTTTTAAAAAGTTTTTCAAAAAATATAGTTTGCCAAAACTGACCGGAGTAAAGATAGAAAGCCTAAAAGGCCATTTTCTGTAGAAGAGATAAAGTAAGTTATCAAGAAACTATTCTAGATAAAAGGACCAGGCAAGATGGTTTCACAGAGAAATTTAACCAAACCTTTGACAGTCTCAAAACTATATAAATTGTTTCAGGGTATAAAAAATGAAAGAAATTTTCCAAATTCTTTTCATGAAGCAAGTATAGCGTTGATGTATAAACTTAATAAAAATGGCACAAAAAAGAAGATACAGTTAGACTAGAAAAGCAATTAGAGGCATATGACTTGGAAAAGAAAAAATAAAACTGTCTTTTTTTGCAGATGATATGGTAGTAATCTGGAATACCCTAGAGAGTGATAAAAGTAACTCAGTAAGTTGATAAGCTAGCAAGATATAAAATTAAGATGCAAAACTAAATTGCATCCATATACACAAATAATAACCAGTTAGAAGTTTTAATAGTTAAAGAGAAACCAAAATTATATAGAAAAATAGGCAAAAGACCTGAACAGATAATTCATCAAAAAAGCTATAAAAATGTCCATTAAACAAATGAAAAGATACTCAATCTCTTTCTCTCATAATAAAAGAAATGCCAGTTAAATCTATACTACCATAGAACTTCTAGCTTCTAAAATCATTAAGTCAAACCGTCTAAAGAATGATGACATTCATTGGGGGATGACGGAGGACATCCCCCAATAAAAAATAACTCCAGAACCTAAACATTTAATAATAAGCAACTACCAAAGGAACTGGAGAATGAACATCATCAGACAAATTGCTCCTCCTGGAAGAGAAGCAGAATATTAACATGTACCTAGAAGTAAGAAGTAAAAATTACATGAAATGGTATTCTTTTTGTTTGTTTGTTTTTGTTTTAGACAAAGTCTTGTTCCATCCAGGCTGTAGTGCAGGGACACGATCTCAGCTCACTGCAACCTCCACCTCCCGGGTACAAGCGATTCTCCTGCCTCAGCCTCCCAAGTAGCTGGGATTACAGGTGTGCACCACCATGCCCAGCTAATTTTAGTATTTTTAGTAGAGATGCAGTTTTGCCATGTTGGCCAGGCTGGTTTTGAACTCCTGACCTCAGGTGATCTGCCTGCCTCAGCCTCCCAAAGTGCTGGATTACAGGTGTGAGCCACTGCACCGGGCCTGAAATGGTATTCTTAGAGAGGTGTCACTCCTTTCTGTATCTTTTATGAACAAGGAAAATTGAAAATACACCTGCCTATTTTTGTAAAAGAAATCAAAGGAGGGATAAACTACACAGCAATGAAATTGATTACCTACAACATGGGTAGATATGCATGTTAAGATACAGGAAAGAGTGACACTTCTCTAAGAATACCTTTTCATGTAATATTTACTTTTGTGTACATGTTAATATTCTACTCATTCGAAAAATATATTAAAAATTAAGATGGAAAGGGAAAAATAAACCTAAAACTGCAAGTGTACTGAAGAAAATGAATCTAATTGTATTTCAAATGAATACCATAATTATGGTAAGGAAAAAAAACAAAGATAGAACCAATTCAAGCAACTAGTGAATGCAGTATTTGTGTTCAGTGTTTTGTCAGGATGGAATTGAGTTGGGAAGGAATTTCATACAAGTCCTAAACCTTTTTTTGTTTTGTTTTGTTTTGTTTTATTGTTTTAGTGGTGGGGCAAAGCAGTTCTGAAACAATTTTAGATGCTTTATAGGTCTGAGCAAATGTGTTCATTGTTGTTGAGAAGCAGAATCTCAATGAAAAAGAAAAGATAAAATAGAATGAATGAAGTCAAGAAAGGACCCTGAGTTGGGTGTGATGGTATGCATCTATAGTTCCAGCCACTTGGGAGGCTGAAGTGGGAGGATGGCTTGAGGCCACAGTGTGCTATTATGGTGCCTGTGACTAGCCACTGTATTCCAGCCTGGGCAACATAGTGACACCTTGTCTCTTAAAAGGAAAAAGAAAGAAGGAAAGAACCCTGCGGGATGGGCTTGAATTGGATGTATCATTGTGAATACATCATTTCTTTTATATATATGTGCATATGAACATGTATGTACACATGTGTATTATATATATGCGTGTGTATATATACAGATGTTCCTCAACACAATGGGGCTATGTCCTGATACACCCAATCCAAGTTTAAAATATCAAGTAGAAAATGTGTTTAATACCCCAGTAAGCCTATTATAAAGTCAAAAAAAACATTAAGTCAAACCATCATAAGTCAGGGACTATCTGTATATGTATATTTTCCCTAGCTCTGTCAACTTAAAGGGCTAAGAAACAGACACCCTAATAACAGTGAGCACATTACTATATCTAAGTGTCCAGATACCACTCCCCACTAGAAGAAAGCCAGGCTACTCAGAGAAATGACAAATTTCAGAAATGAGGAAGGGTAAGTAAAATATAAGCCTGGAATATCTTAATATGCCAGAAAATAAGGACGTGCTCAAAATGACAGGGGCATATCACAGGAACTAGCTTGAAGGGGCTTCCACTGGCCAAATATGGAAGAACTTGAGTACCAAAATAATTTAGTACAGTAATGTATTGCAGACTATAGAAGAAATCGTAATTCACGGTATCATTCGTAAATTGATTAATTAATTAATAGGGAGAAAGGAGTACTTTTGCCTATAGTAGGATGTTGAATACTGACTGGTAATTGCAGAGAAGCTGCTAGATTTGGAAATCAGTATTTTATATCTATTTTAATAAAGACTTGATCAGGCACAAATCATTCAATGCTAAATTTAGGGAAAAATTTTGATGAAGAGCAGAATATTTACATGGTTTTAAAGTATCTCTCTACAAACTGCTTATTAATTGCAAGGGGGTAAAATAGCAGTTATACAGTGGAGAAATCAGAAAACACCTTGACTAAATGTTGCTAAATGTGCTAAATGTTGATATCACCAATGAAGAACATTTGGGCATTGTGTGACTCCAAATATGATGCCCAAAAAATGACTACAACATCACCTGTGTAATTTTCTGGGCGAGAATGTGTAACCTGAATCTAACCATGAAGAGATGTCAGGCAAGCTCAAAATGAGAGAAAGTTTTGTTTAAAAAAAAAAAAAAAAAAAGACGTGTATGACGTGTGTGTGTGTGTGTGTGTGTGTGTGTGTGTGTGGGTTGTATTCTTTAGAAATGTCAATGCTATTTTCTTAAAAAAAAAAAAGGTAATAAAAGTTTACAGGTTAAAAGATGCTAAAGAGACGTGAAAACTAAATACAGCATCTGACTCCAGACTGGATCCTCTACCGGAATGGGAAAAATGCTATAAAGGATATTATTGGGTCAGTTGACAAAATTGGAATACAGATGGTAGATTAAAGCATTGAATTGATGTTAAAATTCCTAAATTTGTTAACTGTACTGTGGTTATATAAAAGAATATCCTTATTCTTAGGAAATATGTGGTTATATAAGAAAATATCCTTATTCATAGGAAATATTGGAGTTTTTAGGGATAAAGGACCATGATATATATAACTTACCCTCAGATGGTTAAAAAAGTGCATGTATATTTATATATACATGTGTGTTATTTATACACATATATGTAATTGCATTGTGTATAAATATTACATATATGAATAAATATGTGAGCGAGATTGAGAACATGCAAAATCTCAGCCACAACCACTTACTATCAGTGGCTTACAAGAATATATTGTTTCTCACTCATGAACATGTTGGCAAAAGGATGAACCTGGGGAATTAGGTAAATCTGGGTAAAGGATATGAGGATATTCTTTATACTATTCTTGCAGCTCAACTGAATATTTGAAATTATTTCCAAAGTCAAGTTTTTTTAAAGTCCTCTATTTTCGGGCCAATTTTCGGACCCTCATTTTATTAAATATTTTTGTACTTTAATTGATATGACTTTTTAGTGCTTTTCATTCTGTATCTTTTATACCTCCATGAGTTTATATGGCCAGATCTTTTTACATTTTAGCGTTTGCATCCTGAAAATGGACATTTACAAATCTTTCTTGTTAGTTTTTATATGTAGGATAAATTAGGGGATTTTTCTCCTAACTTTACATTTTTCTTTTCTCCTAAAGGCTTGGAATATATAAACTTTAGAATATCAGCCATGATTGATAAAATAATAATTGTATTAAAGGCTGATGTAAGATGTGAATCTAAGGAAAAATAGCAGTTTTTTTCTTTTTCTAGCAGTACCTACTTTTTCCACATGAGGCCCTCCTGTATTTATTTCTGTGAAAGGATTAGTTTCTGTTATTAAGAAAGGTCATGTCTGCATGAATAAGTAATCTAAGGCTAATTTGTATTAGAATTTAATAAGACAAAAAA
Organism: Homo sapiens; assembly: GCF_000001405.40. Lineage (NCBI taxonomy): Eukaryota > Metazoa > Chordata > Mammalia > Primates > Hominidae > Homo > Homo sapiens. Next base: position 55,054,145 of record NC_000017.11, read on the forward strand.
ATGAATATATGAAAAAATATATAAACAAAAGAGAGAATCTTATATGGTTCACAGTGAATTGGCCAAACACAGTGGCTCACGCCTATAATCCCAGCACTTTGGAAGGCCAAGGTGGGTGGATCACTTGAGGCCAGAAGTTCAAAACCAGCCTGGCCAACATGGTGAAACCCCATCTCTACTAAAAATACAAAAAAATTCGCTGGGCATGGTAGCACATGCCTGTCATCCCAGCTACTCGGAAGGCTGAGGCACAAGAATCACTTTAACTTGGGAGGTGGAGGCTGCAGTGAGCTGAGACTACACTGCACTCCAGCCTGGGTAATAGAGTGATATTTCATCTCAAAAACAAAACAAAAACAAAAACACAGTGAATTGGCCTAAGGATAAGTGCAGTAGATAATGGGGTTTGGAGTTATACCTTTGGTTTATACCCTGACCCTGCTCCTTGCTAGCTTTTGACCTTTGTCAAACTACTTCACCTTTATGGGTCTCAGCTTCCTCATCTGCAAAATGGGTTTGATAATGGGATCCTTCACAATAACATTAGAGGTATTAAGATAATACACATAGATGATAATGTGTATAGCACATACCACTCAACAAATATTACAAATAATAGAAGAAAAAATATTAAGAGGTGGAAATGATTTGTATTAACTATTTAATAAAGAGGAGGAAAATGTAATTTTAACTGAGGGCATAAGGGGACTTTTCATAGATAAGGTGGCACGTGAGCTGACCCAGACACAGAAAGGCAGAGCATTTCAGGCTGAGAAAACAGCATGAAAATCATGGCATAAAAGGGGAAATTTGCTTGTGTTTGTGGTCAAAATAAACCTTTTCTATGCTAACTTTAAGTTATTTGTTAATATATTTCTGTCTTCATGTCTGAAAAAGTGTTAATAGTACCTACCTTACAATTTTTTCATAGGACTTGAGAATTTAAGAGCCTAAACCTGTCAGGAATCTAATTTTGAATACTAGTTTTGACATGTATTCTTTTATCAACATCACTATCAAAGGCCCAGGAACATAAGGGAAACACGGAAAGATGAAGCTGTTAGGAAATGACATTTGGGTGGGTGTGTTGGGGCCTACACATATAAGCAGTTGAATACCAGCCTAAGATCTTAGAGGACTGCCATTTAAAATATTTGACAAGGAGAGAAAAATGAACAACTGTCTCCACGTATAATCTGACCCCACTCTTTCTTTCATACTCCATAACCAACTTGTTGGGCCTACTTTTTAGAAATCACAGAATTTTGCCACTTTTCACCACTTCCATCAGTGGTCTAAGCCGCCATCAGGTCCCACCTGTGTTGCTATTATAGCTTCCTACCAGATCACGCTACTTTTACCCTGCCTCACTCCCATACTGTCTAATCTGAACAAAGCAGCCAGAAATATTGTTTTAAAACTGCACTTAGAACTCTCCAGGACTTTCCATCTCAGTCAAAGTAAGGCAGAAATGCTGCAAGTAGAAACCTCCAAGTAACTGTTAAAGCCTATGAGGGCCTACATGACCTGCTGTCCTTTCCCCATCCTAACACTCCTTTTAAAGTACCTCAGCTCTTTCCACACTTCTCCCCTCCACCCCTTTACTCATTCTCCAGCTCATCTGGTCTCTTTGCACCATCTTTCCTCTGACCCTTACTGTGTGTGGAGGAGTTTCTTTTAGTATAACTATTACTATCTTACATCTTAAATAATTTACTTATGTTTTGCTCTTTATCTGTGTCCCCCAACTGGAGGGTAAGCTTCATGAAGACAGCTATCTTGGATTTGTTCTCTGATTTATCTTACAACAATAGCTGTTATTAGGTACTCAAACATTTGGTGAATGGATAAAGGGATAAATGGAGGATATACTTTAAGGTTAAACTGACAGCAAGTTGGGAAGTAACCGAAGATCAGATAAAAGGCTGTTGTAATAGTCTAGAACAGCAATGTCCCTTAGAAATATAATGAAAGCCACAATATATTGCTATATTTTCTAAGAGCTACATTTTTAAAAAAGGAAAAAGAAACAGGTAACGTTAATTTTAATATATTTTATTTAGTTGGATTTATCTAAAATATTACTTTAGCATGCAGTAATATTTTTAAAATTCATTATGAGATATTTTTACTTTTTTATACTGTATCTTTGAAATCTAGTGTTTTTAAAATTTAGAGCACATCTCAATTTTTACACTGAATTTTCATTGGAAATACTGGATCTGTGCTTAGATTTAATAAAATTTACAGTTGAAAAAGTAAATTCACATACTCAAATTGTTCCAAACTTATTTTAAAAGTTTCTAATGACTGAATTGAATACCAAAAATCTTTTTCTTTTAATGTTTACATCCACACTAACAAAACTATTTTATTTTCTAAGAAGAATTTGTTTTTAAGCAAGATCTTTTCAAAGCTACATCTGTTAAGTACCGTCACTAATTCTTGTCAGCTCAGTATTATTAGCATAAAATTCAAGCCTGTGAGATGGAGGCTGCAGTGAATTATGATCATGCCGCTGCACTCCAGCCTGGGCAACAGAGGAAGAACCTGTCTCAAAAACAAACAAAAAAACTGGCCAAGCCCAGTGGCTAATGCCTGTAATCTCAAAACTTTGGGAGATCTGCCAAGGCAGGCAGATCGCTTGAGCCCAGCAGTTCCATTCCAGCCTGGGCAGCATGGAGAACCCCCGACTCTACAAAAAATATTAGCATCAAATTCAAGGAGTATTACAAATAACAAAAGCAACTCTAAATTTAGCAGTATGAAGAAAGCATACTTCAAAATTTTTTCAGTTTTCATAGCCAATTTATGTAACACTATCAATAATTAAGATCTGCATATTAGCTTATAGTAGAAAAATAGGTAAAGTCATTATTTTTTATTTATATTATGAAAAAGTTCAATTTCACTATAAACTCTTATACTTATCTAGCTTCATAAACTTTCCTTTTCCTTGTAGTTTGTAGTTTAACTCATTTACATGCACTGATATTAGTGAGAAAATGTAAATCACACTGCCATTTTCTTTTGTCTGGTTACTGAATAATAGATGCACCTTCCTTTTGTTTAAGAAAACCTTTAATTGGAGTTAAAAGTACAGAAAATCTTCGTAAATCTCTTTCATAACTCAGCCAAGAAGTATTGGCAAATAACATAGCATCAGAAAATGTATTGTCCTCCTTTTTTCTTTTAACAGTTTTATAAACTACTGATGACTCAATTTACGTGCGTATACTAAACAGTGTTAGCAACTGTATCTATGATGCTTTTCATAAAATCAGCTTGAGAAAACTAAGCACAAATATTTTCAATATGTATCATACAGTGGAATAAAACAATAAAGCAGCCTCTTTCTTCTTTGAAAATGTCAATACATTCAAATTTGGTTGTTGTTGTTGTTTCTAATTTTACTTTGAGTTCTGGGATACATGTGCAGAACGTGCAGGTTTATTACATAGGTATACATATCCCATGGTGGTTTGCTGCACCTATCAACCCGACATCTAGGTTTTAAGCCTTGCATGCAGTAGGTATTATCTTTATGCTCTCCCTCCCCTTGCTCCACCGCCCGACAGGCCCCAGTGTGTGATGTTCCCCTCCCTGTGTACATGTGTTCTCATTGTTCAACTCTCACTTAAGAGTGAGAATATGCAGTATTTGGTTTTCTGTTCCTGTGTTAGTTTGCTGAGAATGATGGTTTCCAGCTTCATCCATGTATCTGCAAAGGACATGAAGTCTTTTCTTTTTTATGGCTGCATAGAATTCCATGATGTATATATGCCACATTTTCTTCATCCAGTCTATCATTGATGGGCATTTGGGTTGGTTCCAAGTCTTTGCCATTGTGAACAGTGCCACAATAAACGTACTTGTGCATGTGTCTTTATAGTAGAATGATTTATAATCCTTTGGGTATATACCCAGTAAGAGGATTGCTGGGTCAAATGGTATTTCTGGTTCTAGATCCTTGAGGAATCGCCACACTGTCTTCCACAATGGTTGAACTAATTTACACTCCCACCAACAGCGTAAAAGCATTCCTATTTCTCTACATCCTCTCCAGCATCTGTGTTTCCTGACTTTTTCATGATCGCCATTCTAACTGGCATGAGATGGTATCTCATTGTGGTTTTGATTTGCGTTTCTCTGATGACCAGTGATGATGAGCTTTTTTCATATGTTTCTTGGCCGCATAAATGCCTTCTTTTGAGAAGTGTCTGTTCATATCCTTCACCCACTTTTTGATGGGGTTAATACATTTAAATTTTCGATGCAACATAGCTGGAGCACCATTTATCATGATGAAAACTTGTTTTTTATTATCTACCTGAAACTTTTTTGACAGATGTAAAAGGGTTAAAAATATCTACACTGCAAGTTTGATTTTTTTAGGCTGCAAATCAACATTTTATCATAAGTTTGGACACCCTTTGAGGCAGTACATGCCTGAAGGATGAATTTGGTAGTGTCTCTTGCATGATATGGCCCACTGAAAGCTATTTTAATCAATTGATCGTTGATATTCTTAGAAAGTTCTTATAGTCGATGGGCATTTGTTTTATTACTTAATTGAATATCCTCCATTTTTTATGAAATACGTTTCCCAGTATTTTTATCATAACTGAAATTACTATCTCAATCTAAAAATGGTTTTCTTTTTTGTGCAAAAATTCTAGCCATTTTATAGTTACAAATGTTGGACATTTACTTCTGGTGACTAATTTTATTTATTTATTTTTTTAACTGCTAATACGAAACTTCTTATCAAATTCACCATTAATTTGCAAAAATGGCTATTAATATTGCTCACTTTATATATATTTCAAAATTTTCTTCTACAGTAAACACACTTTTTGCAAATTGCAATTGCATTGTTCCAGTAATATTACTAGCTAATTTATCTCCATTTTATTCTGCATCAGTAGTATGTCTTCACTTTACATTTAATTTAAATTTAATTTTGTCCATACTTATTTTATGGACAAATTTTTACTAAATACAAAAAATAAATATAGCCTAATAAAAATAAGTATTTTAATTTAATTACTAATATGATTTACCTAGGTATCATTGTAACTCAGGCTGATTGCATAAAATATTCAGATAAGCCTACTGTGTGTACATATTGGTGTGTAAAAAAGGATTTATAATTAATTAATTTTTTGACACTGGCCACATCAGTTACGTGTTTATGTATACTACTCAACTGACTCATGTGCCTGACACAGACATTACAGTTCAACAATAATATCTTAAATGATGCAGTGATTACAGTGAGTTAGAGTTCTACCAAAACAGTAAAGTCTTGTTTTGTGAAAAAATAGTTTACATTTCTTGAGTTTTTAAACTTAAATACAAAATAATTATAATTAAATTAAAAATTTGGTTCCTCAGTCAACTAGCTATATTTCAGGTGCTCAGTAGCCACATATAAGTAGTGGCTACTGTGATTGGACAATGCTGATCTAGAACTCTACATCCTTTCTACTCAGAGTGGTCAGCAACAGGAGAAATATCAGCAATCAGGAACTTAGAAATGCAGTCTTAGGTCTCATCCCAGATCTATAGAATCAGAATCTACACTTAACAAGTCTTCAGGTGATTTGTTTACACCTTAAAATTTGAGAAGCTCTTGTCCAGAAAATAGGCAATGGAGGATTTAACTGGGTAATCATAATAGTAATATACCAAAAAGGTCTATGCAGAAGACACCATGAGGATAAAGTCCACCAGATTTAACAGTCATAAAATGTGCAGTAATAAGGAGAAACAACAGTCAAGTCTTTGTAGTTTAGTGACTGAGAGGCTGTAATGATGCAATCAACAAAATAAGATAAATGAGATTGAGGGTAAAGATGTGTGGATTCAGAGTAGTACTTAGTATATAGTTTCCAGTTTAAACAAAAATAATTAAAAATACATGTATACATCTGTGTATACAAACCCACATGCATACATACTGAAACACCATTCATTTCATTAACACCGTAAAAAAACATAGACTACCCAAAATCAACCCTGAAAGTGTCCAATTTTAAAATATGTTGACCATGGATACTATTCAGCTTTTCTTATGTACATAGAATGATATTATTTTGTTAAGAGGATTTTGATGATACAGACCTATTGTTAATGAAAGAGTTCCTATGCTTTAGTGAAAATACCTTTCCATTTTTCCAAAGATTGATTTCTTTTTTCACAATAAATGAGTCTTTAAAAATTATAAATACAGAGTATGTATAACTCTTCTCTTAAAAATTTTTAAAAACTAGAAATTTAAATGGTGTGAAATTTGGCAGTTTCTTTCCTTTGATATCCTTTTGAAGATCTTGACACCAAGTTACTACAGTACTAATGATCATCCCATGTAAATTCCTTAAGCACATAGATAACCTAATTATTAAAACAAGCTGTGAAGGGCTCATTTTTCACTGGAAGGATCACCTTCATTGTTTTATTCAATCAAGGATAGCTACCAGAATACCTACTCACTGTTTTGAAAAGAATTGGCTGTACTGTTCTCTAAAACTCAAGTATTTTTATGAGTTTTTGTGTCTTACAGAATAACCGAGCTTAAGTTTAAAATCATGAGCACAATTTCCCATGAAATTGTTGTTATTTTTTCTTCAAGTTCTAACAACTTTTCACAGGCATGGGCCACTCTTAGCGACTTCCTTTGATCAACAGCTTTCTAAAGCCTACTCTCACACTTAAGTTGTTTTTAAAGTTTCTTTCAGCATAGTATTATGACCTAAGGCAGCAATGAATTGGTGAACAGTCCAAAGCCAAAATATTTAGCTTGTCTGAACCAGTCTTTGCCCTAAAGAAACATG